>NC_000023.11:5262488-5887488 GCF_000001405.40 Homo sapiens
CACAGATGAACTAAGAAGTAGTGATAGAGACTTATTACTCCTAATTTTAAAAAGCATAGTGTTTTTTGGTGTTTTTTTTGTTTTTTGTTTTTTTGTTTGTTTGTTTTTGAGACAGAGTCTCGCTCTGTTGCTCAGGCTGGAGTGCAGTGGCGTGTTCTCACCTCACTGCAACCTCGGCCTCCCAGGTTCAAGTGATTCTCGTGCCTCAGCCTCTCAAATAGCTGGAATTACAAGTGCTCGCCACCATGCCTGGCTAATTTTGTGTTTTTAGTAAAGGTGGGGTTTCACCATGTTGGCCAGGCTGGTCTCAAACTCCTGGCCTCAAGTGATCCACCAACCTCGGCATCCCAAAGTGTTGGGATTACAGGCGTTAGCCACTGCGTGTGGCCAGAATGAAATTTAATTATGGAATTTTGGACGTCTCAGTAAGAAGTGTGAGTCTAACCTCACGGAAAATGTGAAAATGCCTGTCAATTGTTTTTGTTTAAAAAAAAATGTGTTCTGTTCCTTGGTCATATTGCCTGTGGAATACTATTAATATTTCTGAATAAATTAGCTAATTGAACACATTCTTTGATTTTTAACAACATGTGTCCTTATCAGGATTAAATGTGTTTAAGAAATCTGGATGAGGAAAGTTATGAATGAAATTATACAAGGGAGGAAAACAACAAGCCTACAAAATGTCTTAAATCCAATTTTACTCAGCAACATAACCCATGTTGTAACCGACTGATGGGTTCTTCCTGCCCTCTGCAGAAAGAAAGATCACGGCACTGCAGTAAAAAAATAATTTAGCCCAGCGCAGTCACTCATGCCTGTAATCCCAGCACTTTGGGATGCCGAGGTGGGTGGATCACTTGAGGTCAAGAGTTTGAGACCAGCCTGGCCAACATGGTGAAAACCCAACTTTCCTAAAATTACGAAGAAAAAAAATTAGCCAGACGTGGTGGCGGATACTTGTAATGCCAGCTACTTGGGAGGCTGAGGCAGGAGAATCGTTTGAACACAGGAGGCAGAGGCTGTAGTCAGCCGGGATTGCACCACTGCACTCCAGCCTGGGTGACAGAGCAAAACTCTGTCTCAAGAAAAAAAAAAAAAAAAAGATTTTAACGAAGCAAGGGCCAGCCATGACGCCATGTCATGTAGGAGATGGAGTTATTATTCAAATCAATCTCATCAAAGACTCTTTGGTTGGCGGTTTTTCAAAGGCAGTTTGGGTGATGGGGTGGTGGTAGGTAGGAAATGCGTGCTTGCTGCTGATTGGTTGGTTTGGAGATGAAATCATGATGGGTCAAAGTGGTCCTCTTGAGCTGAATCACTCTTAAGCAGGCCCACAGGAGTGGTCTGGTCCAGGTGGGTCCACCCGGGTCCAGGTAGAGCCAGGTGTCAGCCATGCCAAAAAAAAAAAAAACAAAAAAACCTGAAAAGAGATCTGAAAAGGCCAATATTAGGTTCTACATTAGTGATGTTACCTGCAGGACCTCTGGAATAATGGCTGGCAATCCTTTATGTCTATACCTTAGCAGAATTCAGGCTCTTCTCCTCTCCCTAGCCTGAAGGTGGGTCTCTCATTAGCTTTACAAAGGTGGTTGAGCTTTGGGAAAGGCCCATTATTTAATCTGGAACCTAAAAGTCTTCCAAAATTAGCTATGCCTAAACCCAGGAATAATGAAGGTAGCTTGCAAGCTAAAGGCAAGAAGAGGGTGCGTTAGATCAGGATTTTTTCACTGTCATAATCTTCTCATTGATAACAGTTTTTGCAAAAGGGTTTCAAAGTAATGAGAGTTGCAGACGGTGGAAGTCTAAGCTTCCTGGGGCACTCTGTCGGAAAATGGAAGAAAGCCTCAGATTGGCATGCGTATAACTTCCTAAGCACACTGTGCATGCTCACTTCCCAAATGTAAGGAGGGGGGCACTGTGCCTGCAGGCGGCCCACCCTAAGGGAAGAATCATGGGAAAGGTGCCAGCCTATAAAGTCCTAGGATCAAGGTTGTATTAGTCCATTTCCACACTGCTGATTAAGACATACCCAAGCCTGGGTAATTTATAAGGAAACAGAGGTTTAATGGACTCACAGATCCACGTGGCTGGAGAGGCCTCACAATCATGGCAGAAAGTGAAAGGTACATCTCACGTGGTGGCAGACAAGAGAAGAGAAACTGTGCAGGGAAACTCCCCTTTACAAAACCTTCAGATCTCGTGAGACTTATTCACTACCATGAGAACAGCATGGGAAAGACCCACCCCCATGATTTTATTACCTCCCACCGGGTCCCTCCCACAACATGTGGGAATTGTGGGAGCTACAGTTCAAGATGAGATTTGGGTGGGGACACAGACAAACCATATCAAAGTTTAAACATCGCACTTGTTCTCCAAGTCGCCCACTTGAGTCTCTTCCAAGCATACTTTCCTTTCTTTCATGATCTAAGGCCTTTTAAAATAAACTTCCATTCCTGCTCTGAAACTTGCTTTGGTCTCCTTTTCTGCTTTATGCCTGTCAGTTGAATTCTTTCTTCTGAGGAAGCAGGAATTGATGTTGCTGCAGATTCGTACAGATACGCTGCCAGTAACCCGAATACCTTCCACCAGTAACACTAGGGGTCTACAAAAGATACTATAATTTTGAACTACATTGACACATTTCAGAAAAAGGCATCTCATTACCTCAATGATAAGTACATTGAGGAATTAACTTCAATGTCAAGAGAGTAAGGACAGTGATTTTATAATTTTTACTACCTTCAGCTACACTCAACTTCAGTCCTTTTTCTTTCGCATTAAAAAACATTATTGAGGCCACCTCAGAATCTTAGTGTATGCTGGGAAAGCAGATTCTTATTTGTAGTGCTGCAAAGGTGTTAGGGCTGGAAAAGTGAATGAGTTCTGTAAGGTTCAGGGCCAAAATTGCTGACAAAGCCCCTTCTGTCTTCTTCAGTCCACAAAGCATATCCTTCCTTCCAGGAGATGATAAACATGGCAGCACTCAGTACTGACAGTAATTGTCTGTCTCTGGCATATGGCACCAACAATGAGAGATGAAACACTCTGATAACTGGCTTGGGAACCAGGAACACTTCTTGCAAGAGAAGCAAAATGATTCTTCCCTGCAACGTGGGAATTGGCATGAGTCCCTCTACTTTCAGAGAGCTTGTTCCAAGAAGGAAGGGAGAAATCAGTGAAGGGTATAAGGTCTGCTTTCTTCTGCTTTCTTCACAATCTGTCATTTCATTGGCGAAAGGTTTAGCTTGGAACAGAGTCTGATTTTAGTTTTGGTTGTGTGTTTGCCGGTGATTACCCCACAGTAGGAGGTCTCACACATTAGTGATAAAAACTTCATCTCAAGGGTGCCAGGCAATTCACACATCATGGTTAATAAAAATAAAATATTGAAGACATGCTCAGAAAAGTGACTTAAATGAGTATTTACACAGCTATCCCACAGATGCTCTGTGTGAGTGAGGTGAGTACAAACAAGATGGCTAACACCATTTCTTTTTTCAGAAAGCAAGCCAACAGGAGTCCCATGCAAGCATTGTATTCATTGTGCTATAAGCTAGATCCAAGTGCTTTACAACTGCAATTCATTTTCAGTGAAATACAGTTGTCCACCTATTAAAACTTCTCTGCCCAAGCATTTCAAAGTGAGTCCTATTTCACCAACTCAATTCAGAAAGAAAGACGAGCTCAGCGCTGAAATGTTTATGAAGTCTCCGTTATACAGTTGTATGAATGAATGCATTTGATTCATGTATTCATGTATGTGTCAAATGAACAGAAAAAGCAACAACTCTTGCCTCCTCCTGCCATAAAAAGAAACTTTGTAAAGAAGCTTTCATCATGTAAGCTATTCCATCCAAAATCATCTGCTCTTGCATAACATGTTATATCATTTTATTTTAAACCTGGATCTAAGAAAAGTGATATCTCAAAAATACCATGGAGAGAATGCCCAGGTGTCTAGAGTTTTATAAACTTTACCCTATACTCACCTAAAATCTCTTATATAGCAACATCATCACTTTCTTAAATATATTATTCAATTCCCATGTTAATTAATAGCATTAGGTTATCCACTCGTTTATAGATACCTGATTTTAAAGTCCTCACAAGCTGAAGTTCCCATATTCTTATTTATAGTAGAACAAAGAAAGCTTCTCTAGCTAAGACTGTCATTTTATTCAACACATAATTATACTTGAGGGAAAATAAAAAGACTGCATTTGAACTATTTTAAAGCAATTTATGAAAAGTTACTATGTCAGGGCATCGTTCCTCATTATCCTATGTAATACTAGCAAAACTGTTTCTATGGATTAACTGACACAAAGTCACTTTTGTAAACAATGATAGGTGAATATTTTCAAATCAGTTATGCATAAACACACAAATCAAGACAAAGTCACATTCCATGTATTTAGGGAGGATCATCCCATAACCAAAATTAGATATATGACCTTCTATGATATCTTCAAACATCTCAATGGTTAATTACTCAATATCCCATAATATATAATCCACAATCATCCCCCTCAACACACACACACACTTCTATTTACATATAGTCTGTCCTTTATATCTGTGACTTCCGCACCCACAAATTCAACCAACCTTGGGTTGAAAATATTTGAAATATATGTAAATACAAATATATAAGGAGTTCATGCAACTCAATAGCATAAAAACAAATAATTGGATTAAACAAATGGGCAACAGATCTGAGTAGACATTTCTCAAAAGAAGACATATAGTTAAAGAAAAAAATGCTCAACATCACTAATCATTTAGTGATTTAGAGGAAATAAGAAACACGGGATGTAGTGTTTTACCCAAAGAGTCAATCTTAAATGACACCAACAGTAATTCAGATTAGTCATATTTGCTGGAATATAAATAATGCATTAACCTTTTTTGGGAATGACAATCTTTCTTGGGGATGACAGTCCTAGGGCATCCACTTCCAGAAATATGGCTCAGCAATGGAGCCCGGTGTCTTTTCATGATAAATAGAAATACCAAAGTTAGGCCCATAGCCCATAGAATGCCTATAACCCAAGACTGTACTCTTTGATATGGTTGTCAGAAGTGTAAGGCATTAGAGAAAGAAAACATGAGACATTGAGTACAGAAATGAACACCTTCCCCTCTTGGAGAGTGGGCAAAATAAACAAATTCAGATTATAGGTTGTGCATCCCTAATATGAATATCTGAAATCTGAAATGCTCCAAAATCCTAAACTTTTTGTGCACGGAGATGACACCACACATGGAAAATTCCACCCCTGACCTCATGTGACGGGTCACAGTCAAAACACACGTGCACAACACACAGTTTATTCAGTGTCCTTAGGGAGGAAAGACACCAGTCCCCCCAACCCCTGCAGCGCCCATCAGCTGCAATATATCTTTTCCATGCATGCCACACTCCCCCATGGAAGCATACCCACAAAGGGTAATAAAAGGACATGTGGGCCAGGCTCAGTGGCTCACGCCTATAATCCCAGCACTTTGGGAGGCTGAGGTGGGTGGATCCCCTCAGGTTAGGTGTTCGAGACCAGCCTGGCCAACATGGCGAAACCCTGTCTCTACTAAAAATATGAAAATTAGTAGGGCGTGGTGGCATGCGCCTGCAGTCCCAGCTACTCAGGAGGCTGAGGCAGGAAAATCACTTGAACCTGGGAGGCAGCAGTTGCAGTGAGCCAAGATCAAGCCATTGCACTCCAGACTAGGCGACAGAGTGAGACTCAGTCTCAAAAAAAAAAAAAAAAAATTGGGTGTGGTAGCACATGCCTGTAGTCCCAGCTACTTGGGAGGCTGAGGCATGAGAATTATTTGAATCCAGGAGGTGAGATTGCACCACTGAACTCCAGCCTGGGCGACAGAGCGAGACTCCATCTCAAAAAACAAAAAAAAAAAAAAAAAAAAAAAAAAAAAAGGAGGACGTGCGTGCAGCTGTATGCACCAATGGCAGATTCCCCCAGTTGTCCCACAGGAGGCCGAGACCTACGTGCATTACTCTCTGTGGGTTTTTTGCCTGCTTATTTTCTGCTCTGTGGTGTAAAGATATTGTTAAAAAGTTTGAAAAAGGCCTGCAGATTCCCCTATGGGTAACAGTGATAAGAAAAAGAGGACGTGTTTATGTGTAGGTATAGCACCAAAAGTCAAGCACTTGGAGAAACTGGACAGTAGTGTTAGTGTGAATCATCTTACAGAAGAGTATGGTGTTGGAATGACCACCATTGACGTTTTCTTCTCATTAAAAAAAATACAGTGTACAGTTAGCTTATAACCAAAACATAGCATCGCAGGTGGACACTGGAAATGTTGCCATTGTCAGTTGCTTCTGTTGTTTAACAGCAGACACAGGTGTTCTGGTGGTGCCACTGTGCAGATTATTTACCCTGAACACATTCAGATGTCACTGTATTAATGCTGCGTTACATGTTTTACTGTTAAGTACTCATTTGTGCAGAAGTGTAATAAAAGTATTGCTTATATCAGCAGTCCCCAGCCTTTTTGGCACCAGGGACCAGTTTTATGAAAGACAATTTTTCCACAGTTGGAGGGGGCAGGGTATGGTTTTGGGGTGAAACGTTCCACCTCAGGTCATTAGGCATCAGGTTCTCATATGGATCATGCAACCTAGATCCCTCACATGTGCAGCTCACTATAGGGTTTGGGAGACTCTAATAATGCTGCTGATCTTACAGCAGGTGAAGCTCAGGCGGTAATGCTCGCCGGCCCACCACTCACCTCCTGCTGTGTGGCCGGGTTCCTAACAGGCCACGGACCAGTACCTGCCCTCGGCCCAGGGATTGAGGAGGCCTGGCTTATATGCAGCTTATACATTTAGAGTAAGGAATGACGGTAATGCCGGACAACCACAAATTGTCCACATGGGTTGCTGAGATAGTGACATCTTTGCTCTCTGATGGTTCAGTGTACATAAATGTTTCATGCACAAAATTAGTTTTAAAACATTGTATAAAATTACCTTCAAGCTATGTGGATTAGATGAACATGAAACATTAATAAGTGTTGTGTTCAGACTTGAGTCCCATTCCTAAAATATCTCATTGTGAATATGCAGATATTCCAAAAATTTAAAAATTCATATATCTCAAATTACTATTTCTTTCCATATATATTTCCATCCTACTTCATATATATCTATATGAATATGAAGTAGGATATATATATGTATGTAGGATGGAAATATTAAAGTAGAATGGGAAGCTTGTGGACATGTAGATTATTTATAATATTTTATATTTCTAGGACACCTGTGATTGTATGACGAAAAGCTATAGCTTTTCAGGATTGAAAGACATTTCTACTACATTAAAATGGGAAGAGAAATGTGTCTGGATATATTTGTATTTGTTTTTACAAAATGGGATTTTACTATATACATAGCTTTGAAATTTTATTCTTCAGAAAATGGCCATTTTTTCAATCCTTCATTTTTTTCATTTTATGTAATTTTTCCATTCATTTTTCATTTTAAAAATTTATACATATGATATGTGAAATATGTGGTTTATTTAGCCATTAAATGATTGCATTATTTTTAAACAGAAAAGAAAAAAACACCAAAATTGTTTTCCAAAAGCATAATAAGACAACTTTTTTAGTATTATTTGAGCCCATCAATAAAAACAGCAATTTATTTAATAGCATCACTCAGAGAAGTAAGTTTTTAAAAACCAGTCAGTAGTTAAGAAGTCATTTTTAATTTTAATATTTTCCAAGTGAGCTTGTGTCATCGTTTTTAATTGAAATGAAGTTTTAGTTCAGGCATTTATTATTTATTAGATTTTAGTCCTCACTATAAATCATTGTCATAATGGAGCAAGAGAGAAAAGAAAATTCCTCATTATGGACTTTCACAGGACACATTTCAACTCTTTTATCTCTATATTATTTAAAATCTATTACCAAGAGTAATTCGGAAATGCAATCCACCTATTATAGCAACTACACCAACTGACATTTAAATTTGTTCAGTTTCTCCTAAAAATGGTAAAAGAGAACACTGACTCATGGGGCGATTTTAGAATGTTCATTAGGGGCTGTCCAGCCAGGAAGCACAGATTCCCACTGATGGGTACGAGAAGACAGAAAATGGAGCCAATTAATTACCAGGTAAGGTAATGGTATAATAGCACTGCTAAAGGGGAGAATTCTGCCTCGTTCTGCATTCGCTCATTGAGATTCATGGGGAAGCCTCATGTCAAATTTAGATTGGGCAAGTTACGGGACAGCTATACAAAGAGAAAAGGGAGAATTTTTTTTTTCCCTTGGTTAAGTCGAGGTGTCAGTCAAATGAGCAGAATATGAGCAATGCTGAAGAAATTATAGGAGATTCCCTGTGCAGTTGCTCAGTCTCAGCTGTTTTGGCATTTGGGGCTGGATGGTCCTTGGTTGGGTCGAGGCTGTCCTTTGCACTCTTGAATGCTTAGCACAGCCCTGGCCTTACTCCCTGGATATCAACGGTACCGTTCCCCAGTTTAGGCAACTGGAAATGTCTCCAAATATCTCCTAAGGGGCCAAATAACCCCAGTGGAGAATCAGTCAATGGAAGGATGGAGCATGGAGCTTTAAATCTATAGGAGAAATCACAATGCATACATCCAGGATATTTGTAGGATACGCATAGTCTATTATTCAGTCTATACTGGATACTGTGCAGATCCATTTGTATTCATAATTAATACAACATTTTCTGACGTAATCAATAAGCAAGTCCTGATTATTTGTTTTGATATTCAAAGCTCTAAAGTAACATCACTTTCTCTTTCTTTCTTTCCTTCCTTCTTTCCTTCTTTCTTTCTTTTTCTTTCTTTCTTTCTTACCTTTCCTTCCTTCCTTCCTTCCTTCCCTCCCTCCCTCCCTCCTTCCCTCCCTCCCTCCTTCCTTCCTTCCTTCCTTCTTTTGTTTTGAGACATAATCTTGCTCTGTCACCCAGGCTGGAGTGCAGTGGTGATCACTGCAGCCTCAAACTCCTGGGCTCAAGCAATTCTCCTGCCTCAACCTCCCAAGTAGCTGGAACTACAGGCATGCACCACCCCACCCAGCTAATTTTTGAAAATCATTTGTAGACATTGGGCCTTGCTATGTTGCCTAGGTGGGTCTCGAACTCTTGGCCTTAAGCCATTTTCCAGCCTTGGCCTCCCAAATCGCTGGGATTACAGGCATGAGCCACAACACCTTGCCAAAAGTAACATCTATTTCTAAAGTGAGCCTTATTCAAGACCCAATTTTCTTTTTCTAATTAGTGGCATATTCCAGAAACAGTGGTCAAAATATTGTCATTTTCTGTCCCATACTTTATATACAGATACATACATATATATATTATTTTTTTTTTTTTTTTGAGACAGAGTCTTGCTCTGTCACCCAGGTTGGAGTGCAGTAGCATGATCTCGGCTCACTGTAACCTCCACCTCCCAGGCTCAAGCAATTCTCCTGCCTCAGCCTCTCAAGTAGCTGGGCTTACAGGCACGCACCACAACACCTGGCTATTTTTTGTATTTTTAGTAGAGATGGGGCCAAGCTGGTCTCGAACTCCTGACCTCAAGTGGTCTGCCCACCTCAGCCTCCTAAAGTGCTGGGATTACAGGCATGAGCCACCACGCCTGGCCCCTACTGCATATATTTTTAACTGAAGTATTAAGATGCAATTTTAAAATGTAGAGGTAAAATATTGATGTTTTCATCACAATGACTAATATGTGAGAAAAGTCTTGTTGATATTTAAAATGATACCCAGTATGGATTACTGATATTGTCATGGAATGCATTTTGCTCCATCCCCAAAATATATATGTCAAAGTTCAAACTCCCAATGTGATTGGATTTGGAGATAGGGCCTTTAAAGAGGTGATTAGACAAAAATGAGTTCCCCAGGGTGGACCCTAATCCCATAGAATGGGTATAGGGTCCTTATGAGAAGAGGAGATTAAGACACAGACACACACAGATGGACAACCATGTGAGGACACAGGGAGAAGACGGCATCTCCAAGCCAAGGAGAGAGGCCCCAGGAGGAACCAGCCCTGCCCACACCTATATCTCAGTCTTCCAGCCTGCAGAATGTGAGATAATAAATGTCTGTTGTTTAAACCAACCAGTCTGTGTTATTTTGTTATGCCTGCTCTAGCCCTAAACTAACATTTACATGTTCTGCATTACAAAAGCTCTTTGATAAATAATCTTGACACTTAAGCTTACAATTTATAATAAAATGGAATAAAAGGGTATATAATTTTTTTGCTGAGATATCGTTTATATCTTGTCCACCTTTTACTTTTATGAAATGGATAAAGCCTAGGAATAAAGAACTTTTATTGTTAATATTATCTTAAATTTTAGTTTATCTGTGTTAATTCATGATCCCAGTAGATACCGCAAATACCTTTTCTTCACCTTCACAACCGTAATGATATTTCCTCATATTATCATTGCATTTTCTAAAGTTGTTGCCATTTCTTTAATGCCCTTTATTAATTATGTTCAGACTGTGTTCCTGTCTTTAGTTAGCTATTTTTAAATCTAGTTGACACAATGCCAGACAATCGTATTTCAACACTGTAATAGAAAAAGACTTCAGCTAAAGACTGAAATAAAACCTTCATTGACTTAAGCTCTTTTTGTGTTTATGAATTCTGCCCATAAATGGTTTAGAAAACAAATGTCTATAAGTGTTACGGATTTCATTTTTACACATCAGCTGCTTGCCATGGTAAGTCAATAGGGAGTTCTTTTCACCTTGAAAACATGTAAATGTGTGCCAATTTAGACTTCTCTAGAAGAGAACCACTACATTTCAGGAACAATAAGAAGATTGAAAGAGAATTAACATAGTGTTTATTATACAGTATTTATTTTATAAGCAAAATTAAAAATCTAACATTTTCCAAAATATCCATGTAGTGCTAAATATTATCATAAAGTACATAAAGGGGCACATTGTCAGAATTGTGACATAGAAGATAAAACAGTAGTTTCCAAATCATAATCCTAGAAACTTTCCATTTTAGAAACAGGATGTGAGAGAGGAAACTAGTAGTTATAAAAATGAAATGCTTTATGAATACCTATAGAAGTTTCCAGTCAAGAATATTTTATGTTGGCTGGACATGGTAGCTTACAACTCTAATCCCAATACCTTGGGAGGCTGAGGAGCGGGGATTACTTGAGGCCATGAGTTTGAGGCTGCAGTAGGCTAGGATCACATCACTGCACTCCAGCCTGGATGACAGAATGAGGCCCTGATTCAAAAAAAAAAAAAAGTATACTTATTAAAGGGATGAAATTATACTAAAGTCAATATAATTGATCAAGATATATAATCTGTTATTTCTAATACAGAGTATAGAATGACACACCAACTATAAACAATAAGTTGGCAATTGAGATAAATAAATATGTAAAGTAAGAAAGTTTATTTTATGAAATGGATTGAATACACAAAATAGAATCTCTAGTGTATATATTCACTAAGTGTAGAAATACGTTAATGTGAGTTTGCAATGGAATCGGTAAAAATTAACCACCCTCTTCTCAGCCACAGAACAAATATTTATAGGGAACCTCACATTAAAATTAATCCAGAATTTGAATGCAAGGAAGTGGATAATCTTTAATGTTTTCTTGAGATCAATGGTTGGTTTTAATCAAGATCACTAAAAATTCTTGCAAATTTCAATTGTTCTAGTTGGTTGTTGCGTCAGCCCACCCTTAGGTAGGATGATTTGCTGGAGAACTCATGGTACTCAGAAAAGCTATCATGCTCATGGTTATGGTTCATTACAGTGAAAGGTTACAGATTAGAATCAGCAAAGAAAAAGGTGCACAGGACTGAGTCCAGGAAACCAGGCACAAGTTGTCCTCTTTCAGTGGACATTTTTTTTTTTTTGAGACGTAGTCTCACTCTGTCACCCAGGCTGCAGTGCAGTGGTGCCATCTTGGCTCACTGCAAGCTCCACCTCCCGGGTTCACACCATTCTCCTGCCTCAGCCTCCTGAGTAGCCGGGACTACAGGTGCCCGCCACCATGCCTGGCTAATTTTTTTTTTTGTATTTTTAGTACAGACAGAGTTTCACCGTGTTAGCCAGGACGGTCTCAATCTCCTGACCTTGTGATCCACCTGCCTCAGTCTCCCAAGGTGCTGGGATTACAGGCGTGAGCCACTGCACCTGGCCTCAATGGACTTTTAAGCAACAATGTATGACATCAACAATGTATGACAACGCTTATGGAGTATTGTTGACTAAAGAGGCTCACCTGAGACTTGATGTCCAGGGTTTTTATTGGGGGTTCAGTCATTTAGGCATGGAGTCCTAAAGTTAGCATTTGATTAAGAACTATTAATGAAATGTCAATGATAAGAATTTCTCATTGAGTGTTGTTCTTTGGACTTAATACTTATTGAGTACTCACTAGCATCTTATCCCTTGCTGAAATGTTTTATACATATGTGTTTCAGTCTGTTCTGCCTTTTAGAACAAAGTGTCATAAATTGGATGGCTTATCAAAAATAGGAATTTATTTCTCATAATTCAGGAGGCTGGGAAGTCCAAGAGTAATGCTGATTGAATTTCTGCTGAGGGCCAATTTTCTAGTACATAGATGGTGACTTCTGGCTGTTTCTTCTTTTATAAGGATACAAATCTACATGAGGGTTCTGTCTTCATGATTTAATCATATTTTGAAACACCCCATCTCCTAATGCCATTAGTTTGGTGATTAGGTTTTCAACATATAAATTTCAGAGGGGACACACCTTTAGAACCTAACAATATATAATTGGAAATTGGCGTAAATACTAGTGTTATCTTGTGATGAAAAACAGATCTAGACACACTCAGTAATTTACCTTAATGTCACATCCAGCTACTAAAGTGAGAGACCAAGGTACGACTAACATCCAATCCACCACACTGAAATCATGCTGTTAGAGAGATAAGAGAAAAACTCACAGATTTATATGCAAGTTGACAAATTTGAAACTTTTGCCTGAACACAGAAAATGAGACCACCAGGGTGCTGTAGTTTATGTTGAGTGATGACTGAAAATAATCGATAGAGTTAGTGTTTGGAGTTCAAAGGAGAAGAACGATTTTGTCTCAAAGCCATCGGGAGTGGGAAACAATAATGGATTCTTGCTAGACTAATAAGAGAGAAATGGTTCTCCTGCCTGTCTCCATTCTTTTCCATCCAGATGCTGTTGTTATACTAAAATTACCTCAGACAATCCCTACGAAGGTAGTGTGAGGTTGAATAGGATAAGTAGAGAGAGACTGCAGAACATGTATTATAGATTCTGCCATAATTGCTTATGTCTCCCCACCCTACCCTGTGCCCAGGAGGATGAGTTTTGTATAACAATGGGATCCATTGACTTATGACTTCCATGCGGATTCAACTAGGATTTCAAAGGATGGTAGAAGATTGAGGTTAGAGATTTCCTTCACAGGCTTCCCACTTGCAGGATCAGCTTAGGCAGGCAGTGTCTCTCAACCTAAAATGACTGGTGCTCCCAATGTGACCTTTTCTATCTACCCATTTCTTTCAGCTTACTAGTACATGATTTCCCTTCAGTCAGTCATGTGTTTGCATGACTCGCAAGCAAGGTCATGGCAACCCTTGCTTTGGCCTGGTGCAGTGGCTCATGTCTGTAATCCCAGCAATTTGGGAGGCTGAGGCAGGAGGATCACTTGAGGCTAGGAGTTTAAGACTAGCCTGGGCAACATAGTGAGACCCCATCACTATAAAAAATAGAAAAATTGGGCAGGCATGGGGGTGCATGCCTCTAGTCCTGCCTGTTCAGGAGGCTGAGACAGGAGGATTGATTGAGCCTGGGACGTGGAGGCTGCAGTTAGTTGTGATCACACCACTGCACTCCAGCCTGGGTGATAGAGCAAAACCCTGTCTCAAACAAACAAACAAACAAAAAAACCCAAAAAAACAAAAAACAGCTTTCGTTCTGCAAAAAGAATGGAGACAGGCAAGAGACCCAGTTCTCTCTCTGTTCTGCACTATTTTTTTCAAGGATATTTGTGTAGTGAGTGCCCTTAGATGGTAGAGGTAATGTCCACATTTATTTGCTTTCCTGGATAATAAATATAATTCATCCCAGCAGAGCCAAGTTTGGGAAAGTTTATTATTAGTAGCTGTCTTCTAAGAATGAGTGTTTCCTAAGATTGTTTCCTAACCTGGGACACAAATTAATTCTGTATGTAGCATGCACCTGGTCCTGTCCCTTCATAACCCCTTGTGAAACATGAGACTTGGGCAAGGTAGAAATCAACTGACCACTATCACTAATAAAGTCCTTTGTTTCTGAGTTAAAAGTTTCATGTCTGTTGCCAGTATTTATAAAACTATGGCCAGCTAACGTGTTAGCTTGAAAGGAAGGTAAAATCTCAGAGTCATCACAATTTTTGACAATAACTATTCTCTCCTCTCATTGCTTTGAGCATACAAATGGTTGCACTTTAATCGCCAATAATCCTGTTTATTTTTTGGCGGGGGTGGTGCTCTTTTATAGTTCCCAAAGAGCTTCACCTCAGCTGTATAAACAAACTATCTTCGTAACATTCTAATTTAAGTGTGCTATTTTTTTCTTTTCTGAGCTGACTAATAATTTAAATGCAATATTCCATTTATCTTTAGAATTATGATAGAGGGAATGGAATAGAAGGAACAGATACAGGATAGAGAAGTAAATGGAAGGGTCACTAATTGAACACTGTTTGGCTATGAGGAAAGGGTTGCAGAGGTCCCGCGATTTTGACAGAGAGAAACATTGTGTCATTGACTATATTAAGAATGTCAGAAGAGACATCCAGTTTGAGACCCCTCCATGCATATATTTGGAGCAGATAATTTAGGTCATTTGGACAGAGCCAAAAGTAACTAGAAGTTAAAAAAAAAAAAAGTAACTAAAAAGTTACTAAGAGTCATGCATAATGTGGCCATGTGCATATTTTATTTGTGAATATATAATTGATATTTCATTTTCTCCTCAAAAAGGGAAACATTATTTCAATGATAAATAGACCACATTCAGGATTCACTTAGTCTCTAAGTACTTTACATCTATACAATGTGGTTTATTAGCTACATGGTTTATGTAATTGAGAGATGTCTCAAATATGCCAAACCATGAACAAAAAATTAAAAAAAAAATTTTAAGATGTCCATATTTAAATTTAACCCAAAATGTTTAAAGGCAGAAATATGTTACAGTTATCCTTTCAGCTTAGAAGAAGAAGAGAAAGCCACTAATCATAGTTTGCATTTTCATTTTTATGTAGGAAAAATCCTGGAATTTAACCACATGTAGAAATAATCAGAGCAAATCCCATCCTGGTGACTTTAGACTCTTGGGCAGGATGCTAAGAATCTTATTTGCATACTTTTACTACAAGTCTATAAGAGAATACCAACTGAGACAGCCTTTATCTTTGAGGAAAATAAAAAAAATAAAAATTACACATTTCAACTGAAAATATTAACATTCTCTCTCAGTGGATGACAGAAGGCAGCAAGAAAGAAAGCTTAGCCAATAATATTTATAAAACAAGTGTTGGGGTCTATTGCAGTAAATTATAAACAACGATAAAAAGTATCTCCACAAACATCTTTCATAACTTGGAAATCATAAATGTTATCTTTAAAAACCAATGACTTCAAAAGGCAATTAAAAGGTAATCAAAACCGACATCATAACTAATTTAGAACCAAAGTAAAACAAAACAATTATTTTCAAAGTCTTATTAAGTGCTACTAAAGAAATAAATAGCCTTGCGCAGTGGCTCATGACAGTAATCCCAATACTTTGGGAGGTTGACGTGGGTGAATCGCTTTAGTCCAGGAGTTTGAGACCAGCCTGGATAACATGGCAAAACCCTGTCTCTAATAAAGACAAAAAACTTAGCCAGCCGTGATGGTGCAGGTGTGTAGTCCCAGCTGCTTGGGAGGCTGAGGTGGAGGATTGCTTTAGCCATGATGTCAAGGCTGCAGTCAGCAGAGATTGTGCTACTGCACTCTAGCCTGGGTAACAGAGAGAGATCTTGTCAAAAGAAAGAGAAAGAAGAGAGAAACAAAGAAAGAAAGAAAGAGAAAGAGAGAAAGAAAGAAAGAAAGAAAGAAAGAAAGAAAGAAAGAAAGAAAGAGAAAGAAAGAGAAAGAAAGAAAGAAAGAAAGAAAGAAAGAGAAAGAAAGAGAAAGAAAGAAAGAAAGAAAAGAAAGAAAGAAAGAAAGAAAGAAAGAAAGAAAGAAAGAAAGAAAGAAAGAAAGAAAGAGAAAGAAAGATTCAGGATTAAGTTCTAGTTCAGTAATAGTATACTCATTCCATCCTCTTTACAAGGAACAAAGAAAAAATAGTATTAAAAATAAATATTGAAGAAGAATAAAGCTTGAAAATAAATGAGCTCAAATCTCGAAGCAAAAAACCAGAATATAACAGAAGAATAAGTACATACCATTGAGAATGTGGGACATGAAAATATCAAAAAAAAGAAGGAAGGAAGAAAAGAAGAAAGAAAGGAAAAAAATGAAAAAATAAAGGAAGGAAGAAAGGGAGAGAAAAAGTGTGTGAATCAGAGAAAGGAAGAGAGAGGAAGGAAGGAAGGAAGGAAGGAAGGAAGGAAGGAAGGAAGCAATTATGATAAACCTAAACCAAATTTAATTCTTCAAAAAAAAAAAAGCAGAAAAACTTTATTAAGTTAAGGAGAAAATTATAAATAATAGTAAAAGTTGGAACATTACTATATATTTGCAGATGTGTCTGTATTATTTCACGATATTAAAAAAATATTCATTCAGTCACATATAAATGGTGGTAGTAAAAGCAAAGCAGATAAAGAAGATAAATTCAAATTCAGGATAAGTTCTATTTCAGTAAGAACACACTCATTCAGGCTGGGCCTGGTGGCTCATGCCTGTAATCCCAGCAGTTTGGGAGGTGGAGGCCGGGGAATCACCTGAGGTCGGGAGTTCAAGATCAGCCTGACCAAAATGGAGAAACCCTGTCTCTACTAAAAATACAAAATTAGCCAGGCATGGTGGCGCATGCCTGTAATCCCAGCTACTCGGGAGAGGCTGAGGCAGGAGAATTGCTTGAACTCGGGAGACAGAGGTTGCAGTGAGCTGAGATCACACCATTGCACTCCAGCCTGGGCAACAAGAGCAAAACTCCCTCTCAAAAAAAAAAAAAAGACCCTTATTCCATCCTCTTTACATGCATGGAAGTGTGTAATGGCTAATTTAATGTGTCAGCGTGAGGGCCAGGGGTGCCCAGAAAGTTGGTTAAACCCTATTGAGTGTGTCTGTGAGGGTGTTTCTGGCAGAATGAGTAAAGTTGATTGCCCTTCCTAACGTAGGTGGGCCTCACTCAATCTGTTGAAAACTTGAATAGAATAGAAAGAAGTATAAAATAATTTTCTGTCTCTGCCTGATATTCTTCAGAATATGGGCTGTCATGCTTTCTGACTTGGACTCTGAGTGGAATGGACACCATTAGCTCTCCTGGGTCTCCAGCTTATGAAGGCAGATCCTGGGACTTTTCAGCCTCCACAATTATATGAATGAATTACTGATAATAAATCTTTTTCTATACATCCTGTTGGTTCTGTTTACCTGGAAAACCTTGGCTAATACAAAGAGCTTTAAAAATAATTTATGTGGACAAGGTGCTGGTCTGATCCCTTTGCCACTTGTTGACATATGAATCAACGCAAAAATAACATCGCAACATAAACCAGGACTTAAATATGATTAGGGCGCTAGACACAGCATGTTTAGTTGCAAAAAGATTAATGCAAAACATGCTTGACTATAAACTATGTGATTCACCAGATTATTTAATATCTTGATTTATTTCTTTATCATGTTTCTCTACCTCCAACCAGAGTGTAGGCTATATAAGAGGAAAGTCTTTTTCTTTTTTCTTCACTATTTCCAGGGCCATGAAAGTCAGGAATCTATGCTCTACGAGCCAAATCTGGTCTAGGGACTAAATGTGGCCCATCACTTGGGTTTATAAATAAAATTTTATTGGAACATTGCCTCACCCATTTTTTTTCCATATTATCTATGGCTGCTTTTGTGTGATGAAGGCAGAATTGAGTATTTGTAACAGAGACTGCATGGCCCACGAAGCAGAAAACTTCTACCTGGATCTTTACGGAGAAGCTTGCCATCTTCTGTCCTAATTGAATATGTATTCAATGAATAATTATTGCAGGTCTTTTTGCCCATTCCTCAGCAAAATATCACATTCATCCCACTGCATTAAATTATCCTACATTTGGCACAAAATATACTTGCATTTAACAGGATTGTGTTGGTTTTAGAGTGATGAGATCTCTCCAAACAATTAGCTAAAACTAAGCAATCATTTTCAGCACCAGAAGATGATATCTGTGCATTTTTCATGTATGTGAGTCAGGGCGGAGACCTAAGTTTTTGAGTGTATTGTATTTATTTGTTCAAGCCTAAAGGAGTGTGGTGGAAAATAAGCTGTGATAGGGTGGTGACTGCTGCAAAAGTAATTGAGGCTTTTGCCATTATTTTTAAAACCATGATTACTTTGGCACCAACCTAATAGAACTGCCATATTATCCAGTAATACAATTGTAGGTCTATGCCCAAAAGAATTGAATGCAGAGATTCTGGCCAGGTACAGTGGCTCAAACGTGTAATCCCAACACTTTGGGAGGCCAAAGCTGGTGGATCACTTGAGCCCAGGAGTTCAAGACCAGCCTGGACAACATGACAAAACCCTGTCTCTATAAAAAAAATAAATAAAAATAAATATATATATACAAAAATTAGCTGGGTGTGGTGGCACACACCTGTAGTCCCAGCTACTTGGCGGACTGAGATAGGAGGACCGCCTCAGAGCAGGGAGGCTTGGGCTGCAGAGAGCCATGATAGTGCCACCGCACTCCAGCCTTTATGACAGAGTTGAGACCTGAGGCTGCAGAGAGCCATGATAGTGCCACCGCACTCCAGCCTTGGTGACAGAGTGAGACCTTGTTAAAAAAAAAAAAAAAGAAAAAAAAAAGAAAGGAAGTAAAGAGTCCAATGGATATTTCTACACATGTGTTCACAATAATATTATTCACAATAGCTGAAAGGAGGAAGCAACCCAAGTGTCTATCAATGTATGAATGAAAATACCAAACAGGTTCTATATATACCATGGGATATAATTCAGCCTTAAGAAGGAAGGCAATTCTGACACATGCTACCACATGGATGAAGACCTCATGCTATGTAAAATAAGCCAGACATAAAAGGATAAGGACATGGGTGAGGACATTATGCTAATTGATATAAGCCAGACAGACACAAGAGGATGAAACTATATGATTCCCATTGTGTGAGGTCCCTGGAGTCGCCAAATTCAGGGAGCTAGAAAGTAGAGTGGTGGTTGCCTGGGACACTGGAAAGCCCTGGAGATGGATGGTGCACGACAATGTGAATGTACGTAATGCCACTGAACTGTGCACTTAAAAATAGTTAAGATAGAAAATGCTATATTATGTATATTTTACCGCAGTTCTTTTGTAAGTGCACTATCCTTAGGGTTCCAAAATCCTGCAATCAGCAGTCTCATGCAGTCACTGTGTTTGCGCTCTATCTATTAGAAATAACTGGGCTTCAAATGAAATACTGCAGAATGTTTTAAGACATATGGAGACTTAAAAATAGGCACGCCAAAAACAGAAGGTTATGTTTTACATTGAAGGTTAGCTTAAAAACGAATCACTTTAAAAGTTTCATGCCCTGCTATAGAAAAGGCACTAAAAAGGTCAACCTTTTAAAACTAAAATGCCTCATTAGTATTTTGCTGGTAACACTCTGATTAAAATTGCCACAGCACAATTTCTTCTTAGCAGTATATTTTACTTGACATTATTTAACTTGATAAAATGTTACCAAATACGTGGCCACTGACCTATCAAAAATTACTTAATTAGAAAGTTAACCTAAAAAAAAGTTAAGGAAATTATACTCAAGTAACATAAAAACATTTCCTTCCGTACTATAACAGAAGAAGGCAAGCACCTTAGCAAAGTGTGCTATATATAATATTTAACCTTTGGTGTTTCTGCAAAGAGTAATATAGGATTTTATGCATTGCATATTTTTCCATAAGCAAATTTTACTAGTGGAATAGGGAGTAGATTAAGACTCTTTAGAAGCCAAGGTACTTTCCTTCTTTGAGCAACCCTAGGAGATCTCATCTTCTTCCATGCCATCCTTCAGGTCTCTCTCTTTTCATGCATACATACTTAGTGGTTTATATTCTTGATGTCAGACAAAGGTGATCATGATATATTTTACCAGCATTGTGCCCAAGTGAAACCAGCTGTTTTTGGAAAGTGAGTTTCAGACAGCCAAAGACAGAAAGAGTAAACTAGCTGTTTTAGTTTCTTAGGGTTGCGAAAACAAAGTATTGTATACTGGATGGGTGGAAACAAAAGAAATGTATTATCGCATGGTTCTGGAGGCCAGAAGTCCAAAATAAAAGGGTTGGTGGGGCCGTGATCTCTCTAAAACCTGTAGAGAAGGATCCTTTCTCGCTTCTTCTACTTTTGGATGGTTGCCAGCAATCTTTGGTGTTCTTTGCTTGTAGACTCACCACCCCAATATCCGCTTCCATCTCGCATGGCTGTCTTCTCTCTGTGTGTGCCACACTCCCTCTAAAATCTGTAGGGGAGTATCCTTTCTTGTGTCTTCTACTTTCTGGTTGTTGCCAGCAGTTCTTGGCATTGCTTGTCTTGGAGATGCAACCCTCCAATATCTGCCTCCATCTTCCCATGGTTGTCTTCTGTCTGCATGCCTTCACATAGTCTTTCTTCTATATGTGTCTGTGTCCTAATCTCCTCTTTCTATAAAAAAACACTAGACAGATTAGATTTGGGTCTACCCAAATGAACTTGTCATAACTTGATCACATCCGCAAAACCTTATTTCCAAATAAGGTCACATTCATAAGTACCAGGGATTCAGACTTCAACATATTGCTTTGGAGGACACCATTCAACTTATAATACCATGCCACTGTGGCTTGGAAGGGACCAAATATAACCTGGGATTTCACTGCCTGAGAACCAATAACTTGCTGGGCAAAGGGTGTCCTGAGGGAGTCACCTTACCTTACTGTCATTCAAACTGCCATCTGTACAAGAAAGGGAGGCATTAAAAAAATAAGGGTTGGCCGGGTGCAGTGGCTCACGCCTGCAATCCCAGCACTTTGGGAGGCCGAGGTGGGCAGATCACGAGGTCAGGAGATCAAGACCATCCTGGCTAACATGGTGAAACCCCGTCTCTACTAAAAATACAAAAAATTAGCCGGGCGTGGTGGCGGGCGCCTGTAGTTGTAGCTACTCTGAGGCTGAGACAGGAGAATGGCGTGAACCCGGGAGGCGGAGCTTGCAGTGAGCCGAGATCGCGCCACTGCACTCCAGCCTGGGCCACAGAGCGAGACTCCGTCTCAAAAAAAAAAAAAAAAAAAAAAAAAAAGGGTTAACATGATGCAATCCATTTGCATAACTTGTATTCTTTGCCTTACCCTAATCCCCACCCTGCACAATCTGTCTTTATTCAAAATTTTAGTATTTTGCTCACCAATGATTTCTTTGTGTAAACATTGCTTCTTTTAAGTTTCATTAGGATGTCATTTATCCTGATTACTGAGCTTACAGCAGCCCCTTAAATGTCGCAGCCACCCAATAGGAAGCCTCACCTACCTCACCCAAGCCCCAGCCCTGCAAATGGTTGTCCAATGTCCCCTGAGATCTAAGATTATAGCCACCCTAATGCTGCAAATGCCCCAGCATGTCCCATTTGCCTTTCTAAAGGACATAAGCCCTGTCTGAAAGCTCACCTCTGTTGCGTTTTCTATAGCCACTGCGATTTACAATCTGCTCCACATGTTTGACTATTTCAAATAGATATTTAAACAGGCATTTAAGTAATTTAAGTAGGTATTTTAATAATTAACTGAAAACCAGACGAACGTTAAGGGACAAAACAAGATGTCAGCATTAGACACTTCTACGTCTGAGTTCACTTTTTTCTTTCCAGTGCAGTCTGTGGAGCTTCTTGTAATACAAGAGGTGAGAAGTCGGAGGTTCACCTGTGAGGATATTTACCAGACCTGTGGGGGCTGAGGTATTAAAATTGAATTTTTAATACTATTACTCTTCATGGCACAAGCGTCACCTCCACCATAATTTCCCTCTTTTAAAATTTTTGAAGACTTTTCAATGCTAGTACTCTGTTTGTCATGATAGTTGTTTTATTATTATTATTATTTTGAGACAAGGTCTTGCTCTGTTGCACAGGCTGGATTACAATGGTGCAATCATGGCTCACTGCAGCCTCAACCTCCCAGGCTCAAGCAATCCTCCTACCTCAGCCTCTCAAGTAGTGGGGACTACAGGTGTGCAACACCACACACACCTAATATATATGTTTTAAGTTTCTGTACAGACAAGGTCTTGCTGTGTTTCCCAAACTGGTCTTGAACTTTTGGCCTCAAGTGATCCTCCCGCATTGGTCTCCCAAAGTGCTGGGATTATGGATGTGAGCCATGGCATACAGCCAGCCAGTTTCTTATTCTGTAAATAACTGAGGAATATCAAGGCAAGCCTCTTTCAACCCATGCATTCCATGTGGTATAAGGTGATGATCAGTTCTACAAAATGAAATGTTCCTTGTGGAAGAAATACCACTTCATACATATTTATCCCCACACTGACTGATCCAGTAGTTAATAAAGAGTAGATGTCCAACAAATACTCACGGAGTAGATGAAACATTAAGTGACACAATGCCGGCCACAGAACTTTCCAGTTTATCTTCTTGCCCAAAGATGAATGTTTTATAAAATACTCAGATGCTGAGTGTAATATTTAATTGCTGACTTTAACTAAGTTAGAAATAATTGTGGTACATTGCATACGAGAAGTAGGTGCAGAGAGAAAGCATGTTAAGCTGACTGGAGGCTTCTTTGCAATATCTACTCCTCTCATCCTTTACAGAATTGCAGTCCACAACAAGCAGAGGGAAAATAGGACTTGGATAGCTCTTGGCTGGTTTCAGGTGTTCTCAAACTCAAATTTAAAAATGCAGCACATTTGTTCCCTGTGCATCAGATGCTTTTAAAGGACAATTTGCAGACTCTTGCACTTAAATCTGCCATATGACTCATTTCTGTGTGGTAAGGTCACACACAGAAGAAAGTAGAATGATTAAATATAATTATGCTTTTATATGTGGAATGCAGGAAGAGCAATCATTTTAATCACTTCACAGAGATAGAGATTTCTGTTACTTTGTGTCATGTAGAATTTATACTTAATGCTCCAGCGCATGTCTTATCTATACTGCAATGAGTTGACAATGCAAGGGCATTCTGGAGCCTTCGGGGTAGAGATAAACCCCAAAGTCAATCTGATTTGCCATTTCCTGAAATGGAGTAAAAGAGGTGTTTGGAGGTCACTAGAAACAGCTTGAAACCGACATAGGCCAAGAAAGAACTGGGAAATAACATCCTTGGGAATAGCACAGTAATGACCTCCAAGAAGCCTCTACTCCAAAAATACTTGGCAAAATTCATAAGAAAATATCCTGAGCCTGGAAAATGAACCAAAGGCTAGCATTGAACCAAAGGCTATCCCTGGAGCAATTATTCAAGAAAAATAGATGAATTTCAGTAAGAACAGTGGCTTTTGCAGGGTTTCAAATTGTTCTCTCCCAAGTTCCATGGTAGTCTTGTTGACAAACATCCCACACTCAGGAGCAACTAGTAGCAGAACAGCCACTGGAGGAATAAGAAGCCCCATCCGCAGAGAACTGTCATTATTTGACCTGTCTGCTAGTTCCCCAGAAGACCCCACTCACAAAGTTGTCATTATTTGACGTGACATAGAGCTCACCAGGTGAAACAGCCTTTTTCCTGGGGGAGTAGTCAAAAACAATCAGAGGTAACTGTATAAAAGTGCAGCTGCCCAAGGTAGTAATAAAAGCTGGGGACGATACTAAAATAACCAAAACATTGAGAAGAAAACCTGGAGGATTCTATGCCCTTGGGGTCATTTAAAAGCTCTGATGTGTTCCAGGGAATAAAGAAGGATTCATGCACACAGAGGGTTGTGTGCATGCTAACATGTGCACACATGGAGGGGAAAGACCTAAGAAAGACCTCAGATTCCTCTATGTCTGACCTTGAAGAATTGCTCCAAGAGGAAGTAAAGGCTAAGACAGAGATTCCAATTAGCTCTGGAGAGTAAACAAAGACTTGCAAGTATCCAAGCAGCATGTGCTCAAGAGAAATGGCTGAATTTTACTAAGTAGAGAAAGAACACTATGCCTGAGGGAGTGTGGAAATCATGCACTAGCAGGAACACAGAGCCCCTCAGCTAGACCAGGAGACTGCAGACAACTAAGGCAATCGTTGTCCAATCATTGCTGAACACCAAGCTAACAGTGAAGACACTTTGGTGGAAACACATGCAACAAATAATACAGATTGCAGAATTAGTTCAGGAAAGTCATTAAACAAAGAAATACACAGCAGCAGAAACAACAACACACGGAAAAACAAAATAGGAAGCAGAGAGAATTTTCAGAGTGGCTCCATTTTGTAACTTGTTCGACAACAACAACAAAATAAAAGGACATGAAGAGCCAAAAAATAAAAATACAGCAATACATGGATTAAACACTCCAACCCCAAATCAGAGACTGGCAGAATGGACATGCTACCTATGGGAAATGTATTTTAGTTCCAAATGCACAGAAAGTAGGAAGCCTATAATCAACAAGACAAATAGTCACAAGTACTGGTGAGGATGCACAAAAATGGGAACTCTCATCTGTTGCTGGTATGAATATAAAATGGTTTACCCATATTGCAAATCAGTCTGGCAGTTCCTCCAAAGGTGAAACATTGAACTGCCTTATAGACCAACAATTCTACTCATAGGTATATGCCAAAAGAATTGAAAACATATGTCTGCACAAAAACCTGTACACAAATGTTTGTGGTATTGCTATTTAGAACAGTCAATAACTTAATTGTACATTTTAAAATAAAGAGTGTAATTGGATTGTTTGTAACTCAAAGCATAAATGCTTGAGGAGATGGAACCCCATTCTCCATGTTGTGCTTATTTCAAATTGCATGCCTGTATCAAAACATCTCATGTACCCCATAAATATACACACCTACTACGTACCCACAAAAATTTTAAAAAACAAAAAATCAAAAAATAGTCAAAAATACCAGTAGCCCAATGTCTATGAATTGAAGATAAATAAAATGTGTAAATGCATAATATGGACATTATTTATCCATTTAAAAAATGTACTGATTCATTCCACAACATGAACCATAACACATTACAGTAAGTGAAAATAGCTGAACACAAAAGTTCACATGATTTCATTTTTATTAAAGGTACACAAAGGTAAACCCACAGACAAAAAGTAGACTACAGATTGCCAGGGTTTGGGAGAGAGGAGGATAGTATGGAGAGTGACCACTAATGAATGTTGAGTTTATTTTTGGGGTGATAAAAAATGTCTGGAATTAAATGTTAATGGTGGTTGCACAGCATGTAAATATAGTAAAAGATCACTGAAATTACACAGTGACTCATGCCTGTAATCCCAACACTTTTGTGTACGGAATCGGTTCCTTCCGGTGGGTTCTTGGTCTCACTGACTTCAAGAATGAAGCCACGGACCCTCGCAGTGAGTGTTACAGGTTTTAAAGGTGGTGTGTCCAGAGTTTGTTCCTTCAGATGTTCAGATGTGTCCGGAGTTTCTTCCTTCTGGTGGGCTGGTGATTTCGCTGGCTTCAGGAGTGAAGCTGCAGACCTTCACAGTGAGCGTTACAGCTCTTAAAGGTGGCACGCCCGGAGTTGTTTGTTCCTCCCAGTGGGTTCATGGTCTCCTTGACTTCAGCAGTGAAGCTGCAGACCTTTGCAGTGAGTGTTACAGCTCATAAAGGTAGTGCAGACCCAAGAGTGAGCAGCAGCAAGATTTATTGTAAAGAGCAAAAGAACAAAGCTTCCACAGTGTGGAAGGGGACCCAAGCAGGTTGCCGCTGAGGGACCGGGCAGCCAGCTTTTATTCCCTTATTTGGCCCCGCCTACATCCTGCTGATTGGTCCATTTTACAGAGCAGTGATTGGTCCATTTTACAGAGTGCTGATTGGTCCATTTTTACAGAGTGCTGATTGGTGCATTTACAATCTTTTAGCTAGACACAGAGCGCTGATTGTTGCGTTTTTACAGAGTGCTGATTGGTGCGTTTACAAACCTTTAGCTAGACACAGAAAAGTTCTCCAAGCCCCACTCCACCCAGGAAGTCCAGCTGTCTTCACCTCTCACTTTGAGAGGCTGAGGCCAGCATTTGACTTGAGGTCAGGAGTTTGAGACCACCCTGGCCAACATAGTGAAACCCTGTCTTTACTAAAAAATACAAAAATTAGCTGGACATGCTGGCACACGCCTGTAATCCCAGCTTCTCAGGAGGCTGAGGCGTGAGATTCACTTGAGCCTGGCAGGCAGAGGTTGCAGTGAGTCAGGATCACAGCACTGTACTCCAGCCTGGCTCAAAAAAATAAATAAATAAAATATACTGAAGTTGTGTTGTTTGAGAACTGCATTGTATGTGCATTATATCTTAATGAACAATACATTTTTTAAAACACCATGACAAATGACATCAGGAAGAGTGTCATATTACAGCCCGAGGCAAAGGAATAGTTGATAATACTGATCTTTATTTGAAATGCTCATAATTTGTTCATCATATGTTTTTGGTATTAATTTTGATTTTTTACAATTTTGCCTTAAATTATCATTTATATTGGGGGAAAAAAGAGAAAGAACTGTATTGATAATTATGACACAGTACATCTGCAGCTCCTAAAATTCCTGACACTATTGTCTTCAGGTAAATATATGCTGTGGTTATTATTCAGCTTCTCTGTTATGAATTAAAACCCAAAGATCTTCTCACAAGAGTACCGTTGAAGTTCATCATGAGTGCAGTAAGAAAAAATCATGAAGTTCATCATGATGAAGTTCATTATGAGTTCAGTAGTAAAAAAATCCAAGAGTGTCAACTACAACATGCCCTAGACAGCCCTAACTATGACAGACACAACTCTTTCTATGATTTAGTTACACTGTTTTCATTCCCATTCAAAACACCAAAGGCTATCATGCACACAGAGAATCTCAAGGTGCCTTGTAGCAATGGCTGCATCATGAAACATGAAAGAAGAAGGGAACAAGATTCAGTGGCTCAACCTTAAATGGGACAAGAGCATCATAAGTGGTACCTTATGAGGACTCATTCATATTCTTCTATCCAAAAATATTGAAAGCTGCAGGAGAAATTTTAAGTTCACTCTTTTATATTCATATACTCTGTAGCTATTTAGTCTCGTTTTGGAAAATGGTTATTTTTAACCATTGCATTAGTTCCCTGTGGCTGTTGTAACAAAACAAACATAAACTCAATGGCTCCAAACATCACAAATTTATTTTGTTATCTGAAAATGCCCATCAATGGCAGACTGGATAAAGAAAATGTGGTACATATACACCATGGAATACTATGCAGCCATGAAAAAGAATGAGATCATGTCCTTTGCAGGGACATGGGTGAAGCTGGAGGCCATTATTCTTAGCAAACTAATGTAGGAAGAGAAAACCAAATGCTGCATGTTCTCACTTATAAGTGGGAGTTAAATGATGAAAGCACATGGACACAGAGGGGAACAGCTCACACTGGGGCTTATTGGAAGATGGAGGATGGGAGAAGGGAGAGGATCAGGAAAAATAACTAATGGGCACTAGACTTAGTACCTGGATGACAAAATAATCTCTACAACAATCCCCTGTGACATGAGTTTACCTATATAACAAACCTGCACATATGCCCTGAACTTAAAACAAAAGTTGAAAAAAAGAAAAAGAAAAACAAAAGAAAATCAGAGAACTTAAATGAGTCAGCAGAGCTGCACTCCTTTTGAGGCTTGAAGGGAGAATCTGTTTCCGTGTCTTTTTCAGCTTCTAGAGGATATCCAAATTTATTGGTTCATGACCCTGACATCACTCTGACCTCTGTTTCCATTGTCACGTCTCCATTTCTCACTCTGAGCCTTTTACCTCCCTCTTATAAAGACCATTGAAATTAAATTGGGTTCACATCTGTAATATCTAGGGTAATGTCCTCATCTCAAGATCCTTAATTTAATCATATCTGCAAGTACCTTTTGCCAAATAAGTTAGCAAATGCACGTGTTCCAAGGATTATATTTGCGAAATAAGTTATTAAATGCACGTGTTCCAAGGATTATATTTGCCAAATAAGGATTTGCCAAATAAGGATTAAATGCACGTGTTCCAAGGATTATATTTGCCAAATAAGTTAGCAAATGCACATGTTCTAAGGACTTGGCTATCTTGGGGTCCATTATTCTGCCTGCTACACAAGGATTAGTATGTGAACATCTTTGAAGACCATTACTCTGTCTACCATAGGGGTATTTAGGACGTAGACATCTTTAGGGCCATTATTCTTTCTACCACATGGGAATTAGGACGTGAACATTTTGGGATACCATTATTCTGTCAATTAGGATGTGGACATCTTTGGGGACTGTTATTCTGTCTACCACATGGGGATTAGGATGTGGACACTTTGGGGCACCACTATTCTGCCCATCACATGAGGATTAGGACATAGATATTTGGGGGACACCATTATTCTGTCTACCACATGGGAGTTAGGATGTAAACATCTTTGGGGGCCATTATTCTGTCTCTCAGATGAAATTAGGGCATCGACATCTTTGAGGCCATTATTCTGTCTACTGCATGGGATTAGGATGTGGACATCTTTGGAGGCCATGATTCTGACTATGAAAGCCATCTTTCTAAAATATTGGTCAACAAATACTTCCCCATGACTCAGATTCAACTGGATAATTTTAAAATTGCCAAATCTTAAATATTCAATCACAAAGCATATTCATAGGAGTTCATTGTTTTAATAGTAAGTAAATACTTCATTGTTACATGGAACTAGTTTAAATTCCATAGTAATTGACTTCCTTTCAGGTCTAAATCATAAATTCTTCAGAAGTAAAAATTCCTTTCAGACCTTCTTTTATCAAATAATTGATCTTTCTCGTGTGAGGTATGGTATGACATTCAAATATTTGATTGCCGGCATCAAAAACAAAGAAGTTATATTTAAAGGCTTCGTTTTGAAACATTTTTATCCCTGAGTGGGTTTTCCTTACCAAAGAAAATACTTAGAGGTTCTCCATCAGCAATTGAATTCCAAGAGACAGGAGCTATAAGTCCTGGTATTATATATACGACGCATAAATTTTGGTAAAATAATGAAAGGGTTCCTGGGCTTGAGATAAAAGTCATGGGGGCTCTTATTCCAGCTCTGCTTTTAACTAGGCATCCCTTTCCACTGGAGAATTGACTTCGCAGTGCCCTAAGTTTTCTCACCTGCAAAATGATGGCGTTGACCCCAATCACATGTCCCGTCTCTTCCATCTCTCCCAGTCATATGAACTAATATCAAATTATTCTGCGACTCTGTGTCTTCTTATGTCCTTATCAACCTTTGCAAAAGGGAAAATTTTCAAGGATGGCAAAACAAGTCTTGTGAGGCTCAGGAGATCACAAGGTCACCTGAATATGAGAGTTCGGATCCTAAATGCAAATCACAAGACGACTCACATTCTATTGTGAGGTATGAGACTGTGGGAGTGAACTTTTCTTCCAACAGTTAATGTTTCCCTGACAAATTCCAGCACGTCCTTCAAGCATCCTTTAGCATGATTTCCTGAATGTCATCCTTATTATTGTTGGGTTGGCCACTTGTAATTTTTATGTTTAGTTGCATAACTTCTTGTTCAAGACATTGAAGTAAGGAGACATTTTGGATGATGCTGAAGGATTCAAGTTGGTGGAACTAGATTTGATGCAGGAGGTGACTCAGACTGCTTTGGGGTTCCTAGATGTGGAAGGTATAGTTTGTGGGTGGGGGGACTGAATTTATATTTCAGTGCTCTGAGCTAATCTTAACACTATTAGTATCAAACTCCAAATCTGCTCCATTCTGTGCTCTTGTTATCTCAGGACACCTGGCTGATTTATTCTGCCTTGACGAGGGCTTTTGGGAAGCAACTGTAAAATTGCTTTCTTAGGACCTTTTGTCCAAAGTGCCTTACAGAACTAGCAGAAGCACAGGCTACTTCCTAATTATTGTGAAATTGGGGAGCAATACAGAGCTTTTTCATATAGAAAGGGAAGTGCTTCGAAGAAAACAGGCTTCAATTCTGCAAAGTTCAGGGTAGAAAAAGAGAATGTATTTTCTCTGTTCCCTTGGCTATGCAATTTGGAAATCTTGAATAAATCTCCCCTTCCTAAGGCAACCACATCCAGTTCTAATTGCAGGCTTCAGAGGGACCTGAGATGCATTAGATTCAAAAGAATAATGTTGGAACAAGGTGCAATTTAAAAAGCAGAGGAAGAATAACAAGAAACACACCCAAAGACACAGGAAAACACACTTACATATAAATACACACACACACACAGAGGAATTGGCAAATAAACATGTCATAAAAACATGACATCAAAGCTTTATTAATTTGAACTTGTAGCATGAGAAAGGAAGGTGGATTTACATGTGTGTGTATGTGTGTCATCATACATGCACATACGTGAAAAAATGTGATTAAATATATGTGTATATGCATATTAAATAGCCTTACAACTCTTGAGGTGAAACAATCGTATTTTCCTGGAATAAGCATATGGAAGCATCAGTTTTGTGTTTTTTAAATTAATGAGCTATCTGGGTCATTGTTGCTCATAGTTAACACCTCTGATATGGTTTGTCTCTGTGTCCTCATCCAAATCTCATCTGGAACTGTAATCTCCATAGTCCCCACATGTTGAGGGAAGGACTTGGTGGGAGGTGACTGGATCATGGAGGTGGTTTCTCCCATGCTGTTCTCATGATAGTAAGTGAGTTCTCATGAGATCTGATGGTTTTATAAGTGTTTGACAGTTTCTCCTTCAAACGCTCCCTTTCTTTCCTGCCACCTTGTGAGGAAGGTATTTGCTTCTCCGTTGCCTTCTGCCACGATTGTAAGTTTCCTGAGGCCTCCCCAGCCATGTGGAACCGTGAGTCAATTAAACCTCTTTCCGTTATAAATTACCCAGTCTCAGGTATTTCTTTATAGCAATGTGAGAACGGACTAAGACGCCCTCCCTGTGTATTGACACAAAGAAGAGTGATAGCAGTAGAATCAAGCACTGCAGAAATGAAAGGCTACTGCTTCTCCTAACATTGATTTTTCTTGCATTTCAATAACTATTGTGTTAGGAAATAGCAGACTGAGAACAGACCTGTCTCAAATGTACTTGCCTTCAACAGTAAATTGCATGGTGTATTTTTTGTGATGATTTGAAAGAAAGGGAATAGCATTTTATCTGTGGAATTAACAATCACAAATGATTTTTAAAAAAATTTTCCTGAAACTAGCAATACCATCAATTCCCTGTGCTTTTTGTCTACAACTGTAACAATTCAGTAGTAGTAGTCTCATTAATAACAGGAGTTCCTGTCTTCTGTTTTACATACATTTGATAAAGAAAAATGAAATTGATTCATGTTTTTGCATTGCAGCTAATTATTTTCAAACTTTGGACACAAGGAGGAACACATAAATGAATGACTTTAATGGTGAAACATTTTAATGCCAACCACTTGGAAAATCATAACATTTTACAATCAGCATTAAACATATTCTGTACATTTTAGGTGTTTAGAGTTATATGTTTAATCCTAAATATTTTAAATGTTGCCAGTTGGAATTTTTATGTGAGTTTACTAAAAATGCGTTCTTTTTTTTTCTTTTTTACTATCCAACTTAATTTCACCACTTCTATAAAACTTTCTCTTACATAAAAGGTAGCTTTTTCAGAATTCTGAAGCAGCTATTTTAAAGAAATGCATTATTTCATATGATTATATAAATATATATTATTTCTTTGATATCTATTGAGGAAATCAAGTGTCATCTCACCAATGCTTTGAAATTCTTTAACATGAAATGGCATTTGTTTTGTAATTGAAGAACAAGGCCTAAAGTAGAAGAAAAACAAATGGCACAAATAACAATACAAATAACTATAGGAGTAATAACAAACAACATGACTGGAAGGTTTACTATGTGTCAGGCACTTTAAAGCATCAATTAGGAGAATAATCATCACTAGGAGCTGGCCAGGTGCGGTGGTTTATGCCTGTAATCCCACTGCTTTGGGAGAGAAAGGAGGAAGGATCACTTGAGGCCAAGAGTTTGAGACCAGCCTGGGCAACACAGCAAGACTCTGTCTCGACAAAAAATAATAATAATAAAAAAATCAGCTGTGCATGGTGGTGCGCTTCTGCAGCCCCAGCTACTTTGGGGGGCTGACATGGGAGGATCGCTTGAGCTCAGGAAGTCGAGGCTGCAGTGAGCTCTGATTGTGCCACTGCACTGTAGCCTGGTCAACAGAGCGAGACATTGTCTCTAAAAATAAAATAAAATATAAAATAAAATAAAATAAAATAAAATAAAATAAAATAAAATAATAAAATAAAATAAAATAAGAAATAAATTATCACCACAAGCTGATGAGGGAGAAATTTGGTTGGGCTGAACTTATAGATGAGAACACTAAAGAGAGAAGAGGCGGTAAAACAGCACCCAGGAATCCAGGTAGGATATGGATTTTGATATCTCGGTGCCAGCCTTGGACAACATCCCCAGCCATCACATTGCCTCTTAACTGGATACTAAATCCATGAACAGCATTTCCCAGGTGGAATTAGGAGGGACTGACATCAGAGAGTTTGATTTTGGTAAAAACAAAAACAAAAGTCAAACAAAAACCAAGGCTAGGAAGGAGAAAACGGATGCAGCCAAATCCATCATTTGCTTTTCCTGTTCTCTGAATCACTCCAAGAACGTCAGCATCTGATGGGTGTCAAAATCACACTTTTTGTACCTTGCACACTGTTTCCTTGTCTTGGGCTTTTCCTCATTATAATAGGACGTATTTGTGTCTCCCTTTTTTCCACACTAAGAACTCTGGCTTCCCCTATGTATAATGTGGTTAATCGTTTCCTTAAATACCATCTAACTTCAAAACCGAATGGGATTCTTTTCCATGTTAGCTCAATGTTTGTTCTTTCCAATAATAGGATATTCTTTAATAAGTGAGCTCTTTGTCTAGACCATTTGGGTATTTCTGCCCATATTGAAGACAGTATAGATTGACTTTTTTTTTTTTTTAAGAAATGTTGATGCTGTGTCTGGGTTAGGCAAACGTTTCCTACAGAGAGGAAACATGGTGATAATATTAAAATTAGTGCTGGCCAAGGATGATGGCTCACACCTGTAATCCCAGCAATTTGGAAGACGAAGGTGGGAGGTTCGCTTGAGGCCAGGAGTTTGAGATCAGCCTAGGCAACATAGTGACACCTCATCTCTACAAATAATTTATTTTAAAAAATTAGCTAGGTTTGGTGGCATGTGCCTGTGGCTCTAGCTACTTGGGGGGCTGAGGAATGAGGATTGCTTGATCCCCGGATGTCAAGGCTGCAGTGAACCGTGATCACGCCACTTGTGCTCCAGCCTGGGCCACAGATCGAGACCCTGTCTCAAAAACAAACAAAAAAAGTATTCATTGCCTAACTTTTTTCTTATTTTTCATTATGAAAAATCCATTGGCCTTTTTTTTCCGGCTTTAACATTTCATGCTTATTTCATATTATTTTGTTAAGATTGATTTCTCAGTTTGAAACAAAGGTTTGCAATAGTCTGCTAAAACAAGCATGTGATTGTAATGGAGAAATTTCTTCCTTGTAAATTTCAACCAAGGGACACATAATAATACAGAATAAATGATAGGGCACTATTTCTATAAGACTATCCTTTACTTGAAGAAATTTTGACATCATAAGAGGAAAAATTACCACTATTTTATAGTGTTACAGATTATCTATCATTATGTACTTTTTTCTGAACAGAACAATTTGCTGGTTTAGCTGAAGGAAATCACAATGTTAGAATCACATGCATGTCTCAAAGAAAGTCATTTTTCAAAACTTCACAAACATATTCCCTGTGATCAGTTGTATTTATCAGAGATGTTCAGAGAATTTCTCCCAATCCACAGGCCCTTCATATAGAGCGACTTTAAAGCTTTAAGATTCTTTTCAGACAAATGATGCTCCCGGCTGGTGTGGTGGCTCAGGCCTATAATAATAGCACTTTGGGAGGCCAGGGCAGGAGGATTGTTGAGGCCAGGAGTTGGAGACCAGCCTAGACAACATAGTGAGAACTTGTTTCTACACAATAATAATAATAATTTTAAATTACCCAGGCACGGTAGTTCATCCCTGTAGTCCCAGTTACTTGGAAGGCTGAAGGGGGAGGATCATTTCAGTACAGTAGGTTGAGGCTGCAGTGAGCCATGATCAAACCACTGCACTCCAGTCTAGGAGACAGAGCAAGACCCTGTCTCAAAAAAAAAAAAAAAAAAAAAAAGATGCTCTCTCCTCTGGAATCTGAGCAAGGTTGTGAAACCAAAGGAAGTGACACTGTGTACATTCTGAGGCTGGATTGTAAATGAAGCCCAAGCATCTTCCTGGAGGTGCCTCATACATTCCATCTGAGAGCCGTTACTGAGCCAGCATCCATCCGCAGACATAGGAGTCATGAAACCTTCACTTCATTCTATTCCCCAGCCAGAGTGACCTCCCTACCTTTGTAAATTCCAAACATCATGGGCCAAGACAGCCATACGCAATGAACCCTTTCAGTGTCCCTAAAGCACAGAATCGTTAGCATAATAAAACGATTGCTGTTCTACAAGACTAAGTTAGGGGTCAATATAGTTTGGATATTTGACCCTTCAAAACTCATATTGAAATTTGATCCCCATGTTGCAGGTGGGGCCCGGCAGGAGGTGTTTTTGTCATGGGGGTGGATTCCTCATGAATGGCTTGGTGCCCCTGGGAATGAGTGAGTTCCTACTGTATAGTTCATATGAGCATGGCACCCCTCTTCCTCTGTCTTTCCCTCCCTCGCATGTGACCCTCCATTTCCCCTTTCACATTTGCCGTTATTGGAAGCGTCCGGAGGTATTTACAAGAAGAAAAGACTTCTTATACCGCCTGAAAAATCGTGAGTCAGGTAAACACCAGGCTTTATAAATTGATAAATTACCCAGGCTCAGGTATTTCTTTATAGCAAAGCAAAGCAGACTGAGACAGAGGTGATCTGTACACAAAAATAGAACCGGAAAACACACACACACAGGACACAGACAAACACAGCTTTCAAATGAAAGCTAAGAAGATTAAATAAGGTTCCAGATTTATGAGCAATTATTTGCAAGACTATTATTTTTATAGTATTAGTACATTCCTAAAATAATCCTTTTCTTAATTATTGATGTGTATCTATATTATCTATAAATATAGATAATATAAATATGAATATAATATTAATATTAATATTATCTATAAATATAGATCTATTTTTACATCTATCTATTATATTTATATTATCTATTTATAGATATAAATAATAATAGTAATTTTTAATTAACCAGGCATGATAGTTTACCCCTGTATTCCCAGTTACTTGGACTGTAATTATATTATCTATAATATAAATATTATAGATAATATATGTTCTCTATAATAGAGAATATAAATATAATATTCATATTATCTATAATATAAAATATAAATATATTTTTATAATGTATAAATAATATTTATATAATATATTATAAATATAATTATAACAGTTATATATTATAAATATAAATATGATCTTAATATTATATATTATATTTATATTATAGATAATATAAATGCTATATAGGACTGTCTAGGACTGCTTGAAAATGAACAGTCCTTGATAGCATTTACATCTAAGGTACCAAATGGGTAAATGCAGTGTTTTAAAAGGAGTAGAAGCTGGGTGAGGTGGCTCACGCTTATAATCCCAGCACTTTGGGAGGCTGAGGCAGGCAGTTCACTTGAGGCCAGGAGTTCAGCACCAGCCTGGCCAACATGACAAAACCCCATATCTACTAAAAATACAAAAATTAGCCGGGCATGTGGCACATGCCTGTAATCCCAGCTACGCTGGAGGCTGAAGCACAAGAATCAGTTGAACCCGGGAGGCAGAGGCTTCAGTGAGCGGAGACCATGCCACTGCACCCCATCCTGGACAACAGAGTGATACTCTGTCTCAAAATAAATAAATAAATAAATAAAATTAAGAATAAAAGGAGTAGGAGTTTTATATGTGTGTGTGTGTGTGTGTGTGTGTGTGTGTGTCTGTATACATATAAATGGTTTCAATTTATGCCATTCAAGTTTTGTAGTTGGTAAGTAAAATAGCATTTCTCACAGCTTTAAAGCTTTTCCTGGGGTGACATGATTATGCAAGTATGATGCTGAGGTGCCGATTTTATAAGAAGGTTTGCACCTTCACAAATGACATATTCTGGCAAGGAACTTTTCAAGCATAAGAAACATTTTTTACTGACAAGTATGAGGGAAATTAAATTTAAAAGTAGGTACTATCTATCTTGTGTCAGCATTCAACAAAGCAAAATGAGATTGTCACTGCCTTGTTCTCATATTTCCACAAAGCTTTCCCATTTCTTCTGGGAATCAAGCTGAGCACCTGGTGAAATAGCCACATTTAATTAGAAAATAAAAGTAAATATGTATCATTGTCAAATTTCATTTTGACTCAATCATTCAATTAAAATAAAACCAAATACTAGGCCAGGCGCAGTGGCTCATGCTTGTAATCCCAGCACTTTGGGAGGCCGAGGGGGGTGGATCATTTGAGGTTAGGAGTTTGAGACCAGCCTGGCCAACATTGTGAAACCCCGTTTCTACTAAAAATACAAAAATTCGCTGGGTGTGGTGGCAGGTGCCTGTAATCCCAGCTACTCAGGAGGCTAAGGCAGGAGAATTGCTTGAACCAGGGAGGTGGAGGTTGCAGTGAGCCGAGATCGTGCCACTACACTCCAGCCTGGGTGACAGAGCTAGACTGTCTGAAACAAACAAATAAACACATCCAAATACTAAATTAAGGTGGGTGACGGGAACTCCAGTCCCTTGGTCTTAAAACAAACAAACAAAACAAAGCAAGCCTAATTCCCCTTAATGGGGAAAATCTGAAAGATCAATAAACATAGGCCATTAAATTCCATTCCACCAGAAATCAAAGCCATGAAAAATTAAAACAAAGAAATGGAATTTCACAGCCATTAGCTTAGCAAAAATTCAAATGTCTGCTGTATTCATTGTTGGGGAATTGTAGCAAAAGGGAATCTGTACCCAATTTGGAAAAGCCTTTTGGTATTGTCTAATGAAATGGAAAGCCTCCAATCGCATATGTTACTCAACAATACCTTTGAGAAGGCAGGACACGTTTAATTACTAGGGTTTTGGGGACAGACAGGCTGGGTTTGATCTCAGCTTTTTTTCCTGCTAGCTGTGTGATTTGAGCAATTTAGTAACTAGGCTTTAGATTTTCATTTTATGAATTAGGGCAATTAGAGTTTTGTTGAAGGCAAATAAGTTTAATATTTATAAAGAGCACTAAAAAAATACTCCCAAAGAACAGCTCACATATATACACAAAGAAGCATTGATAACTTTGTTTCTTGCCATATTGTTTGTAAAAGAGGAAAAGTGGAAATGATCAAGCAGAAAGGGAGTAATTAAGTGTTAATAACTCCTAGTGTGTGCATACCAGCTATATCACAGTTACACAAATTGGCTCAACCTATGCATAACTAAAAGGATAATAAAATAATTTACAAAAAGATTATACAATAATGTACTTCTAATGTAAATTTTAAAAATATTCACTAGGTATTATTTAGTGATACATGTATTTTTAGTGACAATATAAAAATGTACTTTGGAAGACATAGTGAGAATATAATTAATTGATACACAGCTTGGGAATTTGTCCTCAATGGCTTTCTCTCTCATAAGTTTTTGTGAATCGGTTTCAATTTGCAATGGAGTGCCCTAGAAGGCAAATAGAATAGAGTGAATTATAAATATAGTGTGCTTGATATTCTTAATTTGGAAGAAAATACTTAAAAGGTGTGCACTGTTACAGTAGTTAATATGTGTGTGTTTATGTGTGTGTGTATATATGTAAAACAAATGTCATATGCATTTACATATGTTTATATATACATTTTATATCAATATATACATGTGCACTGTTACTGTAAATTAGCATGTTGTATATATGTGTATATATAAATAAAACAAATGTCATATACATTTATATACAATTGTATATACATTTTATATCAATATGTACGTGTGCACTATTATAGTAATCAGTATGTGTGTATATATGTGTGTATATATAAATAAAAAATATCATATACATTTATATACATTTTTTACATCAATATTAAACATTTTAATAAACATTTAACATATACAGATGACCCTTGAACAAAATAGAGATCAAAGATGCCTCCTTAACCTAGAATTTTTAAAAGATGAAATTTACATTAATTCTTTTTATTAAATAAAATGATTTTTTGGTGAAGTTGAGGTTTGTTTGATGACAATCACCTCCCTATAGCTGCCAAGGTGGTGGTGGTTTGTTGCATTCAACAAACTTCACTTGGTAAACTTCAACTTTACCAATAATCACTTTATGTAATAAAAAGCACTAAAGCAAATGAATATATACATTTATATGTAGGTGTATATGACATTTATTTTATATACACACACAGACACACACATGTATACACACACACATATATATACACACACACATACTCATTACTGTAACAGTGCACATCCTTTAAATATTTTCCAAATTAAGAACATCAAGCAAGCGACATTTAAAATTCATTGCATTCTGTTTGGCTTCTAGGGCACTCCACTGCAAATTGGAATTTGTTCACATAAATTGAGTAAACATCCTATGACAGAGGAAGCCCTTGGGGACAAATGCCTGTGTTGTGTATCAATTAATGACATAAAAATAATCTAGTGTATCTCCTTTTTAGATGGCAGCTCTATAAGATGTGTCTGTGTAGCTGGTGGTTTAGAAACTGTCTAAACAGAACTACCTGGATGCCCATATTGTAATCATTCAGTCAGAATATTGTGTCTATTTTTTGTGGCTTGAAATGTTGAAACATAGAGAAGAAATGCAAATAACAAAAAATTTAAGAGTGTAACAAAATTAATTTTACCAAACACAATTAGGTATATATATAAATATATAATTTAAATATAAATGTGTATGTATGTGTGTGTATATGCATATACAGTTGACTCTTGAACAACATGGGTTTGAACTGTGTGAGTCACTTATATTTGGTTTTTTTCCCACCTCTGCCACCATTGAGAAAGCAAGACCACCTCCTCTCCCTCCTCTTCTTCGGCCCACTCAACGTGAAGATGATGGGGATGAAGGCCTTTAGGGTGATCCACTTCCACATTGTGAATAATAAGTATATTTTCTCTTCCTTAGGATTTTCTTAATGACGTTTTCTTTTCTATAGCTTACTTTATTGTAAGAATACCGTATATAATACATATAATGTATAAAATGTGTGTTAATTGACTGTTCACGTTATCGGTAAGGCTTCCAGTCAACTGTAGGCGATTAATAGTTAAGTTTTGGGGGAGTCAAAGTTATACATGGATTTTCAAATACATGTGGGAGTGGGACGGCGAGTTGTTCCTTACCTCTGTGTTGTTCAAGGGTCAACTGTATATGGTAAATGTTTATATAAATGTATGTATTGATATAAAAATGTGTATATAAATGTTCACAAACATATAAAATATGCACAGATCCAAGTTATATATATGTACCATATATATGTGTACCATATATATGTATGTACCATATATGTGTACCATATATATGTATGTACCATATATGTGTACCATATATATGTATGTACCATATATGTGTACCATATATATGTGTGTACCATATATGTGTACCATATATATGTGTGTACCATATATATGTACCATATATATGTGTGTACCATATATATGTACCATATATATGTGTGTACCATATATATGTACCATATATATGTGTGTACCATATATATGTACCATATATATGTGTGTACCATATATATGTGCCATATATATGTGTGTACCATATATATGTGCCATATATATGTGTGTACCATATATATGTGCCATATATATGTGTGTACCATATATATGTGCCATATATATGTGTGTACCATATATATGTGCCATATATATGTGTGTACCATATATATGTATGTGCCATATATATGAACCATATATGTGTGTACCATATATATGTATGTACCATATATATGAACCATATATGTATGTACCATATATATGTATGTACCATATATATGAACCATACATATATGTACCATATATATGTACCATACATATGTGTACCATATATATGTGCCATACATATGTACCATATATATGTGCCATATATATGTGCCATATATATATGGTACATATATATGTGTACCATATATATGTGTACCGTATATATATGTGCCATATATATACGCCATATATATATGTGCCATATATATGTACCATATATATATGTGCCATATATATGTACCATATATATGTAGCATATATATGTACCATATATATGTAGCATATATATGTACCATATATATGTAGCATATATATGTACCATATATATGTAGCATATATATGTACCATATATATGTAGCATATATATGTACCATATATATGTAGCATATATATGTACCATATATATGTAGCATATATATGTACCATATATATGTAGCATATATATGTACCATATATATGTAGCATATATATGTACCATATATATGTAGCATATATATGTACCATATATATGTAGCATATATATGTACCATATATATGTAGCATATATATGTACCATATATATATATACACACCATATATATATATATACACACACACCATATATATATATATACACACACACCATATATATATATATATATATATATATATACATATATATACACACACACACACATCAATACAAGTTTAGGTACAAATGCTCCTTAACTTATGATGGGGTTATATCCCAGTAAACCCATAGCAACTTGAAAATATCGTAATTTGAAAATGCATTGAATATGCCTAACCTGCCAAACATCATAGCTTAGCCCAGCCTCCCTGAAACATGCTCAGAGCACTTACATAGCCTATAGTGGAGCAAACTCCTCTGGCAACACAGAACACTGTAGAATGTTGGCTGTGAACCTTTCTGATTGCAGGGATGAGCGGGAGCTGGCTCCCTGCTGCTGTCCAGCCTGGTAAGAGAGGAAAACAGCACTTTCCACTGCATGCATATTGTTCTCACACCACCGTGAAGTCCGGAAATTGTAAATGGGACCATCCTAAGTCAAAGACCATCTGTATATCAATTTATATGTATACAAGTTTTTATGTAAATATATAAATGTATATGTATGTATATACAAGTGTATATATAAATATGTATGTGTACATGTATACAAGTTTATATATAAATAAATGTAATTATATATGATTGATAGGGTTTGGCTCTGTGTCCCCACCCAAATCTCATCTGGAATTGTAATTCCCATGTGTCCAGGGAGGGGCCTGGTGAGAAATGATTGGATCCTAGGGGCGGATTTCCCCATTGCTGTTCTCGTGATAGTGAGTGAGTTATCATGAGATCTGATGGTTTAAAACTGTGGCACTTCCTTGCTCTCTCTCGCTCCCGCTGCCGTGAGAAGACGTGCCTTGCTTCCCCTTCACCTTCTGCCATGATTGTAAGTTTCTTGAGGCCTCCCCAGCCACGCGGAACTTTGAGTCATTAAACCTCTTTCCTTTATAAAGTACCCAGTCTCAGGTATCTTTTTATAGCAGTATGAAAATGGACTAATGCAGTGATATATAAGTATACTGTATATATTATTATATACATATATACAATAATTTTACTAAACAAAACCAGGTACATATATAAAGATGTAAGATATTTTATTTTATTTATTTATTTGAGACAGGGTCTTGCTCTGTGGTCTAGGCTATAGTGCAGTGGCATGATCTGGGCGCCCTGCAGCCTAGACCTCTGGGGCTTAAGCAATTCTCCACCTCAGCCTCTGTCTCGAGGAGCTGGGACCACAAGCTTCCACGCCTGGAAAATTTTTGTATTTTTGGTAGTGATAGGGTTTTGCCACGTTGCGCAGGCTGGTCTCGAACTCCTGAGTTCCAGCAATCCGTCCGCCTCGGCCTCCCAAAGTGCTGAGATTTACAGGCATGAGTTGCCATGCCCAGCCTAAAGATGTAATTTAAATATGGAGGTGGATATTCATTTATGTACTATATAAAAGTGTATATAAGTATATGTAAATATGCATAATATACTTAAACTTTATATATACTAATTTTTATATAAACATATAAATTTATATATGTACATAACTTTAACATATATATGTGTGTTTTTACATTTTTTCCAATATTTCCCCACTTTATTAAGGTTGACCACCATGATATTTATGTATCTAAACATTTTTTATAAGTTTTCAGTGATGTTTAGATTCTGAATTATTTTTCCAGAATTAAGTTAATTTAGGGAAATTTGTTTGTATTTTATAGAGAACAATTTTCTTTAGGATACAGATAGGAACATGTATAATTTGCAAATATTACAAAGATGATTTCCGAATCTCAGCTGACCTCTTTCCCAATTGCAAGCACTCATTTAGTCTTTAGTGACAAGAGAGAACAAAAACAACCACCTACACACGTCTGTGTGAGATTCTGGTGGCTTAGAAATCCCTGAAAGAGCAGTAAACTGTGATTATTGAAAAGCTCAGAACACTGGCAAGGCTTAAGTGCAAAGCATTTAACAGAAGGCCACAAGAATCGTTTTCCTAACAGGAGCTAGGAACTATAAATGTCATTTAGGAATGCACTGAAATGCCGTTGCCTAGTGTTAGTGTTGCACAGAAACTCCTGGTCATTTCTTCTGGATCTATTATTTTGGGTAAGCTTCCACTATCATACCATGGCCCTGCCCTCCAGCTGCACAGGCAGCCGCTAAGGCATACTGGCCTCCTTCCTTCCGTAATCTGTTGGCAGCTGCCACGACCAACCTGCAGCCAGTAGCTCCAAATGGGTGTTCCAGGGACAGAGATCCACCCCAGTTATTAAACTTCTCCGAAGGAAGCAATGTAACCTTGCTTTTTCTACCCATGTAATTTTGTGCAAACTAATCAGAATCCATGGCTTTAAAATTAGCTAAAATCTTACCTGAGAAAGCTTTGTGAAATTCAAAAGCATCAATATCACTCATGGTTAATCCTGCCTTTTCTAGAATTTTTGGAGTCGCATATGTTGGTCTGAATAATAGTTGATCTTTCAGATTGTGAGACACGTACATAAAATCCCTCAAACACTCCTTCGGCTTATAACCCATTGCCAGAGCCTTTTCCTCTGCCTCAGATGCGCCATCAGTCAAGAAAGAAGAATTTGCAGCTGTCGCTGTGCCGTAGGGCTTGATGAATGCAGGTTTTAGTTTAGCCATCTGCTCCAGTGAGGAAGGACGGATGCCATTATGTTTGGTAACTGTATCTTTTCCTGGTACTTTGAAGGGTACGACATCAGAAAGGAGTCCTTCATCCTGTGCCTTCTTGGCCAGACTGGGACAGCGCAGTGCATATTCATCCTGTTCCAGTCGAGAAACAGCCAATTGGTCTGCAGAGTGGCCCGTGGTCTCACTGGTGGAGAACTCAGAAACCTCAGGGAGCTCAGGTGCTGGGAAATTCAATTGGCATTTAGAGATTGAAGACAGTCACTGGCCCACAAATTTGGCCTTACTTAGATCAAGCATCAGTTTTCTCATTTTCCTTGACTGACGAATAGGGACATGGAACATCAACTCGACACCACCTGCCATGATCACATCACACTGGCCAGAAGCAATCAAACCAACACCTGTGGTCATGGCTTGGTTGGCAGAGATACAAGCCATGGTGACAGTGTGAGCAGGAGTCTTGTCAGAGAAGGCAGTTCCAAGGGCAGCCTCTCCAGCCACATGGCTTGTTTTCACTTCCTGAATGACTGTGCCAAAGATGATATAATCAACTACTTCCTTGGGGACACTGGGCTGATGCAACAAACCCGTAAGTGTTGCTCTAGCCAAATCATGTGGTATCAGGTCTTTATACGAAGTGCCTGACAGCAAAAATGGAGTGCGAACACCATCCACCACCACAATATTCCTTATATTGGGTTTGGCTAATGTCTTCCTCGTTTCGGTCTGGATGGCTGGGCAGCTCGCAACTGGGAGGAATAGCTCAGAGGTCTTATGGAAAATCTGAGGGACCATTCTGATGCAGTGAGAAGTGCATCAGAAGTGCACTTTTTAAAAGTGTAAGTCAAGACGGTAGTCATTCTGGAATCTTAGCCGATGTCCGCATGGACTCCTACTCTGAGCAAGGCTCAGATCCCGTGATTTTACATTTTAAGTTTACATTTCAAAATTGGCCTAGTCATTTTATTAGCAGTACTTATGTATATTTCTGTTTTATTGAACTTATTAAGGTTACAGCTTCTTCACACTGAAAAAAATAATGCCTAAAACTTCAAAAAAGAAACATATGGACAGCCTCCTCTATGCATCCACAGTATATTAAAAGTTGATTTATGGGCACTTTGGAAATGTCAGTGTCTGACTGAAACTTTCCAGCAAGGGTTGGAGTTGTTGCTCTACTGCAGATTTTTTCTTTATTTCTGTAACAGTCCTTCATTAATCCCCTTCCCCCATGATCATCTCAGCTTATTGTTCAGGAAGTTGCCCTGACGAGCCTCTCTTGCACAAGATGGATACTGCTTAGCTAAAACCCATGGGGCAACACCAACGATATTATAGAGAAATTCTGGCTAAACTAGAGACTTTCTCTGGGCAGCAGAAATCTTTAGGGAAGAAGTAACTGGCAGGTACTGTCAGAGAAATGTTGGGTAATCCTGTTGGGAAATCAAAACATCATTTCTTCATTGACCCTTTCATGAGGTCTGAATTCCTAAAGAAAAAAAAAACAGTTGATGCTGTCACTGGTGAGTTTTACACACCCATATGTTTTACTCTTCCCCTTAGCAAAAGCAAAACTACACTAGGCATAGAGATTTACTATCCTGAATCTCAATCTCTGTATGCAGTATTCCTATCACACTGCAGTATTTCTATAGAACTAAAATGACAGAAGCACAGAGTGTCTAGATTCTGAAGCTGGAGGGCATGAAACATTCATGCCACTGGCCATAGCTATGAGTGACTTTCTCAAGTCTTTTTTTAAGAGAAACAATTCTCTGAAAGTTATAACCCCACAGCTACTAGAAACAGAAATTCTATATCACTAGACTGCTGGTATTTTTCCTATGCTTTGCCCAAAGAGCAGCATGAAGACAGACTAAATGATCCATATTGGAACTACCTGAGTCAATCCCTTCATCTGTGACTCCCAAACACTGAAAATATTGCCATAAATATGATACCTACAATTACTGTTCAGCATCATGCAAATGCCCGGTTAGCCTGAAACTCAGAAATGTTTAAAAAAAAATCCTAAGGTTGTAGGAGATTTTCCCCTCATGTTGTTTGAATTGCTAAGAAGTCTTACAGTGGACTTCTTACCTTAGCATATCCATGGACTAACTATGGTCCATGGGCCAAATCCGGCTCACCACTTGTTTTTATAAATAAAGTTTTATCGGAAAACAGCCATACCCATTCATTTATGTATTGTGTGTGCCTGCTTTTTTGCTACAATGGCAGAGTTGAGTTACTGCAACAGAGTTTATATAACTCACAGAGCTGAAAATATTTACTATTTGACTCTCTCCAGAAAAAGTTGGCCAATTTCATAGCACTGTTAACAGTACTAAAACATAAAGCTGTTTTTCCCGTTTTCTTCTACTCTTTCTCAACTTGTCATGTCTTTAAAAAATAAATTTCTTTTTGATGTCTTTCTAAGTAAGGAAAAATTAAAATATTTAGTCACTGGCATAGTTTTCCATTTTTATCTTTATATTGTGCAATGCCAATTTTGAACTCCAATATCTGAGCAGTTAACATGTATTCAGAAATCACTGAAATTACACAAGCTGTTATTTTGTAGCACATGCGTAAGTATCTACTGCATTCTTACCACAACACGGGAAGTGTGCTACACAAAATGAACTTAGCTGATTTTATTTCACTTCTTGATATGGACATACTCTAGCAACACTGTACCTTCAGCTCACTGATGGTAAGGAAGTCATGCAATGAAGGGGAGCCACAGGTTGTCATCTCATCCCATCCCTTCTATGGCATCATTTTCAGCATAAGTGGTTGGCCGATGTGTCAAGAAGAATAGGAGATAGGATAGAGTTTTTGTTTGTTCTTGGATTGTTTTTAGAATGTCATTGCCACTTTTCTATATTTGAAGCAAGTTCTAACTTGGACACAAAGCATGGCCTCTCTGGGCTGCAAGAGCACTCACTTTGTCGTAGAAGTAACAGCCACCCTTTGTGCACACTGTGAATCTCACCGAATTCCCCCTATTGCCAGTCCAGCAGAATTCTGTGCTCAAGGGGCTTCATGAGCATTGTACGCTATTGGGTAGCAAAGAACAGTGGCAGAACTGCATACGATGCATATCTCCTCTGACCACGTGCATGCATGCCTCTTCGTCCATTGCACTCCAGGTACAAAACAAAAATGCAAAGATTAACTCTTTCAGAATTTCAAGACAGCAGTGGCAGACCTCTAACCCTAGCATGGGGCACTTCTGACCCCAGGACCCTTTGCAATTGCTTGGGGCCATACACCTGTGAAGGAGGCCCTGAGTTAGGGAATGGAAAAGTAAATGAATGCTACTCGATTTCTGTTTTCAACCAATGCTTTCCTTACTCATGAAAGGAGACAACTATACTGATTTCATGCTAAGTTTTCTAGCACTACTCTATTGTTAGAGAACACATTCTTAAGTTTTGCTTGATTTTGAATGTTATGTAAAAGAATCTTACTGTTTGTAGTGTCTTCCTTGGGTTCTTTCCTTGAACATGATATTTTTCAGAGATTCACCCATATTGATTCATATTCATGAAGCCTAGGGATCTTCATTGCAGTGTAGTATTTCTGTGTAATTGATTTAACACAAATGATTATCCATTCTCTTTTTGATAAGCATGTGTATGTTCTGAGTTTTTTTCAGGATTCTAAGCTCCTTTGAATTTCAGTTTTCTGAGAGTTTTGTGCAGGAAAATTTGCAATATTTTATTGGTTTTTTGGTATCTATAGAAAAGTGAATATATTGAGATGATTGTTTGTATATTAACAGAGGCGAATTATATTTTAAAAATACTCAAGCACTAAGAAAACTATTGTACATTCCTGAAATGAACTTCAATTGGTCATGATGCATATTATATTTTCTAGCTCCTTCAAAAGAAGGTGTTAGAAACATGCCTATAGGTGTTTCATGGTCTAAGGAGTTCCTGAGTATATATGACATATGCATTCAAGTAGGATTCTTCATTTATTGTTCATTTTTAGAATAGACATTGTAAAGTGACAGCAAACTATTCTGAAAGCATGGTGAGAATTTATAATCCAAGATATGAGAGAAGGTTCACATGGATCCACGCCTCAACGTCGCTCAGTGTTTCGGCCAACGATATGGGTAAGAAATGATTCCTCATTGTTAATGAAATTTATGTTTATTTTTTATGAATGAACTTTAAAGATTTCATATTTTTATAAGACCTAAATGATAACTTTTCTCTAAACCACCTGTTTAAAATATTCCCAATATTTATACTGTAGTATAGGTATGTGTGTTCGTGCGTATCTTGTTGATATATTTGCTGGTAAAATATATTGAAAATATATTCTCCGAATTGGATGCCTCACCTGTCAGTCTACTTTAACATTGGATGGACAGGATTTTTAACTTTAATGTAGTTGAATAAATCAAACTTTACATTTTTGGTTATAGTTTTTCATATATATATATATATATATATATATATATATATATATTTTTTTTTTTTTTTTTTTTAAGACAGAGTTTCACTCTGTGTCACAGGCTGCAGTTCAGTGGCCTGATCTCGGCTCACTGCAACCTCCACCTCCCAGGTTCAAGCGATTCTCCTGCCTCAGCCTCCTGAGTAGCTGGGATTACAGACGTGTGCCACCAGGCCTGGCTAATGTTTGCATTTTTAGTGGAGACAGGGTTTTGACATGCTGGCCAGCCTAGTCTCGAACTCCTGGCCTCAGGTGATCTGCCAGCCTCAGTCTCCCAAAGTGTTGGGATTATAGGTGTGAGCCATTGCGCCTGGCCCAGGTTTTGATATACTTAATCATCCAGTGTTATAAAGATATTTTCAAACACTTTGAAATTTTTGATGTTTTTAATGCTCCTAAGTTTTAAAGTTCTAATATTTGGCTTCAAGCTCTAAGCAAACCTGTAATTTTTTAAATTTAATTATTTATTTAAAGTTTATCATTTGTACAAGGATGTTTTACCAAAAGGTTTACCTTTCTTCATTCATGAATGAATGAATAAATTATGTATCCATAAATATCTGTTTGGGTTCACTCTTTGTTTTTGGTGATAGGTAAACCTATCCTAGCATCAATATTTTGCTCTTCTAAGATTTAGTAATAAGGCATGAAATCTCATGGAACACATCTCCCACCTTCAGCATTTCCAGAAACATTTTCTTGGCATATGTCAGGCAATTGTCTGTCTATATAAATTTTTTAATTAGCTTATCGATTTCTACAACACATCCTTTTGGCAATTTTATTTAAATTTCATTGAATTAGTAGGTTAATTAGGAGAGAATTGACATCATTATTTATTGAGTCTAATTATATTTTGTCAAGTAAATTTGTTTGTTGCCTTTATAAATTATATGCTAATTTACATTTTCTAAATGATGTTACTATTGAAGGAAAGGAAACTGATTTTTAAATTTGATATTGTATCCAACAACACTATTAAATACTAATATTGATTTGACCAATTATCAGTATATTTGTCTGGATTTTTTTTCTATGTATTATCATATGGTTGATAAATAATGACATTTTCCTCCTTTTCAATTCATAAAACTCTTATTTCTGTCCTCTTCTATCCAGCAAAATACAGAAGAGAGGTCTGATAAAAAGCATTATTATGTTTCCTGATCTTAAATATAACAAACATTATTTGCTATAGGTTTTCTTAGTGGTCTGTCCCTCGTTAAGAAAGGACCTTTGAATTCCAGTTTTCTGAGAGTTCTGTGCATGAAAATTTGTAATATTTTATGGATTTGTTGGTATCTATTGATAAGTGAATCTATTGAGATGATGGTTTATATATTAATAAGGGTGAATTATATTTTAAAAAATATTCCAGCACTAAGAAAAAGATTGTACGCTCCTGAAATGAACTTCAAGTAGTCATGATGAATATTGTATTTTATGCAATCCTTTTTTACACATGTGTATCTGTAATTTCACTTCTATGTTGATGAGCGAGACAGGCCTGGAGTAAATCAGTCTACCACATTCTTTTCAAGGGAACTTGAGTTTGACAGATTCATGCATCTCAACTCAGCATTGTAAACTCTTAACAATGAATCCGTCACAGCTGGGACCAAAGTTAAAAATAATTGCTATCTAAGTATAAGTGTTAGAATAAATTATTTCCAACGTTTCCCCTCACGTTAAGTTTCTCTGATTCTTGATGTATTCTTTAATTAAACTGGAAACACAATTATGACTTTTATCATTATTGAATTCATAATATATTTGGTAAAATAATTTCTTTTTAAGTAAAACATTTAACAATGCAGTTTGGTTCACGTTAATTACACTTTGAAGAACCCTTTATATTACTTGCCTAGAGACAGAGTATGTGGGTAGGCAATTGATCAATATTCTGCTAAACTTTACTTATGAGAGTTTCTATTGAAACAATTATGTATTGTTGCTTTTGTTTGTCATTAATTTAGTAATTATATCTTGAAAATTTAGTATGTGCTGTTTTAATTATTACACAGGCAATATCTATTTATCTATGGTCTATATCTATATTTATCTACCACGTATGTGTATTTATTATCCATCATCATGATCTATTATTTATCATCAATTTATCTACCTGTCATCTATTTATATTTATCATCTATTCCTACGTATCATCTATCTTCCCCATTAAAATACCTACCCATATCTATCTATGTACCTTATCTATCCATCTTTCTATCTTTTTACATTACACAGAAGTGGTTTATCTTTTAGTGGTGGGGGACATTTTAGGCACAGAGTATAGACTCTATAAAATCTTATTGAATTGAGTTGAATTAAAAGCGTTTCTTTGCAGGATGTGGTGTCTCATGCCTGTAATCTCAGTACCTTGGGAGGCTGAGGCAAGAGGATTGCTTAAGGCCGGGTGTACAAGACCAGCCTGGACAATATAGCGATACATAATAATAATAATAATTAGTCAGGTATGGTGGTACACACCTGTGATTCCAGCTACTTGGGAGGCTGCTGCAGGAGGATCGCTTGAGCCTGGGAAATCGAGGCTGCAGTGAGCTGCGATTGAGCCACTGCACTCAATCCCCATGCCACTCGATACCTCATGCCACTGCTACTTCACACAATACCCCATGATTGAATGTTTATAAATAGGTTCCTAATAGTCGATATTGACACACTTATGCATGTCAACCAGAAGACAAAAAAAAAGGTTAATACATTGCTCTATAAAACACCTTTATTTGGAGAACAAAATAGGCCTTTACAAGCTCAGGAAAATATTCTGCTCTTTGAAACCCACTATATTTTTCTGTGCACAGATATGGCCCATGTGCTTATGCCAAAGATTCTGGTAAGTAATGTTATTCTTCTGATCCACCATTGGTCTCAAATGAAACATGCTAGTTCACTTAAAAATCGATTAAAAATAAAACTGATGAGAGGGCCATTGGGATGCAGAGAAAACAATATTTAAAAAATCTAACACTAACGGACAGAATTAACTGAGTTCTACGTAATTCATCCCTGTAAAGATGGCAATGTGCAGATTAATGTAATTACTGAAATTAATTTTTGATTGTGGGTACAGTGAAGGCAAAATTTACTTTTACATTTTATTTTTATTTCCTATTTTCTCTAAATTTTAATAGCTTTTGGGGGTACAAGTGGTTTTTGGTTACATGGATGAATTATATGGTGGTGAAGTCTGAGATTTTTTTGATCCCTAGCCTCCCTCAGAATCAGAAATTGTAAATGAAGCTTTGATTCACAGTTGTAAGAAGCATGGTATGCATATATAAATATAAATATTACATCTATGTCTACAGATATATGTAAATAGCTTTTTTTGCTCATATATTTTGTTGATTCTGACTAATTTCAGTAATCACAAGAGCAATTTGTTTCCTTATGTCAGAAGTTTAAATGGTTGAAAACCTGTTCTTGTTTTCAATCTCAAGCAATTTTAAAAGGCAAAAGATTTATGTGATCTGAAGAGAAACCAGAGTATTGCAAGCAATTTTTCATGGTATAAAGAGTTAACACAACAGCAATAACCCCTGAAACATTAAACTTATGACGTAATTAACCTAATAAAAAACCATGTAATACATTGTTCGGTTCTTAATTACACGTCACTTCTGAAATGTTTACACTAGTAAACGTGAAATCACTGGGTCTCAATTTCTGTAATCATCAAATAAATACAATTACCAGGTTGATTTTAGGATTAAATTTTAAAATTTCACGTATTCTTTGCATAAGTGCATGCATTATGATTTTATATTTGAATGCATATCAAGTAGTTGAAGATTTAGCTAACATGACTGTTAAATAATGAATAGGGATTGATGTATTTTTAAGAGTAGTGAACATCTATTTGACCCACTGTAAAAGTGTAAAATCGAATCACTTAGTTACCACCATAGTGACAGTACAACTTACTGCAGACAGAAATGCAGGCAGCTCTCTTTGGTAGGAACAAAATCATCCTATTCCCTCAAAACCACCTTGTCTAGATGGTTCATTTGACATTAATACGTGGAGACAAGCCATCATGAGGGGGGACATTTAGAATAGATGTCTTACACATGCAGACCTCATATCGATGTATTAAAATATTGGCAATGAACTGTCTTCTCCTTCACAGAATATATGATTTTACCAAGGCAAGTATGGATGCAAAGTTATTTCCACAAGAATGTTTCAGAATTAAAAGGAATTGCTAAAGTCTCATTTACACCAATAAAATTAAAGATGGAAGAAAAATGATTCTCATTCTTTGACATATCAAGTTCACATTTCTGAACACCACAAAAAAATTATGTACTTTAAGAAGGTTCATATAGAAATAAAAAGATGATTACCAGACCAAGAATATCATAGTGGCATCATACTTATCATAGAACACATATGAGATTATTAAACATTAGAGTCATAATGAAAATCAGTGGAGACAGTGAGAGAATGTGATTCAAGTTCATAAATAAAAATCAGCAATGAACGTTCAATGGCTAGAATTCTGTTCAATGGCTAGGATTCAATGATTTTTTTAGAAGGTGAAGAAAACACCTAGTACAGCCAACTTCTCTGAAAATCTACCACCTCAGTCATCCCCACTGATTCAATCTCTTGACGGTGTACCCTGACAAAAGATTTGCCTAGACTTGATTGAATCTAGGGGAAGATAAGAATTTCAAAAGCAGTGATAAAAAATACATCTTATAAAAAATTAAGTATTCAAGATGAACATAAAAGAATAGAATAGGCTGGGCGTGGTGGCTCCTGACTGTAATCCCAGCACTTTGGGAGGCCAAGGCCAGAGGATCACTTGAGGTCAGGAGTTTGAAACCAGCCTGGCCAACATAGAGAAACCCCATCTCTCCTGAAAATACAAAAATTAACTGGGTGTGGTAGCGCGTGCCTGTAATCCCAGCTACTCGGGAGGCTGAGGCAGGAGAATCGTTTGAACCCAGGAGGCAGAGGTTGCAGTGAGCCTGGATCATGCCACTGCACTCCAGCCTGGGTGACAGAGCGAGACTCTGTCTCAAAAAAAAAAAAACAAAAAAAAAGAATAGAATACATGGGAATTTCATAAATGTATAAAGAGATGAAAGACAAAAAAGAGAATGGGCAAATAGATTATTTAATGAGAAGGAGTAATTGTTTAATTACTCTTACAGTAAAACTTAAAACCAAGAAAGGCAAATATGAAACAAAAGTGACACAATATAAATCAAAATGAATAATAAATGCAAACAGGAAAAACATACATAAATTCTGAGATTGTATGTTTCCTGTAAGAAGACAAAGATTTTTATCTTTCATTGAACCTGAGTGATGATAGGCTGACTTCCCTAGGAATCTGTCAGGACAGTCCTATTTTTTCCCTTCCTGTTTGTAGTGACTGTGGTAGTCCCTACCTTCTTGGAAACCGGGTGAGATGCAATGCTTCTTCATAGTGCATCAGGCAGGTCCATCCAAACACCTGTACAAACACTGAGACCAGGCCACTTTATTCCTGCATTCGGTATTGCAAGGCTCAAAAGGTTTAAAGATAGCAATGATGCAGGGGAAAACATCTTTAAGTAAATAGGTAGACATTCAATGCTAGAACCTTACAGCAAGTAATGAAATGGGATCTGAAAATGTTATAAATGCATACAATTTTTGATCCAAGTGTATAAGAAAAACATTGGCCAGGCGCAGTGGCTCATTCCAGTAATTCCAGCACTTTGGGAGGCCAAGGCGGGTGGATCATTTGAAGCCAGGAGTTGGAGACCAGCTTGGCCAACATAGTGAAACCCTGTCTCTGCTAAAAATACAAAAAAATTAGCTGGGCATGGCGGTGCGCACCAGTAATCCCAGCTACTCAGGAGGCTGACGCAGGAGAATCGCTTGAACCCAGGAGGTGGAGGCTGCAGTGAGCCAAGATCGTACCACTGCAGTACAGCATGGGCAATAGAGTGAGTGGGATGCCATCTCAAAAAAAAAAAAGAGAGAAAAAAATTCTTTGTGTATAGATAGGTGTATACACATATAGTGTGTATGTGTATGTTTGTTTGCATAGAGAGAGATATAGATGTGAATATCATCTATTGTACTAGTCTGTCTCTTAAGTCTATTATTTATCTACCTTTTTATCTCCTACCCATCCATCATCCATCATCTATCTCATCTATCAAATATGATCTATCATCAATAATCTATATTTCATAGGTATCACTTAAATATGTTTTCTATTATCTAACCTTCCATCCATCCATCGTTTATCTATCATTATATATTTATCAATATTCTAAATTTTATGTATATTATTCATATATGTTTTCTATTATCTTTCTCAACTACCTAGCTATCCTGTTTATCTATTTATCAATTACCTATTATCAACAAGCTGTATTCATAGCTATCATTTAAATATATTTTCTGTCATTTATTTATCCATCCATTCATCATCTAGCTATATCTATTGCCTTCCTCAATTATCTAAATTCATATCTATTATTTAAATAGCATTTCTGTTATCTATCAATCCATCCATCATCTATCTCTCATTTATCTATCTTCTATCATACATCCATCATTTATCATCAATTAGCTATATTTTATATCTATTGTTAATGTATATTTTCTATTATCCATCTATCCATCTTCTGTCTATTAATTTCATCTGTCTATTGCATCTATCCACAGAACCACATACAAACATCTGAGTAGTACTGACTGTCCACAGATTATGAATTTCAAGGAGAAAGGGAAGAAGAAAGAGTAAAAACGCAAGGCATTTTCCCAAGGGCCTCCCTCCCCGGTATTCCACCCACATCTCCTAAAGTGGGGCTAGATGGTGTGGCTCTGTGAGACAGAAGGTTGAGTGTTTACTGCAAGTTAGTCAACAGAAAAGAAAGGGGAAAAGCAAGTAGGCAGTGTATTTTGAACAGCCATTCCCCAGGGCCTGTGGAAGTTGTCAATTTAGGTTATGTAATTTTATTTGCCCAGTTCCATTCAATATCTCTATTCATTGACATTAATATTCTTTCTGGTTGCATTTTTACTTTGCCATTTTCAAAGGAGACGGTGCTTATAGAAGTAAATCTTTATGACTTTATTGAGGATTCTTCGATATCCCTCTGCTACTGAGTTTATGAAGGAGAAAATATTGTCTTTTTCAACATAAATCTAAGTTTTATGTAACAGGACAATATTTGGTAATTTTACTCATTTTCTGAAAGAAGTATGAGGTAAACTACCATATGTCCTCGGTATCCATCCATTATTTCAGAGTGTACAGATTGCTTATCTTTAAAGATAAAATTATTGTAATTCCGAGACATGATGGAAAAAAACTGAGATGAAGTCTATTTTCATCAGCACAAGTAAATCAAAGGACATCACCTAAATAATTCATTTTTCTAAAGTAGTTTGATGTTTGGGATCAATATAATTATGCCAGCATCTTGATACATGGATGGACAAAACCTGAAAATACACACTGTACATTTCATAATGTGTTATTTTAAAACTACTGTACTTACAGAATTGTGCCTAAGTCTTTTTTTGAATACCGAACACCTGCTTTCGTGTATTTCCTAGCCACCTCAATGGACTGCCTTTACAAGAATTAATTTGATCTCTGGCTTAATGAAGTCACATATTTTCTTTTTTGTTTGTTTGTTTTTGTTTTGTTTTGTTCTTGAGACGGAGTCTCGCTCTTGTCCCCCAGTGCAATGGTGCGATCTTGGCTCACTGCAACCTCCACCTCCCGGGTTCAAGCAATTCTCCTGCCTCAGCCTCTCGAGTAGCTGGGATTACAGGTGCCTGCCACCATGCCTGGCCAATTTCTTTTTGTATTTTTAGTAGAGAAGGAGTTTCACCATGTTAGCCAGGCTGGTCTCAAACTCCTGACCTCAGGGGATCCACCCGCCTCGGCCTCCCAAATTTCTGGTATTACAGGTCTGAGCAGCCATGCCCGGCCTAAGTTGCATATTTTCAACACCTGTCTTCTTCAAAGCTCAACTGCCAAGTTTTCTTTTATTTAATGCGTATTGAGAATCACTGAAACAATAACTTTCCTGTATTTTAATGAGGTTTCTTTTTCCCTCTTCTATTTTATTTTTGGAGAATTCTTTATACAGTAGAAGAATCATGAAGAAAATGCCTTGAAAAATAAAAATAAATAAAATACTGTAGCCTCATGGACATATTAGATGAGGCAATCACTGATTAATCTTTTGAGACACGTCTGATAAACTTGGAATCTATCTATATTGGGAATGTCAACCACTTTTTAAATTTTGACTTTTTGTTTTGGAAAGAGCATGTGAGAAGTGGATAATTACAAGTATTTGGCATTTGAAAGATTTCTGTCCTGGTGTCCCAAATGTCTCTGCTTCCGTGATTTAAGCATGGGAAGCAAGGGACTGTGAGTAGGCTTATATTATAAATAGCAGCAGACAAGCCCTGAGACTCTGCAGTCTTGACCTTGAAGAGTACTCAGTCTTTATGATTCCAGCAAAGTGCTGGTGATGTTACTGAACCCATCTGGGGTCTCCTTAACCGGCACAGTAAGGCCAAACATTCACACTGTGGTTTTGCAGCAAGAGAAAGGAGGGCATTTATTTGCAGGGTACCAAGCAAGGAGAATGGGGCAGGTCACACTTCACACCCAACCTCCCTGATGGCTTGCAAGTAATGGGTTTTAAACGCAGGGGTACATTTCAGTAAAGCAGAAGTCACAGGCAACATCCTAAATCAATACACGGATATTATACATTGGTTTAGTGACAGGCCAGGTCTCACTAACACAGGCCTCCATAACAACTGTTTCAGCACTGACCGAGTGGTGAAGTTAAATCTTAAAAGCTGAAAGAGCCAGCACCTTTATACAAAAGTTGGAATATAACAAAAGCCCACCAAGAGTTCTGCCCAGGGCTTTGCTTGGCCTCGAAACATGGCAAGATAACGAAGGAATTTTTAACAGGACCTGTTTAGGATGAAACAAGGTTTTTTTTCTTTACGGACGTAAAGAAACTCCCCAGACCTCCACAAACAAGTTTATGGGGGTCTGAAGGAACTCCCCAAACCTCCATGATATAGCAGGAGATAAGATAAGGGTAATCACCCCAGCACCTGGACCCATTTGGATTAAGTCAATTTACTGAGGCTCCAGAGGAAGGTCTCCAGGACTCAGACCTTAGTTCTAGATTAGAAGAAGTTCATCACTAATGTCTTTAGATGGATGCACACTTACACATAGACTTATAGCTTAGAAATAGAAGCTCTGGAAAACTTGGTAATTTTGAGTTGGTCTGGCAACAATTTCCAGGCCATCTCCCCGTGCCCAGTTACAGAAATAAACTGGCTTCTTTCCCAGTTCATCTGAACCTTGTTATTGGGCCACACGAATAAGCAGCCCAACCCTCAGTTTGGTCTGGGAACAGTTTGACCTAAAAAGGTGGATATCTTGAAGTGGGAGGCCCACAGATTACAGGTAGATTCAAAGATTTTCTGATTTGTGATTGGTTAAGGAGGCAACGTTTTATCTCAAAAGACTGGGTTCAGCAGAAAAGAATGTTAGCTCTGACCTGTGGGTGTGACTTCTTCCAGTCCCCTCAGGAAGAAATTTAAAACAAAGGTTGTGGGTCAGAGTTCAGTCTTTTGTTTCCCCTTATCTGAGGTCTACATGCTAGTAGATCCGTTTGGTGCGGTTGTGGGTTTCTGAAGAACAACTCAGGTACCTGTGTTAAAATGTTAACTTTTATTCCATGTGGGAACCAATCATCTCATGACTCTAACTTTCTTGGCTATTGTTTAAGCTATGGTTACCTTCTTGCATATCAAGTTGCTCGTTTACTTCTCAGGGTTAGCCAGGTGCCTGGAATTTCCCTTGATGGAACTCAAGATTTTCTTATATTTCTATGCTTGAAGGGGCACCCTGCAAGCCCCCTGCCCCGTCTCAGTGGAGGGGGGAATTTAGGATAAGAGAGTGGTCTTCAATAAAAGTTTTGTTATGGCTGGCTGTTATTTTAGTAGACTTTTTAAAAAGTTCCTAACGGTCAATGCTTTGCATTGCTAAACGGCTAAGCTTTTTTGTGTTATTTTAATAATTTTTTGCTTAATCCTGGCTGCTCTGCCTATGGAGTAGCCATTCTTTTATTCCTTTACTTTCTAAAGTACTAAACAGGACAAAATTTTATAACTGACATCTTACAACATTTAAAATCCCCATTTGACAAAACGTAAAAGTCATCATCACTCAGATGCCTAACATGTATAAATCTATGTCAAAATCCTTTAGAATGTATCTCTAACTCTAGAAACTGACAATAATGAATGGATGAATTTCACTGGAGCCCTCTTGCCCTGGAAAACAGGGATGCTTAAGAAATCCTTCCTCTTTTGGGTCCAGCAAGGAACATCTTTCCTAAGACTTAGGTGAGAAAGTCTGAGGTCACAGCCTCTCAACACCCCCCCACCCCATCCTACATCTTGTTTTTGATCGACAAAGTCACACCAAGCCCTTCAAATATTGATTCATTGTGTTTTAAATGATTAACTGAATTGTTTTATCCCCATGCATTAGTCAGAACAACAGGCTTGCTAAAGGAACTTTTTGTTAACAAGCATATTGCCTGTCTTTAACAGGCGCTTGAGAATAGCTGGCCTGGAGTAAAACATCCTCTCACCTACTGATTGAATCAGTTACCTTTTCATCTTCCATCCCCATAAAAGAAAAGCTCCTTTTCCACCTAACCTTTGAGATGCTAGCAGATATCATAGAAGGAGATTTCACCCGACTGCTGCTATAGTCATCCTGTTGCAATCACCCTATCCGGGAAAAATGTCTATTTACATAAATCCAAATTTGCTTTTCACACGCCAACATTCCCCTCCCACTTTTTAAAATTTTTGTTGAGATGGAGTCTCTCTGTCACACAGGCTGGAGTGCAGCACCATGATCTCACCTCATTGCAACCTCCGCCTCCCAAGTTCAAGTGATCCTCCTTCCTCAGCCTCCCAAGTAGCTGGGACTACAGGTGCCTGCCACCACACCAGGCTAATTTTTTTGTATTTTTAGTAGAGATGAGGTTTCGCCATGTTGGCCAGGCTGGTGTCGAACTCCTGACCTCAAGTGATCAGCCTGCCTCGGCCTCAGAAAGTGCTGGTATTTCAAGCATGAGCCACCGCGCCGAGCCCCCATGTGATCATTCAGGCAAGCAGAATAAGGGCTTGACTGATCTCAGAATTTATTCAAGGAAATATAACAAAAACCTATGGCTTTTTTTTCTATCTCTGAATATATTTTTATTGAGGAAACAATTTTTGATGGAAAGAAAAAAATGGGTGTTGAAGTCAGACATATCTGGTTTATATCATTGCCCCTTTTTTAACCGGCCCCCTGACCTTAAATACAGGCAAGTTACTTGCAGGTGACTTACGTCCTTTAAGCCTGTGTTTATTCATTGGAGGGAGGAAAATTCTCACAACAGAATGATTTCAAATACCATTTAAAACTAATATTTGTGGATGTCCATAGAAACAAAAGCTCAGTTACATGAAAGACTACTAATGGAATGGAAAATTGTTCATCTGTCCTCATGCCAAGTTCTCACCAAGTTAATCATTTCTCATTATTTCTTCAACTCTCCTTTCAGCCAAGATGATACTTCCGACTTCTTTATGAACATTAAGATACATTTATTTACTCCAACCTAACAATGAAAAGTAATGCACCCTTATAATCTTCATAACTTTTATAATTCTTCATTGTTTGAAAGATTCAGTCTAAAAATAATATTTTTATATCTCTATTTCTTGAACCATTACATATGGACTGTAGGATATCACATCTCTCTCTAAGTGATTAGTAAAGTAGGCATTATATATTTTCCTTGATATCTCCTCTTGCCTTCCTTAATTTACATTGGCTTTCTCACTCATTAATTGATCAAAGTTTGAAACTGATATTTTTTAATCTGTAAAAATAATGACTTCCTATTGGCTTCCAATAATGTTGATTCTGAAAATTAAAAACCAATCAATAGAATTGAGAATAATCCTTATGTGGATATTTACCAGTGGACTCCAGGGAGTATGAATGAATCTACAGAAACCTGTGTGATTTAGTCCCATGATATTAAACATGAACTGCTTTAAGTATAGTCCACGTATCAAGACAGTCATATTCTTCTTTCTTAAAATCCAGCACGTTACTTGAAAACATTGCATGACTGTGATTTTCCCTGGAGTTCACAATTGCTGTTCTATTTCTCATTGTCAAGAGAAACATCTACTCTTCCTCCCTTATCTCAGTAAGAGTTCCTTTTTGATATTCAACCTTCTTTGAATGGACTGTTTTTTTATATTTTTCTTCTCAAGGTATCTCTCAGCAGGCTTCTCTATTTCTTTGAGTCACTGGGTGAAATCATGGGAAAATATTAGTTTGTCATGCTATCCTATTTTAATGTCTTTCCTGTAGGTGGTATTTCAGGTGTACTTGATATATTTTCTGGGCTATTCCAGATATTAGTGAATTATCTGATTCATTCACATTTAAATGGCCAATGCAATCCAAAATATAATTTCAATCTGTTATTATATTTAAAAATTCCAGGCCAGGTGCAGTGGCTCATGCCTGTAATCCCAACTGTTTGTGAGTCCCAGGTAGGCAGATCGCTTGAGTTCGGGAGTTCAAGACCAGCCTGGGCAACACAGTGAAAGCCCATCTAAACACAAAATGAAAAAAATTAGCCAAGCATGGTAGCACACACCTGTAGTCCCAGCTACTCAGGAAGCTAAGATGAGAGGGTCACTTGAGCCTGGGAGGTCAAGGCTGCCGTCAACTGAGATCGAGCTACTGCACTCCAGCCTGGGCAACAGGGTCAGGCCCTGTTTTTTTTTTTGTTTTTTTGTTTTTAATTATCACTTTCCATTCATCTCCTAACCTTTTTCAAGTTTGCAAAGGTATATGGAGAAGGGTGCCATGCTCACTTATACAATTTTTTTCCTTGGGTAGTTATTGCTCCTACAGGACGTATCGCGACACCCTGCAGCTCTTGCTTCCAGCTTCTGGCCATACTTTGGGCCCTATTTTTCCTGCAGAGTCACATTCCTAGAGGAGAGAACTTTCATCAGAGACCTACCTGGGGGCTCAGGGCTGCCATCTTTCAGAAGACACTTGGCCCAAGGAAACTGTCAATCATTTTGTGCTGCCCAACAACACCAGACAACCAAGCCTATATTCTTGCAGTCTCACCTCTTTATTCAGCCTTCACTGAGGTTTGCAGACAACCTGGTACCATTCAACTTCTTCAGGTAAGAATCATCTTGCAGGCTCTCTAGTCTCTGAACCCCAGATTCACTCAGAAGGTCTCTTGATGCTATGCTTTGAATGTTTGTGTTCCCCTAGAATAACATCTTGAATCTTAATGTCAAGGTGATGGCATTAGGAGATGGGAGGTGATGAGGGTGGCGCCCTCATAAATAGGATTTGTGCTTTTATAAAAGGGACCCCAGAGGTCTCCCTTACCCCTTCCACCATGTGAGAACACAGTGAGAAGTTACCATCTATTAATCAGGCTGTGAGTCCTCACCAGATACTAAATCTACCACTTTTTTTCCAGTCTCCTGACATGTAAGCAATAAATGCCTGTTGTTTAGAAGCCACTCAGTCTATGGCATTTGTGTTATTGCAGCCCAAATAGGGTAGGACACTGGATGTCCTCTCAGTCAATTTCACAGTGGAATCTCTCTGATATTCTCCTATCAGCAGGGAAATGCACAGTACTTGAAAATGTCCCATGAAGGAGCTCTCACCAGCTCTCATTATTTCACTGGATACTAACCTTATCCTTATGTATCATGGAGATTGGAGATGAGCTTCGGGGTCAAGATTTCTGCCTAGGTCATCTAGTGCTGAGTGTGGAGGAAGGAAGAGACTGGTCAGGCAGGCAGTTAGGGTGGGTTCTTGGTTAAGTTCTTTCAAACAAAGGAACAGTCTGCAGGCACAGATAAGGGAACTTGCACACAGGGGGCTTGCCTGAGATATGCCCACAGCTGCACAGATAAGAAGGGCTACACAGGAGACTTTCTCAGACATGCCCACAATGGAAAATTCTGTCCCCTGACACATGCACTGTAAGGGCCACAAAGCAATATGGAATTACTCAAGCTAAGGGGTCTCATGCACACTAGGAGTATGCGGTAGAGCTCCCAGAAACTGTGAAATGGCAACCCATTTTCAGGACCTCTCTCTGTGGCAGAGAGCTTTCTCTCTTTTGCTTATCAAACATCTGCTCTAACCTCTCCTTTGGTGTGTCTGCATCCTTGATTTCCCCAGCTATGAGACAAAGAACTTTGGGTGGCACGTCAGACAGCAAGGCCGGTTTCAGTACTTTATTTTTGGACATGATGTTTCTTAGCTTTGGAGCCTCTTCTGAAATCAAGGAAACCAGCTTAATTTCACATGTGTGCACATACACACACACTCACACATGCATGCACACAGACACACACACATATATAACATACTAGTGTATGTGTGTGTGCGTTTACTAGATTCCTGAAGGATATTTCCTTTACTATTAACAGTTTGCATCTATTTCTATGTCTATGACTATGTTTATTGTGAAAATAAATATAAGTTAAAAGCTGTGGAGCCCCCAAAAATACTTTAAGCCTTGAGAGAGATGTGACTGTGATCTGAGGCACATATGGTGACAACTTCTGCTCTCAGATCATAGATTAATTCACTTTTTAATTTTCCTTGTTCTGTACAAAGACTAGAGAGAATTAAGCAACATAAGAGAAAAAAAAACCTTCTGCCTTTTTAATTAACGATGCTTGTGATTGATTAACCTCCCCTGGGTTGCCCTGCTTCACTTAGACTAGATGAAGAAAATCCATCACTATTACACCCTCTGTTAAAAAAAGTTAAATGTACTCTTCCCAAAAAGAAACTGCCTATAACCAATCCAACTGCTGTAAATATGTGCCAACCTTGTATGAATAATGTGGTAATCTTGCTAAAAACCCCTCTGTCTCTGCCTCTATAAATGAAACCTTAACATGCCTACTCCATAATTTTGGAGTTGGTGTGCTGGGTGTGATTCATCCATCTTCACACTTTGCTCTTGAATAAACTTTCTTTGAATTAGATTCTGATCTTTTTGGTTATTTAAGGTTGACACTACGTTTGTATCTATGATTCTTTCATAGACATCTGAAAGATGTGTCCTCGGTTGTTAAAGGCTTTCATATATTTCTACATGTGTACACAGTTCTATGTCTATGTGAGGGATTCTTGAAGGACTCTTCAGGCTGCTGTTACAGATACCATGAACTGGAGGGCTTACACAACTTATTTCTCAGAGTTTTGGAAGCTAGAAATCCAAGATCATCAAGACTCCAACCTGCTTTCTGGAGAGGGCTCTCTTCCTGCTTTGTAGATGGTCAGCTTCTCACTGTATCTTCATATGGTATAACCACCCAGTGGATTCATCTTGCTTGCTGCCTAAACAGAGCCGATTTCTCAAGACAGGGGAATTGCAATAGAGAAAGAGTAGTTCATGCAGAGCTGGCTGTGCAGGAGACTGGAGTTTTATCAGTACTCCAATCAGTCTCCTCGAGCATTCAGGGATCAGAGTTTTTAAGGATAATTTGGTGGGTGGAGGAGAAGGCCAGTAAGTCAACAGTGCTAATTGGTTGGATTGGAGATGAAATCATAGGGAATTTAACCTGTCCTCTTGGGCTAAGTCCGTTCCTGGTTGGGGGCCACCAGATCAGATGAGCCGGTTTATCAACCTGGGTTGTGCTAGCTGATCCATCAAGTGCAGGGTCCACAAAATATCTCGAGCACTGATCTTAGGAGCAGTTTAGGGAGGCTCAGAATTTTGTAGCCTCCAGCTGCCTGACTCTTAAACCATAATTTCTAATCTTGTGGCGAATTTATTAGTTTTACAAAGGCAGTCTAGTCCCCAGGCAAGAAGGCGATTTGTTTTGGGAAGGGGCTGTTCTTTGTTTTAAACCATAGACTAAGCTCCTCCCAAAGTTAGTGCAGCCTATGCCCAGGAATAAACAAGAACAGCTTGGAAGTCAGAAGCAAGATGGAGTTGGTTAGGTCAGATCTCTTTCACTGTCTCAGTCATAATTTTGCAAGGGTGGTTTCAATGACAGAGAGAAAAAGAGAGCTCTGGGCTGGTCATCTTCTTACAAAGGCACCGATCTCATCATGGGAGCCCCACCTTCAGGACATCATCTAAAACTAATTATCTCCTAATGCTCCATTTTCAAATACATCTCATTGGGAGTTCAGGTTTCAGCCTATTGGGGGGACACAAACATTTAGTCTATGGTACCTCCTTACCTGTCAACATTTTACGTCTTTTTCCATGTCAATGTCTACATCTACGTTTACAACCATTTCTGTTTATGTTGTAGGAGCCAAGGGAAAAACCTCCCCTTTGCTCTCTGAACATTCACTAAAAATCAACTGCCAATAGGCAGATTAATAAGGTTCCATACTGTAACTGCCCCATGGGCCCATTTTACCCATTGCCCAGAGAGAACTGATTGATCAAGACAAGGAAAATGCAATAGAGGAAGAGTTTAACTCATTCAGAGCTGGCTAAACAGGAGACCAGAGTTTTATTATTGCTCAAGTCTGTCTCCTCAAACATTTGGAGATTAGGGTTTTTCAAAGATAGTTCGGTGAGTAGGAGGCCCAGGAGCGGGGAGTGCTGACTGGTTGGGTTGGAGATGAAATCATAAGAGCTGAAGCTGTCCTCTTGCACTGAGTCAGTTCCTGAATGGGAGCCAAAAAACTGATTGGTGAGTCCTGGTACAGCCATTGGTATTCAGAAATGCAAAAAAACCTGAAAAGACATCTCAAAAGGCCAATCTTGGGTTCTACAATAGTGATGTTATCTGCAGGAGTAATTGGGGAAGTTGAAAATCTTGTGACCTCCCAAATATTGGCTGGTAGTTATTTAACTATGCTTACATCATACTAGAATTCAGAACCCTCTCAGCCTCCTAACCTGGTAGCCTTTTATTAGTTTACAAAGGCAGTTTTGGAAAATGCTGTTATAATTTAAACTATAGGATGGGAGTGGTGGCTTACACCTGTAATCCCAGCACTGTGGGAAGCCAAGGCAGGAAGCTTGCTTGAGCTCAGGAGTTCACGACCAACCTGGGCAACATGGCAAAACCCCATCTCTACAAAAAAATATAAGAAATTAGCCAGACATGATGGCTTGTGCCTGTAGTCCCAGCTACTGGGGAGGCTGAGGTGGGAGGATCACTTGAGCCTGGGAGGTGGAGGTTGCAATGAACCAAAATTTGCCACTGCACTCCAGCCTGGGTGACGGAGGGAGAACCTGTCTCAAAAATATAAAAATAATAAAATTAACTATAAACTAAATTTCTCTCAACATTAGCTTGACCTATGCCCAGGAATGAGTGAAGACAGCCAACCTGTGAGGCTAGAGGCAAGATGGAGTTGGCCATGTCAGGTTTCTCTTACTGTCATAATTTTGCAAAGGAGGTTTCAATATGAATTTATTCATGTGGGTGGAGTCTTACAAAATTTCTTAAAGAAATGGCCAGATGGTTGATGCTTTTATACCATACTGGGGTTACATAAAGAATAATGGCTCAGAGCATGTGCAAAAACCCGATTATAGTGGTAAATCAGGTTATGGTGTGAAGACAGGTTGTGGGAGAGGGAGTGGAGGCACCTGGCTAGCAAAGGTGGTCTCCTTATGCAGATGAAACCTTCCAGGTAGCATCCCTCAGAGAGATTAGATGGTGAATATATCTTTCAGATCTTAAAAGGTGTTAGATTCTTAGTTCATCTTTCATAGATGAGACAAGGGAGGACCTCAGAGAAAGCCTGGCTGTATTGAGGCAGATTTTTTCTGCAGATGCAAATCTCCCCCACAAAAGACAGCTTTTTAGCAATTTTTGTATTTACAACACTTCTGATTAGCCATCTTGAAGGATGCAAAGGAAATACATTGTAAAAGAAAATAAGATTTCAGAACCCTCTAAGTTTATGATGCCAAGGGGAAAGTTAAATCCTGAATACTGAGTCACATAGCATATCTGCAATTTTGCTTTTTAGATTGTGGATTAACTGTCTTCCTCATTGCTTTTGTTCTGTAAATGACTAGAAGCGACCAGACATCAGACTTCCCCTTTCCCATCATTGATCTATGTTATAGATAGACTAACTGCATCCTTTATCATGTTGTGCCTAACTCAGAACAGATGATCCCAAGACCCAAGATGACAGTTACATTTCAGTGTGGAATGTTGCATACACACCTCTCCCAAAAGAAAGACACCACTTTAAGTAACCAGATTGTCGTAACTATGCATCAAGCCTTACAGAGAAGGACAATGAAATTCTGTTAAACTTCCCTAAACTTTGTCCACATAAGGAATTAAAAATGTCCACACTTCAGAACCCTGACTTCTCTTCTTCAGAATCTTTGTTTTCTGTGTGACCTGTCCACAGACTTTGTCTTGAATAAACTCTCTTGGAGATAGAATCTGACATTTTTGATTGCTCTTGGTTGACAACATTTCAGGGTAAAATGTTTTGATTTCTTTCAATATTTATGTAATGAATTGCTTTTCTAAAACCAGTTTATTGAGGTATGGTTGGCATAAAAAAGCTGTACATATTTATTATATACAATGTGATGTGTTTAAAGATGAGTATATGTCTATGAACCTATTGAATTTAGTTTATAGTTTAATTTAAAAATAAAGGTAATAACACTTAAAAAGCAAAATTGCAGACATGCTATGTGACTCAGTATCCAGGATTTAACTTTCCCCTTGGCATCATAAACTTTGAGGGTTCTGAAATCTTATTTTCTTTTACAATGTATTTCCTTTGCATATTTCAATTTGGCTAGTCAGAAATGCTGTAAATATAAGAATTACTGATAACAGTAACACTGCCTTTGTAAAACTAACAAATTAACCACAAGATTGAAGATTATGGCTCAGAAGCCAAGTAGCCAGAGGCCACAAGATTCCCAACTGCCCCAGTAGCTCCTACAGATAAAATTACTATTGTAAAACCTAAGATTGGTGAGTGAGGTATTTTTTGGAGCCTGCATTCTGGTGAACCAGCAGGTGTCACCCAGATCAATAACCTATACCAGGAAACTGGCTCAACTTGTCTTGTGGCTCCCACACAGAGACTGAAGACAGCTCCAATCCCCTATGAGTTCATCCCCAACCCAACCAATCGGCATTCTCCATTCCCTAGTCACCTGCCTACCCAATTATTATTTTTGAAAAAAACCCCTAGCCTCTGAATGTTCAGTGAGTCTGATTTGAGTAATAAACTCATGCCTTCCCTGTGCCTAGCCCTGTGATTCAACTCTTTCTCTACTGAAATACCACTGTCTCAGTGAATTGGCTCCATCTGTGCAGCAGGCAAGAAGAACCCATTGGGCAATTACATCATGAAAAAAAGTGAAAGGATTTTCCAAAGTACAGATACAAAATGATACGTTATTTCCCAAAGAAAAATAAAGCTTAATTTCAATTCACAGTAAACAGTAAGCATATATCAGTGACAGATACATTTATATGATTTGTATGATATATTATGCATATATCATATATATGTGAATTAGGTACAGAGTGCAAGTAATTTACTGGCAGAAAATGATAACATTTTCTTCAGACTTCTCCATAGCTACACTCACTGAGAGAATAGATTAGCACAATTTCTACATAGTAAATACATTTAGATTCTCAAATTTGGATACCTTGATTATTTCCTACTTAAATCAGAAGAAAGTAGTCATTATGAAAAGTAAGAACTCCTACAGTGTAGAGGTCACTACCTCTTTAAAAATCATCTAATCAAAACACAAAATGGACAAGCAAATAAGTAATATAATTTGTGGAAAAACACTCCAGCCAGCCAAGAAAGAAAGTGAAATAAGTATCTCATGATGGATGAAAACAAATCTATAAAAGATCCTCAGTGAACTTTGAATCCACTGAAATAAATAACGACCTGTTCACAATTTTAAAACTTCAGTTACAAAACTGAAAGTACCTTTAATGTACCTTTAAATATTTTGATGTTAATAGAGAAAGAGGGAAGATTTAAAACTTGCTAGTTTCATAGTTTTTGTTTGTTTGTTTGTTTATTTTCCCAGTGGGTGTACAAGAGATTCTAATGGTGAAAATGGACAGATAGTGTTTAAGAATAAGGAATGTCTGGAAGGGTGTTATTTAGACATTACAATGTATTAAAATCACATGAGGGGCTTATAAAATACATATTCCAAAGTGCTGTCCTCTAAGATAGTCTAGTTAAATGGTTATCTGAAAGGGAAATCATATTTTTCAATCACTCAGCTGGCTTAATGCAATGGTCCTTTGCCTCATTTTGAGAAATACTGCACTCGAGGAAGCAAAACCTTACTATCAACAGTTTAGTTACAAAAATAGAAATATTTGTATGCACCACTACCACACCATTCATACACCAAAAGGGTATGTCAAATAAGGGAGGTAAAGTACTAAAATAATGTAGATGCAGCCCATTGAAAGACATGTGATAACAAGAGATATTAGAAAAAGTTATCACAATCTAAGGCTGGATTAAAATTTCATGAAGTCTTACACCATATCAATAAAAGAAATGTAAACTCATACAGTCAATAGATACATGTAAATCTAATTAGAAGAGTTTTTAATTAAAGAAAGGGCAACACTTTTATGAAAATACATGTAACCAAGATTTGAACAAGCCTTGCTTAATAGTAATCATTTCTTAATAGTAAGACAAACATCACTAAATGAAAATTGTAAAGCACAATGCCATCAATGCAATATGTCTCTGTTGATGTTACATAACAAAACACCAAAAATGCATAAAGTAAAACTTCTCAGAGAAATCCATTATGATTCACTCATTAATTTCATGTGATAATAGGTCCCTGTCTCTTAGAAGACAAAGTCAATCTCCACTTGGGGCAGAATAACTTGCTGAGCTATTTATTTCCACGTGTACGTTTCATTGATACGTTCCCTGTCTTGTTCTAAGAAGGTTTCTAGGATCCTTATGCTTTCCTACATAGGGAGTATTATTACGTGTTACGTAGCTAAAACAGCTTTTCCCTGAAGAGACACTCTCCAATAGGGTGTTGCTGTCCTGAAGACAGAGGATTTCACCAATGTGAAGAATGCTTACTGAATGGCACATTGAGGAGAACAAATTAGCTACTTTCGAGCAAATGGGATTAAAAGGTATACGGAGGCCTAGTTTCAAGAGAGGGTGGCTGACTGTAGCAGGTGGTTTCCTAGGCAAAACCTTAGAGGAGAAGATAGGAAGTACTACCAGGAGGTCACAGCGTTGACCCAGATATTCTCATATTCATCATGGATTCCACTTCTGTATTGCTGACACAGAGAAAATGAATTGGGAGGATTCTGGAGTCAGGCTATTCCAGAATTGAGTGGTTCCAATGATGGGATGATGTCACCATTCTGAAATATATCTGAAAACATTTTTTAAGAAATGCTAATGACTGCTGAAAGGGTCTACTTTGGAAAGAAAAACTGGAAGCTTAGAAAGGGGGAATTTTCTTTTTTTAATTTGTTACTTGATTACCCCTTTAAAAATTTTCGTGATTATATGCTACCATTACAATAAAAAGTTAAACAAGAAAGGCTTTAAATAAGAGCTTATTCTATGTCATTGGGTACTTATCAGCCTATGATTTTTCACAGAGCTTGCAATAAAATTATGGAAATAAAATTTACATTTTAAATCTCTTTAGGAAGTATCAGTATATTACCAGTAACTCTTTCACAGCGCAGTAAGCTTTTCTTTTAAAAAATAAGCAAAGCTGCAATCCTTGAAGTAGTGCATTCTGAACATGATAAATGTTGTTGTTCAAGAGAGGCCAAGATGTGAAGAATTCCGAAAAAAAGAACACAGTTAACCAGGTGCTGGCCTTTGATGAGGTGCAAAGGCTAAATTTTCTACATTCTTCATTGTGTACTCCCCCAAAGGCCACAGACTCTACATTTTTATTACATGTCATTAGGGCATCTGTAGTCAAGGACAAAAACCCTGATTAAGATGCCTTTGGCAACTCATCAAGAGTGGCTTTTAGGGACTTAGCAAATTGACTATGAAGAGGGATTAGGACAGGGGAAAACCAGCTTTTGTTAACCCTGTGCACCATACCACAAGTCTTTACACATATGGATGCATTTAATTCTCTCACCTGCAGGCATGAACTCGTTTTATTATATTCCCTTACGTGGAAGAACATAAGACTTAAAAATGTTCGTGAAACTTTCTCAGGTTTTTTCTTTCCTTCCTCCTCCTCCTCCTCCTTCTTCTTCTCCTTCTTCTTTTTGAGACAGAGTCTTGCTCATGTTACTTAGTCTTTGAGTGCAGTGGTGTGACCATAGCTCACTGCAGCCTCAACCTCCCAGGCTCAAGAGATCTTCCTTTCCCAGCCTCTTGAGTATCTGGGACTGCAGGTGTGCCACCATACCTGGTTAATTTCTAAAAAATTTGTTGTAGAAATCGGGTCTTGCTGTGCTTCCCAGGCAGATCTTTAATTCTTGGGCTCAAACAATCCTTCTGCCTTGGAGGTCTTTTCTTTTATTGTATAAATTTAATGTGTACCATGTGATGCTTCAGTACACATATGCACAGTGAAATGAAAACTACAGTCAAGTAAATTAACATATCATCACCTTACATCATTCCTTTTTTGTATATTAAAAACACCTAAAGTATATATTCTCTTAGTAAATGTCCAGGTCTTATAAATGGCAAAATTAAAACTGTATGGGAGGAAGAATAATTCCTCGAATCCCCACTTCTCAAATATGTCCACATTTTAATCACCATAATCTGTGACTATGGAGTGTTACGTGACCAAATGGAGTCTGCAGGTATGATTAGATTTAGATTTTGAGATGGAAATATTATTCTGGATTAGCCAAGTGAACTCAAGCAATGTAATCACAAGAGTCCTGAAATGTAGAAGAGGAAGGCAGAGGAGTTAGAACTACAGATAAGACTTTGTGTGAGAAAGACTTGACCAGCTCCTGTTAGCCTTGAAGATGAAAAAGAGGCTAGCTGCAATGTCTCACACCAGAGATCTCAGAGCTTTGGGAGACTTAAGTGAGAGGAGACTGGGATGTTGAGACCGGCCTGGGCAATACAGCAAGATCCTGCCTCCATAACAAATAAAAAAGTTAGCCAGGTGTGGAGGCACTAGCCCACAGTCCCAGCTACTTGAGAGGCTGAGGTAGGAGGGTCACTTGAGCCCAAGAGGTTAAGGCTGCAGTGATCTATGATTGTATTAATACCACTAATATCACTGCATTCCAGCTTGGGTGACAAAGTGAGACTCTGAGACCAAAAATAAATAAATAAATAAATAAAAAGAAGGGATTATGAGCCAAGAATGTGGACAGCCTCCAGAGAGAGGAAAAAAAGGAAGAGATTATGAGCCAAGAATGTGGACAGCCTCCAGACAGTGCAAAAGGCAAGGAAATGGATTATCCCCCAAAATCCTCCAAACAAAATGGTGCAACCATGCCAACACCATGCTTTCAGCCCAATGAGACCCATGCCAGGCTTCTGAACACCAGAAATGTCAGATAATAAATTTGTGTTGTTTTAAGCCATTAGATTTGTGATAATGGGTTACAGCAGTTGTAGGAAACTAATCCTCTAGACAGAGATTCACACACCATGCCAACTAGTCAGTTAAAACATGGTGTCTCAGTGCAGACTCAGACAGATGGGATTTTGTCAGAAAGTGTTCAATCAATAGAACCCAGTAATGCCTGAGGACTTCTGTGTTCCTAAGTAGGCCAGCAATTCACAACCTTCTTATGTGAGAATTAACAACCTTATAGCAGGCCAGAGAGAGGAACGATCCTCATGTCTAATACAATCCTGGAATGCAGAGAAAAATATCATGCCTAGAGTTAGATTTCTTCTTCACACTGGTAATCATGGTGAAGGACTCTAGGGGCAGGACTGGGGTGGGGCAGAGAAACATCACTTGTTGATATTGGAGTCACGGCACAAGTTTTAATGCTGATTCTATCCCTGTAAATTTGGTGGATTTTTAACTGTTAGGTAAGTGAGGTGAAAAAAAGACTCAGTGAATTCATTTATCTAATCAGAAGAAATAGTGGTACATCCATCCATTCAGACACTATTTGTTATGGCTTGATGATGATGTTCTCTCCAAAATTTATGTTAAAATTTAATCCCCATTGTGGTGGCAGTAAGAAGTGGAGACTGGGGGGATGTGACCAAATCATGGAAGCTCCACCTTCATGAATGGATTAGGACCTCAGAAAACAAGCTTGCAGTAGTAAGTTCACTCTCTCTCTCTCTCTCTCTTCTATTCTTCTGCCATGTGAGGCTGTGACAAGAAGGCTGTCACCAAACACCTAATGCTAACAACTTGATCTTAGACTCCCCAGCCTCCAGATGGTAAGAAATGTATTGCTGCTTTTTATAAATTACCCAGTCTAAGATATTTTGTTACAGCAGCACAAATGGACTAAGACAGTATTCAAAAATAAGATGAATCAGTCATAAAGTCAGGCAAAGACATGGAGAACTCTTAAATGCATATTGCTAAGTGAAGAAAGTTAATCTTGAAAGATTTTATATTGCATGATTTTATTGACATGATATTCTTGACTAGGCAAAACTACAGCCAATAAACAGATCAGGGTTATCCATGTGTTTGAGGAGAGGAGACTTTTGAACAGGTGAAGCACATGGCATACTCCTAGGGTAATAGAACTTGAGTCCTTTCTTGGTATCTATATGGGATTCGTTCCAGGATCGCCTGTGGATACCGAATCCACAGATGAATAAGTCCATTATATAAAATGCTGTATTATTTGAGTATAAACTACACACAACTTCCTGTATGCTTTAAATTATATCTATACTACCTAATACAATGTAAATGCTATGTAAATAGTTGTTATACTGTTTTCTTTAGGGAGTAATAACAAGAAAAAAAGTCTATACATATTCAGTGCCAATGCAACCATCCATTGTTTTTTGTTTTCTTTTTTTCAGTATTTTCATAATGCAGTTGGTTGAATCCATTGATGCAAAACCAAGGGGTACAAAGGCCTGACTGTATTGTGTATGATACTGTAATAGCAGATACATGACACTATACAATTGTCAAAAATCATAAAACCTTACAGCATGAAGACTGAACTAAATGTATGCGACTTAAAAGAAAACAGAAACAACAAAAAATAGGAATTTAGGGGCTCCCAGGATGAAATGCACACTGAAACAGAAGAATTTGATAATGTTACAAGTGTGTGAAGCAGTCTCGCTGAAGGAGAGACCAGCAGTTCTAGCCTAATATTACTTTGCATCTCTGTGAATCTTTAAGACTAAAGGCAAAAGGAACTGCCGATAAAGCCCTGTTCTCTAGTTGATAAAGTTGTTTCCTACAAGCGTAGGGGTTAACAATTCTAAAGCCATGACACATGTGTACTGGAATTAAACAATTAAGACAATAGATGGCAGGTTGTGGGAGGCAGGTTTCTCACTGTTGGAGTGGGAGCTAGTATTGAAAGAAATTAGTAAAACCCATGTGGCAATGGATTAGAGAGAGTTGAAGGCCTCAAGATAAAATTATGTATAGCTTCATATAGACACAAATAATTACATATAGAAATTTTTAGGGGTATGTATATACACATGGGTTAGTTTGCACACATATGTTTTCTTGCTCTGTCAGCTGAGAAGGCCTTGAAGAAACAATACTCTAGTGGGAACAAGCACATCTGGTGGCCAGAATTTGGTTTCTCATACTATTTTCCATTAAAATTAGCCAAGGATCCTGGGAAACATGGCTGAATGTAGGAATGAGGCAGGGAATATATAAGATGAGTCTGTAACATCTTATAGGGTCAGAAAGTCATGAAGAGTGCACACACCACACACACACACACACCCACACACACATGCATATACACACACAAATGCAATGATGGCTATGTGAAAATTACTACCGGTACTCAGTAAAACTGAAATATCATGGAAAGTTGCAGACAGGCACAGCTTTCTACCCAGCAGTTTTACCTCTATACTAGATCAATGTATATGGCAGCACAAGGAGCACTCTTGATACCAATTTTCTGTATTAGTCCATTCTCGCACCGCTATAAATAAGTGTAAAGAACTAGCAGAGACTAAGTAATTTATAATGAAAAGAGGCTTAATTGACTCACATTTCCACAGGCTCTACAGGAGGCTGGGAATCCCTCAGGAAACTTATAACCATGGCACAAGGTGAAGGAGAAGCCAGCACATCTCACATGATGGGAGCAGGAGGAAGAGAGAGAAAAGAAGGAGGTGCCACACATTGAACCAGATTGAATGAGAACTCTATCACTGGACAGCACTAGGAGGATGGTGCCAAACCACTAGAAACCACCACCATGATCCAGTTACCTCCCACATGGCTCCACCTCCGATACTCAGATTACAACCCAACATGAGATTTGGGTGGGGACACAGAGCCAAACCATACCAGGGATGGTAATCTTCATATTGTTTTTTAAGAGTAAATATTGCGAAATGAGTAAGAGTTTGTTTTTATGACAGTAAGGGCAAATTTTTGCTATTAGTAGGTGCAGCAATTTGCAACTGTTAAGAAAATTGAACCGCATCTTATAACATTGCTAGGGTTTGAATATTTGTCTCCTCCAAACTCATGTTGAAACCTAATCCCCAATGTGGCAGGATTAAGAGTTAAGACCTTGAAGAGATGATTGGGCCTTGAGGGCTTATCCTTGTGAATGGATTAGTCCATTCATGAATTAATGAGTTAATGGGTTACTAGCTTATAATGGGAGTGTAATGCGTTAAAGAATCATAATGGGAGTGGGACTTATGCCTTTAGAAGGAGAGGAAGAAAAGATGTTAGCACACGTAGCCCCCTAACCACATGAGGTCCTTCACCACCTCATGGGACTCTAAAAAGAGTACCCGCCAGCAAGAAAGCTCTCAGCCAATGAGGGCTCTTGACCTTGTACTTCTCACCTCCAAAATTTTAAGAAATATATTTCTTAAGAAATAAATTGTCTAGTTTCAGTATTCTTTTATAAGCGACAGAAAGCAGACTAAGACACACATTTTTAAAAAATGAACCAGATCCACATGTATCAGCCTAGGTGTGAGTGAAAAATGTAAATTGAAAAATGGCACTCGTCAGAATTTTATCATTACAGGAGAACATGTATTTAGTCAGCATAGGAAAAATGTGCCCATAAAGAATGTATACCAGCAGGGTGCAGTGGCTCATGACTGTAATCCCAGCACTTTGGGAGACCAAGGCGAGAGGATCACTTGAGCGCAGGATTTCAAGACCAGCCTGGGAAGCATAGCAAGACCCCATCTCTACAAAAAGTTAAAAAATTAGCCAGGCATGGTAGCACACACCTGTGATCCTGGCTACTCAGGAGGCTGAGGTGAGAGGATCATTGGGCCCAGGAGGTTAAGGCTGCAGTGAGCTGTGATTGTGCCACTGCACTTCAGCCTGGGCAACTGAGCAAGAGCCTGTCAAAAAAAAAAAGTATACCTATTACTCATAAGTGGCTACGTTTGAGAACAGAGGCAAGCATATATTAAGGAAGGGTAGTTAGTTTCATATTTTATTTCTTTAAGAAAAGAATGCTTTGAAAAATGTGTAACAAAGTATTAACTCATTATGTAATTGCTGGTCAGAGAGGCATTTTTACATTATTTTCAATATGTTATGTGGTTAAAATAATGTATATGTTAATTTTTAAAATCAAACAAAAGAGAGAACATAGGCATAAGGTAAGAAATGTATCATGATGAACTGGAGAATGAGTAGAGTGGATGTCTGCAGGAAATCTCCTTGAAAAGAGAGAAAACATATTTTAGTTTTCATTTATTTTGTTTCATGAAGTGGTGATTAGCTCATGAAATGCTTGCAGTATTAATGAGAGTTATCTACTTATTTTGTTTACAATGTAATAGTCTGATTATTCCTCAGTTAAAGATTTTCTGCACAAGTTTATGTGAAAATTTAGAAAAAAATATTTGGAGGCTGGGCGCAGTGGCTCACGCCTGTAATCCCAGCACTTTGGGAGGCCGAGGTGGGCAGATCACCTGAGGTCAGGAGTTCAAGACCAGCCTGGCCAACATGGTGAAACCCCATCTCTACTAAAACTACAAAAATTAGCCAGGTGTGGTGGTGGGCACCTGTAATCCCACTTACTTGGGAGGCAGAGGCAGGAGGATTGCTTTAACTCAGAAGGTGGAGGTTGCAGTGAGCTGAGACCATGTCATTGCACTCCAGCCTGGGCAACAAGAATGAAACTCCATCTCAAAAAAAAAAAAAGAAAAGAAAAAAATTGGACGTCAGGTATGGTGGCTTGAACCTGTAATCCAAGCACTTTGGGAGGCCAAGGCAAGTGGATCACCTCAGGTCAGCAGTTTGAGACCAGCCTGGCCAACGTGGTGAAACTCCATCTCTATTAAAAATACAAAAATTAACCAGGCGTGGTGGCATGCGCCTGTAGTCGCAGCTACTCGGGAGGTTGAGGTAGAAGAATCACTTCAACCCAGGAGGTGGAGCTTGCAGTGAGCCGAGATCACGCCACTGCACTCCAGCCTGGGTGACAGAGCGAAACTCCATCTCAAAAAAAAAAAAAAAAAAAAATACCAGGGTGTGGTGACCCATGTCTGTAGCTCCAGCTGTTTGGAAGGCTGAGGTGGGAAGATGGCTTGAATCCAGGAGGCAGAGGATACAGTGAGCTGAGATCATGCCACTGCACTACAGCCTGGGCCATGAGTGAGACCCTGTCTCAAAAAAACAAAAGAAGAAGAAGAAAAAGAAAAGAAAAGAAAAGAAAAGAAAAGAAAAGAAAAGAAAAGAAAAGAAAAGAAAAGAAAAGAAAAAAGCTTTTATTTGGTTTCTTAGTAGCAATAGTATAGAAGACAGGCAGAAAATTGTTATTGAGGTAAAGGAGTTTGGAAGAGTAGTCTCTTAGCATATTATACAATTATGTTTTCTCTATTGTTTGCTTTTAAACAATATTATAGGGTTTCAATGTTTCTCACAATAATGTCACTTTAAAATTATGTAGCTTACTAATTGACTTCCTCTCTTTTTGTATCTTATGAGATACATGCAATAAAAAAAAATAGCCCATAAAAATCATCTTAGACTGGATCAGCTTCCATGAAGTTGATAGAAAACAATGCCATATATTATCACTTAGATATATATTTATCTATATGTCATGTGTTTAGACTGAAATAACTAATTCCTTCTCTTCACATACAATACCAGAAGCAATCTGTTTATTTCGTTGCTATTTTTAAATGCACATGCTTCAGACTTAGGATTTTTTCGAAGTACAAACTTTCTGTTGGATTGGTTAGTCCTCTTCTCATGAACAAATCTTGACATTAATAAGAGAAGATGAACAGTAACTAAAACTAATAAAAGAGAGATGGACAGTAACTTCCAAAGGCCAAGGATTATTGTAAGGTTGTTATTATTATTACCACATTTAAACATCAAAATAACCCTTCCGAAACTGATATATTAAGAAAAATTGAATCTTATGTTTATCCAAAATTGGAAGTAGCTCAGTATGAGTCTTCTCTTTTTTAACTCTGATTTTGCTACTAGTTTCACTCTGGCCCAGGAAATCGGTGTATCTTTCACAATGAATATTGTTGTTTGCTTAAGTTCTCATCCCCAGTTTCCTCTTCTGTGAAATGGGATAACAATACATACCTAGTTCATAGGATGGACATGAGAAATAGATGAGAATGCTTGGAGACTGCTTATCATAATACATAGAATTCAGTAAGCAGTCAAAGCATGTTATCTATTATTGTTTTACCATTAAGAATGTTTTGTGACTTAGTGAAATTTTTCAATAGATTTGCTTTCTTTTTTCTGTTTTGAACTTGGTATTTGTTTATTTGTTGACCTTGACACAGGGAAATTTTCCTGGATTCTCCAGATGGTACCAATGTAACCACAGGGGTCCTTAAATGTAGAAGTCAAAGAAGACAATGTATCAAAGTGGTGCCAGGCGAGATTCAACCAGCTGTGTGTATGTGTGTGTGTGTGTGTGTGTGTGGGCATGCATGTATGATTTTGTATATTTTTTCCCCAGGAGCATAAAATTTACTTCAATTCTGCTATGCAAACACCCATGAGTTATTTGCATAAGCCATCACACTTCTGGGTGGTGAATATTAAACAAAGGAATGTAGAATAGTGAAGAAATGCTTTCTAAAGGTTGAGCTGCAGGTGCTGTAGGAATGTAGATAATGCACACCCTATATAGGTATGAGTGTGCACGTGTTGAAGATATATATACACGCATATATGTGGCTATATAGGTGTGTGTATATACATATGTCTTCAACACATGCACACTCATATCTGTATAGGGTGTGCATTATATATATGTATGCATATTGTGTGTATATAATGTTATTTAGCATAGAAAATAACATATAAGTTGTATTTTTAGAAATTGGTATGACATAATGTTAATCAAGAGAAACTGGTTATCCGTGAACACCCTTCATATAAGGAAAAAAAAAGTGTGGGAGCAACAGCTCAGACCTGTAATTCCAGCACGTTGGAAGTCAAGGTGGGAGAATTGCTTGAGCCCAGAGGTTCGAGACCAGCATGGGCAACAGAGTGAGACCACATCTCTACAAGTATTTTAAACGTTAGCCTGGCATGGTGGTGCACACCTGGAATCCCAGCTACTTGGGAGGCTGAGGTGGGATGGTCACTTGAGCCAAGGCAGTTGAGGCTGCAGTGAGTTATGATTGCACCACTGCACTGCAGCCTGGGGGACAGAGTGAGACCATGTCTCAAAAAAGAAAAAAATAAAAACTGGTTAAAGTTTGAATAATAAAGGTGCTGATTCTTTTTACTGTGCAATAAATAACAATGATGATGGACAGTCTACTGGTTTTTCTCCCCAGCTTTGCAAAATAGTCTTCCTACTAGTCATCGAGATGATCACTTTGCACCTACATTGACATCACAAAATGCCTCCCTCCGCGTGCCCAATTGATGGTGGACTCTCAGCAAACACATTCCTCCTTCTCGCACAGATCTTGACCCTCCTTAATCAGAAGCGATAGATGGATTTTCTATTTCTCCCTTTATATATGTAAAATGCAGAATTTTTGTCATCATCAAGGATCGGAATCAAGGACTAATCTCTTTCTAGATTTCTTGTCGACCCAAGAGCAGTAGGCATGATCAAGTATTCATGGAGCTGTCCATGGTTTTGGAGGAGAAGGTATATTATCTATGCCTCTGTAGTTCCTCACACTTAAGCATTATACCACATATACCCCTTATATTAAATCATAAATTTTATTACAGATTAACTGCTATAAAAATGTTTAATAAACCCAACATATAAGAGTGTTATAACAGTGTCTGGGAAAATACAATAAAGCCGAGCTGCCAGTACATAATGAAGTGTTCTGTGCTTTTATTGCTGCATGTTGCAATAAACCAATCTGAGGATTTTAGACTTCTTGTAAGAAAATTATCCGACTTCCCCTTAAAGTAGGAGTCACTTTTCAATTCACTTATCAATTGTCTCTGAAAAATTAAAAGAAAAAAAACAAGCTATGTAATATTCTGTTAGAAATATTCATATTATATGTGTGTTGTGTGTCCTTAAAAATGTTTATGGAGGCCGGGCGTGGTGGCTCACGCCTGTAATCCCAGCACTTTGGGAGGCCAAGGCAGGTGGATCACCTTAGGTCAGGAGTTCGAGACCAGCCTGGCCAACATGGTGAAACCCTGTCTGTACTAAAAATACAAAAAATTAGCCGGGCGTGGTGGCAGGTGCCTGTAATCCCAGCTATTCAGGAGGCTGAGGCAGGAGAATCACTTGAACCCAGGAGGTGAAGGTTGCAGTGAGCCGAGATTGTGCCATTGCACTCCAGCCTGGGCAATAAGAGTTAAACTCCATCTAAAAAATAAAAATAAAATAATAAGTTTATGGATTTGCATTGATCCAACTAGAAACTCTACCATATATTTATTCCTAAATTTTGGGCATTTTCACCAAGCAAAACTACATCAGAAAGACTAGCAGGGCAAAATGGGTTACGTTATCTTGGAAACACAAAGTAATTTATTGTGACAGCAAGGATAGTAATAAAACTGTGTAATACTGTTGAACAGCTGAAGACAGTCTAATACCTTACTGACTTATAAACAAACATGAAGGAGATGCATTAGGTTAATCAAACCTGCTTGTATATATCCAGTACAATGTTATAATATTTTTTAGCTAGGTTATCACTAATTATTTCTGACTGCTTGTATAGTCTTCGTTCAGAATTGTTTCTTAATATCATCACTACTTACAGAGACATCTGTTTCAGCATATTCTTTACATAAGCCCTTTTCTCATGTACCCTGAATCTTTAATGCATAGTTATGCTAGTTGTTGGCAATAGCAATATTTAACCATATATTTTAGCAGAAGTTATAATAGACTTTTAACAGAAAGTGAAATGAATCCATCTGGAGACTGTATTTAATTTTCAAAATTAGGATGTACAATAACCATCTTTCGAAAACAGAAAACCTAGAATACATGTATGAAATTTTGCTAAAGACCTAATTTAGCAAAATGAAATTGCATTGTCTAAGTGTAGGCTGCATAAATCAAAAGAAATAGTCTGCAGACAATCTTTATTTTCATATTTCTGCTCTATGCTCAATGCATAAAGTATGGTTAAACATCACAAATTATGGCATTAAACCCAAAACATTCTCAGGCAATGAGACTAGCATGGTCAGGGAAATCTGAAAACAGGTTGTTGGTGTAACTTTGCTTTTATTCCATCATATTTTCTTTCTGCTTTTACGATCTCTTCTCTTCTGAGCAGGTGAAGAATTCTGTAAATTCAAGTGTAAATTATAATATAGGCAAATTGTAAATTATAAGTGCATTTAAATTTTATATTTGTGTGTATGTATATATATACACACATACATATGTATATTGCATATTACATACTCTCTTTTTTGAAAATAAATTTATTGTATATATTTAAGTTATACAACATGATGTTATAAGTTACATATGTAGCAAAATATTTACTATAGTGGAATAAATTTACATATTCATCATAACACATAGTTACTCATTTTCCCCCTCTGGCAAGATGAGTTATAATCTACTCCTTTAGTAAAAATCCTATAGACAATACAGTATTATTAACTATCGCCTTTAGAATATACATTAGATCTTTAGATTTATTCATCTACATATTTGTTATTTTTATATCCTTTGATGTACATCTCCCCCTTTCCTACCCACCACCCCCTCCCTGGGAACTACTGTTTTATTCTCTATTGCTATATATTTGAACATTAAAAGATGCCATTAAATATTCTCTTTTAATTTTTCTTCTTCTTTGGTAATAAAAATGGTAATCATATTTTTAACAGAATCTCTTTCTTCTCTCTTCCTCCCTGCCCACTTATCTCACTGTAAACTTCTGACTTCAAATTTGCAAACCTCTTTAAATGTCCAACAAAGTGATTTACACTGGGATCACAGTAGACTGTAGAAATATTGGGGCCAACGAACTTAATATACTTGGTAGTTTATGAACTTGAAGTGAAGTCCAGTCCCATGAGCTTCAGATTGGCTTCCACCAGCAGCTGCCTGAGGCAATTTTGGGAAACTCTTTCCAGCAAAATCAGCAGCTCTTGGTGACAGTAGGTGGCCATTGCACTCCTTGCAACATTTCCAAGGGGTAATTCTTCAAACCAGTTTTGTCCCACAAAGAGCTGACTCTGTTCCCTGCTTAAGAACATCTCCAATGTCTGTGAATTTTTATGCACCTTGGTGTTCAGTCCTGTTGAAAGATCAGGAAACCAACTTATGTAATATCAAATTCCTTGCTATATGGTATTCAACTTTTTCTTCAGCATGTATATGGATATTACTGCTAAACTTTCAATAGCACTGTATACATTTTGCATATATAAGATACTTACCTTTGATTCTTTTCTTTGCTGTGACTTATTTACTGAAAGTTAAAAAGCAAATTGGCTTATTTCTGAAACCTGAAAACCATACCGATGTCTTTTATTAAAAGCTCTTGAATTACAAAGTAAAAAAGCAAAGAACAATTTTGATGTGTGGCATGTTAAAAATACTTCCCATAGACCATCTACGTAGGAAGGATCTATAACCAATGAGGGACATGGGAAGCTGTTGAAGACACAAGCTGAGCAAGTTACAGAAGAAAACCTCCAGGGGACTTTGTAAGTGTTAACAAGGTAAGATGATTCTATAGCATTGATTTAATAAATGCATACTGAGGACTGTTCGTTGTTTTTGACTGGGTTTGGTTTCTAGTGTTTCCAGGCCATTCTTAATTGCCATCATACAGTTCTTAATAATTACACAGTTGTGTAAATAGGAGTGATTTTAGAGAGTCCAGGAATCCAGAGCCACGTAACCACCCGAAAGTGAGGCTCTGAGACAAGATGACCATTCTCCTGCTCTTCCAGGCTCCATTGCCAGAGGTAACAAGGAAGCTTCAGGAATGCAGACAGCCCTAACCTGCAGCACTCACATCCTCGCTCCCCCTGTGGCCTGACGTCCCATTTCTCTGTGTTTATCAGTCATACAATAGCACTAGCTTACAGGTCAGCCCACTTCACCTCCTGGACTCCAATATTCTACGGTAGCAATCTGTCGGTCCATCTCCTTCCTGTACACAACTTCTGAGATCCTCCCACTGCCCCTTGGAATTAGAAAGCTCTTCCTGTTACTACTGGTTCTAAAACTCTCCCTCCGGGACATCACCTCCCCTGCAGCTGTTTAAGGCTCTGAGTTGGGTGCAGCAGGCAGAAGAATTGCCTCAAAGCCTTGTACTGGAGCTGGAATTAGTTTCCACATTTGCCTTGTTCCAGTTTTCACCCTCACACCACTTGCCATATGGCTTCTTAAGCCACCCAGCTTTAGATGTCATACCATCTGATTATATCGATTTCATTATTCTATAATCTTATGACATGAAATTTTATCACCCTCTTTTACTGGCACTCAAATTAGTCCCTTTCATTTCTCAACATTGTACCTCCTGCTTAATTCTCATCATCTCCAATTATACTCCCCACCTAATTCTTTTTTGTTTTCTTTTGAGCAGGGTCTAGCCCTGTGGCCCAGGCTGGAGTGCAATGGTGCAATCATGGCTCACTGCAACCTGGAACTCCTGGGCTCAAGTGATCCTCAGGCCTCAGCCTCCTGAGTAGCTGGGACTACAGGCATGTACCAGCATGCCCAGCTAATTATTTTATTTATTTATCTTATTTTTTTTGTACAGACTGGGTCTTCCTATGTTACTTAGTCCTATATCAAACTCCTGGCCTCAAGTGATCCTCCCACCTCAGCCTTCCAAAGTGCTGGTATTACAGGTGTGAACCACTTTGCCCAGGCTTCATTTTTGATATTAGCATACATACATATAATTTTTCAACACCTTCACCCTTCAGTTCTTGAAAATCTTACCTCCAATGACTTTTTTCTCTACTTCACCTAATTCCTTACATATTATAATTTCTAATAAGCACCACTCCTTTATAATCTTAATAATACAACATCCCCTTTCTAATAACTACAATCTTTGCAGCTCACCACTGCCAGTCTCCCATAGCTTTTCAGAACATCATTGACCCCACCAGCATACCCCATCCACAGAGCCTAACAAAAGTTCACTGAAACACGCCTTCTTTTTTTCCTATTTCCCCACTGAAATCCCATGACCTAACATCATAATCACTCCAATGCCAGTTCCCCGAATCTCTTGCTTCTGTCTTGCTTTGTTTTGTACTAGGTTGCAACCACAATTCGGGTTAAATAAAACTCTACCTACACCCCATTGGCCTTCATCCATGTACACAAATAACCGTACCAACTGCTCAGATTTTATATTCCTGATTCAGGAGCTCCAAGTGGGGCTTCCGGGTGCTCCTGCTATACTTTCCCAGTCTATGAATCCTTCAACTCTTTCCGAGAGATGTTTTGCAGTTTCCTTTCCTGGAATCCCAACACTTACTCTGCTAATCAGGAGATTAAGTTCTCTTTCAAAGGAAGGGGTGACACACAAGCTTCCATGGGCTTCCACCTGCACATTCACCAAGCTACCAACAAGTCAACTTACCTGTTCTTCCCTGTGGTTTCTTAATGCGGATGAATGGTACATGTATTTCCTCTAAACACAATCCCTTCATCTGCACAATGGATTCTCTCTTCTCTTTTCTTTTCAAAAATACAGCTATTTGACTGGTGCCCTAATGAAACCTTTCCATCCACATGAGCACACAAAATTTGTCATATTTTCTATCTTTTAAAACAATTATCTTGATTCTTGCTATGGTAAGAATTTTTGTGTCCTCTGAAATGTATATGTTGAAATCCTAACCCTCATTGCAATGTGTATTAGTCTGTTCTCACACTGCTAATAAAGACATACCTGAGACTGGGTAATTTATAAAGGAAAAGGGTTTAATGGACTCAGAGTTCCACATGGCTGGGAAGGCCTCACAATCATGGAAGAGGCGAATGAGGAGCAAAATCGTGTCTTACATGGTGGCAGGCAAGAGGGCTTGTGCAAGGGAACTTCCATTTATAAAACCATCAGGTCTCATGACACGTATTTACTACCATGAGAATAGTATTGGAGAAACTGCCCCAAGAATTCAATTATCACTACCTGGCCCCACCCTTGGCACATGCGGATGATTGCAATTCATGGTGAGATTTGGGTGGAGACATAGCCAAAGCATGTCTCAATGGTAGGTGGAGGTGGGGACTTCAGGAGGTGATGAGGTCATGAGGGTGAAGCCTCATGAATGGGATGAGCACCCTTATAAAAGGGACTCCACTGAGCTCTCTTGCCCCTTCCACCATGTGAGGACACAGCACGAAGGTGCAGGAAGCAGGTCGTCAACAGTCACTGAAACTGCCATGACTTCATCTTGGATTTCTCAGACCCCAGAACTGTAAGAAATAAATTTCTATTGTTTATACATTACCAATCTAAGATATTTTGTTAAAGCAGCCAGAAGGGGCTGAGACAATCTCATTTTTTCAATCAGGTAATGCCACCACCACTCCTGTTCCCCCCACCGCCTTTTTTTTTTGCTCCTATGTCAGCAAAATTCCTCCATAATAGCTCTGTCTCCTTACCATACCTCCATTTTTTCCACCTGCCCATTCTCTTTCAATAATACTCCACTCAAGGTTTTGGTACAACTGTTTCTGGGAAGTTATTTATGTAAAGGTTACTGATAACTTCACAGCGCTGAATCCTATTTTCAATGCTCAGTCTCTGTCTTGAAACAGCTCGTCACTTTCGTGTACTGGTCTTTAGGACAACACACTGCCTTGTGTGTGTGTGTGTTTTTTCCCTACTATACTGGTTGCTCATTCTCAGTCTGCCATTTCCTTTGCTTTTCCCTGACATCTTGATATTGTCAAATTCTGACTCAGCCTTTTACTGACATTCACTCCTTTCATACAGTGGCATGCCATTGAATGTCATCCATATATCACAGAGACTCATTTTTCATCCCTCTGTTAAAAACTTCTCTTCCAGAGCCCAGTCTCACATGACTAATAAATAGTACAGCTGGCCCTTGAAAAGCACGGATTTGAACCACACAAGTCCACTCATGCATGGATTTTCTTCCACTTCTGCCATCCCTGACACATCAAGACCAAACTCTTCTCCTCCTTCTCCTTGTCCTCATCCTCCTCAGCCTACTCAACGTGAAGGCAATGAGGATGAAGACCTTTATGATGATCCACTTCCACTTAAGAATTGTAAATATATTTTCTCTTTCTCATGATTTTCTTAGTACCATTTCCTTTTCTCTAGCTTACTTTATTATAAGAATACAGCATATCACGTGCAAAATATGTGTTGATCGACTGTTTATGTTATCAGCAAGGCTTCTGGCCAACAGTAGGCTATTAGGAGGAGAGTTTTGGGGGAGTCAAAAGTAAAATGTGGATTGTTGAGTGTGGATGGGGATCAGTGCCCCCAACCCTCATGTTTTTCAAGGGTCAAATTTACTTAAAACAATTAAATTTGCTTAGCACTGTTTTTCATGACCTCTAAAAAACTTGCCAGGTGTCTCATTAAAATTTTCTTATTTTTCAGTTAAAATATTTTCTAATTTTCATGTTTATTTTTCCTTGGTAGTAACTACTTAGAACTTTCTTTCTTAATTTCAAACATTTTAGAATTTTTGTAGTGGTGAGTCTCTGTGTTCAGAGAAGAAAAATCTGTGTGATTTTCTTCCTTTGAAAGTTATTGAAATTTGCTTTATGGCCCAGGATGTAGTCTGTTTGGTGGTCAGAACCCCAAAAACCTGAAACAGGTCTCAGTTAATTTAGAAAGTTTATTTTGCCAAGGTTGAGGATGTGTGCCTGTGACACAGCCTCAGGAGGTCCTCACAACATGTGCCCAAGGTGGTCAGAGCACAGTTTGGTTTTACACACTTTGGGGAGACATGAGACATCAATCAACATATGTAAGATGAACATTGGTTCAGCCAGGAAAGGTGGGACAACTCGAAGTGGGAAGACGGCACCCAGTTCATAGGTAGATAAGAGACAAATGGTTGCTTTCTTTTGAGTTTCTGATTAGCTTCTCCAAAGGAGACAATAAGATACGCATTTATCTCAGTGAGCACAGGGGTGACTTTGAATAGAATGGGAGACAGGTTGGCCCTAAGCAGTTCCCAGCTGGACTTTTCCCTTTAGCTTAGTGATTTGGGGGTTCCAATATATTTTCCTTTCATAGTGAATATTCTACATGTTCTAAAGAATGTGTATTTTACATTGTGGATATAAGGTTTTGTAGATTACAAGACTAGTTGATCAATAATGTTTTCCAATTTTAGATATTTACAATCTTCTACTGATTTTGTGTCTAGTTATTTTATCGGTTCCCTAGAGAAGTTTGTCAAATCTCTTATTATGTCATAGGTTTCTCTAGTTTCTTACTTGAGTTTCTGCAGCTGAATTTCCAAATGGCACTTGTTAACTCAGAATTTGAGTAACTTTTGCTGTTGATTAATAGCATTTCTGCTGATTCTGATCCTTTGAAAGGACTGCAGTTGGATGTAAAATCAAAGGAAGCAATTTGGTCAGGGGAATAGGCAAAGAAGAAACGGTGCTTTGAGGAAATGGCGTCCCCTTTAACATGTGCTAGAATTTGAAAGGTTTCCATGCAAGAGGGAAGAAGAGAGTTGTCCCCCAGCAAGTCTGCCATCTGTCACTCTAGGAATGTGTCCAGATGACTTCAGACTCTGGGAAATCAGCTGAATATTATTATCTGCCTTCTACAACTGATGTGCTGATCAATGATGAAATGAGCATAAATAGCTGGCACCAAGTGTGGTATAGTCTACACATCCAATATACCTTAGCTGCAGTTATTTTCATAGTGAGACTGTGCTGCCTGTGCTTTATCCAATTCTGTAAACTTGCCAGCAATTTCCTGTGATTTTGCTGAAAATGTTTGACCATTTCACTAGGTCTTCCTTGAAATCCATTTCATCAATAGCTTTTGTGGATGTAGACTCTCATCCACAATTTCTTTCTACTATATTTCTATGCAATCAGTTTCTCCCATCTTTGATACTTGTTATTCCTCCAGCTAAGACAGTTTGAATAGAATACTCCTCTTTCTTCGAATTCTCATTCTGATCAGAACTCGTTTATTCACATGGCTTCAAATTAGGTATACAGTTCTCAAAACCCAATCTTCTTTATGTTCACTTTTGCACTGCTATCATGTTAAGCACTACCATTCATAAAGCTCTTGTCAAATAATTATATGCTTTTACTGTAACGACTTGCAATATTACCACTGTTATTATTATATTGTGTGTCCATGCATCTTTAATAATGTTTAAACTCTTGAGAGAATCCTAGCACAGCACAATGGCCCGTTAGATGGTGATTTTATTGGAAACACTTTGGAGAATCTCATGTTTATATGAGTATATATACATGGGTATACCATCTAAGATTGTGTAAGTACACTCTAGGATTTCACACAAGGACTAAATAGTATATGATGTAAATAGTATATGATATGAATCCTAGCACAGCACAATGGCCAGTTAGATGGTGATTTTATTGGAAACACTTTGGAGAATCTCATGTTTATATGAGTATATATACACGGATGTACCATCTAAGATTGTGTAAGTACACTCTAGGATGTTTGCACAAGGACTAAATGGTATATGATGTAAAAATAGATTCTATAAATATAATATATAATATATAGATACAATATATACATTTCTAATATATAAATGGAAATATATAATATATAATATAAATATTACGTATTTTATATGTGTATGTATTTCTATTTACATACTACATTAAACATATATGTATATTTATATACTATGTACATTTTATATATGATAAATATAGAATACACAAATATATAATACATAAATACATAAATATTTACATGCATTCTATGTAATAAATAACTATTAAATATCAATAAAATATAACTTATATATAAAACATATAATATTTATATTATATATCATATATGTACATTCTGATTTATATATTACATTAAAAATATATAACAAATATATTTATATATGAAAGTTTTATATCTAATAAATATAAACAAATATATAATACATATATTTATATATTATATATTATATAATATTATTTATATGTATATATATTACATTCTCTCATAGGAGGGAGTATCAAGAACAATCTGTCATATATACACACACACATATATTCATATATACACACATACACGCAGATATATACAAACACATATATACATATATACACATACACGCATCGATATATACACACATGTATACATATATACACACATACACACATAGATATTTATACACACACACACACACACGCTTGCATAGATAGACCTACTCTGAATCTACCACTGCCTCATTAGTTATGGGGAAAAGAGGAGCTTATGGTTACACTCCGGCAAATAGGTTACAAACCTTGTTTTCCTGTGATAACGCTCGAGAAAGACGAGCCTGGCACAGAGATACAGAGAACGGGAGGGTTGTTGCTACTGTTTATAGGATGTCACACACAGCCACTGGGATAATGTAAAACTCGAGGTCTGCCACCTAATAAAGGCCATGTTTTTATTAATGTTCTCTAAGCTGGGACTAATGATGGCCCATGATAGAAGATTGATCATATATGCAGAGAAGCATGTTGGATCCCATGTGCAAAGGGATGCTGACTCCTGTGAGAGAGACCCAGAGAAAAGCTGCCTTGGTTTGTGAAGGTTGCCGGATCCCATTTCAGTTACATTGTTGTTTCTATATGTCTACGCCTATGTGTATGTATATACAGTCATGTGTTACATAATGACAAGAATAATTCTGAGAGCTGTGTCCTTGGGTGATTTAGTTCTCGTGCGAACATCCTAGAGTGTACTTATGCAGTCTTAGATGGTACAGCCTACTACACACTTAGGCTATATGGTAGAGCCTATTGCTCCTAGGCCACAAACCTGTACAGCACAATACCATACTAAACACCACAGACAACTGCAACACAGTGGCAAGTACTTGTTCATCTAAACACTGAAAAGGTACAGTAAGAATGCAGCATCAAAGATATAAAATGGTAGCCCTGTATAGGGCAGTTACTGTGAATGGAGCTTGCAAGGCTGGAGGTTGCTCTGGGTGAGTCCATGAGTGGGTGATTAGTGGGTATGAAGGCCTAGGGCGTTACTGCACACTTTTATTTAACTGACAACATAGTAGGTTTGTTTACGCCAGCATGGCCACAATCACATGAGTAATGCATTTGCACTACAACTCTAGGAAGGCTAGGACAGCACTTTATAATAGGAATTTTTTAGGTCCATTATAATCTTGTGGAACTGTCATCATATATGCAATCTGTCATTATGCAGCATATGACTGTACGTACACGTGTGTATGTGAATATACCTATACCTCCATGTATATATGTTGTATGAGTTTCCCGTGTCTGCCATTAAAATGACCACAAACTGGGTGGCTTAAAACAAGAAGAATTTCTGGCCGGGTGCAGTGGCTCACATCTGTAATGCCAGCTACTCAGGAGGCTGAGGCAGGAGAATTGCTTGAACCCAGGAGGCAGAGGTTGGAGTGAACCAACATTGCGCCACTGCACTCCAACCTGGGTGATAGAGTAAGACTCTGTCTCAAAAAAAAAAAAAAAAGAAGAATTTCTAAAACAATGGAAATGTGGTGGGCTCCTGGTGGCTCTAGGTGTCCCTTGGCTTGTGGCCATATCATTCCAACCCCAGTTTCCATCTTCACATCTTCTTCTTCCATGCGTCTCTTTATCCAATTCTTCCTCTCCTTCTCTTACAAAGACACCAGCCATCAGATTTAAGGTCTGCCCTAATCCAGTATGACTTCATCTTATGTCAATTATACCTGCAAGAATTATACAGCTATAGATTCATATGCATCCCACATGTTATGAATTAACTACTAACATAGGTTTGAAGAAACAAAATAATTCTAGACATAAAGCAGCAGTCATTTATAGCAATAAAAATATAAGTATAGAAGAGAGAATGCAGAGAGGCTGGAAGAAGAAATGACTCTCCAAGAGAATGCACTCATGGCGGTAAGGGGCTGCCAATCTATTCCCCACCACTGTGGGAATCTCCAACAGAGCTGAACCTGTTAAGCCAGAGAAGCTTAAGGTTTTACCATTGCTTAGCTTCCATAATAATTTATGTCTAACTAATGTTCATTTAGGCAGAGACACTTTAAAATACTAAACTCAGCATTTATAAACTTTTTATATAAGTTGTGTGAGGCTATAAACACACCCAGGTTCAGCTGCTCACCACTTGAAAGCAAAAACTTGAGAGATGAGGCTTCATGGGAGGAAAAACAGGTTTATTCGGAGAGCTAGCAAACCAAGAAGATGGTGGACTAGCATCCTAAAGTACCTTCTTACGTCAGTACAAATTTCAGGCTCTTTCTGTGTTAAGGGCGGGGGAAGAGACATGTGTTAAGGTTGGGATCAAGACATGACCCCAGACATGTGTTCACCAGCAAGGGTTCCAGGAAATTGAGAACTTTGTTGTCCTTGGTCAGTTCATTCCAATGCTCCTATAAATCTCTAACAAAACATATTTCGTTGTCTACATACTTCTCCTTTAATCCCAGAGTTAGTTTTACAAACTACATGATTGTTGCTTTTGAGCCAGGCCTGGTGGCTCATGCCTGTAATCCCGGCACTTTGGGAGGCCAAGCTGGGTGGATCACTTGAGGTCAGGAGTTCAGCCTCCCAAAGTGCTGGGATTACAGGCATGAGCCACTGCACTCAGCCTTTTTCTTATTTATTTTTGAGACAGGGTCTCACTCTGTCACCCAGTCTGGAGTGCAGTGGTGGAATCATAGCTCACTGCAGCCTCAAACTCCCAGGCTCAAGTGATCCTCTCATCTCAGCCTCCCAGGTAGATTGAACCACAGGTGCACAGCACCACACCTGGCTAATTTTTTTTATTATTTGTACATACGGGGTCTTGCTCTATTGCCCAGGCTGGTCTCCAATTCCTGGGCTGAAGTGATCCCCCCATCTCAGCCTCCCAAAGTGCTAGGATTATGGGTGTAGGCCACTGTGCCAGCTTCTTGTTTTATTTCTGTAGCTCCAGGGAGTACATGTGCAGGCTTGCTACATGCATATATTGCATGGTGGTGGGGTTTGGGCTTCTAGAGTGTCCATCAGCTGAATAGTGAATATTGTACCCAAAGGTAACTTTTCAACCCTCACCTTCTGGTGATCATTTTTATTTGCCTGCTGTATGAGTCCGTTCTTGCACTTCTATAAAGAAATGCCCGAGGCTGGGTGATTTATAAAGAAAAGAGGTTTAATTGGCTCATGATTCTACAGGCTGTACAGGAAGCATGATGGCTTACGGGGAGGCCCCAGGAACTTTCAATCATGTCGGAAGGAGGAGGAGAACGAGGCATGTCTTACATGGCCAGAGAAGGAGGAAGAGGAGAGGTGGGAGGTGCTACACACTTTTAAACAACCAGACATCGCGAAAACTCACTCACAGCAAGAGCACAAGGGGGAAGTGCTAAACTATATTAGTGAGCAACCGCCCCCATGATCCAATCACCTCCCACCAGGTCCCACCTCCAACATAGGGGATTACAATTTAACATGAGATTTGGGCAGAAACACAGATCCAAACCATACACTACCCACCTCCCGAGGCTTACACTTCATCTTTTAAAGCATTGATAACCTACTTGCGTTGATAGCTTTGTTGACCTCTTAGTTACCCAGGAGAATGTCTGAGGACGCTGTATACATAAGATTCTGTAGCCAGACTGAATGAGTTATTTAGTAAGACCACATTGCTCTATGTGTCATTTATAATATTGTGTAGCAAACCTTGTAGACAGAGAAATCTTATTATTTTAAATAATGGAACTGTGACCTCCTTAGAGGAACTCTCAGGCCTGAGGGTTGCTGTTTCTCCACTGTGTGTTGCAAAGCCAATTACAATTACATGGGAAGCAAGAAAGCCTTCAGAAATTTGTAATTAAAGGCAAATCAAAAATCACTAAAATTCAAAATTCTGACCTTGTCTGCACCTAAGAAAATAACAAATATACACACACATACACACACATGACAAAAGTAACTGACCCATTCAGAATCAGTGTTAGATTTAAATATATCTTTCTCAGAAACAGTTTGATAAGAAGAAAGTAACTTAGAAAATATGTGTATACAAACTAGAATAAATAGTTGCACTGAAGGACTTTGATATAACATTTCATACAGGAACAATTACAAATATATTACACTAACAATAAATCCTAACACATACAACAAAAATAATACTGTTATTATTATTGTCTGGCAACACTGTAGTAAAATTAGAAATTGATAACAAAAGTCAATAAAAAGCACATCATATAGTTGGATGGTAATAATGCTCACCCGCTTCTAAATAATTCAGGAGTCCAAAAGAAAAAAACAGATTTTTTCAGACTGGAAAGACGTTGACACAGTAATCCCTGTGATATATGACAAAAGCAGAATGTTAAGTGTAAAAGATGAAAATAATTTAAAATTAGGAAAAAAACATATAAAAAACAAACATAATAAAAAGAAAACAAATGGAAAATTAAGTAACTGTGTTGTGTGCAATGGACTGGTGGAGAAAATCAATATAGCAAATAAAATGTAAAACACTAGCTAATGAAACAGAGTAATAGTATAAGAAAACATTGGCAAGACTTCCCTACTAAGAAAGAAGCATAAACAAACATTAGTATGCATGAAAAATGAGACACTAGCTTAGACAGAGATTTAAGAAAATCATGACAGAATATAATGAATAATTTTTATCACATAGACGGTGTCCTTGAAACAGTAAAACACCCCAACACAGGTAAGAAGACATTTAAATCCTCAAACTTTATTCATTAATGATTCTCAATAATTCACTAAAATGCGTGACATTATCTGGGGTTTTGGTAGTACATGTAGCTGAAACGAGCCGGTCCTCAGTTGATAATTATTTAAGGTAAGTACTTGGCAGTTCATTACACTAGTGTCTCCACTTTGGAAAAATGCTTAAAAAATCCCCCCTCCTTTTGTTTTAAAACTCATGTTCCCAAAAGAATACCAGATCTGGATTATTTTGCAAGACTATTCTATCAAACTGAACTGACAGGGGAGTTTCTTTTAATTTATAAGTGGTCACTTTTAAAGATTCTGTGAGAATCAGGGCTGGGTGCAGTGGCTCAGCCCTGTCACCCTAGCACTTTGGGAGGCCAAGTAGGGGGCAGATCACTTGAGGTCAAGAGTTGGAGACCAGCTTGGCCAACATGGTGAAACCCTGTCTCTACTAAAAATACAACAATTAGCCAGGCATGGTGGCGCACGCCTGTAATCTCAGCTACTCAGGAGGCTGAGGCAGGAGAATCACTTGAACTCGGGAGGTGGGGGTTGCAGTGAGCCGAGGTCGTGCCACTGCACTCCAGCCTGGGCGACAGAGTGGGACTCTGTCTCAAAAAAAAAAAAAAAAAGTTTCTGTGAGAATCAAAGGCTTTCAGAGAAAGATAAGAATTCCACAATCCCTGCACCTATTCAAAACTATATTTGAGGAACTATCCCCTGCAAAATGACAAGAAAATACCAGAAATACCTGAATGTTTTTTTAAAAGTATCAGGGCCAGGTGTGGTGGCTCAGGCTGTATTGTCAGCACTTTGGGAGGCCAAGGAGGACAGATCGCTTGCATCCAGGAGTTTGAGTTGAGCCTGGGCAACATGGTGAAACCCCATCTCTACAAAACATACAAAAATTAGCTGGGTATGGTGGCACATGCCTGTGGTCCAGCTACTCAGGACACTGAGGCAGGAGGATTTCTTGAGCTTGGGAGGCAGAGGTTGCAGTGAGCTGAGATGGCGCCCCTGCGCTCCAGCCCGGGTGACAGAGCAAGACTCTGTCTCAAAAAAAAAGTATAAAAATGATACACATTATAATAAGCAGGCATGAGAATCTATAAAACATTAATATTAATGTGACTACTCAGTAATTAGCCAGCATCAGTATCTTTCTTCTATACTAGGAACAACCAATTAAATAATCCAATTTACATTTATTATTTAAACTAATAATGAAAATATAAAGTTACCGGAGAGAAGGATCATGCATTTTTGTCCAGATATAATTAATTGCAATAGCTGTAAATTGGCAACAACTCAAATATGTAGTAAAATATAATAGAATGAATAAATTGTAGAATATGAATATAGTGGAATATTATACAGCAGAGAAATGAATCAAGCATATTTACAAATAGCATAGATAAACCTTCCAAACAAATGTTGAGGAAAATAAGTAATGTAAACCAAATATCACACAAAGCAAACTGCATGGTTCCAATTTTATAAGGTATCAAAACAGGCAGAGTTAATTGAACATGCTTGGCTTTGGGGAGAATAGAATGAGTAGCGACAGAGACAGGATGTGAAGGGTATTTCTGAGGTGCTGTCAGTATTCTATTTATCGACATAAATGGTTAGTATATGGGTGTGTTCTCTATGCTAATGCATCCAGTGGGTTACTAGGTATAATTTCAGTATTTAGGTTATATGTTGATCTAAAGCTAAAGGCAACTTGGTCATGTTTATGGATGTCTGTTAAATATTTTCTTTGCATTTTAAAATAAATTCACTGTGCAAATTTAAGAGTCATTATTACAAGTAAAAAAGAGTCATTGAGTTCTGCCAGTTCTATTGCCTTTTAGAATGGCAGTGATATACTATATTTGTAAATATGAGAAGATGTAGAATTAAAAGTTGACTAGTAAACTACTGCATTGGTAGGGAAATTCGACTCCAGGTGGAAGCAGATTCAATATATTAGTAAAAGATTATTGGCCTACCTCAGATTCAAGTATTACCACACATCCTGAAATGTGTGTAAATATCCTTAAATACAGGCCTTCAGATTATTCCAGCAACATAGGGACCTGATAGTACCGTGATTTCTGCAAGTTATTAGAAGGAATAATCAGGATCTGTATTTATCAAAGAAATAAACAAGTTTCCTGTAATCCTAGTGAGACCCTGGGCAACAAGTTAAAACAACTTAAAAAGCTTAGGCTGGGCGTGGTGGCTCATGCTTGTAATCGTAGCACTTTGGGAGGCCGAGGTGGGCCGATCACCTGAGGTCAGGGGTTCGAGACCAGCCTGGCCAACATAATGAAACCCCGTCTCTACCAAAAATATAAAAAAATTAGCTGGGTGTGATGGCACGCACCTGTAATCCCAGCTACTTGGGAGGCTGAGGCAGGAGAATTGCTTGAACCTGGGAGGTGGAGGTTGCAGTGAGCGGAGATCTTGCCACTGCACTCCAGCCTGGGCAACAGAGCGAGATTCCGTCTCAAAAAAAAAAGTATTACATTTTTATATAATGAATTATAGATTTTAGGAGGAGAAACACATACTCTCTCTCCACACACACACACAAACACACACACACACTTTCATATATAGTTATCATGGATGACATTTGGATTTAGAGAGAGAGATGAGTTGGAAAGTAAATAAAAGTAAACACATAAATTCTCTCAGAACTATCAATACTTACTTCAAAGGCCACCATTTTTGCAGAAGTTAAAATACCCATATTTTAAGAAAATTTAAACATAGGGAAGGTGATATTGTACAAATGAGGCAAATTTCTACAAACATCTCTAATGTTTCTAATTCTTAGCTTCGAATTATTAACTGTAAGTGAGAAACTTTTAGAAGTGACTTCATTTAAGAAAAAAATTTACCCAACAATTTTCAAAACATGCAGAGTCGTTCATGTACTTAATTTGATTTTAAAAATTTGAGTGTGGCCTGGCACAGTGGCTCACGCCTGTAATCCCAGCACTTTGGGAGACCGAGGCAGGCGGATCACCTGAGGTTGGGAGTTTGACACCAGCCTCACCAACATGGAGAAACCCCGTCTCTACTAAAAAATACAAAAATTAGCCGGACGTGGTGGCGCCTGCCTGTAATCCCAGCTACTCGGGAGGCTGAGGTAGGATAATCACTTGAACCTGGGAGGCGGAGGTTGCAGTGAGCCGAGATTGCACCATTGCACTCCAGCCTGGCAACAAAAGCAAAACTCTGTCTCAAAAAAAAAAAATGACTATATTTGTTGTTTTTAAACTTTTCATGTGCTGTGACTTTATGGACATTCTGAAGGGTCTCAGAATGGAATTTTGACATGTTTTAGTTTGCAAAAATGGACGCCACACATCCGCTTTTAGAGGTAAGAGAATTATTAGAAAAAGGTTTTGCTCCCTTCATGCGGGCTATGACTGCAGAGGCCCACTGTCCCCAAGTCTAAAGAATGCTCTTCCAAATTATGGAACTGAATTTTAAACATGTTTCATAATCTGCTCCATAGCGTACATTAAGTACAGGTGTTGATGTAGGCATTATGTGTGATGCCTACATTTGTCCCCAGGAATTACACGTACGTGGTGCCTGTTAGCACTGCCTGCACCCTCACATTCACCACAGCTGCATGAACACACAGTCCCACCACCCAGCCCTGCTAACAAACTGTGGGCCCCTTCTCTATTTGGATGTGGTTATTTTTCTTTGAAACTAAATTCCAATTTCTTTTTTTTAATCTCTTCTGACCCAAATCTTCACTTGTCCTTTTTTCTCTTTCCTTTTCCTTAAAAATAAACAGAAGTTAAATGTTAGCATTAGAGATTAAAGAAGAAAAGTTACTGTTAATATTTCAATATATGATTTACAACATAGACCTTAATTCTGATGAAAAAGTTAAATAAATGACTCTGAGATTCTGGTATGTGCAATGTATACTGCATCAAGCTGTGAAGTCTATGAAGGTTTAAACCAGATACCATCAAGGTGGCGTAGTTTCACTTGTTAAATCACACATAAAATTATGGAATATTGTATGACAATAATGCTCTCTTAAGTAACAGAAATCAACAATGTATCAGATTGGTTCTGTTAGCATAGCAAAGGAATCCCACAGGTAATGATTGCGTTAGGATTTCAGGAATGAAACAATGATGAGTTTGCAATTGTAGTGAGTTGCCAGAATTCTGGCATCTAAGACGCATCATCGGTCATCTGGTCTCTGTATGAGATGAACTCTTGTGTTTCCTCGGATTGGTATTGATGGTGTTTTAAATGATTCAGTTTATAATTGAACTCTGAGAAAAAAGTACCACTGAAATCTTATTTAGAATAGTCTGTTTTGATGGTTACATCCTTGCTTTTTCTCCCTACAAGGTACATTGTCTTTCATATCATATTGTTACATTTTAATTGTCTTTCTTTAATTGTGACTCCATAATACTTCAAACACTCTAAATACTCAAGGGATGCTTTATCAAATAATTCATATTGATACAAATATGGAGCTAAAATAATGAGGCATAGAAACACCGCAAAACTTTTGTTTTTTGACTGTAATAGTCTATCAACTTCAATTAAATTGCGTTTTATCCCAGTCTACTAGGATTTTTTTACTATTACTGCTGCTACTACAAACATACACACCACATGCATACATGCCACATAAAAGCAGGAGTTTTTATATCCATCCTTGAATGTTTAAAATCATTTCATAAAGCACAGCTAAAATAATTATGGTTAGATATTTGACACTAGGTGATTGATTACACAAGACAAATACTAGAGCACATAAAATAAAAAATAGGTATAAAATCCCATCTGTGTGTGCCCCATAGGAGCTGTGTAATAAACTCATATAAAATAATTAGACATGACAGTATCAAATTTCACCAATAAAAATATTTAAGGGTATCATTGTCAACATAAACAACTCTCAAAGAGATAAATTGATAACATCAAGGTATTGGAATGGGAAGTGTGGAATGAATTATTTATCAGTCTTAATACTAACAGCATATCAATCTAAAAGGTAAATGTCTTTAAATCATCTTGGGAGGATATTGCTAAAACAGTCTTGTGGAGGAAAGCTTTGGACAGAAAAATGTTGCATTCATCAGTATACACGATTGTGGTGTTTCATGGTCATTACTTACTTCATTAAGTTCCTAAAAGATGGGTCTGTCCTTTGGGGGAGGTTTAGATGGTTTCTCTTTATTTTACTAACGAGAGTTGGGGTGTCTGAGTCTGGGCCTTGCAGATGTACTTACATATCATGTGTACACACCGCTGAACCTAATTTTCCTATCCAATAGCAAAGTGGTCAATTATACAAAATCCTCTAAGCACAGCAAGGATGATCTTGCCATTTCCTTTCACTTTATGCCTCTACTCCCAAAATACAACTGACATTCAGTAGAATTATGTAAGGCAAGGATGTATAAACTCCCAAAAGAAGGTATGAGTTTTTTTCTGCCTGGTGATAATGCCGTGCATGTATTTTCTGAAAGACAATAAAAGAAGTCTTGCTCAGATTCCTGTGATGAGCTTGCTAAGGTGCTTCTACCAAGTGTCAGAGATCCAAATGTGGAAAAAACTTTATTAAGCTTTCCGTATCAATCAATGCCCATAAGAAAGGAATTCTACTGCACCAAGGACAGAATGATTCCCAAAAGATCTGATACAATTTTTGGAAACTTAGCATGTCTGCAGTATCTTGATGCAAAGCCTGTGATACGTTATGTGTCCATTTATTAGATGAAAAAAAAAGCCGTACATTGAGGTATTTCAGGACATCACAACTCAAGGTAGTGGAAGAAAGTCTAATTTTAAACTGAATTGACCAGTTTTTCTTACGTCAAATTAACCAATTGGTTGTTTCGCTTCACTGGGTCATCAAGCTATTTGAAACATATTCAATAGCAGTTTTCACATTGAAACCAGAAAACAAAAAACTGCACTGCTTGCATTATAATTATTATTCACCAGTGTCTTGAATGGGGACAACTAGAGTCAATAAACAATCTTTATTTCCATCCAAGTTGGTCTTAAACTCTCATGATTTTCTCATATTTTCACTTTTGTGTTTCTTTTGCTTTTTATTTACTCACCCAGTCCCCTCTCACCCACTCCTCTCCTTTCTCAAGACCCTCTCTTGTGCTCTTGGAACTGTTCCTCCGAAATAGCATTTTTTTTTCATATTCAATTACTTCTTTAAGCAGATCTTCCACCTCCGTCCCGTAACCTGCCTTGACCCTGAGGACACCATCTGTCCTCCAGCCCTTTAAAGTGAGTGTGAACTTTCCTGTCCTATAGCATAAATCCCCTTTATATACTTCATTGCTCTTCAATGTATCTTCCAATCCATTGCTTTTTTTTAACTTACAAATGCAAAGAAAATCAAAAGCACAAATATGAAATAACACACAAGCCAGGTTCCCTTCATATTCAGTTCCCTGTGACTTTTGTGGACACAATAAGCTCTTGAACTTCTTACCATTGCTCAAGCTGAGACCAGTGGTTTTTACTAATGAGAGTTGAGGTGTCTGAGTCTGGGCCTTGAAGATGTATTTACTTATCAGCTGTACATGTCGCTGAGCCTAATATGGCCAGCCCACTCAAAGCCACACCTTCTTAATTCCTTAACCATTTCATTCATTGCCTAGGCAGGGTCCTTGTTAGTTTCAAACAGAATGCTTTTTTTTTTTTTTCCAGGAACAAAGCATTCATGCCAAGCAAAAGATGTTCTGTATTTTGACTTGTTTCTAAATATTTATTTTCTATTTTATGTTTCTTCCACATGGTCTGTCTTGCTTTTTAAAGATCTCTTTAATTAAAAAAAAATCTTTTTCTATTTTTCTACTCGATGTGTTCTAGATTACAGGTTATCTGACAGTATTTTTCCCCAAACATGTTTGAAGGATGAATTTAAGCAATATTTTTTTTTTCTGCTGAACATCAAAAGGGGCTTAGAAAACTTGAAGCCTGGACATTTCATTTCTAATTTATGTGAGCTGATGTTGTCATATGTTTTTAGTTAGTTCTATCTTATTATACTTCAATTTCCATAGTGCATTATCATTTTCACTGAATCGAGTCAATGTGTGTTTAGATTTAGCTACATATTGGCCACCTTCAATATTCTTCGTTTTCCTTGTTTCTCATACTTTGAATCTGAATTGTGCTCTTCCTTCTTGAGACATTGCCACAAAATTCAAATAATGTTAAGAACTTCTTTGAGACTTTGCCACCCACCACTAAAATAAATTCTAAAAGGATCTTTTTGACTTCGTAAACTATCTTCACTTTGACCTTCCTCCTGAAGGGTATTTTGCTGGATTTAGAGCTGTACATTGAGGTTATTGTGGAGAAATCAGACCTCAGTTGAATTGTTATTACTTTGTTTTTCTTTTTAAAAATTGTTTTCTTACTTGTAAGATCTTTTCTTCGCCTTGTTTCTCTGAATTTGTAGCCTATACTTTTTCTAGGTCTGAGTCTGTACATATGCTGTTTGGATTGCAGGTTTTTTAACTGAGAATCAGTATCTTCAATTAATTTGATAAAACCATTAGGCAATCACTTGAAAGATAGTTTCACGCCCTCCCATTTTTCTCACCTCTCCCCCTAAAGCCTTGAATAGCTACATTTCAAGCATCTTCATTTTATTATTTTATATTTCTTAAACTCACTTTTCAGTTGTTCATCCCTTAGTCTCACCATAGTTGGGTCCTTTATTTAAATGTTTCACACCATCAGTCACTTTCTGGCCCCTCCTCTTAGGAGCCCTTTCTTGCTTTCACTCCCTTTTTCATTTATTTAGATGCATTTATATACGGAAGAAGCATACTTATTTTACGTTTTACCTCTGATCATTTTTACATTTGGAAGCTTTGTTGATTTGACTGTTTTTCTTCTTTCAATTACATCTCCTCTGTGTTGCATGAATTGGGCCACAGACTCTGTAGTCAACTCTCATTTATCTGTTGAAATTCTTTGAAAAAAATGCTCAACATCACTAATCATTAGAGAAACAAAAATTAAAATCCCAAGAGATAAAATTTTTCCCTAGTGAGGATGGCTATTACTAGAAAGACAAAAAATAACAGATGATAGTAAGGCTGTGGAGAAAAAGGAACAGTTATACACTGTTGGTGGGAATGGAAACTAGTACGATGTCTTTGAAAACAGGACAGACCTGTCTCAAAAACCTAAAAATAGAACTGCCATTTAACCCAGCAATCCCACTACTGGGTATCTACCAAAGGGAAAGAAATCATTATATGAAAAAAAAAGACACCTGCACTTGTATGTTTATTGCAGCATTATACACAATAGCACAGATATGGAATCAACCTAAGTGTACATCAACAGAAGATTAAATAAAGAAAATGTGGTATATATACACCATGGAATACTATACAGCCGTACGAAATCATGTATTTTGCAGCAACATGGTTGGAACAGGAGGCCATTATCTTAAATGAAGTAAGTCAGAAAGTCAAATACCACATGTTCTCACTTATAAGTGGGAGCCAGACAATGGGTACACATGGACATAAAGAGTGGAGTAATAGACATCAGAGACTAGGAAGAGTGGGAGGGTGAGGAAGGCCAGGGATAAGAAATTACCTAATGGGTACGATGTATATTATTCTGGTAATGCTTATACTAAAAGCCCAACTTCACCTCTATATGTTCACCAAGCATATCCACCTCAATGGATATGTTTATCCCTGTAACAAAACTGCAGTTGTTCCCCTTAAATGTAAACAAATAAAATAAATAAATGAGTACATAAATAAATACACATTTTTAAAAGGAAGTAAAAATCGATACATTCTTTGAAACCCGTGACAAAGGTAGATTTGTTTGTTTGTTTGTTTGTTTGTTTTTGAGATCGAGTTTCACTTTTGTTGCCCAGGCTGGAGTGCAGTGGCACGATCTCGGCTCACTGCAACCTCTGCCTCCCGAGTTCAAGTGATTCTCCTGCCTCAGCCTCCCGAATAGCTCGGATTACAGGCATGCACCACCACACCCGGCTAATTTTGTATTTTTAGTAGAGATGGGGTTTCTCCATGTTGGTCAGACTAGTGTCGAACTCCTGACCTCAGGTAATCCACCCACCTCGGCCTCCCAAAGTGATGGGATTACAGGCGTGAACCACCATGCCCAGCCAACAAAGGTAGATTATGAAAGCCATTTTGCATTCCAGGAATCTGTGCACTCACTGTTATAGCTGCAGACTTTATATTTTCATCTTAACGTTAGCACATACTTGAACAAGGCAGATAGAGTGCATTTGGGCTGAGAACCCTCTGGTGCATTCACTTCTGGTTCAAATTTCTTTGTATTTATTATTTTCTCATCACTCAATACCACAATCCCAAGGGGAAGGAATCATGCCTGTCTATGTCCTTTCCAAGATGCTGGGAGTGTAGGGTATTTCTAGTTCATGTGTTCAGTGTAGGGATAGCTCTTTGCAGTGTGGACTGTACATGGGGTGGTGGTTCTCCTGTTAACCTCCCTTTGAGTGGGCTGTCAATGTTGTCTTCCCTGTTCCATATGCAGTCACAATTATTAAAACTCAGCGAAATGAGTGTTTAATAGGAAACAGCTTCAAGATCCTTCTTTTTTTTTTTTTGAGATGGAGTCTCTCTCTGTCACCCAGGCTGGAGTGCAGTGGCGCGATCTCGGCTCACTGCAAGCTCCGCCTCCCAAGTTCACGCCATTCTCCTGCCTCAGCCTCCCGAGTAGCTGGGACTACCGGTGCCCGCCACCACGCCCAGCTAATTTTTTGTGTTTTTTAGTAGAGACGGAGTTTCACTGTGTTGGCCACGATGGTCTTGATCTCCTGACCTTGTGATCTGCCTGCCTCAGCCTCCTAAAGTGCTGGGATTACAGGCGTGAGCCACCACGTCCAGACCAAGATGCTTCTTATTTGTTACATTCCTGTTTCTCCTTTGCCTTTTGCTCATAAAGACTTAATGCTCTCCTGTGACCTCAGTAATCCATGATTCATGTCAAAAGATGTCTAGGGCTGGGTGTGGTGGCTCATGCCTGTAATTCCAGCATTTTGGGAGGCTGAGGGAGGAGGATTGCTTTGTCCCAGGAGTTCGAGACCAGATCAGCCTTGACAACATAGGGAGACCCTCCATCTTTACAAAAAATATTGAAAATTATCCGGGCATGATGCTGCACACCTGTAGTCCTAGCTAATTGAGAGGCTGCGGTGGGAGGCTCACTTGAGCCCAAGAGGTCAAGGCTGCAATGAGTTGTGATTGTGCCACTGCTCTCTATCCTGGGTGACAGAGTGAGACCCTATCTCAAAAAAAAAAAAAAAAAAAAAAAAAAAAAGGGAGAGAGAGAGAGAACAAGACAAGAATTCTAATAAATTTTTTCTAAATAAATATTGGATTTAGCATTTTTAGTTGTTTCCTCCCTCCAAATTTGCAGTGGTATGTTAGTGATAAGATTGGCAATGGAAATCACCATACACGCTTTTCTGTTCTTACATGACATGGCCAATCTCACCATCTTGCAGCATTTTCTTCCTTCTCTTGTGTCTGTTGCCAAAATGATGATCTGGTTTTCCCATGACCAGGACAGATGTAAACCCCCTTTTTTCTATGTCACTGGCCCTTTTTCCTCAGCTTATTACTGAATTGTTAGAATACCCAGAATCAGGAACTGATTCCTTCTCTCTCTACACACCCTGATTACCTAATTTCATCTAGTTGCGTGGCTTTGGCTTTTAATATCATCAGTGTGATAATAACTCCCCAAACTTTGCTTGCAGCCCTGAACTCTCTATTCAAGTCAAAACCTGTAAAGTTTCCAGCTTCTTGCATAATTCCGTTTGATTGTTTAATAATTATCTTGCATAGATTCTTGGAGGGGCCAAATGAAGTATCACATCCCTCTTTCTCAGTTGAGTTCAGCATTCCCAGGAAGCCAGCCCAGGATCCAGCTTTATCCTTGTTTAATTTACTAACGGTGTGTGACCTTTGGTTTGTGGGGGTCCGTCCATGGAAAACAACATCATCTTGTGACAAGAGAGAGAAAATAGATTCTATTGCTTCTGAGGTTAATAAGCCTCACAAAATAGGAGGAAGATTAGAGGAGAAGGAGATGTTAAGTCTCTTCCCTGAAACTCTTCAAGTCAGACACCTCACTTCTCCCATGGATAAGGAAAGGATTGGCCAGTCCTCAAGGAAACTTAAGGAGTAGGGAAAATTATTTATAAAACTATCTAAAATTAACAAGGATAAATATAAACGGTATAATTCTCCACACAGGGAATTCCCAGTTTCATGAAAGGGCACCATTATCTGCTTAATTTTTCAAATCAAGGACATAGAAGTAGATATTTGCACACCCGTGCTCATAGCAGAACAATTCACAACAGCCAACATGTGGAAGCAACCCTAGTGTCCATCAAGGGATGAATGGATAAGCAAAATGTGGTCTATCCATACAACATTTAATGAATGGGAGTCATTAAAATGGATAAAAGTCTGACACATGCTACAGCGTGGTTGTACCTAGAGGACGTGACACTAAGCAAAACAAGCCCATCACAAAAGGACAAATACTGTATGATTCCACTCATATGAGGTACTGAGAATCGTCAGAATCATAGACAGAAGGTAGAATGGGGGATGCCAGGGAGTGTGGAGAGGGGTCAAATATAACGGAGATGGATGGTGGTAACGGTTATACAACAAAGGGAATGTACTCAGTACCATAAATTGTGCACTCAAAATGGTTAGAGAAAGAAATTGTAGGTCCAGCGCGGTGGTTACCATCTGTAATCTCCACACTTTGGGGGACTAAGCCAGGAGAATCACTTGAGTCCAGGAGTTTAAGACCAGCCTGGGCAACATAGCAAGACCTTGTCTATACCAAAAAGATTTAAAAATATAAAAATTAGCTGGGCACGGTGTCATGTCCCTATAGCCACAGCTAGTCAAGAGGCTGAAGGGGAAAGATCGCTTGAGCCCGGAAGTTTTAGGCTGCAGTGAGCTATGTTTGTGTTACTGCACTCCAGCCCAGGCAACAGAGAGAGATCTTGTCTCAATTTTTTTTTTTTTTAAAGAAAGCAAGAAAGTGAATTTTATGGTATGCATATTTTAATATAATAGAAAAATTAAAAATCAGTAGTTGCCTTTGATTCTTTTGTTGATTACTTCTGATCAGTACGTGTGTCCTGATACCTCTACTCTGATTAATACCATTATCCCATCCACTTTGTCTCACTTACACCATGGCAAAACCTGCTTCAGAGACTCTCAGCCTCCATGCTCCGTCTCCTATAACCCATTCTTTACATAGTAGTCAGTATGATTTTGTAAAAATATAAAGCAGGTCATTATGCCCCAGAGCTCAATAGGAACTATTGACTTTCCATCACATAGAATATAACATTCAAGTCTTTTGTATTTGTGATCAAAGCAATAAATGATAAGCTTGTCTACACATGCTACTTAAACTCTTAATTTTCTCCACCAATTCAGTATGCCCTGGTTACTCTGCCCTTCTTTTGGTTCCTTGAGCTCACCAAAGTTATTTAGCTAAAAATGTTTGTGCTGTGGGATTGGTTTCCACCTCCATGTGATGGAGTGGAAGCTCCTGCCTGTCACTCCCTGTCCAGCCTAAATTTCTCCTCTTTAATAGTACTGCTACAATCTGAATGTTTGTGCCCCAAACTCAAATTCCTATCTTGAAATCATAATCCCCAAGATGATGGTGTTAGGAGGTGAGGCCTTTGGGAGGTGATGAAGTCAGGAGGGTGGAGCCTCATGAATGGGATTAGCGCCCTTATAAAAGGGACCTCGTGGAGCTCCCTCGCCCCTTTCACCATGTGACGACATAGTGAGAAGGTGCTGTCTATGAACCAGGAAGCAGGTCCTTACCAGACACTGAATCTGCCATGCCTTGATCTTGGGTTTCCAGCCTCCAGAACTGTGAGAAATAAATGCCTGTTGTTTAAGCCCCCAAGTCTATGGTGTTGTCATAGCCATGCAAAGTATCACAGGTACCTTCTGTTATCACCTAGCACAGTCTCTTTCATCCTCACATCTTTCTTTTTTTTTTCTTAGACGGAGTCTTGCGCTGTCGCCCAAGCTCTGGACTGCAGTGGCGTGATCTCAGCTCACTGCAACCTCTGCCTCCAGGGTTCAAGCAATTCTACTGCCTCAGCCTCCTAAGTAGCTGGGATTACAGGCGCAAGCCAACATGCCCAGCGAATTTTTTTGTATTTTTAGTAGAGATGGGGTTTCACCGTGTTTGCCAGGATGGTCTTGAACTCCTGAACTCATGATCCTCCCACCTTGGCCTCCCAAAGTTCTGGGATTACAGGCTATGGCCACTGTGCCTGGCCTTCATCCTCACATCTTATTTGTCTGTATAGCTCCTGTTATCAGTGGTTTTTTCATATTACAAATCTACTCATTTTGAATCACCTGTTCCCAGAAATGAGGTTCTCAGAATATGCAACTGGAGAAAGCCCTCTGTCCAGTGCATCATGTAGTCTTGGTCTGAATCCTTGACCAGCACTCACTGGTCATTCTGCAAAATTTTGAGTGTTGAGTGAATGGTGGTGTGTGTCAAAATAGGCGGTCAAGACTCAAGTAGTTGACTTCCTCCTGCTGCTGCTCTCTCTAAAAAAGACCAAGTGATTTCTGGAGATTCATTCCAGCTCTTATTTAAATGAAAAGGTGTATACTTTGTGTCTTTTATGAACTGAGAGTTCTTTCTGGAATGAGTGTTTATTTATATTCTGCTCACACTGACTCCTGTTCTATTGACTCCTGGTGAAACTGAATAAAGACAGATATGTTGGCGAAAAAAGACAAGCATGCATTTGCAGAAAAGTGAAGTTCCCTCGGCCATTTTTTTTTTCCATTAGGCAGCCTGTTATGGAGCTGGGGCTGCATCTGTCCAAGGTCTTGTAGGGTGTCTTTTACTGAAGAAATCTGAGACTGGAGGCCAAAGTGCTGTCAGGGGAAGTTGTTATTCTGTTTTCAGCCTCTTAAGCATCAAAAAAAGGTACCCATCAATAATTTAGTGCCATTGTAGGTGAATTTCACCATGCTGGGTTTTAAAAGAGGAGACGTCAAAATGGACCTGCTTTAAATTATTGAATGGAACTCTTACAAGATGTGTGGATTTACATTTCATGTACATTTTTGCAGATTTTTTTTTAAATTAAACTGTTCCTTTTCTGAAGTAAATGTGACATCTTAAAAGTAGGATTAATGCAGAAGTATACAGATAAAAAACAATGGAAATTAAATTTTGCAAGAAGCAGTATGTTTCTATGCATGTAAAAGGTGTATGTGTTTAAAAATTATGTGTACATAGGTATACTTTACAGACGGACAAAGATGCACACACACACACACGTTTACTGAGAAGAGAGAGAGAGAAAGAACATTAAGAGGCAACAAAGTTCTTAAACAAACACATTAGAGCATTCAATACACATTCCGTATGATGCTGCCTCTTTTTTTTTTTTTAAGAAGAAAACAAATAAATTTTCCAAACAGAATTTTAGTAAGGTAGGAGATTAGGTTTATACCAGAACAAGTGGTCAAGTACTTAGTTATGAGATGTTTGAATTCTGTTTTCTTCTCTAATACATTTAGACATCAGATCTATGTAAAAAATTGCTTCATTAATAAATTCAGTGAGGTGTTATTTGGATACTTGCAACTCAGTGCTTAACGTTCTAGGATTAGTCATAATCATTATGTTTTGAAGGTGAACCAATTAAGCACAGTATCTATTCTAAAATTGAACTATCGTCAAATGTGGATGGTCCATAAATATTTGGCACTTAGCTGAGTGCAGTGGCCCATGCCTGTAATCCTGATACTTTGGGAGGCCAAGGTGGGCAGATTGATGGGCCCAGGAGTTCGAGACCAGCCTGGGCAACATTTTAAAAAAAAATACAAAAATTAGCTGGGTGTGATGGCACAGGCCTGTAGTCCCAGCTACTCAGGAGGCTGAGGCAGGAGGATGGCTTGAGCCTGAGAGTTTGAGGCTGCGGTGAGCCAAGATTGCACCACTTCGCTCCAGCCCAGATGACAGAGCGAGACTCTCTCAAAAAAAATGGCACATATATAATCATTATTTTGAGTAATGCCTTATAATGTTGCACTGCTCTAATTATCTGTCATAAAATAGGGCATTTTAACCATACGGTTTCTAGTTGTTCTGGGAAAATATCTTCAATCTGGATGATCTACAATCATTGTTCATGGTATAAATGGCCTCTGGTCTCAAGGCCAAGCTTACTGAATAGCATACGGATGCCCTTTTGTCCTTCTTCTCTGATGTGTGTTGCTTTATTGGCTATTATCCAGATTCCTTGCAATGCACAACACCCTATCTCTACTGATGGAGTCACTGAGCACTGTTCAGTTTTAAAATCTGTAGAGCAATGTTCAACCATTTCATTTCTGGAGCTTCCTAGAGCATGCATCATTACTGATCATTTCCTGTTGTTTGAAACTTTGTCATTCCTTTGTAGCCATAACATGATTCTCCTGTTCCTATTATTCTTCATTATTCTCTTGCTCTTGCTCCTACCTCTTCTTTTTCCAATGTAGAAGCTTCCCTGTCTCTTCTTCCTGTGTCTCTCTTTTTAAAATCAGTAGATGTTGGGATTCAACCTTCCACTGTTTTATCTTCTGTATCAGATCTCCATTTTCCCAGGTCAAATTCTCTCTCTCTCCCCTGGCTCTGATGAATCTTTCTATGCTGATGGCAGCCAAACCTGGCTATCTCATAAAATGGTCTTCTTATAATTTGGATCCTTGTATCCATCTGTCCAGTGAATATCCATCTCTCCCTGGATAAACCAAAGCCAACTCAAAATCCTTGCACATGTCCAAACTGAATTTTCATTTTTCCCTAAGTAATGTGTCATCTTCATGAGTCTTCACTCAGGTGACAATAAAACAATGTTGTGTCCTAAGACATCATTACCTCAAGGCATCTAACTATCTTTGGCAATGCTCTGTCAATTTTTCTTGTGAATATCTCTCAGGCTCACCGATTCACTTCATCCCCGTCACCAGGTACTTGTTAGTTAGGTACACAAAATTATTCTTGTGGATTCCTGAAAGTCTTGTCACAGTTTGTTATCTGCAGACTCTCACTTATATTCATCTCAAAGAAACGAACATGATCACCTGGTCTAGTTCTTCCGACAAGCCTGGACAATATAGCAAGATCCCATATCTATAAAATGTTTTCAAAAAAATTAGCTGGGTGTGGTGGTGTGCACCTGTGGTGCCTGCTATTCAGGAGGCTGAAGTAGGAGGATCCCTTGAGTCCAAGAGTTAGAGGCTGCAGTGAACAGTGACGGTGCCACTGCACTCCAGCCTGGGGAACAGAGTGAGACCCTGTCTCAAAAAAATAAATAAAATAAAAATCTTTGTTGGTTAGTGCCCCTAACAAAATATCCACATTAGGCTGGGCATGGTGGCTCATGCCTGTAATCCCAGCACTTTGGGAGGCCAAGGTGGGTGGATCACCTTAGGTCAGGATTTTGAGACCAGCCTGGCCAACATGGTGAAACCTCATCTCTACTAAAAATACAAAAGTTAGCTGGGCATGGTGGTGCACACCTGTAATCCCAGCTATTCAGAAGGCTGAAGCACGAAAATCTCTTGAACCTGGGAGGCGGAGGTTGCAATGAACCAAGATCGCACCATGGCACTCCAGCCTGGGCGACAGAGTGAGACTCTGTCTCAAGAAAAAAAAAAAATCCATATTATTTATCATAGCCCATGCTAACTCTACCCCTTTCTTCTTACTGTTTTCTAGCCTTGAAAATAGTGTTCTATTTACTGCTGTGACAAATGACTGCAAACCTAGTGACTTAAAATAGCCCACATTTAGCCTATAATCCCAGTGACTCAGTAGGCTGAGATGGGAGGATTGCTTGAGCCCAGGAGTTCCAGGCTGCAGTGAGCTCTGATCATGCCACTGTGCTCCAGCCTGGGTGACAGAGCAAGATCCTATTTTAAAAAAAAAAAAAAGCTCAGATATTATCTTACATTTCTGGAGGGTGGATGTGTTGACATTGGACTCAGTGGGCTAAAATCAAGGAGTTGGCTAAGTGTTCAGTTCAGCGGCATGCAGCACATGCACATGGTTGAGGAACCATTGCCTCCATTCACCTCCAGAAGTTTTGCATCTTCCCCAGCTGAAACTCTGTATCCATTGCAACACTAATCCACATTGCCCTTCCCCAGCATCTGCAACCTTCATTCTGTGGCAGTCCAGGCCTCACTAACAGCTGAGCAGGCAGGCCTCCGTAATAACTGTTTCAGCACTGACTGAGTGGTGAAGTTAAATATTAAAAGCTGAAAGAGCCAGTGTCCTTATACAAAGGCTAGAATGTAACAAAAGCCCATCAAGAGTTTTTTGCCCAGGCCTCTCCTGGGGCTTGAAGCATGACAAGATTTTTAACAAAGGAATTCTTAACAGGACCCATTTAGGATTAAACAAGTTTTATTGGGGGTCTGAAGAAACTCCCCAGACCTCCACAAACAAGTTTTATTGGGGGTCTAAAATAGCTCCCCAAACCTCCATGATTTAGCAGGAGACAAGATAATGGTAATCACCCCAGTACCTGGACCCATTTAGATTAAGTCAACTTACTGAAGCTCCAGAAGAAGGTCTTCAGGACTCAGACCTTAGTTATAGATTAGAAGAAGTTAATTACTTATGTCTTTAGAAGAATGCACACTTGCACATAGACATATAGATTAGAAGGTACATAGGCTCTGGAAAACTAATTTGGAGTTGGTCTAGCTGTATTTTCCAGGCCTTCTACCCGTACATGGTTACAGAAATAAACTCTCTTCTTTCTCAGTTCATCTGCAGCTCGTTATCGGGCCAGGAGAATAAGTAGCCCGACCCTTGGTTTGGTCCAGGAACAATTCTACTTTCTGTCTTTATGAATTTGACTATGCTAGGTTCCTCAAATAAGTGGAATCCTACAATATTTGTCTTTGGAGGACTGGCTTATGTTAGATCAAGTTTAGCCTAAAGCTGCCGCCTTACATATTTTAAGTTCGGCCTAAATGTTCTTCTGTACATCGTGAACTATAACAAGTGGAGGTGTAAACAGACGGTGGCCTACACTTAGCCAATCACCAAGTTTTGGCTAATCAAATTTATCCAACTGTTCGAACTGTGTTCAAATAAGGCAAACGCTGAGCTGTAACCAATCCACCTGTTTCTATACATCACTTCTGTTTTCTGTCCATCACTTTCCTTTTTCTGTCCATAAATCTTCTTCTACCACATGGCTGCACTGCAGTCTCAGAGCCTACGCTGGCTTGGGAGGCTGCCTGATTTGTGACTTGTTCATTGCTCAATTAAACTCTTAAATGTAATGCAGCTGAAGTTTTTCTTTTATCACCCTTTTTCACTCAGCATAATGTCCTCAAGGTTCCTCTATGCTGTAGCCTGTGTCAGAATTCCCTTCTTTTGTATGGCTTTCATGGTTTGTCTAGACCATCATTTGCTTATCCATTCATCCACCAGTGGACATTTGTGTGGCTTCCATTTTTTGGTCATTGTGAATACCTCTGCTATGAACATGGGTGTGCAAACATCTGAGTCCCTGCTTTTAATGATTTTGGATATGTATCTTGAAGTGGAATTGCTGGATTATACGGTAATTCTGTTTTGGGGGGGAGTTTTGTAGCCTCCATACTGTTTTCCACAATGGCTGTGCTAATTCATGTGCCCATCAACAATGCACAGGTGTTCCTAATTCTCCACATCTGTGCCAAATTCTCCACATCCATGCCAATACTTGTTATTTCCTGGGTGTTTTTTATTTGTTTTTCATGTGTGTATGTGTGCTTGTGTGTGTATGTGTTTTATAGGACCTATCCTAATGAGTGTGAACTTTCACTGTTAAAGACTTTGTGCTCTTATACTTTATGTGTGAATGTATGTACATATGTTTGTATGTGTGTATGTAGGTAATTTTCTTTTGAGACGGGGTCTTCCTCTGTTGCCCAGGTTGGAATACAGTGGTGCAACTATAGCTCACTGCAGCCTTGACCTCCTGGGCTCAAGTGATCCTCCCACCTCAGCCTCCAAAGCAGCTGAGACTGCAGGCACACTCCACCACGTCTGGCTAATTTTTTAATGTATATTTTTATTAAAGATGAGCTCTTGCTATGTTGCCCATGCTGGTCTCCAACTTCCAGGCTCAAGTGATCCTCCCACTGTGGCTTCCTAAAGTGCTGAGATTACAGGCATGAACCACCGTGCCTGGCCCACTTTTAAGACCCTGGTAATGACATTGGAGCCCCCGGATAATTTTTCCATCTCAAGATCAGCTGATTAGCAGTGCTAATCTCATCTGCAATCTCCTTTTTAAGGCAGCACATTCACAGGTTCTAGAGATTAATGATACGAACAGGAGGCAGGGAAATATTGGGTAGAAGAAGGTGGTTTCCCCAGCAAAAGTTCCCACCCTCAAGCCTGGAAACCCACGGCCCTAAATGTTACCTTTTGGCCTGCCACGCATCCCTATCCTGTACCCATATAAACCCCAAACCCCAGACTCCACGAGCAAATGAGCAGAGGAGCAAAAGTGCGGTAGAGAGGCATAGCAGAGAAGGAGAGAAGAGAAGGAGCATCTGAACGTTGAGAGGAGTGTGGCTGGGGACAGTCAGAGAGGAGATGGGCCATGGGACGGCCAAACTCCAGGGGAAGATCATCTTCCCACTCCAACCCCTTTGCAGCTCCCCATTCATCCCACTGAGAGCCACCTCCATCACTCAATAAAATCCCTGCATTCACCACCCTTCAAATCCATGTGACCTGATTCTTCCTGGACACTGGACAAGGACCTGGGTACCAAGAGGGCAGGGTGTAAAAGGCTGTCACCCTGACTCTCCATTGAGCTGGTTTAACACTTAGCTATCTGTGGACAGCAACTACTAAAAGAGTATTAATTGTAACACGCCCCCAGACACTATTGAGGGGCCGGAGCCCAGAAGTGTTCTCGTCGGCTCCTGCACCTGCCTGTCTGCATGCTCTCCCTCCTATAAGGGGTTTGAGTGTGCAGTGGCCAAGCAAGCGAGCCACACCCCTGTCACAAGCCCTGCAGTGGGGTCAGGGAACTCTCCTGTTTCATTAAGATGTAGACATCTTTGGGGCCGTGATTCTCTAGGCCACACCTGATGATCTTCACTGCAGTAAAAACAAACTAGTAAAAGTTCACCACTCTGCTTAGTCTCAGGAATGCTCATAACATCTGTTTTCTTTTACCCAGACCCCCTTTCTACACATCTTGCAATTATCTTTCCTAATTCTGATTCATTCTTCAGGTCCCTGTCAACATGGCAATTTTTTGAAGGAGCCTCCCCTATGGTAACTTATCTCTGGCCATCTTGAAAAGCCCCCTGTGTTTTCAGTTAGAACCTTGAGGAAGATTCCTGATAATGGTCTCCTAGCTCCTGACAGCACAGCTGAAGGTATTTTTCTTCTTGAGGGAACCGATAAGATTAATAGACTGTCATTCTCAAGTGAAGGTCTCTGACTCCCTTGGAGGTAATGAACAGTGAGTGCATGTGCAGAAAGAAGCACATGCTATGTGTAGAAACCTCACCTGAGAGTGTGTTTGTTTGCGTTTACATGTCTGCTACAGAGATAGGTAGGAATCTGCTCCTCAATGACCCAAAGGAGGTAAGATAATTATAACTGGACACCAACATGGATTCATTTGGACTGCCTGGGGGAAAAGCGATATATAATTGGTAAGAACGCCTCTCTCGGTATGTTAAATTAGTTGATATATATAAAAGGCAATATTTCTTCTGTCTATCCTCATGGCATGCCAGACACTTGAGGCCGGGGGTCCAGTATGATTTCAAAGTTTTTTAAAAAGGAGGTATACAGTGAGGGAGTTCTTACATGTGTTGGATATTGGCAATGCATTTTATAGAATTACCGAAAGGTGCTTTTCCCATATGGTGCTACTGAAAATGAAAGAGAACCTGGGAGATTCTCTTTCAGAGAATCAGAAATCGGACAAACCTGTACGGTGGCAGATCCTAAAACAAGCATGGCATTGACTAGATCATTATTAATGTTGATGTTTCCAGAACTCTCTCTCTTGAATATTTGATGTATTGTACTGTTCTGGATTTTGGTAATTGTCACATCTCTGGATTTGTGCAGTTTTTGCTTTGCAGTAGGCAGAAGGGTATTTGTTCAGAGAAGAAAGAAAACAGAGAGGAGTGGAGGGAGAGGGAGAAAGGAAAGGAAGTAATATTACAGAAAGAAGAAATAGATACATCCCGAGTAATGAGAAAAGAAGGAATCTAACCCTGTAGCGTACTATGCACTCTGGAATAATAGATTTTGAAAATGCATTATTTTAAAACACCACCGTGATGCTATTCAGGCAGTGCTTCTCAATTGGAGGCAATTTTGTGCCTCTGCCCGGGTCATTTGATGTCTGGAGGCATTTTTCTTTGTCATTATTGGGGGCAAGGGGAGGAGAGCTACCGGCATCTAGTTGATAGGTGGTAGACGCTGCTAAACATTCTACAAAGCACAGGATAGCCCCCACCACAAAGAATGATCAGAATTCAAATGTCAAAAGGGCCAAGGCTGAGAAACCATGGATTAATGATGGGTTTTTTTTTTTTTTTTTTTTTGTGAAAGCTGAAAGATTTCCTTTGCTGCTTTGACACTTTTAAAGCATCTTTTAAAGGCATTCTTCTGGCCATCAGATGTTATCTAAGCACTGTTAGCAGCTGATTTGTTACTTTTGATGTAGTTATCAGTTTTCCAAAGTGCCAGTAAGACAGAATATTTAGTTAATAGGAATAAATGGATGTGTCTACAGTATGAGATGATTTTTTTTTTAATTTTTGTTACTGTGGTAGTTATATGAACAAAATGTCCATCAGACCTAATATTTAGTGTCTAGGAATAAGTGAATATTTGGTTTCTAATCATAAACATATTAACTATGTCTCATATGTAATGTAAATGTACAAATCTTGAGATCTCCTATAAAATTGATTTTAACATAGTTTTATTAGTTTCTCATACTCAGCCAAATAAAACTAATTCTGAAAAAGAAGTTTTAAATAATACAGGTTGCATTAAGCACTTGTCAAAGTCAAAGACAATCCCCTCTTTTGGTGAAACTTGATTTTTTTCGTTTTACAATTACCAAATGAGGCAGAACTTTTGATATGGGCAGGAGACAGGGGAATATTGGGTAGAAGAGGGTGGCTCCCTGGCAAAGGCCCCACCCTCAAGTCTGGAAACCTGAGGCCCTAAATAGGAATAGGCATTCCTGTTTTTGTGCCCAAAAGTTGCTTTTTGGTCCACCATGCCCCCCTATCCTGTACCCATATAAACCTCAAACCCTGGGCTCCACAAGCAGACAGGAAGCTGAACAGAAGAGCAGAAGAAAGACAGATGGCACGGCAGGGAGAAGAGGAGCATCTGAATGTCAAGAGGAGTTCAGCTGGGCATAATTGGAGAGGAGATTGGCCGTGGGACAGCCAAACTCCAGGGGAAGATCATCTTCCCACTCCAACCCCTTTCCAGCTTCCCATCTATCCCCCTGAGAGTCACTTCCACCGCTCAATAAAATCCCCACATTCACCATACTTCAAGTCCATTTAACCCGATTCTTCCTGGATGCCGGACAAGGACCCGAGTACCAAGAGGGCAGGGTGTAAAAGGCTGTCATCCTGACTCTCCACTGAGCTGGTTTAACACTTAGGTGCCAAAGGCAGCAACTGCTTAAAAGAGCATTAATTGTAACATACTCTTAGATGCTACCGTGGGGCTGGAGCCCAAAAACACTCGCCCTGGCTTCTGTACCCGCTCACCTGCATGCACCTCCTCTCCCGTAAGGGGTTTGAGCATGCAGCAGCTGAGCAAATGAGCCACACCCCTGTCACAAATCCCTCGAGGGGGTCAGGGGACTCTTCCGTTCCAAAAACATGAATAAATCCATCACTTATTTGTTTAAGTATCTGTTCCATTCACTCAATTGAACTACTATTTAAAAAAAACTAGGTCAATATTACCATACCACTTTCTACCCTTAGCTTGCAATATTTCTTCCTTTATTCTACATCACTGTTCTTTCAAAAAAAAAAAACTGGTAAAAAAAATCATTAAATATATGCTGAGATTCGATCTATGATGCTTAAGGTCTTCAATGGGGAATTCAACTGAAGTTCTCTGAACACATCTCTTGACTTTAATTCATGAAAGCTGCTTTTGTTTTGGCTTAACTGAGTATATTTGAAATTTAGGCCACTTTTTTCTTCCATTCTTTGTGTTTTTCTTTTTGTTGTTCTGTTGTTACTGTTGTTATTTTGTTTTGAAGAAATAGACCAGACATAAGTGATTCCAGACTTGAAAACAGACTCTTGCAAACAATGTGTATAGTTGAGTAACTCAGCTCGAATTAATTCAATGGAATTCACATTAACAATAATTAGAGAAGGTAATATACATTTATATTAAATTTTGATAGTATAAAATTTATAGTGTAGTATAGTATAAATTTTATAGTATAAAATTTATAGTATAGTATATAGTATAAAATTATATAGTATAGTCCTCCTCCTTTTCTTTAACCTTATAATGTGCCACTCCCTGCCTACTGGTATATGACAGATATGAGGTGTCATTTGTAAGCAGTATAACCTCGTGAACATATCAGTCAACAAGTAATCCAGCAAGCTCTGTTCTAGTGTTTGGGTTAAAAGAAGAACTGAGAAAACGAGTAAGATAAAACTCTGATTTAGGGAGATACAAACTTACAGCTAGATAGGAAGACTACTTTTGGCTGTTGTATGCCACTGTAATGAAACTGCTTTGCAAAAATTTTATCAGTGAGAAAATTATAAGCATAGAAGCCATCCAAGCTAACCCACCCCCATCCTGCCTTTCCCTTAATTATTCCTGGGCTATTGGGCCAGACTAACTTTGGAAGACAGTTAGGCTATAGTTTGTGTAATAGGGCTTGCCCAAAATTCAACGACTTTTGTAAAGCTAAAGGGAGTCCATCAGGCTGAGGGGAGTAGAGGAGCCTGATTCTGCTAAGATGTAGACATACATTGCTGGCAATTCCTGAGGATAACACTACTATCCTAGTCTGGTCTTTTGAGATCTCGTTTCAGGTATCTTTGCATGTCTGACACCCATGGCTACACCTGGACCAACTCTACTTCTGTGGCCCCACCCAGAAGCCGTTCAGCTCACAGGAGGACAGATTTCCTCTAGGATTTCAGCTCCACCCCCAACAAGTCAGCAACAAGCCTAACCATTCCCACCCCTTCCCCCAAACTGCCTTTGAAAAACCCCTAACCTACAAGCTTTGGAGCTTCGGATGAGATGATTTGAGTACTAAGTTGGTCCCCTATGTGGTGTGGCTGGCCTTGTGCGTATTTATACTCTTTCTTTACTGAAATGCCATAGTCCTTATTTGCACAGCAGGCAGAAAGGACCCCTCAGGCAGCTACAGTAGAATAACTATAGTTAATAATAATATATATTATCAAATAGCTAGAAGGAGGATATTAAATGGTCCCAACACAAAGAAATCATAAATGTTTGAGATGATGGATATGCTAATTACCTTTATCTGACCACTATACATTATATTATCACAACATCATGTACAAGAATATGTACAATTTTTATGTGAGTTGAAAAAAATTTAAAAAGAAATTAATAAACAATTAAAAACAAAAAACCTCTGACTCAGACCATCCCTGAGAAGGGGTCTTAGGCTCCAAAACATAGGCAAAATCTTTTCAAATGTATGTACTTTGTTATGTATTTGGAAGAGGAAGTCACTTGACTAAAAGGTTTGGGAAGTCTTCATTAAGGAAATTAAATATACACTCGATTACAAAAGACCAAGTCAAAATTAGCTTTATAGTCAAGAGGAGGAAGAGTATTTCGGGAAAAGGGACGAGCTTGTACAAACAGTTCTGTTGTGAAATCAGATTGTATAATTCGGGGGTGATAAGAAGTACACTTTGTAATGAAAATGCACATCTTCATTTGCAAGAGTACAGGCATTCATAGGTTAAAGATTTTTCACATGTCAGTACCTAAAGATTTCCCCATTGTAGACCAACTTTAAAGTATGGTCTTAGTGTCAATTTAAGGTAATTGGAACAAAACAAATTCCATAGAGCTAAGTGCTGCTTTATATACTCACATCCTCGGGCATTGCTGAATTTTGTAGAGTGTAGTCGGGTTGCTTACCAAGAGAGTAAAAAACATTATTAGATGCTAAAAAATCCTAGAATAAAAATTATGATGCCTAAGCCTAATGAAAGTTGTTTTTCTTCATATTTCTTATTTGTTTTGAGATCACTTTCTTTCTCCCTTTTTTTTGCTTCTGCTGTGTTAAGGATTCATTTTTAAAAACCGGTGGCTTTGCTTTTAAGGTGTATGAGTAGCCCATGCAAAAACTCAAAAGATTATCTTCTGTATCGTCATAGATCAAAATATGACAGGGACAAATCAAATAGTGATGCATATCAATAAATATGAAACACAAGCCAGGATGTTCAACAAATTAGAAAAGTGAATATTAAAAAAGAATACAAAGATATTGCTCTTCCCACTGTGAAGTGAACGTCTCTACCTAACATCGAACTCTTTTATTTCTGACAATTACCAATCTAAGGACTGGTGTGAAAAGGACATTTTAAATGAAATTACAGTTAATAGAATTGAATCAATTACTCTTAAATATTTTTTACTAAAATAAAATACTGGACACACTTCATCTTTAGTGTTTATTTATATATATGTTATATATTATATATGTAGCATATGATATATACAGCCTATAACATATATCTTATATAACCTAAAACATATTATATAATACATAATAATATATATTTCATGTGTTATTATATATAAGCCTAATGATTGTATATTATTATTATATATAACATATATGTTATATATAACATAATGTAATTATTGTATATGCAATATATAAGCCTATTTATATAACACTGTGTATATATAATGTGTATATACACTGTGTAATATATATGAAATATATATTACATATAGTAATATAGTAATAGATTTTATAAAACTGCTGTCAAAATTGTGTTTGTGACATGCACGTAATTCTATGAGAAGTAATACAGTAATATATAACATATTTCATGTGTTATATGGTATATATGATTACATATGATTATATATCATTATATATTACCTATAACATGTTATATACATGTTATATTGCATATATAATACATAACATATGTCATGTAATATATTTCATATGTTATATGTTATATATAATAACTTGATTATATTATATATTATATAAATCCATAAGTATACAATAAATAATATAACAGCATATGATATGTATGCTATATAATATAATGTGATATATATTATATATGTTGTCATATATTATCTATACTATAGAATATAATATATTTCATATATATAATATATTTCATGTTATTAAATAGTATATATAATATATGGCAACGTATATAAAACATATATGTTATACAGCAAGTTAATATATCATATGTTATATCATTTATTATATACTTATATATTTATAGTATACTATATATTATACAGTATGTTAATATGTATTTATAATATATAAATATATATTATATAGTATATATTATGACATATGATATGTATTATATATTATATAATACAGTATATACTATATTATAAATATTTATATATAATATGTATAATTTATATTATATATGTTATATGTCATATATTATATTTTATGTTACATGTTATTTTATATGTTATATACAGTTATATTATGATCACATATGTGTGTGTGTGCATGTTCACACGTGTCATTAGTTGCTGTGTCATTTTTATCAATAAAGGTAACTAATTTTTAATTTTGAGGATTCTCTATATACCAGAACATCACCATATAACCCAAGTTTATTAGTGTGTTTTCCCTTACACCAGTTTCAAGGCAAACCAACTGTAATACAGAATTACTACATGTGTTCCCAAATTAACTCACTGGTGAATTTTTACTGCCAAATCAATGTAGAAAAGAGTCTATTTATCACAATTCCTACTCCTTATGTAACGATGCTCTTGACAACGAAGCCCTTTGGGATGACCTTGAAACACACACACACGCTCACCATTTAGAATATGTGTGAGGGTCGGGATCCTGTGATTGCAAATAGATTTTATAAAATTGCTGTCAAAATTGTGTTTGTAACATACACATAATTCTATGAGAAGTGTATTTGCTTGTGGATTAACCATTCTAAAGCACCCAGTCTAAAAGCAAAATGTTACATCTCAAACAAGTAATTCAGTGCTATAAAACTAAAGTCTGTATAAAATGAAAATTTTGAAATATTTCTTGCAACATTGGGTTCAATAAAAATAAATACAGACTCATAAAAACCAAAAACAAAACAGGGACCAATCCCTGCAAGGCATTTAAAATAAGATTATGTGTTAATATTGATTTCATGGGAAATGTAACTGCTATATTCCGTATCATAGTTTTGTAATTCATAATGCTACTAAACGCATTTGTTTTCTTGAACGCTACATGTTCAAGTCAAAACTTAGATATAAAAGTTTTAAATTCATTACAAAACACATTATTTCTGGTGAGAAGCATTAAGCAATTGACTAACATTGCTAGAGAATTCTATATTTTATTCTAACTCCAAAGTGTGCTTGATCTCAACTGCTGGATGTCAAGGTATACATTAAACAGAACAGCAACAACAACAAAAAACTAGGCATTAGTGAAAGCATGGTTAAATATTATCTCAAATTTTGGATCAAAATTTTCAAAATACCCAATTGAAGGAAATTTTTATCCATGTTGTGTTAGTCACGGTTCTCTAGAGGGACAGAACTAATAAGACGGATGTATATATAAAGCGTTCATTAAAGAGTATTTCCTCACACAATCACAAGGTGAGGTCCCACAATAGGCTGTCTGCAAGCTGAGGAAGAAGGAAGCCGGTCGGAGTCCCAAAACATCAAAAGTAGTGAAGCCGACAGCGCAGCCTTCAGTCTGTGGTCGAAGGTCCAACAGTCCCAAAGCTGAAGAACTTGGAGTCCGATGTTCAAGGGCGGGAAGCCTGCTGCATGGGAGAAAGATGGACACCAGAAGACTTAACTAGTCTAGTCTTTTCACGTTCTTCTGCCTGCTATTTATTCTGGCCATGCAGGCAACCGATTAGATGGTGCCCACCCAGATTGAGGGTGGGTCTGCCTCTCCCAGTCCACTGACTCAAATGTTAATCTCCTTTGACGCCACCCTCACAGAAACACCCAAGAACAATACTTTGCCTCCTTCAATCCAATCAAGTTGACACTCAATATTGACCACTGCATATGAGTACACTGCAAACCTAGTCATATTGAACAGTTCAACTTCTTAAAATAATTAGATTACATTTCAAGAAATACCATATAGATTTCAAATTTGAGAATTTGCTGTGTGCATTTACAACACATGAAGCCATAAATATTTATTTTAACATCTAATAGGGACAGTTTCTGCACATGGAAATATCTGGAAAACTTACTACGCGGGTGGCAAGCCATCAGTGCCGAGGTGAGCCTTATTAATAAGAAAACATAAACCTGGAAAAGAGTCAAATACTTCATTACACAACCTTGTGATGGAGACTAGAAATGATCTCAACAGGACAGTTCTCAGAGTCTACACCTTTTGATTTAGTCTCCTTAAGAGAGGAATATTTCGAGTAAATTCAATTTTCAAGTTTCTTCATTTGCATGCTTTCAGACGGAAATTCTGCCCCTAAAAGACTAATAGAAATTATTAAGTCTCATTGTCATTGACTGATTGTTATTGCGAAGAGAGTCATTTTTCTTTTTCTATGATCTTTTAGGGCCTTGCAGGGTGGTAGGTGGGGCATGCAGTCTCTCTAAGAGGAATTTACAGAACTCCTATTGGTATCTTGATTGGAGCTATAAATAATATAGAATATGGGATGATAAATATTCAAAATGAGCTCCAGATATTTATATTTCCAGCCTGACCTTGTTCGAAGCCTTTGAAAGTCAACATTTTTCTTTCCCCCAGGGCCAGAGGGGAGCAGGAACCTGTTACTGATGGATAAATCCAGCAGTGCCTAAGTGCAAGAAAAGCACATCTCCCTTAAGAAAGGTGCTCAATTTATTTCTCTTGGTGTGTGGATCCCAATTTCCAGGGTGATATCCATTTGCCCCCCATTCTGTTTGTTTTCTTTGTCATCATACCTTGTTTACGGAGAAGACTAATGACAAAAAAGCAACGGCATTTTTTTTTATGGCATCACCCCAGGTTAACAGTTCAATTTTACATCATTTTGATGGGTGAGTCAACGCAAGAGCTGAACTTCCTCGCAGCGTTCTTCATGCTTCTTAGCTTTACTTTGTTTGGGGTTTTGGAGGGTTATTTTTATTGTTGTTTATGGAAAAATCTGAAAAGACATTGTATAAACTTGTCTTGGATTTCTACCGGGCAAGGGTCATCAAAAACTTCAGTAAGTACCGAAAGTGAGAACCATACTGTATTGAAATTCATCTCATGTTGGATCTCATCCCATCTTGCAAGCAATATTGTGGCCAGGAATTAGGATGTTCCATTCTCCTCATTGCATGTTTCTAATCCACTAATTCATAGCTCAACTTGACAGTCATTTTTGATGTCTGAGAAGGTTGTACCTTGTATACCTTTTTATCATGATGGAGAGATATTGGAGAGGTATCATGGTGAGGTATCGTGGTGAGAGATATCATGGTGAGATATTATGGGGAGATATCACGGTGGAGACATGGCCTCAGAAAGCCAGCTTGCAAGGTAAGTCTTTAGTTGGCTCCTGAAAACTTAGATTTCAGGTATGTTCTCGCTCTTTCCTAAGTGATAAGAGTGGCTCACGATGCCTCAAGAGTTAGTACACACAATGTGGTTCACATTGGGTGCCTGAAATTTCCTTCTGGGAGTCTGGAATTTTGGGATGTGCTAGGTAGAAGGTACCTATACAATCAGACACTGAAAAGAGCTTTGAGCACTGATCCTTTATGAGCTTCCTTGATAGACAACATTTTTGCATGTGTTATCAAAATTCAATACCAGAAAAAGTTAGCACGTCTACAGAGAGGACTCTGGGAAGCTTGCACCTAATTTTCTCTGGTGCAGTGAAGCATGTATCTTTTAAAAATTTTTTTAATTTTAAATTGTTAATTTTTGTTTTTAATTTTTTAACTTCTATTTTAAGGGTTCAGGATACATGTGCAGGTTTGTTCCATAGGTAAATTGCATGCTGTGGGGGTTTGGTGTACAGATTACTGCCTCACTCAGGTGATAAGCATAGTACCCCATAAGTTGTTTTTGTTTGTTTGTTTTTGTTTTTCTCCTTTCTTTCACCTTCTACCCTCAAGTAGGCCCCAGCGTTGGATGTTCCCATCTTTGTGTCCATGTGTTCTCAACTTTACTGTTTTGTTTTAAATTATGAATCTAAAATTAAAAAAATGTTTAGCTCCCACTTATAAGTGATAACATGCAGTATTTGGATTTCTGTTACTGTGCTAGTTTGCTTAGGATTACAGCCCCCAGCTCCATCCATGTTGCTGCAAAGAACATAATCTTATTCTTTTTTATGGCTGCATAGTTTTCCATGGTGTGTGTATATGCAACACATTTTCTTTATCCAGTCTACTGTTGATGGGCATTTAGGTTGGTTCTATGATTTTGCTATTGTGAATAGTTGTAAGCATCTTTTCTTTCGTCTGATTTTGTGTTCTGCCATTTGCTGTGATAAATCATAGCTATGAATAGAACTGCACGAGGAGTTCTCACAGTGAATCATCAAATCTGGTGGTGATAGGAGCACATATTTTCAGGCAAGAAAATCACTTCTGAATACTCACTATGTCCTCAGTCATCTTTTAAATTTGTTAACAGATTCATTGAAGTATAATTGATATATACAAATTTAATGTGTATGATTTGATAAGTTTGAGTATCTAAAAACACCCATGATGCCATTGCTACAGTTAAGATAATAGAGATACATTACATCTCCCAAAGTTCCCTTGCGTCTCTTTGTTTTTTGTTGGTTTGTTTGTTCTTTGGTAGAAATGTAGCAGGCCAGGTCTCACTAACAGCTGAACAGGCAGGCCTCCATAACAACTGTTTCAGTACTGACCGAGTGGTGAAGTTACATATTAAAAGCTGAAAGATCCAGCGCCCTTATACAAAGGCTGGAATGTAACAAAAGCCCACCAAGAGTTTTGCCCAGGCCTCTCCTGGATCTTGAAGTGTGACAAGATAATGAAGGAATTCTTAACAGGACCCTTTTAGGATTAAACAAATTTTTATTGGGGGTCTGAATGAACTCCCCAAACCTCCACGATTTAGCAGGAGACAAGATAAGGGTAATTACCCCAGGCACCTGAACCCATCTAGATTAAGTCAATTTACTGAGACTCCAGAGGAAGGTCTTCAGGACTCAGACCTTAGTTCTAGATTAGAAGTTCATCACTAATGTCTTTAGATGAATGCACGCTTACACGTAGACATATCAATTAGAAGGTATAGAAGTTCTGGAAAACTTTGTAATTTTGAGTTGGTCTGGTGATATTTTCCCAGCCTTCTCCCTGTACTCGATTACAGAAATAAACTCCCTTCTTCCCAGTTCATCTGCATCTCATTATTGGGCAGCAAGAATAAGCAGCCCGACCCTTGGTTTGGTCCGGGAACAGAAACATTTACCATGCAACTTACACTCAACACATTTCGAAGTGCGTTTCACCATAGTGTTCACTATAGGCAAAGTGTTGTACAGCAGACTTCTAGAATTTATGCATTTAGCAGAACTGAAACTTGACACTCATTGAATAACAACTTCCCATTTCTTCCTTCCCGGGCACCTGGCAACTGCTATTGTATTCTCAGCGTCTATGAGTTTGACTCTTTTAGAAGCCATATTTAAAATTCAGTTATGTTTTAACTTCCAAAGCTTGTCCTTCAACTCACATCCCAGTAAACTTTGCCCAGAAAGCCCAAATCATGTTGAAACATATATTTTCTCTACACACTAATATTTGTTTTAGGTGTGTTTGAACTCATGTGTATTTTCTAATTGAGGGGTGTAGGTTTCTACTATGTCCATTAGCTTGTGTGCATTATGTGTTTGAGAGCCTTAATATCTTTACTTTTAAAAATATTATGGATCCAAAATTACAAGAAAAGGTGTGCTAAAATCTGAAAATATGGCTTTGGTTTTTTTCTACATCTCCTCATTAATTTCGCCAATTGCCACTTCATATATTTTAATGTCCTTAAGTATGAGACGGTTAAGTCCACAGATCGGATGCGAGAGAATTTTATAAGAAAATACACCCTCACCTCCAGAGGCCATCCATGGTTTCTTGATACAAGCAAGATTCCAGCAAAACAAACATTGCAATATTATATGTTACACAAAATCTCATTATCATCCATGCCTAATTGTGTGCAACTTATGACTTTGGCTGTAATCTGTTGCTTGGAATTAGGGTACTAGCTCCAGCCCACATAGGAAGGGAGGAGATTATTCAAGGGCATAATTAGCAGGAGATGGGCATTCATGTGGAGGTGGGTAATACAGATTCTGACTACATAAAGTGCATAATAAGTGTAGCTTCTACAATCATTGTTCAGTTAGCAAGGGACATAAATCATTTACTTATGGTGTCAATTTAACAAAAGAATGGCAAATACCGTAGTCTATGCAGATTTTGCTACGGAACAAAGGAGTCGAGAAAGATGAGAGATGGGCAGTAAATACATGCTTGCAACGAGTAAAACGTAACTTCAGTAACCTCACCATTTTGTCTTTGAATAGACCCACTGAATCTTCTACTTTAGTCATAGATAAGTAGATTGGCACTACTCTCTTTTGGAATTATCTTATTGCTTTCTCCCTCAACAAAATTCACAGTATTTCTTCTATTTGTTTCTTATTTGCATCTGAGCAATCATCAGTCCGCATCTAGTGATTCTGAAACATACATTCTAGTTTTTCAGTGTTTACAATACACATCACAGTGTTATTTATGCTGTGCTGAATTAAAACAGTGGCAACAACATTGTTTCAATATATATCACAAAAAAAGAATGGTATGAAATAATGATCACAGAAGAGATCGAATCAAAATAGGGTTTAATGACTCAAAAAACTCAAACAACACATTTGAAAGTTAATTATGATGCTGAAAGCCACCTTCAGGCCTCTTTTCTAAAATCTATGTTTTGCTTTATGATAGAAAAGAAGTCCCTGGAGGCTGTCTCCACAAAGTAATTATTTCTAAAGGGGAAAAACTCCAGCATCTTGGTGAGATGATTTGAATATCACACACATGCCTTTACTCTGAATTTTCCCTTCCTTGGATATTTTTATAACATAATATGAAATAAACATGGATTTATCAGAATGGTGGAAAACATTAGACCTAGATTTATAAAAATTAGGTTGATGATAGTTTTGCAGAATTATCAGAAGAGGGAATAAAATTATTTTTCCAGGGGCCACCAAGGTGTATCTGTAAAAAGCTGCTCTCTCTCTAACTGGCTACCCATGACGTAATGTGACCAAGAAGTTTACGCTGACTATCTACATATGTCTGAAATTATATATGGGAGGGTGAGAGAAAGAAGAAATTATATGCTTTGAAGAACTGGAGATCTGATCAAGAGTCAACAATTCTCCCAAGGCTAGAGTTCCACGATTAATTGTGGAGTAGAGTTTGAGAAAGGACTTTGCCAGCTGCTCATCTTCCTTTTCAAGGTGGTAGGAGCTGTGTGATGCAACAGGTGCCACCATTGAGCAAGATTTCCTAGGATGGTCTCTAGATTTATAGCATTCTCTTCCATGGTCAGCCCAGGTATGAGGTGTTTTGTCTAAAAGTTTATTCACAAACTATAGTTTTTTCACCAAAGCAGCTCTCAAACCAAATCATCTTAATGCAGGATTTTTCTTGGTCAAACTGCAGGCTGGAGACTTCTAGCTGACAATGCCCCTCACGAGCCTCGCTTGAATCCAGGTCTGCCTTAGGAGATGCCTTGACTACTCCGGCGTGGGTCCCACAGCCACTAAGACTGCGCACTCAGCCCCAGTGGGAGGTGTGTGAGCAAGCAAGTGCAGGGTCTGGTCCACTGCTCCAAACGCCAGCACAGAGGTGGGCGCCAGGTGAGTCTCCCTGAGGGGAACACGGTGACACCCGGGCAGGGTTGCCCGTGACCCGGAAGCCCCGGTGTGGGGCGGGGGGGCTGGTGTATTACAGTGCTCTAATTAGTTCTTTTAGTCTCGCTGTCTACAGCCTGATGGACAGTAGTGTGTTAAGAGCTTGGTCAGCCCCTCGCCCTGCTCCGGCCCATGACTCCAAGGCTAGTTTGGTCCCCCTGCTGCTTCCGTTGCATAGGGCGGCTACCCTCCCCTGGTGGAGGGCAGAGGGCCACACTGTTACAGCCTTCTTCCTGCCCATGTTCAGCTGGGTCCTGCGTTCTTGTCCTGCATCTGAGAAGAATGTGGATACGCTGACAATTGAAGAGCGAGCAACTCAGAGCATTTTATTGAGTGACGAAACAGCTTTCAGCGGACCAGAAGCAGGAGATCCGAGGGTGGTCCCCCTAACTGAAGGCAGGAAAGTCCTCTCCCACCCAAAGATGGGAGGTTTTCCCAGCGTGGCTTAGTCCAGGGCTTTTATGGGCTCAGAATCGGGGGTATGTGCTGATTGGTTTGTGAGTATGCAAAAAAGGCAACAGTGTAAAAACCAATTAGGGTAGGGCAGGTATAGGTGAAAACTGGGGGTTCATCAGAGGAAAGCACGCCAAACGGGAAAAGAGGTTCTCAATCTAGTCTGTGGATTTACTGAGACTCATAGCTTTGGCTTTCAGGCTTTAAACTGTCTTTGGTTTGAAGGTGGGGTTTCACCAGGGATCCTCCCCTGTCTGCCTAGAGATTTGTCTGCCTTCTGCTACCATCAGTTTTACCCATCCCCGACATGGGTGCCTCAAATCTCTGCCGTCTGTATGATTAGAAATCCAGGTAGGAGTTACATATTTCCTTGCTTCACTAGGAGAAAGATCAGTTATTTTATGAACCCTCAAAGAACTTCAAGGAGTAAGAACAAACATAAATATATTTATATAAACATATTTAGGTTAAATGAAACCTTACTCTTTATTAAATGTTTACATAAATATACTTATGTTTGTTCCTACTCTTTCGAGGGAGGAGGGTGTGTAGAGGGTGGGTGAAGTCTGAAGTTCTGTGAGTCTGAAAAGAAAGTACAAGGAAATCTGCAAGAGGAAATTGAATGGTGAAATTAAAATGGACCTTGGGAAAATTAATAAAAAGCAGAATTAAACAAAGGGGGTTATCATTGAGGAGGTATGTGTTTATTATTTGGAATTACACATTGCTTTGTTTAACTTCAGCTTTGGTGAATACAAATAGCAACAAATTTTATATTATCAAGTACGATATTGAAGCAGGATATTTCCCTGACCCTTACACGGGTGGAAACTGGAGTACATGGGCACTGGCGGGGGCGAATTCCACTCACTCGACCTGCTGTGCTGCACCCCTCACCCATGACTTCTGAAGCCCCAGAGGAAGTTAACACTTTTAACAGTGCTCTTTTGTAGCTTTGCCATCCGTGGATGGCTTAAGTGTTAACAGCTCACTGGAGGATCGGTGTGACAGCCTTTTGCACTTACACTCTTGGCATCTGAGTTCCTGTCCTGAGTCCAGGAGGAATGAGGTCACACGAATGAATTGAAGGTGGTGAATGCGGGGATTTTATTGCCAATGAAAGTGGCTCTCAGCAGGAAGGGGAATTGAAAAGGGGATGGAGTGGGAAGGTAATCTTCCCCTGGGGACAGCTGGACTCCTCTCCGAAGCTACATTGTCAAGCAGTCCCTCCGAAGTCAAGCCACATCTCTCCAATGTCCAACCATAGTCTCTGATGTCCAGCTGCTTCTCCTCTTCTCCTCTCTCTGCTTGCTGAGCCTGGGATCCTTATGAGCACAGGAGCAGGGCAGGGTGAGCATGGGTGGTTTTGGAAAAAACAAGATTCGAGTGGGAAAACAAGGATGTCAGTTCTACTTTGGGCTGTGGTATTAGGCTTTTCAGCTTGAGGGTGAGGCCCTCACTGGGGACCCACCCTCTTCTGCCCAGAATTTCTCTGTCTCCTGTCCCTACCAATATTTCTTATGTAGTCAATTACTCCATCTCTTTCACATGATGTGAGCATAGTAAGGCCAGTGACCAATGTGGGCACATTTATATATCTATGAAATTTATATATCTATGAAATGACATATATATATATATATATATATCATTTCAATAGGTTATGTTCATAATGAGGCACCAACTAGAAACATCATTGCAACATTGTACTTGCAGGAATTTGGAGATGTCCCAAGTGGTAAATTCTGTGGAAAGAGTCCCACAGATGCATAGCATATTTCTGCTCTCTGATGATCTACAGCTATTTAGACAACGTAGATATACAGGTTCAGATATGACATGTCCTCAAGATATTCTGTTTGGTGGGAAAGTAAGTTTCAGGGCAATAACTACAGTGAGTGTAACAGGACAGGATTATGAAAATGAGGTTGAAAGAGGACTTTTTGCTTTCCTTGCTTTAATTTCTTATCAGCAGGATATTGTTTGATATTGGTTTTAACTATACGAGCATGCTGGGGAACTGAATGGCAGTGTGAAATAGTGCCCAGGTTTTGAGAGTAGCTCTTGGGCAGCACAGGAACCGAGAACACAAGAATCATAGTACCCCAAAGTCAGCTGGGATCTGCATAGTGTGTGTAAATGGCATAGCTACCTGTTAAAATACACTGAAACCTTGACTTCCTGGTCTCAAGTAATCCTCCCACTTCAGCATCCCAAGTAGCTGGGATTATAGGCGTGCACCTCCCAGCCTGGCTAATCTTTTTTTTTTTTTTTGAGAGATGGGCTCTCATTATATTGTCCAGGCTGGTCTTGAACTCCTGAGCTCAAGCGATCCTTCCACCTCAGCCTCCCAAAGAACTTGGATTAGAGGTGTGAGCCACAGTGCCTGGCCTAATTGAAGCATTAAGATCATTTACTTTCCATTTTATTATTGGTACTAGGATTAACATGTAACATGATGTAACTGAAAGTTCATGTCCCCTCACAAATTCATATATCGAAGCCCTAACTCCCAATATGATAGTGTTTGGAGATGAAGGCTTTAGGAGGTGAATAGAATTAGGTGAGGTCACGAGGGATTTATATCTTTATAAGAAAAGGAATGGACCATGGAGCACACTCTCTCTCTGGCTGCCAAGTGAGGACACAGCCAAGAGTGGCCATCTGCAACCCAGGAAGAGAGCCCTCACCAGAAGGTGACCATGCTGTTAACCCTGATTATGAGCTTCCAGCCTCCAGAACTTTGAGGAAAAAAAAAAAAAGATCTGTATTTTTCTTTTTTTTTTTTTTTTTGAGGAAGGATCTGGCTGTGTTGCCCAGGCTAGAGTGCAGTGGTGTGATCTCAGCTCACTGCAACATCTGCCTCCTGGGCTTAGGCCATCCCCCAACCTCAGTCTCCTGAGTAGCTGGGACTACAGGCACATGCCACCATGCCCGGCTAATTTTTGTATTTTTGGTGGAGATGGGGTTTCACCATGTTGCCTGGACTGGTCTTGAACTCCTGAGTTCACGCAATCCACCTGCCTTGGCCTCCCAAAGTGCTGGGATTACAAGTGTGAGCCACCATGCCTGGCCAGAAAATAGATTTTCATTGCTTGTGTCACTAAATCTAGAGTATTTTGTTATGGCAGCCCTAGCAGACTAAGACATTCATCAATTACCTTTTAAATCGAGTTTTTAGAAAACACACATTCCTTTTATATCTTACTGTCTTATGTGTCATCCCTGGAGTTTTTGATTCAATTGTGTAAATCTACATTTCTATCTGTTAAAATTATCCTGTTGCTTAAATGACTTTCTTTGACATTTCTTGTTGTACTGGTCTGTGGGTGTTTACTTTTTCAGTTTTTGTGTATTTTTTAAAGTTTTTATTTCAATTTTAGTTTTGAGTGATATTTTTAATCAGTTTAGTATTCTAGGCTATTATTCTCTTGTGTTTCTTTAAGATTTCCTCTGAAAATTGTCTCATGTCTTGCATTTTATATGATGAGAACATTGTGGTTATCTGTATTCCTCTGTAGACAATTTTTAAGCTAACACTTTTTAAAAATTTCTCCTTATTACTAGTTTATAGTACTTTGATTTTTATTATGATATGACTTGCTTTTGTGTTAAAATTTTTTTTCTGTTTCATATTCATTGGAACTCTATGGATCTGTGAGTTTATGAGCTGCACTAAATTTAGAAAATTTTTGGCATTATTTCTTTAAATATGTTTTTTCCCACCATTTCTGATTCCAGTTATCTGTGTAATATTTTGGTTAAGGTTGTCGCACAGTTCCCTGGATCTCTGTCCTCTTTTTTATTCATCATTTTAATCTTGATGTTTTATTTGGATAATTTCATTGGCTGAGTTTTCAATTTCACTAATCTTTTATTTTCTGTGTCTAATATGCTATTAATCTCACCTAATATAATCTTTATCTCAGACATTACATCTTCTAACTCTAGAAGCCTAATTTAATTTTTACAGTTTTCTGGGCTCTTTTTATGATGTTGATAATTTGGGCCACTTTCTTCATCATGGAAATTTATAATGGATTGCTTAATACTCTTTTCTACTAATTCTACTATCTATGTCATTTTTTGGTCTGCTTCTATTTATTGAACTCATTTATCTCAACGTGATTGACTATACATACTACTAATGTTTGATTAGGTACACCCTTTGCAAACTCTACCTTTTTGGGAAAGGGGTCATCATAAAGGTCTTCATCCTTGTCATCTTCACATTGAGTAGGCTGAGGAGGAGGAAGGGTTGGCCTTGGGGTGGCAGAGGCGGAAGAGAAGCAGAGGGTGGAAGAGGAGGCAAGAGAGGCAGACATACTTGGTCTAAATTTTATTTTTAAAAATCTGAGTATAAGTAGGCCCATATGATTTAAATATGTGTTGATCAAGGGTCTATTGATCTGTTTAGTAGTAGACAGAGAAAAGAACATTTCCTACACGTTATAAAGGAAAGTGCCTACTTTAACTCCCAACCGTTGAAAACAGAAAGACCACCTAACAGACAGGACACGAACACAGAATATATTCAAGAGTATTACTTCAGGCGGGGCATGGTGGCTTATGCCTGTAATTCCAGCTCTTTGGGATGCTGAGGTAGGAGGATCACTTGAGACCAGGGGTTCAAGGTCAGCTTGGGAAACATAATAAGACCCAGTCTTTACCAAAATAAAAATAAAAATATCAGGCTGGGCATGATGGTGCATGCATGTAGTCTCAGCTACTTGGGAGGCTGAGGCAGGAGGATTGCTAGAGCCCAAGAGTTTGAGGCTGCCATAAGCATTGATTTGTGCTACTGCAATCTAGCCTGGGCAGCAAAGACCTTGTCTCTTAAAAAAAATAAAATAAATAAAATAAAGTAGAGTATTGTTTCAGTAGTTTGGTCCTAGACTAAAGGTTTTTCTGGTCTCACCCAACAGTGTTAAAAAGCAAGTTGCTATGAAATTGTCAGTTTGGTGGGAATGATTTCACATGGGCATATAATAAAGGAAAGATGGCATGGTTGTTTTACAATTATGAATCTATAAATATTGTCACTTGTACGTTGGGCGTGGTGGCTCATGCTTGTAATCTCAGCACTTTGGGAGGCCAAGGCACGGGGGATCACTTAAGGTCAGGAGTTTAATACCAGCCTGGCCAACATGGTGAAATACCGTCTCTACCAAAAAATACAAAAATTACCCGAGTGCGGTGGCACATACCTGTAGTCCCAGCTACTCAGGAGGCTGAGGTGGGAGAATCACTTGAACCCAGGAGGCAGAGGTTGCAGTGAGCCAAGATCGGACCACTGCACTCCAGCGTGGGCAACAGAGTGAGACCCTGTCTCAAAAAAAAAAAAAAAAAGATTGCCACTTGTGTTACTTGCAGATAAGACATGAATCTGAATTAAAGAAAAAACACATGCAAACACATGCAAGCATGTGCACACACTCAAGTACAGATATACGGATATACATATATAGTCAGTGCTTTCCATCCGTTGCTTCCACATCCAAGAATTCAATGGAGGATCAAACATATTTGGGAAAAATAAATAAACAATAAAAAATAACAATATAATAAAAATATAAATCACAAAACAATGCAGTATATAACATAGCATTTATATTTTATTAAGTATTATAAATCATCTAGAGAGGATTTAAAGTATGGGAAAGCATGCGCGTAGGTTATGTGTAACTAAGATGCCATTTTATATCAGGTCCTTGAGCAACCATGAATTTTGGTTATCGGTAGGAGTCCTGGAACCAATTCTCCATAAATACCAAGGAATGACTGTATAATGTATACCAGTTTATCCACTTTCTCAAAACAACAAAGAATACAAAGTGTGGGTTTTTCTTCTGACTGCTAAGACAATATGTTTATTGTGGAAAACTTGAAATATATTGGAGAAATATATATTTAATAAAAAAATCAGAAAAAAACAGTATTCTAACACAACTATTTTTCTGAATAAAGATCACAACTTGGGTCAATATTTTGTTAAATAACCTTTTCTTTTCTTATAGAAATGGTGTCTTACCATGTTGCCTAGGCTGGTCTTCAACTCCTGAGCTCAAGTGATTTCCCCACCTCGGCCTCCCAAAGTGTTGTCATGAGCTGCTGCATCCGGCCAATAGTTTTGATTGAAATATGCTCATCATCTTATGTGAAGCCACGGTTTCTGATTAAATACTAAAGTAGATATTTTGTTATTATTTTGTGTTTTTATCTTTGAAAATAGTGTCATGGATGCACTGGCTGGGGCCAGCATCGCTGGCGGTAAAAGAATTTACTAAGACAGTTGTGGATAAAGAAGGCAGATATATTCGAGAAAGCATGAAAATATGTTGCAAGAAAGCTGTCTGCAAAGAGGCAGAGGCTAGAGGGAAGTTTTATAGAGTTGTGCTGGAGGGGACTCTGTGCAGAACAAGTTTGTGTCCCTGGGGCTACGTGCAGAGAGAGGCATTTGGGAGCAGGATGTTGTGCCAGAGGTTTGTCTGTGATTAGAGTCTCTCACAATTGTTCTCCCCCGACCTGGGCCCCCTTCCTCATTGTTGCTTACTTATCTTATTAAAACTCCACAAACAGCATTTTAAGTTAGACTCCACGGAGGTCCATAAAACATACACAAGCAAGGAAAATAAAATGAAATTTATTCTAAAAGCGAAGCAAAATTAATGTTTAAACATTTATACAGAGATGGTACTTTGCATTTTCTGCGGAAAATAGATAAATGTGGGTCAGAACTATTCAGAATTCAGAAAGTTTAGTTTGATTAATGTTGACTCCTTATGTCTTTTTCTTTTTATCCCTAAGGAAAAATGTATGGGCGAGCTATGTCCTTGAAAATCTCTGACATTTCATCTGTATTCTGTTAACTAAAACTTCAAGATCTGCTTCCAAAATTTAAAACCTGTCAACAAGGTTATGATTGTAGAAAATAGAAAATACTTTTCAAAATATGTTACTATGCATACATGTGTTGTCAGTGTATTATATAGGTGGATAGCCACCTTTGAGGTACATGTTTTAGTAAGAATATATATTTTTAAATCAACAAAAATTTAAATAAATTAGTTTAAACTCTCATAAAAAAGAAAGATTTGCCTAAAATCAAAGGGAAAAAGAAAGCTAAACTAAATTTAATTTGTCTTGAAATAAATTGTCTGCCATACATGTTTCTTATTTTGGTCTACCTGTAAGCCTTAAAGGAAGATAAAATGTTGAATGGATTCAAATCCCTCCTGACTCAAACAGTTTAAGAGATACACTAACAGATATCCTTTAAATATGACAATTGTAGTTGTCATGTGGTTGCTGGCTGCATCCCAATGAAGCCAAGACTCATTGAAGGTCAAAATTAAAGCACAATTCAAGATTGAGCTTAGCGGATGGTTAGAGGTAAATGTCTTACATTCTTGTCTGCATTTCATAAAATAACTTGGACTATCCAGACAATGTAGAGAAAAAAGCAGACTTCTCAGGGCAATTTGAGTAACATATGATGCTTCTATTTTTGGAGATGATATGTAGATTAGATAGAGATATAGACGTAGTCATGGGCCATATAACGAGGTTTCAGTCAATGGTCAACTGCATATAGGATGGTGGTCCCATGACATTATAATGGAGCTGAAAAAGTCCCTTTGCCTAATGACATTGTAGCCATCTTAACATTGTAGTGAAACACATGAGTCTTGTGTGTGTAGTGCAGACAAATCTATCCCTCAAGAAGAGCCTCAGGCAGGTGCTCCAGGAGGTATCCAGAAGAAGGCATCATTATCACGGGAGAGGACAGCTCCATGCATGTTATCGCCCCTGAATACCTTCCAGTGGGACAAGATGTGGAGGTGGAAGATGGTGATATTGATAACCCTCACCCTGTGTGTCTAGCTAGGCTAATGTGTGTGTTCGTGTCTTAGTTTTTTAAAAAAGGTTGGAAAAGAAAATATAGTAATAATAATAAATTTTGAAAATAGAAAAAGTCTTATAGAATAAGGATATAAAGAATGTATTGTTGTACAGCTGCGCAATGTGTTTGGGTCTTAAACTAAGTGTTATGATGGGACTCAAAAAGATTTTTTAAAAATTAAAAAGTTTAAAGTAAAAAATAGTTGCAGTAAACTAATGTTAAGTTAGGGAAACCACCATTGCAAACTATAACTGAGAATTATTACAGTGACGGAGATCTGAACTAACCAACTCCATTTTGCTTCTAACCACCAAGCTGTCCTTGTTCATTCCTGAGCATAAGCCAAACTTAATTTACAGTTTAACTTTAAAACAAAGGCAATAACAGCCCTGTCCCAAAACAAACTCCTTCCTGCCTGGAGACTGGACTGCCTTTGTAGGATTAACAAATTAGCCACAATATTAGAAATTATGATTTAGGAGTCATGCAGCTGGAGGCTTAAGATTGCGACACTCCCCAAATTGCTCCCGGGGATCACATTACTATTTAAAACCAAAGCTCGGTGCTTGAGATGATTTGCAGACCGTGCGCTCAGTGAATCAGCTGGCACGGCTCAGGTCGATAAACTGGCTCCTCTGATCTTGTGGCCCCTACCCAAGAACTGACTTAGTGCGAGAGGACAGCTTTGACTCCCTGTGATTTCATCTCCAACCCAAACAATCAGCACTCCTGACCTCCTGGCCCTTCACTCACCAAATTATCCTTAAAAACTCTGATCCCTGAATTCTTGGGAAGACTGATTTGAATAATAATAAAACTCCAGTCTCCCATTGATATGGTCTGGCTCTGTGTCCCCAGCCAAATTTCATCTTGAATTGTAGTCTGAATTCTAATCCCCACATGTTGGGGAAGGGACCTTATGGAGGGTGATTAGATCATGGGGGCACTTGCCCAATGCTGTTCTCGTGATAGTGAGTGAGTTCTCATGAGATGTGATGGTTTTATAAGGGGCTTTTCCCCTCTTTGCTCTGCATTCTCACTCTCTCCTGCCGGCCAGTGAAGAAGGTGCCTGCTTCTCTATCCCCTTCCACCATGATTGTGAGTTTCCTGAGGCATCCCCAGCCATGCAGAACTGTGAGTCAATTAAGCTTCTTTCCTTTATAAATTACCCAGTCTCAGGTCTTTCTTCATAGCAGTGTGAAAACGAACTATTACACCCATACAGCCAGCTCTGTGTGAGTAACTCTTTCTCTATGCCATTCCCTTGTCTTGATAAATTGGCTCTGTCTAGTCAGTGGGCAAGGTGAACCTGATGGGCAGTTAAATTAGTACTGAAGAAAGAAAAAATGTATAAATTTAGTGTAGCTTCATTGTACAGTGTTTGTAAAGTCTACACTAGTGTACAGGAATGTCCTAGGCCTTCACATTCACTCACCACTTATTCACTGACTCACCCAGAGCAACTTCCAGTCCTGCAAGCTCCATTCATAGTAAGTGCCCTATACAGGGGTACCATTTTTCATCTTTTATGTTGAATTTTTGCTGTACCTTTTCTATGTTTAGCTATGCTTACATACACAAATACTTACCATTCTGTTACAGCCACCTACGGTATTCAGTATGGTAACTGGTTTGTAATCCAGGAGCACTAGGCTAGACCCTCTACACAAGGTGTGTGGTAGGCTACACCATCTAGGTTTGTTATATACATATATGATGTATATTCATATATATGATTGTATATGTTATATATGTGATATAATTATGTATTAGATAGCATATATAATAACTATTATATAATTAGTATAATATATTAATTATATAATTACTAATTATGTTGCATATGATTTATTATATATTATATATACTTCATAGTTTACTAACAATACATATTTTATATTAATATGTATAATATATTAATAATACAATATTATGTTAATATATAAAGTATATATAACATACATTATATTAATAATATAATAGACTATATTAAATACTATAATACAGTTATAATATTTAATATAGTCTATTAAATATTATGTTAGTATAATGTTATAATATGTAAGTATAAGTATAATAATGTAAGTATGTTATAATATTGAATATAATATATAATACATTATACTAAAAGATATAATGTATCATTAATAAATTATAAATTTTACATTATAATATATAATTCATAATAAATCATATATTGTATTAAATAATATAATATATCATATAATATAATATATAATGTATATTATAGTAAACATTGTATTTATTATATAATGTAATATTATATTATATATTACATATAATATGTAATGATATATAATTTATACATTGTTCATATATGTCATTAATATGCATATGAATATATAATATATTAAATATTATAATAAAATGTTTATATAATGCATACTATAATATATTATGAGGTACATATTATATATTATGTATGAATATAATAAAATATGTGACTATATTTTATATTATATATATGTATTATAATATATATGAAGATATACATAAAAACCTAATATTTTATAATAATGTATAATATATAATATGTTATATTATATTTTCATATACATGTATATTTATATACATAAAATTTCCAAAAGGACTAAAACAATGTGATCTCAATTTTTTTCTCCCCTTCCCATGTTAAATAAATCAGAGAGATTAATAACTTGCTAGCTACATACCAGGCGCCAAGAAGGGGCACATTAATATAATGGTATAAGACTTGGGGGAAAATTGAAGTACAGGTTTTCCTTTAACCTTGGTCTTATCCTTACTTAATTATCACGCAACACCACTTCAAGGAAACCCTGCAGCTCGATAAACTTGAGTGTGAATTAGAAAAAGGCATCCGGTGCTCTGGGCAGACATAACTCTAGTCTGGGAAACCAAGATTAGTAAACACAGTAAAGCTAGATTTCATTCTGCACTGACTCCCTTGGCCAGAAACTCCTTTGAAAATAACAACCTCCTAAAAGGATGTGTGGCCCTCCCCTCATATCACTTGCATGTTCTGAGGTTAATAAAAATTCACCTGTGTGCTAAAACTGTTAACAGAAAAATTAGACTTTGTAAAATATTTTAAAGAAGTTTATTCTGAACCAAATGAGTGACCATCATCCAGGAACCCAGTTTCTGGAACTCCTGAGAAAGTGCACCCAAGGTGGTCAGATTATAGTTTGGCTTTACATATTTTAGGGAGTCAAGAGTTAAAAATAAAGACAGTTATCAGTACGTGGAAGGTATACATTGGTTTTGCTTACAAAGTTGGAATATCTTGAAGTAGGGCCTTGCAGGTTATGGATGGGTTCAGAGATTCTTATTTTTTTTAGAATATTTTTTAGAATATTTTTAGCACGAACTCCCTGTTTTAATGACAGGGAGTCTTGCTCTGTGGCCCAGGCTGGAGTGCGGTGGTGTGATCATAGCTCACTGCAGCCTGGAACTCCTTGGCTCAAGCGATTCTCCCTCCTCAGCCTCCCAAAGTACTGGGATTACAGGCATGAGCTATCCTGCCTGGCCAAGAGATTATTTAAGTTGCAATTGGTTCAAGGAGTAAAGCTTTGTCTAAAAATTTGGAGTCAGCAGAAAGGAATGTTTAAGATAAGGAAGTCTGTTAACCAGTATACAATGGGTCAGAGTGACCTGCAGAGATGCAAGACTTAATGCTTGCCTGGCACAGCCTTAGGTCCTGTTTATAATTTGCTACCTTATTGTCACAAAGAGTCTGCTTTGTCAGTCTTATTGTGTCTATTTTTTATTTTTTATTTTTTTTAAATTTGAGACAGAGTCTCGCTCTGTCACCAGGCTGGAGTGCAGTGGCATGATCTCGGCTCACTGCAACCTCCGTCTCCCTTGTTCAAGCAATTCTCCTGTCTCAGCCTCCCGGGGAGCTGGGATTACAGGCATGCACCACCATGCCCAGCTAATTTTTGTATTTTTTTTAGTAGTGACGGGGTTTCACCATGTGGGCCAGGATGGTCTCGATCTCCTGACCTCGTGATCAGCCCACCTCAGCCTCCCAAAGTGCTGGGATTACAGGCATGAGCCACCGTGCCCAGCCTTGTTTCTATTTTATTTTAGCACAAACCCCCGTCAGTTGTTGTGCCTAAACTCCAAATGGGAGGGGTATAATGAGTTGTGTCCCACCTCCATTCCTGTCATGGCCAGGTATTTAGTTTTTCAGGTTTCTCTGGGGACCCCGGAGACCAGAGAAGATCTGTTGAGTTGTTTGGAGAGCTTAGGATTTTCGTTTTGGTTTACAAGACCAAGCAAAGTCACAGGATCCTAGAAGTAAGCAGAGAGTTCCTGGTTCAAATGAATGGAGATCAAGGGTCAAGGAAGAGTGTCAGGGTCTGTCCCCATAATGGCACCCATGGTGAAGGTGCATCAGTCAGGATGTAGCACAGAGAAAGACAGTGAACAGAACCTGTTAGGGGCATTAATTCAGAAGTCTAGCATAGCACATAGCTCCCAGGTAGACAAAGTGCAACGACAAAGACCAGGATAATCCAACATGGCACCCAATGAACCATCTCTCCTTTATATCCAAGAGCCTAAAGTCTCTCCTTCACATCTTAGAGAGAGAAACAAGAGACAGAAAACAGAGAGTCTTGAGACTTCTTTCCAAGAAATGTTGCCCAACACTGCAAACAAACAAACAAAAACTATTCACAGCGTTGAATGAGACTGAGTTTAAACCCACGTCAAAGAGAGAGTTGATTTGTTTTTCTCTACTAGCCAGCAGGTTAGGACATAAGAGGAAAAGCAAATTAATTCCAGAGTAAATAAATTACATTGCTTTCTACCCATCCAGGTAGCACTGTAAATAATTTTTTGAGCTTATTTTTGTGAACCCAAAGGTATCTGAGAGAGGTCTTAATCAATTTGGAAAGCTAATTTTGCCAAGGTTAAGGACGTGCGCATGACTCAGCCTCAGTAAGTCCTGATGACAAGTGCTCAAGGTGGTCGGGGCTCAGTGTGGTTTTATACATTTTAGGTAGACATGAGACATCAATCAGTATGTGTAAGATGTACATTGGTTTGGTCCAGAAAGGCGGGAAAACTTGAATCGGGACTTCCAGGTCGTAGGTAGATAAGAGACAAAAGGTTACATTCTTTTGAATCCTTCATTGTCTTTTCACTGAATACACGTGTTAGTTGGACTCAGTGAATCTGCGTTTTTACAGTAACAATAGGGCAGAGGAAGCCATCAGATATGCATTTGTCTCAGGTGAGCCTTAGAGGGATGACTTTCTGTCCAGTGCCTGCGAAGATAAGCTATCAGTTTACATTGCCAGGGTGAAATTCAACAGAGCTGTTTTAGGGTGAAGATATTGAGGCCCACAAGGAATTTCCATGTGGGAAAATTGTGACGGAGGTATGTAGCTTTTCTATCTTTATAGCTGCCTTATTTAGGAATAAAATGGCAGGCAAGTGTGCCTCATGTAGTTCCTAGCTTCACTTTTCCCTTGGCTTGGTGATTTGGGGGTTCCAAGATTTATTTTCCTTTCACATATGTTATATTATGTCATGGATATAGTATGCCGAAGCATTAACAGAGATGTGTAGTCAAACAGCTATAAGAATAAATGTCTGATCTTTGCCCATCTTCTTTGTAGTTTGACATGTGGGAATTATCAGGATAACAAGGAAAGAGTGTATACTTAATTGCAAGAAAAGAGATGTGTCAAGGTGGGGAAGAAAGGTCAGCAGAGGACTGGATGTGGTGGGAGAACTCAAATGTCAAGCCTTATTCCAGAGAGATGACCTTTCTCATGTGCTGGGACCAGTCACAACTGTCCTTCCTCCTCTGCCTCCCAACACTGCCTCTCATGATTTACAAGAAGTTTGTGTAACAACTGACGTTATTTCACAGAACCTTCAGTCCCAGAGGGGGATTCATTTGTTAATGTATCTCTACCAGGCAGAACAAAATAATTAAATCCTTTCCACTGGCATTGATGAAGCTCCCTGTGGGGGAATTGATAAAGTTTACAGGCAGAAACAGAAGTTGCAGCTCAATAAGAGGCAGGGAGCCTCACTGATCTTTCCAGGATCAAGTGATGGGGACCCCAGAAAGATCATCTTATTATCTACAAATTGAAGACATTGAGCCTTTCCTCTCTTCTCTCTCTCTCCATGAATCCTAAACTACACACAATTTCACAACTCCAGAATCTGTACTTTATGGAAATGTGTGAAGAAATCTTAAATGAGAGAAAAATACATATCACATCTTCAAAAATAATTTTATTTCAAGGCAAATAATGTAAAATGTCACTTTACATTGAATATATTAGTAGTTCAGTTTAGGGGGAGTCAAAAGTTACATGCAGATTTTTACAGTGAAGGGATCAATGCCCCGAATCTCCACATTGCTCAAGGATTGACTATACTGTGGACACTGGATGAAACACACGTCTGAAGTCAAAAGAGAAGGTGACATAGAAGTTGGATGAGATTTCCTGTTTTCTTATCTTCCTCTTCCGCACTGGAAGCCATGGTTATTTTGTTGAAGTTAAATGTTCTAAAGAGTGGATTTTGGAACCTTAGAATGGTAAAACAAATGTCAGGGCGGAGGTAATTTTCGGTACCTGAACTCTAGCAGTATTATTCAAAATATTACAACTGCTTAAACTCTGTGGCCTTTAAAATCATCACCTGTGACGGAGGGCTGGGAAGCTTATATTTAAAACCTGGGTTTATACTGTTCAAACTCTAATACAGAGGCATTTAAAATAACTACAATCATAGTAAGAGTCATTCTGGCTCAATTGTACTTACCATCTCCAAGTTTTTAAATAGTAATGATGAATAGCAATATAAGAATCAATTAATTGAAATCTGACACACTTAAACACATGTCCTATTTCTTTTTTCTCTTTCTGGATAGCTATTGTCTATCCTCTTTTTATAGATATATTTTCCCTTTGATAGGAAATAATTAAATTATGCAAAAATATCTTAATTGGTTCCAAGGGAATAAGCAACACGTGCATCTAATGAAAAAAAAAAGTAAATTTCTTATTGTGTATAGTATACTTTATTACAGAGAAAGAGGAGGAAGAGGAGGAGGAAGATGAAGGAGGAAGGAGAAGGAGGAGGAGGAAAAAGAGGAGGAGAAGGAGGAAGGAGGAGAAGAAGTGCTTAAAGTTTTAGCATTACATCAGGGAAAACAGCAAGAGATAAAATTGATTCTGCCAGCTTTGAAGTTTCATAGGATATTTTATAATAAAGGATAAGAGAGGCAGCTTTGTTTGCATCAAATGACTGGAGTACTACCTTTCAGGAGTTAAAGTTCATCTGTGTAATTAAATCAACAGCAATCAGAACAGCCTCTTTGTGGAAAGGTCAGGCATCATTCCAAAAGGCGGAACTCACAAGCACATAGAAAAAACAATAATGAATTGCCATAACATGAGGCATTCCTCCCCTACTTAACACTCCAACAGCATAGCTAGACATTTAGATAGGAAAGTTCCAGCTAAGGTTTATATGAGGAGATGTAGGACATATTGGAACATTATTCAACATATTCAACATCGGGACGTATTCAACATAATGGGACATTATTCAACAATGATAATATTTCATCTTCTCTTTCTTGTTTTGGAACTGATAGTTTTATGTTCTTTTGTTTTTGTTTTTTGTTTTTTGGTGGGTTTTTTTTAAAACAAATCTAACGATTCTCTTATTGGTCTCTGGAAGAGAATGCTTCTCAGAGACTATAGTGGTAATAAAGTCAGTCAAAATAGGAGGATGTATGTTTAAAATTTAAAAACATATCAAATTGATGTTACATCATTAAGCCTTATGTAATAACTATTAAAAAATAAACCATGCAAAAAATTATTTTTTTGTTTACCATAGAAATCCTATATTCTGAATGTAAAATAGTGTTATTATTTAAATCAAGTTACTAATTATATCTATATTAGAAATTATTTTCTGGTTATTTCTTTTAGCCCATAAGAAGAGAAGGAAGAAAACAATATGATTTTCTTAACGAGAGAAAGTTCCAGTGGAAATTATTCAAAATGCTAAGGCTGTTCACACGCATCAAAATCAACTGAAGAAACAAAGATCAACATCAGCAGATTAATATTGTATATACAACTGTAAGTATGTTTTTAGAAGAAAAACATTTTTAGGACAAGAATTATGCACCTAATTATTGAATTAAGTAGAGTGGTCCTGTAGATGATTTAGGAAAGTTGAAAATTTTAAATGTACAAGTAAGCAAATAAACGAAGACCTCCTTCCAGCAAAACACACCAATTCTCAGTCAAATGCTATACGAACAGAATGAAATCAATCAATCTGCAGTTGCATTTTTTAAACATAAAATGCAATCCTAAATAAGTGGTTTTCAACATTAGGTACACCGAAGGTGGCTTCCAAATATTCAAGGTATTTGCCCTAACAGAACTAATATCCATGAAATTAAAGTGCTTGTATTTTTATTTTTATTTTCATCCCTAACTAAGGGATCTCTATTGTTCCTCTCCACTTTAGTCACACTTACTTTCTTTTTATCAGTTTTGTACCAAAGACAAGGAAGAAGCTAATTAAATGGCTTTAAGGACATTAATAAAAATAATCCTCAGAACAAACTATTTTTAAGAGCTGCTAAACTAAATTACTTAGTTACATGGGAATACAAAGTTATCTTAGTTTCTTGGTGGTCTTATATTCAGTCGTGTGTAGCCTAGCTGAAGATGAACTTGGAATGTGAGTACTCATCCATGAGGGAAGCAAGGCACCCTGAATGGTTTCCAAGTTCAGTCTTCATGCTTTTTAATAGAACTTGAACTTTACAAAACCAAAGGAAGGTTGAGCTTCTATCTCCAGTCACTTTACTTTTCACTGAGTGATCACTATCCAACTATTAATTTCCTGGCAGTGCTGTGATAAAACATTCCATCCTATATTCACGGCTCACATCAGGGAAAAATATATTTTTAAAGATATTATTGACACCTTCTGCAAATTTCCAGGGGATTTTACTCTTGGCGGCGTACTTTTATGGATTTATCAACACAGTTTTTATATAGTTGGAATAGTTGAATCTTACAAAGTAGAGAATAAATTATTCCTATACCAGCAATAACAATATGTAATTTGCAAAAGATACAATTTATATTAACATTATCAAAAGATATAATTTATATTAACACCAAATATATTGCTAACTGTATATATTAGTATGAAGCTATATATAAGTATTAAAACCTAGTATTTATAATGTATGTGTATATGTGCTTGGGTATACATATTGAGCATGTGTGTGTGCATATGAAAGCATGCATGTATATGTGTGTGCCTATAAAATACAGCTAACAACTGAGAAAGAACAATTTGAGGGCTAGGCATGGTGGTTCATGCCTACAATCCCAGCACTTTGGGAAGCTGAGGTGGGAGGATCGCTTGAGGTCAGGAGTTTGAGACAAACCTACGCAACATAGCAAGACTCTATCTCTACAAAAAAGTTTTTTAAAGAAATTAGGCACACATGGTTGTGCACGCCTGTAGTCCCAGTTTCTTGGGCAGTTGAGACAGGAAGATTGCTTGAGCCCAGGAGTTGGAGGCTGCAGTGAACTATGATTGCACCACTGCAATCCAGACTGGGTGGCAGAGTGAGATCCCATATCGAAAATAAATACATAAATAAATTAAGGAGAAAACTAAAATTCTATATTGTGTGGCATTGGAAAAATTAAATATGGCAAAAGTATGAAGTAGTCATGTTTAAGAAAATCCTCCATCTTTAACATAATTGTAAATCCCAAGTACGTGCTATCAGATTCCCTACAGATTTCCCTGTGGAACTTACAGAACATATTCTCTCACATAATAAAGACCAGTGCCTTCTAAGGCACGGTGTAGATTTTGTTGCATTATTTAAAATGCTAAAATCTACATGTCGCTGGATTTACAACTTGAGGCCAAACACGATCCAATTTCTATTAAGCAGACACATCCTTGTAAGATGTGAAAACCTCTGGGAAAACAATTGCATTTGAAATTCTTGCTTCTGCTGGCTGGCGTGGTTAGGAGTGAGTTCAGTTTTTCTGCAACAATTATAGTGCATATTTTTACAATTGCCTTGTTTGTAGCTATTGAGTGGTAGAACAGGGAGTGGAGTGTGGCATACATTTGAATCTGCCTATGGGTTTGAGTGTTTGTGTCCCCCTAGATTTGTATGTTGGAACCTAATCTTCAAGGTATTAGGAGGTGGGAAATGTGGGGGGTAATGACGTCATGAGGGTGAAGCCCTTGTGAATGGGATTAGTGCCTTATTTAAAAACACCCCCTAGAGCTCCCTCGTCCCTTTCACCATGGGAGGACACAGTGGGAAGGCACCATCTATGAACTAGGAAGTGGGTCCTCACCAGACACTGAATTTGCCACGCCTTAATCTTCAACTTCTGGCCGTCAGAACTGTGAGCAGTAAATGTCTGTTGTTTATAAACCATTCAGTTTATGATGTTTTTGTTATTGCAGCCTGAAGGGACTGAGACATATGGGGTCCATCTATGTCAACTAGAGGACATACCTCTCAGAATTCCAGCTTTTTAAAATCATAGCAAATGAAAAAATATCCATAAATTTTAGTGATTCTAGAAACTTTTCTGGGAATCTTACCTAGAAAGTCAGCATAAAGTCTGCTCCTTCATTTGTCCCACTAAATTTATACACCATTACAATCGCTTTAGGATTAGAGTGGATCTATTGTCTTTAGCTGAAACAGGAACAGAAAACAGTCCTCTGAAGATGAATGCAAAGATCAGAACTTGTCCAAAAGTGTGCCAACGGTTCCAGAAATTGTAGTAATGAAGACAGTAAGGCGAATACAGAGGGATTAAATATTGACAGCTCAAATGAGAGTGATTAGAACTAGAACTAGGAAACATAAAAACATTTCTTTGAGAGAAATGCAATTACCAAACAGTGGGGCAAAGAGAGATTATCTATCAAGTAGTGCTGGGATACTAGGAAAAAGCCCAGTTTCACATTTCAAAAATTCACTTCTAGAGAGATCTTAAAAAAAGTTCTTGTGCCTTCCCATTTATTTGCTGGTATAGTCTCACAATGATATGGCCAGTTATACTTATGGGAAAAAATAATATTGGGCCATCGTATATTGACATGAGTAACTATTTTCACCTCTTCTGCATGGACTATCTATATATTATATATATATAAAAAACACATATTTATATATATAACATATATATTTATATATATAAATATGTATTACATATATTTATTTATATATATATATATATATTTTTTTTTTTAAGAGACAGGGTCTGGCTCTGTTGCCCAGACTGGAGTGCAGTAGCAAAGTCATGGCTCACTGCAGCCTCTACCTCTTGGGCTCAAGTGAGCCTCCTGCCTCAGCCTCCTCAGTAGCTGAGACTACAGGCATGAGACACTGTGCCCAGCCAAATGTTTCTTAAATAAAGAATAAAAATAAATATAAATAAGTAAATAAAATGATTAAGTTTTTATATTAAAACTTGAAATGCTATTCATTAACAGCTGATATTTGCAACAAAGATTTAGGCTTCCATATGTCCCAGTTTGTTCAGAAATAATAGTGTATCCTTTCACTTTCAAATATGTTTCTTTTGGGTTATAAATAGTTTGACTAACCTAGACATAAACATCAAAGGGTAAATATCTGAAATACATTAAACACTTCAAAACTCGATTGTAAAAAGCCATAAAATAGTATTTGAGTTTCAGTGCTACATTTCAAAGACAATAAAATATTTATGACCAACAAACAAAATACAATCAACCTCATTTGTAACTTGAAAAATAAAAACTAAACTGTAAAACCTTAACATTTTACACCTGTGAGATTGCAAATATTTAGAAATCTGACAATAGGTATGAAATCTCTCTTGAAGACAACAGAAACTCACATACTGTGAGTCAGTGTGTGTTTTGTTGTGATATCTTTGTGGAACAATTTGGTATTCATTATCTGAAAAGTAAAATATATCCTAAACCCATTCTTTTGCCTTCTGGCTATGTTTCCTAAAGAGACATGTAGAATTATGTTCTTATCAACATTGTTGATGATAGCCTTAAAATGGGTAGAACTCACCTTGTAACCACCTGAGAGGTTCTTCCTGCCCACTGCAGAAAGAAAGACCATGACTTTGTAGTAGAGAAAGAGTTTAATAGACACAAGCCTGGCCATGCCACGCGGGAGATGGACTCCTGTGCAAATCATCTCATTCAAAGCTCCTAGGTTAGGGTTTTTTCGAGGGCAGTTTGGGTGAATGGGTGGGGGTGGCCATGTAACAGGAGCCTGCTGCTGATTGGTTGGGGTGGAGATGAAATCATAGCGGGTTGAAGCTGTCCTCCTGTCTGGCCAAATTACTTCTGGGTGGGGCCACAGAAGGGGGTTGTTGGTCCATGTGGAGCCATGGGCGTCTGAAATGCAAAAATCCTGGAAAGATATCTCAAAAGGCCAATCTGCAATGGTGTTTTATTTGCAGGAGTAATTGGGGAAGTTGTGTATCTTATAACCTCTGGAATAATGGCTGACAACCTTTTATGTCTGCAGGACTCAAGCTCCTCTCCTCTCCCCGGGCTGATGGCCTCCCATCAGCTTTACAAAAGTGGGTTGGGGCAAGGCTTATTATCATTTAAACTGTAGCCTAAGTGTCTTCCAAAGTTAATTTGGCCCAATAGCCCAGGAATAATTAAGGGAAAGGCAAGATGGGGATTGGGTTGGCTTAGCTTACTGTTATAATTTTCTCACCGATAATAACTTGCAAAGCAGGTTCAACACATCTGTTAATAGGTGGGACATTAACAGTAACTAAACTGTGTGTAAATGGGGTATCTATGGGGGAGCCTAAGATATACCATCATCCTAAAAATAAGCTTGTGACATAGTGATGCAATAAAGAGAAATGAAGCAAAACTACATCTATAAGTCTGCGTGTGTCTCATAGACAAAGCTTATGGAGAAAATCAAGTTCCACAAGAGGGTATGCAATGTGGAGCAAAATTGTGTAGAAATTGAGGGAATGATAAGTACATAATTCCATGGCATGATGTGTGTGCACTGGAAGTAGTTTGCTGTGGCTGCTCTAACAAATTGCCACGAACTTGATGTCTTATAACAAACGTTATTATCTTACAGTTCTGAAAGTCCAGAGTCCTCAATGAATGTTGTTGGGCTGAAACCAGGGTGTTGGAAGATCTGGGTTCTCTCTGTAGGGGAGAATCTGTTTCCTTGCATATTCCAGCTTCTAGAAGTTGCTGCCATTCTTCTTTTCATGGTCCCTTCTAATGTCTTCAAAGCCAGCAACATTGAGCTGATTCTTCTTCTAACGCCTTCTTCCAATTTTAAGGATCATGTAGAACCCACCTGGGTAACGCAGGATAATCTCTTTATTTTAAGTTTAGCCTGTCGACTTCCATCTGCAGCCATAATTCCCTTCATCATGGGATATAACATACTCAAGTTCCAGATAAAATGATGTGGGCATCTTTGGGGATCATTTTTCTGCCTATGACAGTGTATTAGTCTGTTCTCAAGCTGTTAATAAAGACATACCTGAGGCTGGGTAATTTATAAAGGAAAGAGGTTTAATGGAATTACAGTTCAGCATGGCTGGGGAGGCCTCACAATCATGGAGGAAGGCAAAGGAGAAGCGAAGGCATGTCTTACATGGCGCAGGCAAAAAGAGTGTGTGCAGGAGAACTCCCCTTTATAAAACCACCAGATCTCATGAGACTTATTCATGTCACGAGAACAGCACAGGAAAGACCCACCCCCATGATCAATTACCTCCCACCTGGTCCCTCCCACAACATGTGGGAATTGTGGGAGCTACAATTCAAGATGAGATTTGGTTGGAGACACAGCCAAACCACATCAGACAGGGACTGGAATGAGAGGTACTCTTGATCATAGGCTTTGTCATAACAATTTATATTTCCTTGATCTTACAAATATTTGATAAAGCATTGTTAAAAATAAAGAAGATAGTATATTTTTTGTTAATTTCTATTTACGGCAAGGTAGAGAGATTATTGTTTACAGTAGTAATATGAAGTTTATTTCCAATAAAATATATAAGAAATAATTCTAATCTCAATGAGATTATTGTTCACTTGGATGTAGTATAGGGGTTTGTGTGTGTGTGTGTGTGTGTGTGATGTTTACTCTGGAAGCTTAAGGGTTTTCTTCTTTATTCCTGATTTAATGAAGTTTCACAAAATTATGCCCAACTGGCTTGATTTGCTTTTTTCTTTGAATTTTTTTTTTAACTTGCACAGTTCCAATTGAGCACTCTTGGTAGAACACCTGTCTTTCCTCAGTTGTGAGAAATGGTAAATTATTATTTCCTTTGATACAGCATATCATTTTTCCTTTATAATTTTCCCTAAAAAATGGGGTTCAAAAATCTGGATATAAATACCATGTGTACTAAAATGTATTATATATTTTTTCACATAAGATATATTATATATAAAGTATATATTTTATATAAATTATATATATATAAATATATCAAATACATGTAATATCTAATATATGTAAAGTATACATAATGTATAAAGCATATGAAGCTTCTAAAATGTGTACACACACACACACACATACACACACAATGTGTATGTTTATATGTTTTGGGACAATTCCTCAGCTCAATTTGTGAGGTTATTAAATTTTTCTATTACTCAGTACAACCTGTTCTATAGTACCCTTCTTGAGATTTTATTTCCACATAGTTAAAACAAACACACACACACACACACACACACAATCAACAACAGAAGGAAGTGAATTCTCCCCTAGAGCCTCATGAAGTTCTGTGGACACCGTGATGTTAGCCCAGGGAGGCCTATTTCTGGCTCCTATATCTGTAAAGAAATACATTTGTGTTGTTTTAAACCATCAGGCTCGTGGCAACTTCTTACAGCAGCAATAAAACAACCTGACACAATTACCAGTGCTCACCTGTATAAAAAATAATATTGTATAGCACATTAAGGGACAATGATAGGGATACTGATATAAATTTGCCAACAATAGCTACTTTTATAATAGAAAACATCAATAATAAAATAATGCAAAAGATTAAGAACAAAGTTAAATGCTGGATTCCTGTATGTCCAAATTAAAATCTACTGGAGGCTTCCCATGACAAACTGGATTTCATGTACACAGCTTTTGTTACATCCAGTTTAACACTCTAAGTGGATATGCACCATAATGTATCAAGATTTTAAAAATGGTAATGGCTTCAAATTATAATCACGATCAATGGAGTTTTTTGGTATCACATATGCATTTAAAAAAAATCAGTGTGTATTTATGCAAGTATTTGAAGACTGTGCATTTGGTTGTTATCCCTGAAGTCTCTCCCTCCTGGTGCCTTTGTTTTCTGTGCATTTCACGATTTTTTGGCATGATAGCCTATGATTTGTCTTGCAATTGTTTCTGTGGGATTGTGTCAAAGCCTATGGGAGCATATGGATTTGCGTCTGACAGGGGCTGGGGACACAAAGTGTGAGGTCACTTTAAATTAATTTGGCCGGGCGTGGTGGCTCATGCCTGTAATCCCAGCACTTTGGGAGGCTGAGACAGGTGGATCACCTGGGGTCAGGGATTCGAGACCAGCCTGGACAACAGGGTGAAACCCCATCTCTACTAAAGATACAAAACTTAGCTGGGCATGGTGGCACATGCCTGTAGTCCCAGCTACTTGGGTGGCTGAGGCAGGAGAATTGCTTAAACCCAGGAGGTGGAGGTTGCAGTGAGCTGAGATCACGCCACTACACTCCAGCCCAGGCGACAGAGTGAGGCCCTGTCTCAAAAAAATAATAATAAATAAAAATTAATTTATATATAAAAATTCTGGGGCCACAGAGTAATTGTCTATTCAGGCTAAAAATGTACTGCCTGGTGGTTATGAGCTTGCAAGGGTAGATTATTTATCCCTTCTATTGACAGCCGAGATTGCAGATAGGCAATTTTCTTTGCTATCTTCGTGAGAGGGCACATTTCTAATTCACCCTTCCTGAGGTTGAAATGCTTTCAGGGTCCACATTTGTGAGAGTTTTGTATTAGATGCGCTACACTGACTAAGTGTGGGACTTTATGTTCTTTCCCTTGCACTTCATAAGGCTGTGAAAATGGAAGCTCAATTTCCCCACATTGGAGCATTGTGCATTAGTTGAGTGCCAGTTAGTTCTTGTGTCTTGGATTTAAAAGATTTAGCCTGCTAATTCTTTTTTTATTATTATTTTTTGCAGTCCATGAATTGAAGATTTGTTGTTCATTCCATACTTCGTGTTTGCCTTCATCAGGTTGGCATATGTGAGAATGCTAACAAGGAGAGTTCGTAAAGAAAACAAAATGTATTTTAAAACATTATTGATGGAAACAAATTCCCTTTTTTCTCACGCTGTCTAGATGTAAGCATTTAAAAAACATGTATAATTGATGTGTGTATGTGTGTATTTGGTGTGTTATTAAAATTAATTTGGGGTCAGGCGTGGTGGCTCACACCTGTAATCCCAGCACTTTGGGAGGCCGAAGTGGGCCAGATCACCTGACCAACATGGCAAAACCGCATCTCTACTACAAACAAAAAAATTAGCTGGGCATTGTGGCACATGCCTGTAATCCCAGCTACTTGGGAGGCTGAGGCAGGAGAATCTCTTGAACCTGGGAGGCGGAGGATGCAGTGAGCCGAGATTTTGCCATTGCACTTCAGCCTGGGTGACAGAGTGAGACTCTGTCTCAAAATAATAATAATCAAAAGAAGTAGCTCAGTAAACATCAGGTTACTTCAGGTCACTTTTCTTGTAAGGTTTAAAGCAGAGAGGACTTATGCTGACTCAGGTTATCTGGGCCCTTTCTGATTAGTTGCTGTGACTTTCCTATTCTTGAGCAAAACTAATTGGTTTGGGATTTTCCAGCTTCCCTAAAATTTCACTTTTGTTATTTGGCACTTAGCATGAGTGACTCCATTTTAATCTGGTCTGTTGGGACCTGGTATAGGAGGTCAGCCCAAAACAACCCCCTTCCATAAATTTTATATAATGATTCTGTTAGATTAGCTTGTGTGAGTTCTGGGGGGTTTTGTCGTTTGTTTGTTTTTTGAGATGGAGTCTCACTTTGTTGCCCTGGCTGGAGTGCAGTGGTGCTATCTTGGCTCATTGCAACCTATGCCTCCTGGGTTCAAGTGATTCTCATGCTTCAGCCTCCCAAGTAGCTGGGATTACAAGCATACACTACCACACCCAGCTAATTTTTGTATTTGTAGTAGAGACAGGGTTTCACCATGTTGGCCAGCCTGACCTCAAACTCCTGACTTCAAGCGATTCATACACCTCGGCCTCCCAAATGTTGGGATTACAGGTATGAGCCACTGCACCTAGCAAGTTGGTGTGAGTTCTGTTTTTCTGAGTGGATCATGACTAATATACTCTCTATTTTTATTAAATTAAAAGCTAACTTAAATTTAAATTTTATTTTACTTTGGATAACTTCGCATAGTTGATTGATTACTAGTAGAAATCCCTTTGTGCCCTGGAATTAATAGGGCATATGAATTCCAAGAGCCCTTCATTCCTCACCAGTGACAATTACTTGTCTAGAAGAATGATATGTCAGTTCAGCAATTTTCCCAGAGACAAGATACTTTTGTGTAAATAATGGGCAACATTAGCATTCTAACCTATAATATTTGTATGTCTAGAAATCTTTGTTTCCAGATTTAAGTCTTCATGTAAACCCAATAAAAGTTACACTAGCATAAATTGTTCATTCAGTTTTTCTTAACAAATGTGTTATTGATATTTTAAGAATTATAAATTTTAAGTGAGGGTTTTAATATTAGGATTATGGTACCACCAAATATTGAACCAAAAAAATTCCTTATGATTGTTGAGCTAATTCATTATTTAAAAATATATATATAACTCATGTTATGTCTTAAGACTCAAAGTTGGATTAGACAACTCAATTTCCCAACAAATGCAAGTTAATTTCCTGAAGAAGTTATCCCAATAGACAAAGCAGAATAGAATTGTAAAATATCACCTTTTATTCACATTAACATGTCTACTTGTCTGTCAGTGAAAAGAATAATGAAATTCTTTCTCTTTCAAGTCTCATAGATATTCAAAGGATATTGTCAACTCTCCGTTTCTATTTCGTACCCCCTGCCACTGTGTAGTTATTGGCAATGTTGATATTCTGCCATGGAAATTATCTCATTGGCTCATGCATACATCTTTTCTCATATCTTAACATGAGTAAGTGAGTGAAGCCCTAGACCACAAAAATAATTAAATTTAAAGAAAAAAATTCATCATATACATTAAATCAACACTATTCTAAAGCACATATTTTAAGCATTATTGGCAGAGATTTATACTTTAAATGTTGCCTAATTCATTTCAGTTCCAGAGTTGCACATTGAAATTTAACACTATAGAGGAAAACAAATCACAACACAAATGTCTGTGATGGTTTTTAATTTACAAGTGTCTGTCACATGCCTTATGTTTTAAACATGAATGGCATTCACGTCTTTCACAATAGATTTGTCTATTTCTTTTATGCCTCTCATGAGCTTGCAGCATATTGGAGAGTAGATCAAATCTTAGTTGTTTTTATGGAGCAAGAAAACTTGACATTCTACCCTTGTTTCATCTAAAGTTTCAGGAAGATCTGGACAAGTCTTGAAGTCTGTTGTGTACAGTACATGTGGATAAGTAAGAAATTTTCTGGAATTATGCATTTTGTTGGAGGAATATTGAGCTGGTTCAGAAAATCAATATCAGAAAAAAGTATATTTTAATACGTTTGGTGGGTTCTGCTGAAATTATTTTCTTACTCTAGTCACTTCTCAAAAATGTAATGTAAAAACAAAAGTTATGCTATGAAAATCTCAGGAATATATAATGTGTATCAGGCAGAACCTCTCCGCCATGTTTACCAGAATTTACCAGAGGTTGTTCCTTGGATTTAGTTAACTTGTGTTTGTTCCCCAAAAAGTTACTTATTCACATGACCTTATAGCCCTAAGATACATGATACTACTTACAGGTTTTGAAACACAGGCTTTTGTTAGACAACACAATTTTGGTTTTTATCTGACATTTTTGCATATTTCTTCTCGAGCCCTATTGTGGATACTTTCTTTTACCCTCTCTGAAAACTTTCACGTTCTCCATAGATGCCTGAGTATTCATTTTCTTATTTTTGTCTAACCATTCTCAACACGCAGTTGAATTTAATCCTTTCAAATAGTATCTAAAACCCGATTACTTGCCTGTCTAGAAATCTTACTAGCTACACACCAAACACTGATCTCTCTCCTTAAATCTATACCTTGAATATTTAATAAATTTTTATCTTGTACAGGCAATGATCTGACAACTTGTCTCTTAATATGTTTCTGTTTCATGTTTATTTATTTTTAGAAATGATATGCTCACAACGATTTTTGCCTTTTTTTCCTTTAAAGATGTCTTTCTGTTTTAATTATGTGTGATTTTTCTTTTGAGATGTGTCTCTGAACATCTTTTCCCTCCTCTTGTTCCCCTTTTCTTACAAAATCTTTGTTTGTTTGCTTGCTTGTTTTGAGACAAGGTTTTGCTCTGTTATGCAGGCTGAGAGCAGTGGTGTGATCATAGCTCACTGTAGCCTCAACCTCCCCAGGCTCAAGTGATCCTCTCACTTCAGCCTTCCAAGTAGCTGGGACCACAGGTGCACACCACCAAAAATGCATGGGGCTAATTTTTGTATTTTTTGTGGAGACAGGGTTTTGCCATGTTGCTCAGGCTGGTCTCAAACTCCTGGACTCAAGGGTCCAGTCCACCTCGGCCTCCCAAAGGGCTAGAACTGTAAGCATAAGCCACTGTGCCTGGCCCTCTTATAAAATCTTTATGTTGGGCCCCTTCATTCTCTTTATTCTTCTCTTTATTTTTCATCTTTTCTGTTTTTCTCTAAATTTCCTTTGCTTTGGTAAATAAACAGGTGAGTCTCTTGGCTTACTTAGTATAATCTCTTTATTTAAATTATGGGCTTTAAAATTGTGTTTCTTAATTTGTTGAAATGAAAAATAAAATAGCATCCCTTACTCTTTCTATGAAGGGTGAAGAAACTGACTTTAATTTGATATTTGAAACTCTCATTTTAAAGAGTTTTAATATACTTTTGCCTATATACATTTGCATGTTTATTTTTATTTGGGTATAACAATGAACTATATTCCTTATGTTGACATGGTATATCATAATTTAGTTTTATTAAACACCTAGTTGTATTATTTTATAATCTTAATGGTTACTGACTGAGATATTGGTGTATAATTAAGATAAACCAATATAGGCAACATAGATAATCCAAATTATGTTTTTAGGAAAAAGTAAACTGATAAATAAGAATATTAAGATAACATTATTTGTCATTGTGATGAGATTGAGGCAAGGCCAATAACAATTTATAAAACAGAATTATTTCATATATCTACTTTGTCCAAAGAGTAACTTGGTTGCAGATATTATATGAACTTTAATCTTTTTTCTTAGGGATGCAAACCAAATATTTAAATAAATTAAAAGGGTAAAATATTGAAGTACAATATGCATTCCTTTCTTACAAACTACTAACCAAGACCATTAATTAAAGTGATATTTGAACCATTTTTCTTTTTGACATATGGGTTAAATCACAAAACAAAACAAAAACAATACATAACTACATATATGTAATTATATTTAACTACATATGTAAATAATATAGTTACCATTTATGTGGCTATATTTAACTATATCTGTATATATAACTGCCTTTATATATATCATAAAGAAGCAAAACAATTAAAGCATAAAGGATACAATTTTTTTCAGAAATTTGAATTTTTCTTGTTTATATGAACCATTATCAATCACTATAAACCAACCAGAGTACTTGCTCAGTTAAATTTTAAGAAAACCTATAATTCATTAATTAACTTTAAGATTATTCAAAGAATAGCATTCTTATTCTCAAAAATATTCAAAGTAATAACATAGAAACTTTTTGTCTAATTCCAAAGGAAGCGAGGGGAACTCATTTTGACGAAGCAGCAGGAGATGTGGGATTTACATGCATTGCTGCCTACTGGAAACGCTGATCAATGAAGGAACCAAATACATATAATTGAGAGCCGTTGGATGCTACCGAGGAATAGCTGCATTAGAATAAAAGTACTTTATGATTACATTCTGAAGCTGCCATGCCATTCTACGTCCAGCACCATTATAACAATGACATTTGTTTTCATCTGCTTTTGTAAAGGTTTGAATTGGCTCAGGATTTGAGTGATTATTAAGTACTAGTTTTATTGACTACCAGAGCCTCTATTTTAAAAATTATGTATGTAATTTCTAAAGGTATGTTTCTCGTCATTAATTTCATTGCCCTTATTTCAAGGGGCCTGCCATGATCTTCATTTTTAGTAACTTGCTTGTTTAGATTATACACTAGAAAGATGCTCGTCAACTTACAATGGGCTTATGTCCTGATACATCCACTGTAATGAAAATATGTATAAGTTGAGAATGCATTCAATACACTTAACCTCCCAAGCATCATAGCTTAGCCCAATCTACCTTAAACATGCTCAGAACACTTATATCAGCCTACCATCGGGCAACATCATCCAACTCAAAGCCTATTTTATGATAAAGTGTTGACAAATTCATGTAATTTTATTGAGTACTGTACTGAACATAAAAAACAGAATGGTTGTATGGATACTCGAAGTATGGTTTCTACTGAATGCATATCCATTTTGTACCATTGTAAAGGCAAAAAATCTTCAGCCTAACCATTTTGAGTTGAAGACTGTCGATGTACTTGTCCAAGATTATTCACAGGATGTTAGAGTTGTTTTTCTTTCTGTTGTGAGGCCTTCTATAGGTATAATGCTTTATTACAGCCAATAGCTTCTTCTGGATTTATGCTATATCAAGACTATCCTTGATATAAAAATCGTATTTTGTAGATCCTGATAATTATTGAGCTGACAGTGAGTAAACGTAAACACTAAAGCTTGGGAGAAGGAACAGGCTCTGAAATGCGTACGGTTAGATGAAGCGGTTGCATTGTTCCCAGTGGCAAATCCATACGAGTCTGCAGCAAACTCAGTCCTTGCCTCCTCACAGAAAAGAATTTGGCTGAGGAGTGTAAGGCAGAGGGGGAGACCAAGGTAAGTTTGAGAGCAGGAGTGAAAGTTTATTAAAAAGATTTAGAGAAGCCAGGCGTGGTGGCTCACGCCTGTAATCCCAGCACTTTGGGAGGCCAAGGCAGGTGGATCACGAGGTCAGAAGATCGAGACCATCCTGGCTAACATGGTGAAACCCCGTCTCTACTAAAAATATAAAAAATTAGCCGGGCGTGGTGGCGGGCGCCTGTAGTCCCAGCTACTCAGGAGGCTGAGGCGGGAGAATGGCGTGAACCCGGGAGGCGGAGCTTGCAGTGAGCCGAGATCGCGCCACTGCACTCCAGCCTGGGCGACAGAGGGAGACTCCGTCTCAAAAAAAAAAAAAAAAAAAATTTAGAGCAGGAGGTAAAGAAAGCAAAATACACTTGGAAGAGGGCTAAGTGGGTGACTTGAGAGATCCAAGTGCCCGGTTCAGCCCTGGACTTGGGGTTGTATACATTGGCATGGCTTCAGGGTTTGTGTTTTTCCTCCCTTGATTTTTCCCTTGGGGCAGGCTGTCGGCATGTGCAGTGCCCTGCCAGCACTTGGGAGGGTCCGCATGCACAGTGTGTCTACTGAAGTTGTGTGCATGCTCAGTTGAGGCATTTTTCCCTAACCAGTCAAATGTTCCTGCAGGAAGGTCATATACAAGTTAAATTCCTCCGCCATTTTGCCTTTTAGTGCACATGCTTGAGCCCTCTTGCCCAGCTCATGAGACCTTATTGGGAAGCTGCTGACAACCAGCTTCAGGTGTTTTCTCTCTATTGGGAGACTACCTTTCCTTGGTGCTGGCTGTGACCAATTATTATTTTAGAGAGAGAGTTTAACAACCACCTTACCATCACCTGATGGTCACCTGACATTCCCAGCAGGGGAGAGGGGCCTCTCCAGGCTACTCTTGTCTGCCTAACTACCTACTCTAACAGCATGAGTACACTCACATACATGAACTCACAGAGGGTTATTTGGCCTGAAACACAAAACTGTAACAACTTCTCAACCACATATTCTCAAATACCAGGAGATACCAGAATTATCAAGGCAAACACACAGAAATGCAAATTGAAACTAAATTCTGTGTTCTCTACTACCTTAAATATCCACATAAACCTACTGATGAAATACACAAAACAAACTAATTTAAAAGTCTTTCTCTACTACTGCCACCAGTGTAGACAGATAATCAGCTATGTGCAAACGAGAATCAATTCTAAGAATACACTTGGCTAACAACCAGATTCATGACTTAGAAGCCAACACGCTCAATCACCTTAATTGAAATTCACAGATGAGCCGTAAGAAGGTGACCAGAAAACTCAAGGGGTGGAGGTTTGGGTGAGGAACAATCGAAGGTTACATACTCTGTTGACAACCATAATAGAAACTTTTGTGCAGTGACTGATATTTTAAAATCTCAAATATAGACTGTCAAAGAATAACTCAGAGATGTTTATCTGGATAGTAATAATTGGGTCACGTATAAATGACAGAGATGTTAGATCAGTTGTCAGTGGTCAAAAGCAAAATCAGGCTTATAAGAGAAAGGGAAGGCAAATAATTAGAGTCAAGAACATTTGGTCATGCTGTAGATTTGTAGAAATACTGATTAGCTAGCAGACAGAAAAGCGGTCAGCCTTGAAAATTTAATTTTAAGGAAAGCGGTGAGAGTCAGTAAAAAAACTCATTTTAATTGTATATGTATGTAACATCCTAAGAGATAACCTCGTGGCACTCATGTGATTGTCTCTATTTGAAGCTTTCCAGAGTCCTCAATTAGCACCTGCATTTTATTCATAATTAATGCTGGCCTGTACAGAATTTCTCATAACCAGCGCATGGATACCCCTTGAGAATATTGGAATGAAATCATATTAAGTGGTAGGTTCTTTTTACTTTTACACCTTACGTACCATAGTGCTGGATTTTTTTTTCAATGCCAATTCTAGACAATATTTCTTTCCTTCTACCATATAACAACTAGCTAATTTAAAGCATGTACTATCAGCCTATACACACACTACCTCTTTATAAAGGTTACTATACAATTTGCAATCATTTGGCCTTTCCTCATTCATTAAAGACTTTTAGTATGTTGCTGCGACCACAAAATTCATAATTTGAAATACTCACCTGTGAGAATATAGTAGGGGTGGGGCCTTTGGGAGGTCATGAGGGTGGAGTCTCATGAATGGGACGAGTGCCCTCATAAAAGAGGACCCAGAGAGCTTCCTTGCCCCTTCTACCACGTGAGGACTCAGTGAGAAGGCTCCATCTGTGAACCAGGAAGTGGGTTCTCACCAGACACTGAATCTGCCCCGACTTGATCTTGGAATTCCAGCCTCCAGAACTGTGAGCAATAAATGTCTGTTGTTTATAAGATACCTAGTCCACGGTGTTTTGTTATAGTATCCTAAAAGGACTAAACAAGCTTACTCTGTTTCTTTTAGCCTTTTACCTTTGCAATCTTTTGTAATGATTGTAATCTCCACATACGTAATTTTGTAATGATTGTAATCTCCACATACGTAATCACCTACAAATTCTGGCTTCTCAGTTCTTTGAACTTCCGACTTCCAAAGATTTTTTTTTGTTTTTACACACAAGAACTTCTCACTCCTCCTATTGCTTTAACATAGGCATTAGGAATAAATAATACAGACATAATGTGGTTAATGTGGTTTTTTTTTTTGGAAACAGAATCTCACTCTGTCATCCAGGCTAGAGTGTAATGACGTGGTCTTGGCTCACTGCAACCTCCGCCTCGCGGGTTCAAGCGATTCTGCTGCCTCAGTCTTCCAAGTAGCTGGGACTATAGGCACATGCCACCACACCTGGCTAATTTTTGTATTTTTAGTAGAGACGGGGTTTCACTATGTTGGCCAGGCTGGTCGTGAACTCCTGACCTTGTGATCCGCCCACCTTGGCCTCCCAAAGTGCTGGGATTACAGGCGTGAGCCACTGTGCCTGGCCTTGTTGGTTTTTGTTTTTGTTTTTTGAGACAGAGTCTCACTCTGTCGCCCAGGCTGGAGTACAGTGGCACGATCTCGGCTCACTGCAACCTCTGCCTCCCGGGTTCAAGCGATTCTCCTGCCTCAGCCTCCTGAGTAGCTGGGATTATAGGCACACACCAGCACATCCGGCAAATTTTTGTATTTTTTAGTAGAGATGGGGTTTCACCATGTTGGCCAGGCTGGTCTTGAAGTCCTGACCTCGTGATCTGTCCGCCTTGGCCTCCCAAAGTGTTGGGATTACAGGCATGAGCCACCAAGCCCAGCCTTGTTTTTTTTTTGTTTGTTTGTTTCTAAATCACCAATTCATGCATCTGCATTTCTGAATATCACTTCTTATTCATCCAGCTAACTCTGCTAATGCTATCAGGACTTCCAATTCAATGATCTCACCTTTTCATTACCCCTCACCTCTGAATGACCTCACTTTCCTGTTTACTCAATTTACTTTCCTGGTCCAGCTTTGTAATTACTTTTTTACAATACACTCCACTCTCTTGTTCTATTTCTCTTCAGTTATGTCCCTCTGCCCAAAGCCCATGCCAGTTCACGAAACCACTTTTACAAAAATTTAATCAGTGAGAAAATTATGACAGTGAAAGAGATCCAAGCTAACTCACCCCACCATCTTGCCTTTCCCTTAAATATTCCAGAGTTTTTGGACCAAGCTAACTTTGGAACACATTTAGGCTATAGTTTAAATGATAATAGACCTTGCGTAAGACTCAATCACTTTTGTAAAGCTAATGGGAAACCATCAGGCTGCGAAGATGCGAGAAGCCTGAGTCTTCCAAAGGTGCAGACATCCAGCCATTGTTCTGGAGGTTATAAGATATGCACCTTCCCCAATTACTCCTGCAAATAACACCACTAGTGTAGATTGCCTTTTTGAGAGATATCTTTCCAGTTTTTTTCATGTGTGACACCTATGGCTCCACCTGGATCTGCCAACCCTGCTCTCTTATGGCCTCACCCAGAAGCAATTCAGCCTGTAGGAGCAATATTTGAGAGATATTATAGCAGAGCAAGGGAGGGACTGTACTATGGAAACTGTCTTGGATTAAAGTCCACCTCCTCCATTTACCAGCTATGCCTTTTTGACTTAAGTACTCTGTATCTGTAGTTAATAATTTCTCACTGGTGAAATAAAAATAATGCATTCATTCAGTTTTGTTATACAGATGAATCATGCACATAGTGTTCTATTCAAGACTATCATTATTTACTATTATTGTTATTTTGATTACCATTGTCAGATAAGATTACTGCCTCCTTTGTGAAGGACTTCCTTTTCTTAGCCTTTCTGCACTTACCCCTGGTGATCTGTTAGTGCTACATGCATTCAAATGTCATAATACTCCAGTGACTCCCCAATGATAACTTCAGCATTGACCTCTCACCTGAAAGCCAGGGTCAAATATCCATGGGCCAACTTAACAACTAGATAAGAAACTAGAGACACAGCTGCACACAGCTGGTAAGCAGAATTGGTTGACAGGGCTGATAGGGTTTAGCTGTTTCCCCAACCAAATCTCATCTTGAATTGTAGCTCCCATATTCCACATGTGTCATGGGAGGGACCTGGTGAGAGGTAATTGAATCATGGGGGCGGGGTTTTCCTGTGCCTTCCTAGTGATAATGAATAAGTCTCATGAGATCTGATAGTTTTATAAAGGGCAGTTCCCCTGCACACTCTCTCTTGCCTGCCACCATGTAAGACATGCCTTTGCTCCTCCTTTGCCTTTGGCCATAATTGTGAGGCCTCCCCAGCCGTGAGAACTGTGAGTCTATTAAACCTCTTTTTCTTTATAAATTACCCAGTCTTGGGTATGACTTTATTAGCAGCATGAGAATGGACTAATACAAGGGCAGATTGAAGGATTTGAAGATTGGGGTACATGAAGAGGACAGAAAGATATGGAGGTCTGAGTAATTTGGGTTTGTGCAGGACTTATTAAGGAATCAGAATTTCATCTGGGTGGGACTATAGTCATTGGAGGGGTGAAAATGAAGGATGTGGGGGTGATTTCCTGACAGCAAGCAGACTGCTTAGGAGTTCTTTTTGATACTCCAGTGAAACATGGCATTGCTTTGGCTGTGTCAAGGGCAGTGGTAGTCATGGAGTGGTGAGAGAGGAGTATTTTGGTGGTAGACCTAATAGGAATGGCTGAAGGATTGACCACGGAGTATGAGGAGTTTGTTTTGATTTGGGGTAACTGAGTGAAAAATTGGACCCCTTCATGTGATAGTGAAGCTTAGGAACATCTAGCATAAACTTTGACATATTCTGTTGTAGATCAGTCTATCTGGCATCCAAGAGTTGGTTAACTCAGAGCCTTACACAAAGTGAATAACTGCTTAAAAAAATAAAGAAATTGAAAGATGTAGGGGAAAGTGAGGAAGGGAAAGAGTGAGAATGTAATAATGGTTAAATTAGGTCATTCATGCAGTTTCCTCTTCTCCCATAGGCTTTTTCACCCAGAATCCTCATCTTTTGAGGTAAAATCCTATGGGAAGGTTTTTCTTGACTTATTTCGGTAGGAATAAATGTTCAGCCCCAGAAAATAATGGGAGAATTGCATTCTTCCTACTTTGATTTTGTCTGTGTCTTGCTCCCGTACAGATCTGGTTTACAACCTGGGCTTTGGGCTCTGGGCCAATCCCTAATTACATTTTAGATGGAGTTATTTTTTTTTCTTTTATGATTTTTATTGTTATGGATTTCAGAAAGGACGGCAAGGTAAATATGAGTTTGCTCCCCTATCTTTCTCTATAAGCCTTAGACTTTTAAATACTTAGATGTTCCAGCCTTAAAGGGAAATTTATAGCCTTTTTGGAATGCGAGTTATCTTCAGTTCCCGTTTCCTTGACTCAGGTAGGTATGAATAAGAAAGCACATTTCAAGTTAAATTCTAAAGCTCACTTGTTACCATACACATAATAGCATAAAATTAAAATGTTCCCTACCTCTTCTATTTTGAAATATCATGGTTTAATGAATTATTCTCTACTTCAAGTATTTTACTATCACATTTAGTACCTCTCCCGCTGGCCATCCTTGCTCCGAGCAGACATGTTTTGTTACTGGCCTTCACAGAAACATTTTCCCATTTGTAACATCAGTGGTTTTACTGTGAAACATTACCAAATCAAACTTTACTGCTCTGTGATTAAAATGACCTTAAGAATAATCACAGCATAAAGTATCCAACTCAACTCAAACTGAAACTTGACCATCCTTGAAATTTCATGCCCGTGGCCTACAACTGAAATTATTCTTCTGATCTTTTTAACAACTCACTCCCTTTTACCTTCAAGATTATGAGGATAAAGTTTAGATGAATAATTAAAATAATATACAGCATTTCTCAAGGAATTCATGTATAATACTCAAAGCACATCATTCTGAGTTACACCTGAGATGAAATACACCTTTTTGGAGAACAGAATTCATAAAGAAAAACATAGCCAGGATCTAACTCAGAATAAAATTTGTGTGAAGGTATTGTAACTTATTAAGAACCTACTATGTACAAGTCACTGTGCTAAACATTAGAGAAATCATCTTTAACCTTCTCAGTACTCATGAAGGTTGGGTAATATCTCCCTCTATTTCTTAGGATATTAGCCACATGGATCTTACATGTTTTGTTTAAAGAGGTAAATGAAGGATTTGTTCAATCAGCAAATTCTCTACTTGCAAACTACGTTAAATCACCTTTTTAAAATAAAAGTGTATGACACCCAATGAGAGATAGTAACTGCAGTGACTTTGTTTTATTAATATAAAGACATTGAAGTATGCTACTCAGGGAGATGTCTAACCACGACTGATGAGAGGTGACTTCCATAGAATTAGATAATGAACAAGAGACACAAAGTAGTTTGGTGTATCTAAATAAATATGGTTGGTCATTGTTCTTACACATTAGTATTATTATAAATAATTATAAGCCCCCTACATAGAAATATGTTTCAAAATCTTTGATAGCTCAGTTAAATTTTGTCACCAACTATTGCTAAGATGATGGTCATCATAGATGAAAATGCCAAACTCTATCTGGTGCTCACTAATTTCACCTTTCTGATCATCATTATTCTGTATGTTGGACCAGCCATAATACACAAGGCTTATTTTGTAAAGAAGTACATGAGTAAATACATGACCTCATGAATAACAAATATTGCTGAGATGGGAGAGTTCCCTGCACCCCTTCATGGGACTTGCAACAGGGGTGTGGCTCGCTTACTCGGCTGCCGTGCTCAAACCCCTTGCTGGAGGAGGAGCATGCAGGCAAGCTGGTGCCTGGGCTGGGGACAGTGTTTCTGGGCCCTGACCACATGGCAGCATGTAGGGGTGTGTTACAATTAATGCTCTTTCAGCAGATACCATCCACAGATGGCTAAGTGTTAATCAGCTCAGTGGAAGGTCAGGGAGACAGCCTTTTACACCCTGCCCTCTTGGCACCTGGGTCCTTTTCCAGCATTCAGGAAGAATCAGGTCACATGGACTTGAAGGATGGTGAATTCGGAAATTTTATTGGGTAATAGAGGTGGCTCTCAGTGGGATGGGGAGCCGGAAAGGGGATGGAGTGGGAAGAGAATCTTCCCCTGGAGTTCAGCCATCTCAGGCAGAACTCCTCTCCAATGGTCCTGAGCCAAACTCCTCTCAACATTCAGATGCTTCTTCTTTTCCCTCCTTCCCTGCCACATCACTCTGTTCCTCTGCCAGTGGAGCTTGGTGTTTTTATGGGTACAGGATGGGGGGTGTGGTGGGCCAGGGTGGTTTTGGAAAAAGCAACATTCAGGCAGGAAAACAGGGATGCGAAGTTCTCATTTAGGGCTGTGGGCCCAGGCTTGTGGGTGGGGCCTTTATTGGGGAACCGCCCTCTTCTACCCAGTATTTCCCTGCCTCCTGTCCATATCATTGCCACTTATTGAAATTTGGCCATTTTCAACAAGGGTATGAGCATATGTGCTTGGCAGGCACTATAAAGTTTGAATAAACAACCTGTGTTGCTGAGGTAGAGTGATGTATTAGTTGACTATACTTTTTAGTCTAGGAAAGTCATAATGAGGCTTTTAACAAAGTGTATGGTTGGGGATAGGGAGAAAATGAGAAAATGGGACACATGATAATGACAGAGGTTTGGCAGATTTACCAAATCATTGGGTGCACAAGATTCGGCAGATAGCAGGAGCAACAATGACTCTAGTGGTTTTTCACTGGGTGAAGAAATAAAGTAAAGGAGCTTATTTGAAGGGATGCAGATTGCTACAAATCTGTGTATGGTGATTTTGAGATGCAAGCCTATGAGCTAGTCCAGTAGGCAGAGGGGTAATGTGGTTTGGAATAAAGGGAGCTGAAATCCATGCAGCTCCTAGATGTTTAGACACCATTGGTATAAGGTGGTTTGGGAAACCAGGGTCTTTGAGGTCAGCACCAGGGGAATATAGAGAAGAAGCAGAGAGAGGGTAGAAGAGATTGAAACCGCCTTTGCAAAAATTATAGCTGAGGAAATTATGGCTATGACAGAGATCAGACCTAACTGACTCCATCTTGCTTCTAACGTTTAACTTGTCCTTGTTCATTCCTTGGCATAGGCCAAACTAACCTTGGGGAGGAATTGAGCTTATGGTTTGACTCTGAAACAAAACTGATAATAGCCCTTTCATGAAAAGACCCCCTTCTTGCCTGGGGACCAGTCTGCCTTTGTATGACTAACAAATTAGCTACAAATTAGAAATTATGGTTGGGAGCCATGTGGCCTCTGGATGCAAGAGTCTGAACCTCCCCAAATCACTCCTGCGGATAATATCACTGTCGTAAAACCTAAGATCAGTGCTTGAGATATTTTGTAGACCCTGCACTCAAAGGATCAGCTGACACTACCCAGACCATTAATCTGGCTCAACCAGTTCTGTGATCCCACCCTGGAACAGAAGACAGCAAGAAAAGCTCACTTTGATGCCCTATGATTCTCTCTCCAACCTGACCAATCAGCACTTCCCCCACTTCCCAAGCCCCTACCCACCAAGTTATCCTTAAAAACTCTGATCCCCGAATGCTCTGGGAGACTGATTTGAGTAATAATGAAACTCCCATCTCCCACACAGCCAGCTGTGTGTGAATTACTCTTTCTCCATTGCAATTGTTCTGTCTCAATAAATCAGCTCTGTCTAGGCAGCAGGCAAGGTGAACCTGTTGGGTGGTTACAAGATGGCCAATAGTGTCGGTGTGGGTCAAAAACAAGGAGCAATGGAAGATGGCACAGAGTAAGAAAAATGGAAATAATTAGAAGACCATAAGATGATGATGCTTCAATATGAAAGAAATGAGAAAATACCAGCAGAAGGCACATCCTCCACTGGGAATAATGTTCTCTGCCTATGCTGACTTAAAATGTAAACTCGGAAAGAGAAAAGATTCTTTTTAATTGCTCATTGTATTATTCTGCATTAATGGAATGCTCTCAGAAAGTGCTGAATAAATATCCGTTAAATGAATGTGAAGTCAAATGAGACAAGTTTTTCAGAGTATATTGGACTTCACCAGTATGAAAATATTCTACAATAATCTCTTAAGCATCTACTAATTTCTGGACAATAGTACATTATGATATATATTGGTATATTCAAAGATGGACAAGACCCCACCTTTGAAATTTGACAAAGTAATACAACGTGAGAAAAGAAAACACAAAGCATGAATTGTAGTTTTTCAAATAAAATAATTGTCTTTATGCACTGGGAAACACAGAGTTGGGATGGTCCATCATCATATCTGTATTATAAACAATGCTAGTGAAAAGCTTTTTAAAAATTAAATATAGAGCTAAGATAACTAGCAAGAAAATGATCCCAGAGCAATGTAAATAAAATTCTAATATTTCCCTGATGTGGAGCGTTCTGAAGAATGGATGATTGGTTTGAATAGCTTGTTTCACTGAAATCTCCATCTTATATTCTTTCAGTATCAAATAATGATTTTTCAGGAGTTTCTCTATATGTCGGCATAATATTGCACTTATACTTGGGTGATTGCAGTAGGAATCACACTCTTCAATTTTCCATAACCACCTTGAGATTCACTAACTCCTCTTATTTCTTTTTGTTGAAACTACCGTAGCAGCTTTGCCAATGTGCCGCAATGTTTCAGTTTTCTTGTTTGAAGTAGGACCCAGAGTTCTTTGCCTCAAGATCAATAAAATTAAGGAACATGGACACAAGGGTGAGGTTGGAGTGAAAGTTGAATGAGCAAAAGGAGAAAGCTATCTGCAATGGAGAGGGGGCACAAAAGAGGGTTGCTGTTCCACAGTCAAATACAAGGGCTTTTATAAACAGTCTCATGGGATGAGTAAGGTGCAAATAACAAGTTAGGACTAGGGGTTTCATTAGCATAAGGTGCAAATTCCTGACAGCTCCTTACTGTCCTTCTAATGTGCATGCGGACTCTTAGCCTACGTTACTCCATGTTGTTTAATTTCCCTTACTGCATGTGTGTAAGTGGGTGGAATTCTCCATTGTGGACATGTTGGGTTCTGTGTTACTCCTCTTAGGCATGTTTCAAGCAAGCCCCAGCCCACTCCCCCACCCCTCCCACAATCCACATTCCACATTTCCACCCTTCCCTGTGCAAATTCCCTTATATAACTATGTCCAAAAAAGGAAAGCAATGTGCTCACTGAAGCCTACTGTGTATACATGACCCTTGCTAGTTACACAGAAGGCATCTTTATGGTGGACTTTGTCTCCTTATCTAAGCTTGCAGCCTGATCCTTTGGGCTGATCCTTTGTTAGAAAAAAAGGAATTCTACCAAGGACCTGTCCTAGCTATCTGCCTAACTGGTTCCTTTCTCTTTTTTCCTCACTATAATCCTAAATGTGACTTTGCTTTAATTAATGTTTCACATGCTAAAAATGCTGCCAGTAATCCCCCATCTCTCAAGATGTAAAGTCTCAGGGCTGGCATTTATGAAGACACAAATAAACGAACAGCTGCTTACAGTGAAATGAAAGTCCTGGGTGACATAAATTGTAATAATAGGCTTATCATTTGTTCCATTCTTAAACTAGCATATTCAGACTTTGTTGAAAATGTGGTAGAAAGAAACTTGAATTCCAAATTGATTCAAGAATAGTTATTGTTACTCAAAGACCCTTGGAAGTGTTTTTGTGTGTTTTAATTACTTGCAGATTTTTGGGGGGTGAAGGCAGATAAAATAATTTTGGAGATGGTTAAAAAATCAAAATATTTTCAAGCTACAAAGCGTGGTACATTCAGGTAGTACATGTACAGGAATTTTGTCCTTTTAAGCACAAAATAAGGGAGGCTTATTAAAGAATTTTTCAGTGGAGTGGGGCAGGAGGGAGGCCGAGGAACATACACATACTTAAACAAGTTTGATCACCAAGACAGAGATAATTAGCTCATCTGTGGGGGAAACTGAAAGCAGGAATTATCACTTCCACCAAAGGCTTTGTGCTTATTTTTCCTTACATTTTCAGGAAACCTTGAGGACATATTTGACAGCTCTTCTTCCTTACCTACAGAGGTTCTCATCTCTGAGAATAAGGCTGTTTAAACTTTAAAGATTCTCAGCAGGTTGCAACTGTTTCCTGCTCAGCGACTTTATAGTTTATGAAAAGAAGAAATGTGAAAAAGGCTTTTGTTCACCGAGTCAAGTATATTGAGTTAAGAGGTAATGATTCCATTTTGTTTCCTGAACTCAATGCCCCGGGCTCCATAATCCTTTAAACCAACTCTAAGGGTCTTCTCAACTTCAAACATTCTTCCTTTCTTCAGCTTCTTTCTTCTTGGAGATTTAAAAGTTTGGTTCTTGTTTCTTCTCCTTTAATTATTCTCATGATTTGTTAATTCTTTTAGATGTTAATCTTTTATATTTTCTGTACCTCTGTCATCCCATCTATGATAATTTCTTGTCATTTGATGTTTTAATTATGTTGGTCTAGCCTACCAATTTATTATTATCATAAAAATAACCTAACTGAAATTTTCCAATTGCTTTCTAAATTGAGAATACTTATGCTGCATTTAGTTGTTGTTTTAATGTTCATGTGAATGAAAGAATATATCTTTCTTGCTTGTTAGTAATAGAGAAGGTGGAAATGGGAAAAAGATGGTACCCAGGAACATGTTTGCAAATATGTATCACCTAAACTGTGATAAACTGTGGCATCAGACTCTCACATAGCAGGAATATTCAAACACTACACATTCCAAGCTGTAGAAATTTTATGACATGAAACCAAAACAAACAAATAAACAACTAATTGTTGGTTAAACAATAATAAGCATAATAATTTAAAAAATACAGTATACCATACCAATCATTAAGTGTTGTTATTTTGTATAAACTTTTAAAAAAAGAATTAAAACCTTTACAAAGCTATTCAAAGTAAATAAACTACAAATTTCAATTTATTTAGATGTTAGAAACAGAGATATATGCCTCAATTCTGGCCTTTTGCAATGAGTATATTCTGTAACACAGGTATAAAATATTTGTTGTTTTCTATTTAACTTATCGGGGAGAGTTGATAGTCTTGTCTATGTTTCTGCACATTATCTAGTTACTTTCAAAATAAACTATTACCCAAATATCTTGTCACCAGATTCTTGATGATGGCATTTGATTCTTCTCTGTGACTGTCTTTCTCCTAAGTAGATTCACCCAGTGCCAAAAACAACTGTGCTGTTCATTTTGCAAAGCTAGAAATACGTGTGTGTGTGTGTGTGTGTGTGTGTGTGTGGAGAGAGAGAGAAAAAATAAGTAGTTAAAAATCCATGAGAACATTTACTGTAGAGAACATTTGTGGAAAATTTCTTTCTCTTTGTTGAGTCAAATGAGCTCAGATATTCAAAATGTGTGGTTTAATTACTGAATCTTCTAGTGCAGAAGTAAATCTTAAAGTACTTATATTTTTTTATATAAAATTGAAACGAATTGAATACATATTTGAAGACCTATAAAATTGGACAAAATCATGTTAACTTCTGTTGGATACAATGAACTGAATTGATCAGGAAATCTTCCCTTTCATTTCAAACACAAACAAGTACTAGAAATATGTAATAATGCATTCAGGTCATCAACTCAATATCAAGACAGGAAAATCTATAGTTATTAGGAACTCAGTATACTCTAAGTCAAAGTTTTAAGAGTGAGCTGAAGGCAAGAGAGAATGGGGGAAATGGGACTCTAGATAGGCATTAACAGGTGGAAGTTGCAACTTTCCCACCACATAGGGAAGGAATTCGGGCAACAATCCCCCATGAGCAAACAGATTTGCTCTTATTCCTTTTTATTTTAATCACTGTAATTTTGCATCCAACCTAGAATTGTGAGCAGCTTCTCTATAATTGTAGGAGGAAGAAAAAAACTTCTTTTTGAAGGTATCCAACGTCTACCCAGATGGCGGGGATCTGAGAGACCCATAGAGTTCAACTCAGTATCTCACCTTAATATAATGTTCAAGGTGTTTATGATTCACCAGTGGCAGTTAAGACAAACATTATCTAAGAGTCTGAAGATCCCAGCAAAGCCATGGGTATTTACCTTGTAGCAAAATGACAAAATCTGAGCATGAGGTTCTGTCATAGAACAGGGTCTAGTGAACATCTCAAGCTCTATTTTGAAATTCTGACAGACTGTGCTATGGGAGCAGAAGTGAACCAGAAGGAGATAAATATATGAGTCTTGTCAATGAATGAAACCAGGTTTTTTGTTTGTTTGTTTGTTTTTGTTTGTTTTTGTTTGTTTTTTTTTTGACAGAATCTTGCTATGATCTCAGCTCACTGCAACCTCCGCCTCCTGGGTTCAAGCAATTCTCCTGCCTCAACCTCCCAAGTAGCTGGGATTACAGTCACTTGCCACCACGCCCAGCTAATTTTTGTATTTTTAGTAGACACAGGGTTTCACCATGTTGCCCATGCTGGTCTCGAACTCCTGACCTCAGGTGATCCACCCACCTTGGCCTCCCAAAGTGTTGGGATTACAGGTGTGAGTCACCACACCCAGCCAAAACCAGCTTTTAATATGTCCATATGACAATTAGATCAAGGAAATAAATAGAATCTTTTTGGAGAAAGATAATAGCATCTTAAGTGAAATTTTATCTCTCAAAATTATTTTAAGCAGTATCAGCATTTAATCAGGAATTACCTGCTGTAAGAGGAAATAATAACACATGGCTGAAATGAAGGTAGACTCAGAAAGATAATAGATGGAAATAGTAGCATACTTAAATTGCGATAGAAGTTCTAGATATCTGTGATTAAAATGTTTAAGAAATTCTGTGGTAAGGATTATCAGCAGGGCACTAGAAAGAGGAAAATATGGGGTAGAAATTCTTGAATTGAAAACTAAAACAATGAAATTGACAAAAGATTAATTACAGAAGAGAGAATTAATTAAGGAAAAGAAGCATACAGAGACAAAAAGATAATAAAGTAGAGGGGAGAAGTAAGATCTATTTGAAACGTAGAGAAGTTATGTAAGATACATATAGCTGGAGTCCTAGGAGAGAGAGAGAGAGAGAGAGAGAAAGAGAGAGAGAAAGGAGAACCCAAGTTTGAAAAGATAATCTCTGAAAATATTTTAACACTATTAACTGAAGTCACGGACAAATCCAAGATACAAACACCAGTAAAGTTAAATATAAAGAAATATACAATAAGCACATCACAATAGTAAACAGGTTATTAAAAAAGCAAAATAGAACAAACAGAAAAGAAAGTCTAAAAAATGCTGGAGAAAAATATGGCATTGCATGCAAAACAAATATAATAAGACTTCCACTAATTTCTGAGTAAGACAGTAAACTTTTGAGTCGAGATAGACAAAAAATGAAAAATTATGATTGCCTAATTTATGACAAACATTGGATTATAGATAATTTTTAAAAAGCCAGTTGTTTTAGTAAATGATAGAGGAAAATTCGGTACAGAAAAAAACCAAAATTATGTTATACTTTATCCCCACTCCCCCAAAATCTGCTTGAATTTTAGGTGTACACATGAAAATGAAAATGATATTTAGATGGTAATATTGGATGGTATTTTATTCAACAAAGATTAAGCAAATTTTTTGATTGTGGGTGAAAGCAAGTTTATTGAGAAAGTAAAAGAACAGAAGAATGGCTACTCCATAGGCAGAACAGCCAGGTTTAAGCAAAAATTTATTAAAATAACACGAAAAAGCTTTGCAAAGAAAAGACAGGGGTGATAAATTTAACCACTTTAATATTTGGAAAGTTTGATTTTCAATCAATACCATTGAAACAGTACAAACACAAGGTACTGAAAGTAGATTATGTCTGCAATTGAACTTAATATTACATCTACTTAAAAAATGTGACCATATCCAGCATTCACGATGACATACTATTTTAAATCAAGTATATAATACTTAATAAAAACAGCAAAAAAAGAAAAAGAAAACAACACCACCCAAGGACTTCCCTAGGTGGAATATCAAAACATTATCACTAGACATCTGTGTAATCTGTATTAAAATTATACTAAGCCCTCACCTACCAAAGTATCTGAAATTTAAAAGACTGACAATCTAATTAAACCTCTGACATGCTGATGACTTACATTCGAATTGGAATAGTGACCTTAGAAAAAAATTTTGTCTGCATTAACAAAAATTGAACATATAACTTCCGGAGGCCTAAGTGGGAGGATTGCTTGAGCTCAGGTGTTCGAGACCAGCCTGGGCAAAATAGCAAAACCCCATTTCTACAAAAAATACAAAAATTAGCTGCATATGGTGGCACATGCCTGGAGTACCACCTACTCAGTAGGCTGAGGTGGTAGGATCCATTGAGCCCAGGAGGTCCAGGCTGCAGTGAGCCCTGATCATACTACTGCACTCCAGCCTGGGAGACAGAGGTCTCAAAAAAAAAAAAAAAAAGGTGGAACACAGATATATTCCATGACCCAGAAATTCTACTTTTACGTAGCTATAACTCCTATATATATGAAATTTTAAGTTATCTATGCTCTCTATATAAATATATACCCCCAAAATATACCTACACGCACACACACACACACACACACACACACACACACACATTTACTAAAAAGATTGAATAAACACATTTCTTTTTATAAAAAGGCATAGCATCATAAAATTTACCTTGAGGTAAGCCTCCAACAAAGCCTCAAAGTCCAGAAATATAGTATCTTACAGAAAAATTCTCTGACTCCCGTGACATTTAATTAGCATTGGCCAGTACATTAATGATAAAAAACAAATACAAATGTATTTCTTGCTTGAGTTTTAAAGAGGCAATCAGAGTGGGACTGGAAAAATAACCACAATTAATAACTTTTTGGAGTGTACAATAAATACATATTTAGGTAAGTAGTGATTAAAATTTAAAAACATAAAAATGTGAAGAGCTGCAAGTAAAGTGTAATTTGAATTCACTGCAGCTTTGACCTCCAGGGCTCAGGTAATCCTCCCCCATCAGCATCCTGAGTAGCCAACCATGGCTAATTTGTAAAACTATTTTTAATAGAGACAAGGAATCACTACGTTTCCCAAGCTGGTCTCGGACTCCTGGGCTCAAGCAATCCTCCTGCCTGGACCTGCCAAAGTGTTGGGACTACAGGCATGATCCTGTAATGTAAAAAAATTACATCATTTGATAAAATTATCTTAAACGTATTTGGTTATTCTAATTGAATATATGTAGCTTCAGATTATTTAAGGATACCTTTATAAGACAACAGATGAGAAACATCTTTTAAAAATTATATTTTGTCGGCCAGGCACAGTGGCTCACACCTGTAATCACAGCACTTCAGGAGGCCGAGGCGGGCAGATCGCTTGAGGTCAGGAGTTCAAGACCAGCCTGGCCAACATGACGAAATCCTATCTCTACTAAAAATACAAAAATTAGCCGGGCATGGTGGCACGCACCTGTAATCTCAGGTATTCGGGAGGCTGAGGCGGAAAGATCGCTTGAACTTGGGAGGCAGAGGTTGTAGTGAGCTGAGATGATGCCACTGCACTCCAGCCTGCACAACAGAGTGAGACTCCATCTCAAAAAAAATTTTTATTTTGTTTAATCATTAGAATATTACTAAAGTTTCTTGAAGGCTGCAGGTCTCGTTTGAAACCAGCTGTATCACACACTCATTAAACAGCTGGGTGGATATGTAAATAGGTTATGTAATGCCCACATTATACTTATTTACTAAGTCATGCACACAGTTTGCCACTAAAAATGAGGTGAAATAGTTTTCAAGCTGTCGACAATTGCACTGGCGATAGTAGCCAATGATTTCATTCTACTTATTAACATTTTGATATTTGGTTTTAGGGGATATTGGGCTTTGTTGGTAATTTTCACCTTAACAAGTGGCAATTATGTAAATGTCTACTTTATATCATTGTGCTTCTTCTGCCACCCTTATTCTAAACACAAATTGTCATGAAGAAAAAATTAAAAGCAGACAGTTAAACTGTTTCATTTATTCCAAGATAACTCCTCAGTGACCAGTCAAGATGGGTAGGGAAAGGTGATTAAGTTGATTGTATACTTTGCAAAATCATTTCAATAAAAGCTTTCTAGGAATAAAATGAGTTTATAACATCAATTTGTAGATGAAACACCTCACTTCCATTCCCATGGCTTGCTCCTGTTTTTAGTATTTCTGTAGGGTATGCTCTGCTGTAACAAAGATGTCCTAAGATCCTGTGGCTCAAATGAGATGAGGAGTTGTTGATCTTGGATTAAACAACTCAGAATCAGATGTGGGCAGGCAGAACAAGCTGAAAAGGTGGCTTTCTTTGGGGGGTCTTCTAGGACTCTGATTCTGGTCATATTTGTTAACGTTTCATCCCCGGACCCCACAGTAGAGATGGTTTAACCATTAACACAGGGCTCTGTCCTGCAAACTTCATCCTTGGGGACCTCATTGTGAAACGAATGCAACCCTTTCTCCATATTTTTATTTGAGATAATAAACATAAACACGGGGTAACCCATTTTTCTTTGATTTGACTATGTTGACAAAAACATGTTCTACTACACTAAATCATTTCCTCTATTTCCTCAAGACATTTGACATAACCATCCAAGCCAAATATTCTATCTCCTATTTCTCTGTGTGTGTATCATTATTCATATGCATAGACATTCCTGCAACATTTCCAATATGTTCTTGAAAATTCACAGAAGTAAAACTTCCATTTGACTTTCGAAATCTATGCTGGAAGAGTCACATCTGATTGTTATTTAAAGCACGGCTACGTTAGCATGGCAAAATGAGGGAAAACACCTTGGACACAAAAGTATAAGAAATTGCTTCAAACAAATTGTGGTACATGAGCACATGATTTTATTTTCTTAGTATCAGACTCTTATATTAAATGGAGACACTCATAACTATCCTATATAAACATTATGCTGATAAAATTAAAACATTTGTCAGAATACAATTTCAATTACTTTCCTTCCCGCCAAAAATAATTCTGTCAGGACAAGGATAAATGCTTTAATAATAGTTCACATTAAGTACAAATTAGACAACACTGCCTAGATTATGCAACAGTGAAAAATAGCCCACAAATATTCTTGGCTGGTAACAATAAAGATTTGATTTTTATGCATTTTCTGTGTTAGTTTGAGTTTTGTTATGGTGTTTCCTCTCTATAGCATCCTCAGTCTAGGATTCTGGTTGGTAGGGCAGACACTACATGGAATATCATGAAGAACTACAGCAAACAAAAGAGAGAATGGTGAATTGCCCACAGCCACCTAATGCTTCTACCCAGAAGTGGTATACATCACTTTCTTCCTCCTATTTCATCTGCCTAAGCATTTATTTTATGGTGTCCAAAACCATGGGACACAACACTGAACTCTGGTGAAGAGCATCAAGAAGTGCCTGTAATTTACTGTTGTCGGGGATGCAAAATGGAACAGTCACTTTGGAAAACACTTTGGTAGTTTCTTACAAAACTAAATACATTATTACCATACAATTCAGCACCGCATCCCTTGGTATTTCCTCAAATGAATTGAAAACTTATGTCCACACAAAAATCTGCATATGCATATTTATTGTAGCTTTATTCATAATTGACAAGATGTCCTTCAATAGGTGGACAGATAAATGAACTGCGGTGCATCCAGACAACGGAATATTATCCAGCACTAAAAATAAACGAGGCAAGCTACCAAAAGACGTGGAGGAAATGTGAAGGCATGTTGCTATGTGAAAGAAGCCAGGCTAAAAGAGTTATATGCTGTGTGATTTCAACTGCATGACTGTATTAGTTCGTTTTCACACTGCTATGAAGAAATGCCCAAGACTAGGTAATTTATAAAGGAATGATGTTTAATTGACTCACAGTTCCACATGGCTGGGGAGGCCTCAGGAAACTTACAATCATTGCGGAAGGGGAAACAAGGACCTTCTTCACATGGCAGCAGGAGAGAGAACGTGTGTGAGAGTGCAGGAAAAACTACCATTTATAAAACTATTAGGTGATGGGGGAACCGCCCCCATAATCCAATCACTTCCCTCCCTTGACATGTGGGGATTATAGGTCCCTCCCTCAACAAGTGGGGATTGCATTTTGATGAGATTTGGGTGGGGACACAGAGCTAAACCATATCAATGACACTGTGGAAAGGCAAAACTATAGAGATAACAAAAAGATTGGAGGTTGCCAGGGGCTGTGGGGAGGGAGTGATGAACAGGCAGAGGATAGAGGATTTTTAGAGGAGTGAAATTATTCTGTATGGTACTAAGATGGTAGACCTATGTCATCATGCATTTCTGCAAACCGAGAAAATGTACAACAGTAAGATTGAGCCCTAATGCTAATTGTGGACTCTGGGTGAAAATGCTGTGTTAACGCAGGTTCATCAGTTGTAACAAGCGTGCCACTTTGGTGGGGGATGTTGATAATCACGGAGGCTGTGCATGTGTGTGGGGAGGGTTAGGGGGGGAAATCTCTGTACTCTCTGCTCTATTTTGTGTACCTAAAACTGGTCTAAAAAATAAAGTCTATTTTTTAACAAAAAGAAAAGAAAAGTCATGAAGAAATACAATCCTACCTTGTACCCAGACAAAGAAAAGCAATGAAATGCATGGGGTCCTAATATCAACTGCAGAATAATCACTCAATTACTTTTTATAACAAAAAATCCTACTTGAAAAAGGCATATCTGGGGCCAGGCATGGTGGCTGTTGCCTGTAATCCCAGCACTATGGGAGGCCAAGGTGGGTGGATCACCTGAGGTCAAGAGTTCGAGACCAGCCTGGTCAACATGGTGAAACCACGTCTCTACTAAAAATACAAAAATTAGCTGAGCATGGTGGTGGGTGCCTGTAATCCCAGCTACTTGGGAGGCTAAGACAGGAGGACCACTTGAACCCGGGAGGTGGAGGTGCAGTGAGCTGAGATCATGCCACTTCAGCCTTGGCAACAGAGCAAGACCTTGTCTCAAAAAAAACAACAACAACAAAAAAGAAAGACATACCTGGCTAAAATAACCTTAGTGGATTCTAATGCTCTCTGTTAGTAAAGGTCACCAGGGAAAAGGAGTGTTCAAAGAAAAGGGAGCAAAAACATTGAATGCAGATTCAGCCATCATTGCTGGGAATAAGACTTAAATCTAAGCGAGAAGTCGCTGTTGGCAAGTCTTCAATGATGAAGTTGACAGTGAAAAAAAGTCATCACTACATACCTGCAGGATGAATGGAGAAGATTATGACCCTAATCCTGTGTGAACAGTCATTTGTCATTTCTTGTGATGATATTAGGTACCAATTAATAAAGTGACTAAAGTCAAACAAGTTAGATGGATATGAAGATAATGTGCCCAAGAAAATGCCATGAGATATTTGAAAGCAGCTTTCTAGAGAAGACATGGATATTGCAGATGTTGTGAACAGATTGTCTATAATTGTTTTATAAAATGTGCATGTGGTTAACAGCAGTGTTGCTATATCTTATGCAGCACAGGCTATGTAAATACAATTTAAATTTAGATATGCAACTAATAAATTAACTATTGTAAACAAAATTAAATCTTTAACACTCCTGGAATTTAATCTATGTAAGTTACTTGTGCTTGGTTATTTTTTTTTTCAGTGACAGGGTCTCGCACTGTTGCCCAGGCTGGAGTGCAGTGGTGCTATGATAGCTCACTGCAGCCTCAATCTCCTGGTCTCAACCTACCCTCCTATCTTAGCCTCCTGGGTAGCCAGGACTACAAGAGCACACCACTAGGGCTGCCTAACTTTTTATTTTTTTAGAGATAGGGTCTCACTCTGTTGCCCAGGCTGGTTCCAAACCCCTGACCTCAAGTGATCCTCCAGTCTCAGTTTCCAAGCAGCTGCGATTCTAGGCACGTGCCACCTCATCTGGCTGCCAGGGCTTTTAAACTAACAAATAGACATTATTTTTCTATTTGTAGGGGAGCAACATTTAACCAGATCGAGTATCTAAAATACATGAAAATTCTAGGAATGTAATAAATATTGATGAATGATGTATGAATCTGCATTTGACTTATAAATAAATAATTCGTATTGTTCTATAAAGTCCTATTTCTCTCAAATGAAAGTATAAAAACATACCTGCAGCACATCTATCTATCTATCTACCTATCTGAGGTAGGTTCTTGCTCTGTTGCCTAGGCTGGAGTGCAGTGACTTGATCACAGCTCACTGCAGCCTCGACCTTCTCAGCTCAAGTGATCCTCCAACCTCAGCCTCCTGAGTATCTGGGACCACAAGCATGTGCCACCACCATGCCTGGCTAATTTTTGTATTTTTTTTGGAGACGGGGTCTGCCGTGTTGCCCAAGCTGTTCTCAAACTCCTGGGCTTAAGCAATCAGCCTGCCTCAGCTTCCCAAAGTGGTGGGGTTACAGGTGTGAGCCACAGCACCGAGCTGCATTATATATTTTTGAGTATTAAGCAAAAGTATAATCTTTTTAAAGAATAAATGGAAATGAGATAGAGAAATGATTTTAAATGCTACCAATTTTCAAATGCCCTTTCCTAAAGATTATAGGAGCACCATGATTTTATGGCTTATTTAAATGTCTCGTAGTTTTAGGTATCTTTTCCTGAGTATTTTAGTAGCTCCATGATTTTAGGACCTTAGGAAAAGTGCAGTGGGCCCTACAGTGTGATTTAGATCCTGACTGGCAGGCGTCCATGCTCCAATCCAGATACATGTCTACCCTGAGCTGCTACTTGTCTTCCATTTTTGGCTACTTGATGAACCCTGAGAAAAGATGAATGATGTCAATAGGTGAGTGATGTTGGTTTTGGTTCCAAGCAACAGAAGTCCCAACTAAAAGTGACTTTAATAGTGATAACAGAGGCTGGGTGCAGTGGCTCATGACTGTAATCCTAGCACTTCTGGAGGCCGAGATGGGCGGATCACTTGAGGCCAGGAGTTCGAGACCAGCCTGGCCAACATGGTGAAACCCCGTCTCTACTAAAAGTACAAAAATTAGCCGAGCATGGTGGCAGGCTCCTGTAATCCCAGCTACTTGGGAGGCCGAGGAGGGAGAATTGCTTGAACCCGGGAGGTGGAGTTTTCAGTGAGCTGAGATCTCGCCATTGCACTCCAGCCTGGGTGACAAGAGCAAGACTCCGTCTCAAAAAAAAAAAAAAAAATAGCGATAACAGAAACCCCAAACATTGTAGTACATTCAGGCTGCTATATCAAAGTTTCATAGACTAGGCAGCTTATAAACAACAGACATTTATTGGATTTATTGCTCATGGTTCTAGAGGCTGGCAGTCCAAAATCAAGGTGTGGCAGATTCTTGCATCTGGTGAGGATCTGCTTCTTGGTTGATAGACAGCGCCTTCTCTGTGTGTCCTTACATGTCGGAAGGGGTGAGGGAGCTCACTGGAGTCCCTTTTATTAGGATACTAATCCCATCCATAAGGACTCCACCCTCATGACCTCATCACCTCCCAAAGGCCCCACCTCCTAATACCAACATCTTGGAGGTGAGGATTTCAATACAGGAGTTTTGGAGTGGAAACACATTCATTCCATTGCACCAACTATAAGTGGTTTTAATAATGATAACCTTAATAAAAATAGCAACGTTCTTAGCATACGTAGAGATCATCTTCATACTGTAAATTCATGGGCCTGTATTCTTAGATATCTAGTAAAATAATAAGTGTGTGATGGCCTTGAGGGTTCAGGGTTTTTTCATTTCTTTGCTTTGTCATTTTCTGTCCTTGACCTGGCTTCATTAATATTCCCAAAATACTTGCCATGATTTCAGGGAAAATGGCAGACCACAATGTCCCATATTATACATGTTGCCTTCATATTCCATTGGCCTGTAATGCATGGCTCTTCTATTCCTAAACTCTTTACTGGGTGGAGAAATAGAATTATTGTGGCAGGTATCGTACATGAGCTCACTCAACGCCCATGCAAACTTAGTTTTCCTTGTCTTCTCACACTACAGGGCGACAACACCAAGGTGCTTGATTTCCCGGCTAATTCTGTAGTGTGGTGCCAAGTCACTTCTGTGCCTCATATGTGGTCAATAAACATAAGCAATAATTTCTTGCAGTGAAAATTCCCATTCAGATTTTCCTGTTTCCTGCTCAGAACACAAATTGTGTGCCTGGTGGTGGAGTGGGTCTTATGAGAACATGAGAATAAAAAGCATATACAAATGGTGGGCCAGATGACGGACGATGCCTGGGTGCCAGCTTAGAATTACTGCACAAATATAGAAGCTTTCGAACTCTCAATTCCCACAGTTATTGTTATCATTTTAATTTTGCTAATCATTTCCTAAAGATTGTGTTTTATCATACATCTCATAAATGTATATTTTTACTGGCTGTCAAAAGTTATTCTATCCTGTGAAAAGGACTTGCCTTACTTTAAAAAAAAGTTAGAATGTATATGCGTACACACACACACACACACACACACATATATATATAAAATTATAATGAAGTCTCATGTACTTAGTAACTAGCTTCAACAGTTATCCATACATGGGCAAACTTGAGTCGCACTACGGTGGCAGTCCAGGCCTCACTAACAGCTGAACAGGCAGGCCTTTGTAACAACTGTTTCAGCACTGACCGAGTGGTGAAGTTAAATATTAAAAGCTGAAAGAGCCAGTGTCCTCATACAAAGGCTGGAATGTAACAAAAGCCCACCAAGAGTTCTGCCCAGGCCTCTCCTGGGCCTTCAGGCATGACAAGATAATGAAGGAATTCTTAACAGGACCCTTTTAGGATTAAACAGTTTTATTGGGGGTCTGAAGAAACTCCCCAGGCCTCCACAAACAAGTTTGTTGGGGGTCTAGAGGAACTCCCCAAACCTCCATGATTTAGCAGGAGACAAGATAAGGGTAATCACCCCAGCACTTGGACCCATCTAGATTAAGCCAATTACTGAGGCTCCAGAGAAAGGCCTTCAGGACTCAGACCTTAGTTATAGATTAGAAGTTCATCACCAATGTCTTTAGATGAATGCACGCTTACACGTAGACATATAGCTTAGAAGATATACAAGCTCTGGAAAACTTTGTAATTTGAGTTTGTCTGGCGATATTTTCCCCGCCTTCTCCCTGTACCCAGTTACAGAAATAAACTCTCTTCTTTCCGAGTTCATCTGCATCTTGTTATTGGGCTGCCGAGAATGAGCAGCCTGAATCTCGGTTCAGTCCGGGAACACAACCACCCCTTCATGTGTTATTTATAAAAGACATAGTGTATAGCTTCATTCAAAATAATGTGTTACTTGTCTAAATGCAAGAACTTCTTTTTAACACAACCATAACAGCCTAATCACTCTTTAAAATGTAACAGTAGCCAGGCTTGGTGGGTCACGTTTGTAATCCCAGCACTTTGGGAGGCCGAGGCGGGTAGATCACCTGAGGTCAGGAGTTCGAGACCAGCCTGGTCAACATGAGGAAATCCTGTCTCTACTAAAAATACAAAAATTAGGTGGGCATGGTGGCGGGTGCCTGTAATCCCAGCTACTTGGGAGGCTGAGGCAGGAGAATCTCTTGAATCCAGGAGCCAAGATCACGGCAGTGCACTCCAGCCTGGGCAACAAGAGTGAAACTCCATCAGAAAAAAAATAAATAAATAAAATAAAATTTAACAGTAGTTCCTTAATATTATCAATTATTTAATATCGTCAATGCAGCCTGGGTTCATATATGCTCAATTGCCTGAAATCCATTTTGAATTAATTGTTAGAAACAGAAAATAGTAGTACTCCCTTGTCCATGGGAGATATGTTACAAGACCTTGAGTGGATGCATGAAACTTCATATAGTACCTATTGTGAGTGTTGCAAAGTCAGAGATAACCAGGTTCATGTATATCTGTGTCTTTCCACAAGGTCACACTTTTACTGATGCTATTTCAATCATAAAAGCCATGAGCTACATGAAGTTCCGAAGGGGACAATTCTCCTACTACTTCCCATTGACTTGGTAGTCAGAGACGTGGGCACACAGGCTCAAGCCACTCCACAAGTCAGTCAGTATTGCAAACCATGCATAATAATATACTTAACCAATATATAAATGTTACAGATTAAGCTTTCCACAACAAACAAAGTAACATTTAACATCAAGAGAAAGGGGACAGGATAAAGGGTTAATGAACCAGTCTAGGGAGAGGGACAAGGACAAAAAGAGGCCAGGAGGTCCACGGATCTTACAAGGAAGCATCTTCGATGTGGGTAGATGCTTTTACGGCAGATGGTGGGTGCTTATTACAAGTTACAGCAAGATGGGGTCTGTTAAGATGGCTGTTTTAAGCTGCTGAAGTCCTGCTGTTTTTATGGTCACAGAGTCCTCTGATGAAGACTGACAGTGGAAGAGTGTGCTTGGTTACATCCTTATCTGGTTGGGTGCAGTCTTTATTGATGAGGCAAAACATCTTGTTCCTGTTGGCAAGGTACCCTATGAAATATAAGATGGAATATTTTTCTAGGATGAAATAACTTATGTCAAGGGTGCTCTATAGAGTACTAAATACTATATATGTTATTATTTTTCTATGATAATTTTTGTTTGTTTGTTTTAGAGACAGGGTCTCACTCTGTTGCCTAGGTTGGAGTGCAGTGGCATGATCATGGCTCACTGCAGCCTCAAACTCCTGGGCTCAAGTGATCCTCTCACCTTAGTCTCCCGAGTAGCTGATACTGCAGGTGCACAGCACCATTCCCGGCTAAATTTTTTTATTTTTTGTAGAGATGGGGGTCTTGCAATGTTGTCCAGGCTGGCCTTGAACTCCTGGGCTCAAGGGATCCTCCCACTTCAGCCTGCCAAGTAGCTGGGACTATAGGTGTGCACCACCACACCCGGCTAATTTTCTAATTTTTATTTTTGTAGAGACAGGTTTTTGCTATGTTTCCCAGACTGGTCTTGAACTCCTGGGCTCAAGCAATCCTCCTGCCTCAGCATCCCAAAGTGCTGGAATTACAGGCATGAGCCAACACATTGGGCTACGATAAATTTTAATTTGTAAATTAGGCACTTAGCCAAAACTAATAATAATTGACTAATAATAATTGACTTGGTAGTCAATTATAACAATATGTCAGCATCAGCATCACTAGTCTTGTGCTTTGGGGCCACTATTAAGTGACATAAGGGTGACTTGAAAACAAGCACTACAATTCTGTGACAGTTGGTGTGATCACGGAGGTGGCTGTCGAGTGAGTAACAGCATAGACAGCATGGAGATGCTGGACATGGCAGGATTCACATCCTGGGGAGGACAGAGTAAAAGCTTGAGATTTCATCAAACTACTCAGATTAGTGCACTATTTAAAACTGATGAATTGTTTATTTCCATTTACTGTTTTTGGACCCTGGTTGACATGGTAACTGAAACCAGAGAAAAGAGAAACTGTGGATAAAGAGAGACTTCTCTACAGACAAGTTCCACATGTGGTATTGAGGGGCTATTTCTCTTTTTTATATTTTTTTTTAAGTAGGGTCTCCCTCTGTTGCCCAGGCTGGAGTGCAGAGGCACAACCATGGCTCACTGCAACCCTGACCTCCTGGGATCCAGCAATCCTCCTGCCTCAGTCTCCCGAGTAGCTGGAACCACAGGTGTACACCACCATACCTGGCTAAGTGTTAAATATTTTGTAGAGATGAGGGTCTAACTATGTGACCCAGGCTTGTCTGCTGGGCTCAAGTGATCCTCCTTCCTCAGCCTCTTGAGGAAGTTCTGGGATTGCAGGCATGAGCAACTGCCCCGGCCTTTTTTCCTTTTTCTTTCCATTTGTTTGTGGAAGAAAAGGTGGGGAGGGTCTTATCATTTTTCCTGCAGCATTTCTCACATTTTAATCATGGGATTGCATCCCTGTGGGAAACCAAAATGCTGCTTGTATACCCAGCCCCATGGGGGCATATGGCCCTGGGGTGTTGTATAATATGTATAATTATATCCAAATTTTAGCCCTTCAGGAAGACTTTGGAATGGCAGTTTCTTCTCTCTTGGGAGAAGAGATGATATAACTTATTACTGAAATTAGAACAAAGATCTGAATTTGGGTGAAAATTATGTTGAAGATCAGAGAAGAGAAAAAGCCCAGATTTCTGGATTCAGGAAACGTTGGGAGTGGTGATGGTCTCTAACCATCCATTTAGAGAAGAATATCTGTTTCCATGCAATGTAACACCAACTCATTACATTGAAAATTCTAAAAAGTAAGATAAATGGTACTCTGGAAATTGATCCTCAAGGGCTGTAACAATGGCCTTAAGAAAATTGAAACCTTTTTCTTTGTCAAAAGGCAGCTTATTTCAGACGCATTCATGCTAGTTCTGAACTGCTTCCTGGTTCCATAAGCCATGTTCCGGCAGCATGCGGAGGCAATATTGTGGGTGAGATGGAATAGTAGGCAGCCTTTGAGGTAATATCAGAAGTAGTAGAGAGCTACCTTCTCTCAGATATATGAGAAAACAAAATGTAACTACTGTCCTAGGTTGTGGAAGAAAGGATTTTGAATAATATTTGAATCAGAGATGCCCAGGCTTAGAGAATTCTGAGTCAAAAAGGTGCATCCTGGTGCATGAGGATTTAATAGGCACTTTGGGCTTTTTTACACAGTGTCAAACCACAGATGACTCATGGCTTTTTGGAAACCTTTCATCTGCCCTACAAAGAGAGTATCGATGCCAAAAAACAGCACCACATAACCCCCTCCCCTACCCACCCACCTCCCTCCCCACACACAGGCTGGATGCTGCAGAGAAATTAGACTTGCCAGCCTTCTCTCCAGATTTCTACAAGAGAAATAATGCCAACCACAGCACTAATAGATTAGGATGTTGTTGCTAATACTGTTAGTGATAGCAACAGTAATAGTAATGACACCGCTAATAATAATAATACTGTTGTCGTCATTATAGTCACACCAAGGACAACCATCAGGAGACATGTTTATCTTCACTGAGTGGTCCAGGGACTCTGGCAAGTGATTTATGCACACTGTGCCCGTCATTGTATCCATTACTGTGTTTCTTGTCACAATAGCTGCATAGAGTAGATGGTGGTAATATCTTTGTTCTTACCTGATGTATTTAGAAAGTCAACTCAGAAAGCGAAAGCAACGTTCCCAGAGCCACATGGTTCCCAGAACCATACAACTCAGTGATTTGTATCTCTGTGTTCATTAACCACTTGGGTGAATATTCACAAAGTCAGGTTGGAGCTTTTGCATAGTTTCCCCAGGGTGCCCCTGTTCCTAATAAACAGAAACTCAAGATTCAAAGCTTTATCATTACATATTCCAAGAATATTAATACTCTTAAAGTAAAAGCCATGTGCAAAATGTATCATCCAATAGTTCCTGCCTCCAGAGAAAACTCTGTAGACTTAAGACCTCCATTTCCAAATTTGTACATTCCTATAAAAATATATAGCTGAACAATATGTATCAGTTTTATAAATATACTGAAAACGAACACATTTTTAATAGTAAAAGCACAAATGTATCACGTTAAGTTGGTGCAAAAGTAACTATGGTTTCCACAATACTTTTGCACCAACTTAATAAATGGAATATTGTATGGCAATCCTGAAACTTACTTTTTTTCTTCTTAATGATTCTTGATATATCTCTATATAGGTTCAGAATTACCTTTTATATTGTTCTCTGATCGTATTATTTTACTGCATTGATGTGCCATACTCAGATCTAAATACAACATCTAGTAATTGACTTTTATGTTGCTTGGAATTATATAGAATTAATGCAACTTCTAATTTTATTTATTTATGTTTTTGAGACAGGGTCTGGCTCTGTTAGCCAGGCTGGAGTGCAGTGGTGCCATCTCGGCTCACTGTAAGCTCTGCCTCCTGGGCTCAAGAGATCCTCCCACCTCAGCCTCCCTAGTAGCTTGGGACTACGGGTACATGCCACCATGCCTGGCTAATTTTTGTTTGTGTTTTATGGTAGAGACAGGGTCTCCCTATATTGCCCAGGCTGGCGTCAAACACCTAGGCTCAAGCAATCTACTGGCCTTGGCCTCTCAAAGTGCTGGAATTACGGGTGTGAGCCACCACACCCGGCCTAGAATTAATGCAACTTCTAACTGATGGTACTTGCTGAATGATAAGAACCTTTACTATCAATCCTGACAGGAATAAACACATATCATATATATTTTTGAGGGGCTCAGAGTATACACTTGTCACATTTTCTCTCAATAAATATTTAATTTATTTGTTTCCTGACTTCTAAACTGTGTCTGCACAATTTTTTTCTTTGTAATTTTTGATGAGAAGATCTAGCTTCTAGAGGAGTGAGTTTAGTTATGGGTGTATTTGGTTTCTTATAATAGTTTATTCATATGCGTGATTTAATGTTTATTGGTTTATTTTCAGAAAGCAAACTGAATTAATATAAAAGCCTGTTTTCCTAAATAACATATATTTCTAACATTATTTTATTAATTTCCTTTGAAGCCATTTTTAAATTTTTGTTTCTAAAATCCTCAGAAAATTTATTATTTCATTCTTTTTTGATCAAGCAACATTTTTGAACCTATGATTTTCCTCTGAGTATATTTTCAGTGATATCCCATGAAATTTGTCTTATGGTATTCTAATATTATATTGTTCTCCTTCTTCAGATAGTGGGTTCTATTTATTTTTTATTCTAGTAGGTTTTTTCTCCATAGTTCCTATGTGATTTTTAAAAAATTCCCTTTTAATTCATTTTGAGTTCTATCACATTATGGTCTGAAAATATGACCTATACCAATTCTACCTCACAGCTTTTACTAGAAGTATTCCATTGGCATTGGAAAATAAGGTAAATTTTTAGTTTTATAATGTAGGTATAGTTTATATACATATGAGGAGGTACATATAATATGTATGCACGCATATTTGTATTTTCAAATTTGAGTAATTTTAAAAATTTTGTGCTTGTTTTTATCCATATATGTTTTTAAACACATCTGATAGTCTGGCTTTGTAGTTAGTGAGATGATTGCATTTACATTTTCTTGTTAAGAGCCATTTGGGTCTTGATTCTGCCATGTTTTATTTTGTTTTTGTTCCCTTTAATGGACTTTGCTCTTTTGTTTGACACATTTTGTTGTATGGGCCTATACTCTCCAAAACAACTCACTTACCTTTTTCACAATGTGACAGTGTCTGTCTATTTATTTTTCTTATTTCTAATTAGTTACAATTAATCTTTTTATTTTGAAATAATGGTGAATTCACATGCAGTTGTAAGAAACACAAAGGGACATTGAATGCACCTTTTATTCACTTGACTGCAATGGTAACATCTTACAAAAATAAACTGCAATCTCACTGGTACAGATTGCATGCTTGTGTCTTCCCAAAATTCAGATGTGGAAGAACTACCTTCTAATGTGATGGTATTAGGTCATGGGGTATTTGGGAGTCATCCATATTAGTGGAGGTGGGTGGTGAGGCTGGAAGGTGGTGAGGCTGGAGCCCTCCTGAAAGGGATTCGTGCCCTCATAAGTGTCCTAAGAAGGCTTGTTTTCTCCCTTCTGCTATGCAAGGACTGAGAAGGCAGATGTCTAAGACCCAGAAGCATGCTCTCACCACAACCTCATCGACCATGCTGGTGCCCTGACCTTGGACTTACAGCTTCCAAAACTGTGAGAAATAAATTTCTGTTGTGTGTAAGCTACCTGATTGATGATTGTATTAGTCTGTTCTCACACTGCTAACAAAGGTGTACCTGAGACTGGGTAATTTATAAAGGAAAGAGGTTTAATGGTTTCACAGTTCCACATGGCCGGGGAGGCCTCACAATCACGGCAGAAGGCAAATGAGGAGCAAAGTTGTGTCTTACATGGTGGCAGGCAAGAGAACTTGGGCAGGCGAACTCCCATTATAAAACCATCAGATCTCATGAGACTTATTCACTACCATGAGAATAGTATGGGAGAAACTGCCCCCATGATTCAATTATATCCACCTGGCCCTGCCCTTGACACGTGGGGATTATTATAATTCAAGGTGAGATTTGGGTGGGGACATAGCCAAACCATGTCAAAGATCATTGGTTCTAGCTGCCTGAATTGACTAGGACAATCATGATTAGAATATTGGCATTGATACCATCAAGATATGGAACTTTCTGTGACTGTAAGGACCCACGATGTAGCCATTTGCAGGGGATTACAAACATGAGCCACCACACCTAGCCAGGAATGAAGTATTGATCTACACAAAACCTGGAGGAATTGCAAAAAAAAAAATTCTGTTTTGTGGTAGTTTACACACAACAGAAATTTATTTCTCACAGTTTTGGCAGCTGGAAGTCCAAGGTCAGGGCACCAGCATGGTGGATGAGGTTGTGGTGAGACCCCTCTTCCAGGTCATAGACAGTTACCTTTTCAGTCCTAGCACAGCAGAAGCGAAAAAGCAAGCCCTCCCAGGACCCTTATGAGGGACGAATCCCATTCAGGATGGGTCCAGCCTCACCACCATGTCTATACCTTGTCATTTTAAGAACTGTATATACATGGACTCTTACAGTCTGTTATCTTGTGTTACTGGCTTTTTTCACCTAGCAAATTCTTCATGATTCATCCAGGTTTTGTATAGAGCGATAGTTCATTCTTGGGTAGGCATGGTGGCTTACATCTGTAACCCCAGGATTTTGGGAGGCCAAGGTGAGAAGATCACTTGGGCCCAGGAGTTCCAGATTAGCCTGGGCGATATTGTGAGACCCCATCTCAGACACACACAAAAGCTCATTCCATTAAATAATGAGTGGTATTCAATGGCGTGAATGTACTGGTTTATTGATATCTTTACCCACTGAAGTGCATCTGGAAGTTTGGACTCTTTTAGTATTCTATTTGACTATTTATTTTGTTATTTGGATTAAATCTCTCTTGCAACCTCACAAAGACAGTCTCTCATGACATAAGTGTATATGATCTATCATTAATTTACATGTTTGTATTATATATTATGTCCTTATGACACATGCTTATGCATTTATTCTGTGTTCTTTTACTACCCTACCTATAAAACAGAATCTGTCATTTTCTCCATATGAAAGACAAGGGCACTATAACATGTTTACTTCCTCCTCTTCTAAAATTTTAGTTTTCATCTCTGGAAATTGTGTTCAACAGAATTATAGAAAAAATGTTTTCTTCAGGTATTAGAACATTATATTCTATGCCTGAATATTCAGGTTCTCCTCTTTTCATTTCAAGCCACTTGATTACTTAACTTCATTTTTTTTTTCAAATTGCTTTGAAACATTCCAGCATGAAAAATAGGAAAGATAAAAAATGAAGAGGGAAATATTTTAGTCTGTGATTTAATTATGAAGTTGAAAATATCAACAAGGGACTGGATAAGGGCAAATATGGAAATATATGTCTCTCTCTGTGTGTGTGTGTGTACCTATATATGTATATAGACATATATATGTGTGTGTGTATACATATATATATGCACACAGAGAGAGAGACATTTCTGTATTTGCCATATATGCCTATATATATATAGGTATGCACACACATATAGAGACATATTTTATATATCTCTCTCTCTCTATATATATATATATATAGAGAGAGAGACATATGTGTATATTTACATATATATATATGGAGAGAGAGAGAGTTTCGGTTTGGTATTATGATACTTCATTTTGGTTTTCACTTAATAAGAGACTGAAGTTAATCACAGACCACTTACCATAATGTGTAATTTCCTTTCTTTTTTTATTGTGATAAAATACATATAACATAAAATTGATGACCTTAACAACTTTTACATATACCATTCAGTGACAATAAGTATATTCCTGTTGTTATACAGCCATCATCACCCTCCAACTCCAGAACTTTTAAGTCATACCAAACTCTGTACCGAGAAACCACAATTCTACATTAAACTCTTCCCAAGCCCATGGCAATTACCATTCTACTTTCTCTATATATAAAGTCAGCTACTCTAAATAACTCATAGAAGTGGAATTATATAACATTAGTCCTTTTGTGACAGGCTCGTTTCACTTAGTGTGTTTTCAAGGTTCATCCATGTAGTATTATGTGTCACAATTTCTTTCATTTTAAAAGCTGAATAAGATTCTATTTTATGTACTGATACAATTTGGCTGTGTCCCCACCCACATCTCACCTTGAATTATAATGCTCCCCATGTGTCAAGGGCAGGGCCAGGTGGAAATATTTGAATCATGGGGGCTGTTTCCCCCATACTGTTCTCGTGGTAGTGAATAAGTCTCATGAGATCTGATGATTTTATAAATACGAGTTTCTCTACACAAACTCTTTCTTGCCTGCCACCATATAAGACATGACTGTGCTCCTCCTTGCTTTCTGTCAGGATTGTGAGGCCTCCCCAGCCATGTGAAACTGTGAGTACATTAGACATCCTTCCTTTATAAATTACCCAGTCTTGGCATGTCTTTATTAGCAGTGTGAGAACAGACTAATACATGTATATACTGCATTTTTTTGTCTATTTTTTGCCATTGTACACGGGTTGCTTCCATCTCTTGGGTATTGTGAGTGATGCTGCTATGAGAATTGGTGTAGATATATATTTTGAGACTCTGCTTTCAATTTTGTGGGGTATATACGATCAGGGTTCAGAACCTGAGACCCCCAAATATGGCACCTTAGCATACTGAGTGTTTTAAGCTGAAGGACATTGAGAAAACCACAGAAAACAGGAAGGTTACTCTGAATTTCTCCCTCCTTCTCTCCCTGAAAATAGGGCACAACACCCTTATTCCACATGGGTCCTGTCCTGTATCTAGAGGCCAAGAGGAATTTGAATATGAAGCTCTTGCTAAGGTCACCTTAACCCTAACCCTAACCTTCCTTACAATTAGATCATACTTTCTTGTTCTGCAATTATACTTCCTGGCTATTCTCTATATAAATACGGGTATTCCTGGGTCTTTGGATCTTACTTCTGAAGGCTCCCATGCTTCATAAACTTATATTAAATACATATATATGCTTTTCTCTTGTTAATCTGTCATTTGTCACAGGAGTCTCAACCATGAAAGTTGTGATGGGTAAAAAGCAGATCTTACTTTTACTCCCCTTTAATACCTGTAAGAGGAATTGCAGGGTTTCATGGTTATTCTATTGCTAAGTTTTTGAGGATCCTCTTTCAGGAAGAAAAAAATATCTTTTTTTCTACACATTCACAGTTTTATGGCTGACGACCTAAAACTGCCTTTGCAAAAATGATAACTGAGACAATTATGACAGTGCAAGAGATCTGACCTACCCAACTCCATCTTGCCTCTAAACTCCAAGCTGTCCTTGTTCATTCCTGGGTAGAGGCTGAACTCACTGTGGGAAACATTTAGTTTATAGTCTAACTTTGAAATAAAGACAATAACAGCCCTTTCCTCAAACAAACTCCCTTCCTGCCTGGGGACTAGACTGCCTTTGCAGGAGTAACAGAGTAGCCACAAGAATAGAAACTATAATTTAGGAGTTATGCAGCTGAAGGCTACACGATTGTAAACTTCCCCAGATTGCTCCCGGGGATAACATCACTATTGTCAAACCTAAGATCAGTGCTTGAGATATTTTACAGACCCTGCACTGGATGGATCAGCTGGCACCACTCAGACTGGTAAACTGACCCATCTGATCTTGTAGCTCCCACCCAGGAACTGACTCAGAGCAAGAAGACAGCTTTGATTCCCTATGATTTCATCTCCAACCCAGACAATCAGCTCTCCAGACTCAGTGCCCTCCTACCCACCAAATTGTCTTTAAAAACTCTGATCCCTGAATTCTCAGGGAGACTGATTTGAGTAATAATAAATCTCCAGTTTCCTGCACAGCCAACTCTGCATGAATTACTCTTTCTCCATTGCAGTTCCCCTGTCTTGATAAATTGGCTCTGTCTAGGCAGCAGGCAAGGTGAACCCGTTGGGTGGTTACAGTCCCTTTAACAAAGAAAGATTAACAAAAGAAAAATATACATATTTACTAAATACATGTTTTGTGTGATACAGGAGCCTTCCCAAAGAAATGAAAACTTCTAGAAACTGTTAAACCTGAGTGGTTTTTTATAGTAGGTTTGATAGAAAATCGAGTTGTGGGGAGATATAAGAGGATAAAAGGGTCTCATCTAAGATAAGAACCTGTGGGAAACAGTGTGGCCTGTGAGTTCAGATTCCTCTCTGTGTCCCGTGTCTTCAAAGATAAGAACTTTTTTTTTTTTTTATGTGTGTTGGGAGGGCACCTCTCTCTTGAGGGCCTATGACCAGCTTCAGGGAGGGTCAGAAAATCCTTCCTAGGTTTTAGGACCACCTCAGAGAAGTAGGGTGGGGACATGTCAGAGGCACTTTCTTGCTTCTGTGGTTTTCTCAAATTTCTTTAGCTTAAAATACGCTGTATGTCAAGGTGCCGTATTTTAAGGTCCCCATATATGAGCCCCACCACCATTAAACTGTTTTCCATAGCAGCAGCAGCATTTTGGAATGGGAGAGTTCCCTGACCACCTTGTGGGACTTGTGTCACGGTTGTGGCTTGTTTGCTTGGCCTCTGCACTCTCAAACTCCTTACAAGGGCGGTGGGGGGCAGCACGCAGACAGGCAGGTGCAGGAGCTGGGGCGAGTGCTTATGGGCTCCAGCCCCACAGTAGCACCTAGGGGTGTGTTATAATTAATAGTCTTTTCTCAGTTGTCCTCCGTGGATGGCTAAGTGTTAAACCAGGTCAGTAGAGAGTCAGGGTGATAGCCTTTTACACCCTGCCTTCTTGGTACCCGAGTCCTTGTCTGGCATCCAGGGAGAATCTGGTCACATAGACTTAAAGGATGGTGAATGAAGGGATTTTATTGAGTGTTGGAGGTGGTTTTCAGTGGGATGGATGGGGAGCTGGAAAGGGGATAGAGTGCGAAGATGATCTTCTCCTGGAGTTCTGTCATCCCATGGCCAATCACCTCTCTGACCGTCCCCAGCTCAATTCCTCTCAATGTTCAAATGCTCCTTTTCTTCTCTCCTTCTCTGCTGTGCTGCTGTGCTATTCTGCTTCTCTTTTGTTCCTCTGACTGTGGACCTTGGGGTTTATATGGGCACAGGATAAGGGCATGACAGGCCCGAGTGGTTTTGGGAAAAGCAACATTTGGGCACAAAAACAGGAATGCCTGTTCCCATTTAGGGCCACACATTTCCAGTCTTGAGGGTGGGGCCTTTTCTGGGGAACCACTCTCTTCTACCCAGTATTTCCCTGCCTTCTGTCTGTATCAATTTTAATTTCTCCCAGCAATGCACATGGTTCCAGTTTCTCCAGGTCCTCACAAACACTGGTTATTTTCTGTGCTTGTGTTTTGATAATCGGGTGTAAAGTGGTGTCTCACTGTGGATTTGATTTGCAGTTCCCTCAGGATCAATGATGTTGAGCATCTTTTCATGTGCTGATTGGACATCTAGATATTATATCCTTTGCAGAAACGTGTATCCAAGTTTTATGCCATTTTACTTCATGCTTCTTGAAACAAGACACGCAGGCACATTTTATTCATCTGTAATGCAAGGACTCATATATTTTGTGAAGCACCTCCAATTTGGTTTAACTTTATGTATATTCCTTAACCTCTCATTTCTGCAGTGCTGTTGTGCTGCCACCAGATGTCTGTGCAGAGTGCAGGTCAGTTAACACATTATCACTTGCAAGTGAATTGTTAGTACCAGGCCACCAGGGCTGAATTTCTCTGTGAATGCTACTAAAGAAACATGGAACGACTTCTGAGGGACTCGTTAAGAAGGCCTTGCAATTGATTTTTCATATGCATGTTCATATTAACAATAACGTCTACTATTCCTCAATATAGTTTTTAGTCTTTGTTGCAGCAAAAACTATGTGATGAGTGTTTGCCCATTACCTTTTACAGTGAACATATTTTAACTTATGAAGGCGGCTCCATTAATGCATGACATCTTCAGGCAACAGTACAGAAAAATAACAGCAAGAACCTCACAAATTCAGTATGTTCTATTTCTTTATGTTGAACTTGGAAAATTTCATATAGACTGGTGCATCTACAGTGTTAAATGGAAGACTGCAAGTTAAAATTGGTTCATTTATTACATCTCTTACATTCCTGTGGGATGATAGATTAATTATGAAAAGATTATTTATTTCTTATTATTAATGAGCACTAGTGATTTTTTTACGTTTAAAAAATCTATAATCTACTGTTACTTTCCTCCTCACCCTTTCCCGAGAATAAAATTCCCTAGAATGAAATAGGAGAAACTAAATACTGCTCTGGTGAATAAGGAAAGCAATTTCCACATAAATGTAGAAAAAAAACTGATATACATTTCTTCATTAATCACTATTGTATTAGAAAAACTGAATATAAATGAATGTTCCCAAAATCCTTAACCATGCCAAGGATACAGCTCAAAAAAAAAAAAAAAAAAAAAAAAAGAGAAAAAAGTGAGCAAATAAAATGTAAAACTAACAGGTGTCTCCAGATATAAGTTGCAGGATTAAACTTGCCATGGAGTCATGACAAATATTTTCCTTAGTGTTTGGAATAACATGAACCCTTTCAAACTCCAGCCTTGCTTTCCAAGAATGAAAATGATAGAGTTGCTTCAAAATGTTAAAGAAAGCTAAAGTGTACTTCTAGGGATAGTTAGTACCATTCCCTATGGTCAACAAATGTATACAGTATAATTCAAGTTAGGGAGTCACACTGGTTTCAGTAAGAAAACTATGCTATAATAGATATCCTATCTGAAACATAATTTCTGCTATAATATATAATATCTGAGGACTCCTTTGGAAATATAAGCCTAGTCTTCACTCTCCCTTGAAATCATGGAATGGATTTGGCTTTCCCACCATTGGATTTTATAATTTTATGTCTTGCGTTTACTCAATGTTTATGGAGTTCTACTAGCACAAATACTATGTTTTTAGTAATGTTTTGTTCAAATCCAGTGATGCGAAGAATTGGGTTATACTGATCTCCTTCCTGTATGGGCAATATTTGGGGACCACAAAAGTTCTAGCACTCCTCACAAATGCTTGAAATAAAACCATTTGAAACTTAATATAGCCTACAATGTAAATCAAGCTAAGGATTATTATTTTGGCCCTTGAGGGGCAGGTTGAAACCATATTAACAAAAAGAACAGCTCTCTCCACAGCAGCAAGGTGATTTAAAACTTGAGATTGGTTGCAGTACATACCAAGAATGAAAGTTTTGTTCAGTTCAATGCCATTTTGTGTGTACTCGAGAAGAATAACAAGAAACAAATTAAATTTCGAGAAGCATATGTTGGGACTCAGAAAAAAAGTATCCCAAAATGAAGGCCTCAGAAGAAGTCTCAGAAGCAAAAGTTTCTTTCTGACCTTCTCCTTCTGTATTAGTCTGTTCTCACACTGTTAATAAAGACATACCCAAGACTGGGTAATTTATAAAAGAAAGAGGTTTAATGAACTCACAGTTCCACAGGGCTGGGGAGGCCTCACAATCATGGCAGAAGGCAATGCAGGAGCAAAGGCACATCTTACATGGTGGCAGGCAAGAGAGTGTGTGTAGGGGAACTCCCTTTTATAAAACCATTAGCTCTCCTGAGACTTATTCACTATCACAAGAACAACATGGGAAAGACCTGCCCCCCATGATTCAATTACCTCCCACCAGGTCCTTCCCATGACACATGAAAATTATGGGAGCTACCATTCAAGATGAGATTTGTGTAGGGGCACAGCCAAACCATGTCACCTTCCCTCCTGTCTCTCAGTCCCACTCTCCCCCGAGGCACCATAGAAACAAGAATCCATCTTTCCCTCCCCTTCCCCAGATTTTAGAAACCAAAACCCCTTTTCCCCAAAGTCAGCATAAAATCTAAAATTCTGGCTATAACTTTCCCACTGATTTTCTGTGTAAAAACTGGCTATAAAAAATTCCCCGACCTACTTTGTTTGCCTCTGGGTCCTAGTACTCCCATTCCAGAGAGGGCCCTGCCTCACACCCAGAAGGAAGAAACACTGCTCAGAAAGGCCAAGAAGAATCTAGACAGACAGTCCTGGCTGGGTTTCCCCACTCAATCCACTAGCTTTAGATCAGGTCCTTTTAGTCTAATATTATTTCTACATGGTTATCCATAGTTTGTTGAACCTAAGCATAAAAATGGACAGTTTCCCCCATATCGTTGGGTCTTCCTTCTGAAGGCTCCCATGTACACATTAAATAAATTTGCATGCCTTTTCTCCTATTAACCAGTCTTTTCTCAGTAACCTTCAGGGAAACTTCAGAGGGTGAAGGGGAAGTTTTTTCTTGGCCCCAACAAACACATAGCACTCTATTGCTTTGTATAATTGAATAAAATATAATCACATAAAATAAAGAGAGAAACTTCAGAAACTAGAAGGAGATTTGAGCAGTGTGCTTGGAAAAAAAAAAAAAAGAGGTTGCAGTCACCCATGTTTGAATAATTAGGGAAGTGAGACATTTAGAGAGGAAGGCTAGAAAGCATTTTTGAGTCGCTTGTCAGGTAATTCATCTGCATTTCCTCTTAAAGGCTTCAGTAAGAATCTACATAGTTCATCAATCCCTTTGGAGTTTAATGTTATTTAATTAATTTATTTATTTTGCCCCTGGTTAAAATGACTGCAATGAGTCATACTTGAGTAGGTGACATTTTTTGCCCAGGTTACAGCAAAAGGAGGAGTTATTTATGTTTCCTGGACAAAAAAAAAATCACAAGGAAATCAACCTCCCCATTTTCAGGAGATGTAAGGACCTCTTGGCTTGCTCATGGGGCTGGAGGGAAGGCTAATTTTGAATCAGAGAACTCACCCACTCACATTTTCTTCTACACATAGGAACACAGCCACATTTTCTCTTTCAAAATCTTTAAAGCTGCATGAAGGAAGGCATAAAAGCATGAATTGGTGGAGGTCACAAGACCAATGAAAAGACAGGGGATCTGAACAGTTTTCTCTGGTAATGAAAAGGGGCTATTTGGGGGCTTGTCAGAGGGAATACTAGAAACATAATGATTTCAAGAAGCCAGAGGAAGCTAACTCCCAATGCTGGAATCCCTCCTTCCCAAAGAATTCCAGGATTTCACTTCTGCCCTTCAACTGATGACAGCAATCAATCAACACAAGAAGACCTTGACTTTAGATTTTCTATAGGGACCTTCCCTCTGAATGCTGTTAGATACTTCAGAACAACAACAACAGAAACACAAATAAATTTGCCTTTATCATCTGCTGGTGCATGACATGTTTGTTTTGGACATCCAGGAAAAGCTGAAGATACTTAGGAATTTAGTATTTCTCAATATTCTGAGGGGCATAGAGGAGAAATGAAAATTTCCCCCTTGCCCTCAGAAGGTCGGCTGAAAAATCAACTCATAAAAGGCAGATTAATTGGAGAAAAGGCAAACATATTTATTTGATTATAGTTTTAGGTGACGTGAGAGGCTTCAGAATGAAGACTCAACTCCTCAGTGAGGTGCAGAAACTTATACTACCATACTGAGGTTACAGAAAGAGTGGGGGCTTGTGTCCTGGCAAAACAGGTTATAGGAGCAGGGAGAGAAGAGGAATTCTGTTGAGATGTAATGAATGATTAATTACTAGGGATAATTCAGTGGCTTGAAGAATACACAATGGCTTGGGACAAAGTCTGTTGGGACTGCAGAGAGGACAGAGGTTTGTGACAAAAGTCCATCCATGTGCATTGACAGATTTCAGTGTTTCATCCTGCAGTATGGGTTCGGTTAATCCAACCTCAGAGAAGGGACTGGAGGTCATTGTTTTCTTCTTTGGCAGGTGTGGCTTTTAGGCAAAGATACAGTTTGGCTGTGTCCCCAGCCAAATCTCATGTTGAATTGTAAGCTTCAGCATTGGAGGAGGGACCTGGTGGGAGGTGATTGGATCAAGGGGGAGGACTTTACCCTTGCTCTTCTCATGACAAAGTTCTCAAGAGATCTGAGTGTTTGAAAGTGTGTAGCACTCTCGCCTTTGCGCATGCTCTCTCTCTCTCCTGCTCTGCCATATAAGACATGCCTGCTTCTCCTTTGCCTTCTGCCATAATTGTAAGTTCCCTGAGGCCTCCCCAGCCATGCTTCTTGCACAGCCTGCAGAACGGAGAGTCAATTAAATGCCTTTTCTTTATAAATTACCCAGTCTCAGGTAGTTCCTCATAGCAATGTGAGAACAGACTAATACAAGCAAATAAGGGAATTCAGAGAACAACTTCATCCTGTGCTTTAGGAGAGCTGGTGGAGTATGGGCGGGAGGTGAGAGAGAACATGAGGCTCCTTTTTCAGTTTAGCATGCACAAAGTATCATATTTTTATGTTAATTTCTGAGCCCTGTGAGAGGATATCCCAGAGGAAATGAGGGTGAAAGAACTCAGTGTCTTTCTGAAGAGCTTCAAACAACATAGCGACCCCTACGAGTGGATGTAGAGGGGTTCACAAGACACAAGTAGAAAAGATAACTCTGCAGATGGTGATAAGAATGAATTACCTCCTCTTACACACAACCCTTCTTCACCATGGTCCCTCCTAGAGGCAGACATGAAGAAGCACTGCTAAACACAATAAATACTGCATTTACACTTGCAGCAACTATTCCGTGATCCATGTTTGGTTAAACCTGGTTGTAGCTGTGGCCATTGACATATGTCTGCCTGCAATATCAACTATTTTTGACCAGTGGGTACCACTGAAAATTTTGTAAACAAGAAAAGCCTGTAGATTTGCTTCCTGAAGGAAACAGAGCAGGCATTGCTATTTATGAAGGAACATGCTCCTGAAATTCAGGCGAGTCACAGGATCCACTTCCAGTATCTAAAATCACAATACCCAGGATGAGTGAGGGCATAAGAGAAGGTTTGGGTGGGCTCAACCCAAGTGAGCCTTTATACGAGGATGTGTTTAGTGTATACACACTCTGATACGTATACTTTTATCCTTTAGGGATATAGGAGTAGGCTCCTTCCTGCAGAGATACAGGACTAGCCTACTTCCTGCAAGTTGACTACATGCCATCGGTTAGACCCTGTGATGCAACAGACCCTCTCCACTTGACATCTAGATGAACTGTGCTCTGCTCCAGAAGGTAAGCCTTCATTTATCTTGTGTCTGGCATCTTCCTCTATATCCCTTGACCTAGTTTTGGGGGGAGGCATTTCACAAATGAAGGACAGGCGAAGACCACCAGCTCAGCCACTGCCTAATTTGTTGAATAGAGAAGCAGCTTGGAATATTTGATTGTTTATTTCTTTACAATACATGCCAGAAATATAAATTACATAAGTAACTGGAGTTCTTTTCAATGGATAGAAGAGACAAAAAATAGCTATTCCTTAGCAACCGGAAATGAGGATAAGAAGTTATCCTTAAAGTTCTAAATCACTATTCCGTGGGGGGAATAAAAGGGAACGAAGATAAAAAAAGAAAGGAAAGAAGAAAGGAGGAAAGAAATGAAGAAAGGAAGGAAGGAAGGCGGAAGGAAGAAAGAGAAGAAGGAAGCAACAGAGAAAAAATATGAGAAAGGAAGAACAGGAAGGAAGAGAGGAAGAAAGAAAAAAGAAAGAAACCACAAGGAAGAAATGAAAAATAAAAGGTGAAGGGAGGGAGGGAGGAAGAAAGGAAGGAAGGAGAAAGAGAAAAAGAAGAAAGGGAATGGAGAGAGGGAGGAAGAAAGACAGAAAAAAGAAAGGAAAAAAAGGTAGAAAGAACAAATGAAAGGAGGAAGGGAGGCAGGAAAAATAGAAAGAAAGAAAGACAAAGGAAGAGAAAGAGAAAGAAACAAAGAAAAGAAAGGAAGGAAGGAATGTTTAGGCTACTTTTATTGAGTAATGGTTTCAATAATTGTATAATCATTTTGTAGGTACATACTACATTCTGTGTATGATAGGATTAGTTATTTTTATTTTTATTCTAATTTGTTTGAATTCTTATCCTATTTCTGGGATTATAATTAATTAGATTTTCCCTGGGATTAGAATAAACTCTCCTCATTCTAAACTTTCCACAGCATCAACTTGTCAGTGCTTCTGCTTCTGGATGCAGTGTAATATTAGTGAAAGCATTTCCTCTATAGGGAAAATAAATGTCGAATTATTCATGGATGTGAATACTATCCTGCCCTCCACAAAATAAAAATTAATAATAAGAAAGCAGTACAACAATGGGGTCACTGATGATTTTATCAACTAGAATTCAACAATGGTCTAATACATTCAAACTACACAGCATAAATTATTTTTCGATTATCCTATTGAGGAGAATTACTCTGTAACCTCTAAATTGTCCAGTTAACATCATAGTGTTTTCTCAGCAAAGCGTGTCCTGTATTTACTTCACAGTGGAAATCTATGCATAAGAGGGGAAAGATGTCTTCCTTCTAACTTTTTTCTACTCATATCAAAAAATGAAACTGAACAAATAGAATTGGGGGAAGTTTTGGCTTATAGGCACTAAGTTGATTGTGTAGTTTCATCATGGAAACTGCAAATATGGTTGCAAGATCTTGTAATAAAGTTGATTTCTAGAGACGAAGAAGTAGGTGACTGGCTGTGCTAGACAGGTTGAAGTTGACCTGGATAACGTTTTAGGGAAATGAACTACAGTGGACCCTTGTACAACATTGACTTGATCTGCACATGTCCACTTATATAAGGATTTTCTTCCTCCTCATATAAGGATTTCCTTCCTTGTCTCTGCCACCACTGAGACAGCAAGACCAATCCCTCCTCTTCTTCCTCCTCCTCAGCCTACTCAAGGTGAACATGAGGATGAAGACCTTCTTGATGATCCAATTCCACTTAGTGAATAGTAAAGATATTTTTTCTTAAGATTTTCTCAATGATGTTTTCTTTTCTCTAGCTTACTTTATTGAAAGAATAGAGTATGTAATACATATAACATACAAAATATGTGTTAATTGGCTATTTATGGTATCAGTAAGGCTTCCAGTCAACAGTAACCTATCAGTAGTTAAGTTTTGGGGAAGTCAAAAATTATACATGGATTTTTGACTGTGTAAGGGGCTGATGCCCAGATCCCTCTGTTGTTCAGTGGTCACCTGTATGGTGATGAAGAATTGAGTGGCCGTGCTCTGTGGCGAGCATTTATAAGAAGCACTGATGGGTAAGTCTAGACAAATGAAGACCCATGGGGTGCACAATGGCAATCATCAGACATTCGATATTAAATGAAGTTCAAAGGGAAAGGCTTATGGGGTATTGCTTTGAAAATATTATTTTTCAGACTGGGATATTGGGAACATGATTTCCTGGATTTTCATTATCCATTTCTGTAGTATTAAATGGCATTAAAGATCATGAGAAAGTCCATCTAAACTGTGATATTTTTAAAGGCATAGTTTTTCCTATATACATCAAAATGTAATGAAGCTAAATGTGTGGCCCTGTTAAAGTTAGTCAATGTTAACGGAGTGTCTAGCATATGCTGAGCATACTGACCAGGCTTGGCACATAGGAATGGATAAAAGACAGCCCTCATCTTCAAGTGCTCATCATTTAGCAGGGAGACAATGAGTATATGCGGGGGTGAATGCTGTGATAGAAACACACAGGGTATTATGAAAAATGCAAACCAGAGAAAAAGTTGTTTTACCTATGAATGAAGATTTCCCTGAACACTTCCCAGTGCAGTGTGGCTTCAATAAAGTCTGAAAAGAAAAGGTGGAGTTATTCAGAAGAATGGGGTGACAGTGAGAGGAGAAATTTTGCTCCAAGGACTAAAATAGAATTTGCCAAGTTTACAAAGGCTGAGACGTCTGAAATAACTTATGTGAATTGGATGTACATGTGATAAAAATAGAGTGAGAGGAAGATCATATATTGGGGAACACATAAATAGTCCTAAAATAAAGATTTCAACCTGGTTGGCCATTTCACTGAAATTTTTGTCATGGAAGATGTGGCATCCTGGCAGCCCCTGTCAAAATGAGATGCCATTCAAAAGTAAATGAGCAACTCTGCCTTGTGTTTGCTGAAATGAGCATTGATTAAATGAAGACACGGGACGCACAATCAGAGGAGGAGGTGGTGAGGGAGAAAACTATTATGCTCGCACAAATATCCTGCAGAACTGGCTCTTAAGCAATCTGAGTTATCCTCAACTTAAACTCATATGGACTTTTCTATAGGACCCTAAATTCTATGCCTTTTCCTTGACCAAGATCAAGGATCTTGAGTCTACCATAGGAAACTTCAGAAACAATGAAATTGAGAAGCTGTCACGCAAGGAATGAAAATGAAGCTATGATTAAGTCAATGGAATTGTTAACACATGAATAAGGACCAATTAGATTCACAGAAAAAGGCGATGAGGTGTAATGTCCTGTATATAAATTGTCATTTTTTGGAAGGTTAGTGGTTTCAATCAGCAGGGGAAGGTAGCATACTTATTTCTGAAATTGTTTCTGAGAGTAACCAGCAAAATAAATTAGACAAGTCTCCAGAGAATCTAAACTCACCTGCATGTAGAAAAGAAAAATATCATTCTTAATAGACGCATAGATAAAAGAAAAAAAAGAAAACAGGTGACATGAGAGGTGATATGGGATGCCCTTTAATCTCTAACCAGAATTATCTGGGCTCACTTGCCAGTAATGCTTGATGTTTTATCTGACAAACCTTACGGGAGACTTTTAGTGACAACTCACCCTCTTCCATGAGGGGAAAGTGCTTTTTAAGAGAAAGCGTATCACTCAAATGTTTTTTAATTGCTTTAATTTTCCTTTTCAAGTGATTTTAGAGTAACCACACTCAGATTCCTGAGAGTGATTTTTGGGTTGTTAGAATAGCTCATTCATGTATCCAGCTCACTACTAAAATGGATATTAACGTTTTTCAGTGACTAGAGCTTCGAATAAGGTGCACTATATGATGATATTTGTATAAGAAGTGCTAATGACACAAAAATATTCTTATGTTGGTTGTGAATTTATTCACTCCTTTAATTTTTTTGAATAATGAGTATTTTTTGAAATAATGAGTGTTGGTGTGCAACTTGATTGAACAAAAAGTTGTTTTAAAATGTAAAGATGAGATGAGTGTAGACACACTAAAGTGGTTGCATTGCTGATAAATGTATTACATTTTTGAATGTACACCTTGTAGCTTCTATCACAGAGGTCTGTAAACTTTTATTTTTTTTTCTGTGGAGGGACAGAGAGTAAATCTTTTTGTCTTCACAAGCCATACAGTCTCAGTTGCACCACTCAACTCTGCCTCTGTAGTGCCATGGGCAGTTCAAAATGAATGGAGCAGCTGCATTCTGTGGACATAGCTGAGGTAAAATAAAACTTTATTTACAAAAACAGGCAGTGGGCCGATTTTAACCACGGGCTGCAGTTTACTGATGCCTGCTGTATCATAATGCAGAATAAGGATAAAAACCAAATTCTAAACACATTCCTTCAAAAAGTTATTTGAGTGACTTTAGAATTTCCAATGCATTCATCCTGGGAGATACATAAGTCTCATTTTGGTGAAACTGGCTACGTTGAGTGAAACTTGTAATGCTTGAAATGTTCAATATTTGATACATGTCTGAAATATTTGCAAAAGTTTTAAATGTCTCAGAAAGAAAAAAAACAATAGATGTTGCGTTCAGTAGAGAAGGCAGGATATATACTATGTATATATTGTGTCTCTTCTCATTAAATATGTATTGTAATGTCTGCACTGTCCTTCACTCATTCAAAGAATAAATTCAAAGTTTCTTGTTTCATTTAGTCTTTAATCTGAGATCCAAGCTTCTTCCTAAAGTGGTGCTCGTATATGTTTTCAAATATATATCCCTCTTGCCAACTCTCTAACTCTTTGAAAGAGGTCTTGTTTTCATTTTTTGTTTCATTTCTTGCACAGCTCTTGTACACAATATTCTCTGAACCTTTGCTTTAATCTTTCCATTTTGCCTGGATTTTCCTCTTTTGTTCTACTTTCTAAGTACTTATCCTGTTAAGGCCTAACTCTATACCTGCTCTTCGCTACATTTTGTCCAAATAAGGAGTTAAAATAACACCTGTGGTAGAAAGAAACCCTGGATCATTAAAGCCTTTAACAAATTCTTTAGTTACTATATAGTCCCTATAATCTTCATTTCTACATTATATACACTTGCTTTCTCCAACAAGTACAATGATACTGGTGATTGTGCCTTATCTCATCGGTATGGGCAGTATTTTGGAAATAACCTTGGCATTAGAAAAAGTTTATGCTCAACAAAATTTAATATTCTAGCTGATGGTTAAAGTTGGGAGTTTCCCAAAATATACATATTTTAGATAATGTAATTATTTATCAAATCTATTAACTTATATGAGGCATTTTGTGCCAAAAGTAAATAAACCACCTTAAAGAGCCTGATTCCATGCAAAGCAAATTGTTTTCGTCCATTCAGGGAATCCAGCAATGAAAGTGGTACATCTGAGGTTTTCTCTTATTTTTTCCCCTCTTACAACTAATAATGGTAATAGATTTTGTAGTCCCCAACAGAATCTTTTTAAAACTTTGTTTTTACTTTCTGATTTCCAAAGGTGTCAAGACACATGGATCTTGTAATACCACCAAATTAGTTTTGACCAGGCAGAATGATTTAATTGCCACAGGACTTGGTGAATTTAACCACTCTCATTTAGCTTTAAAATGTGCATGCCTTAGTTATTAAAATCATCTGGTCAAAACGTCACCCTTTTTAAAATCCAGGGCACAGAGTACATAGTCAGTAAGAGATTTTGGGTATTATTTTTGTTTTTAATTATATTGATCTCTTTTCACTCTTTCAAAATAAGTAAACTAAGCAAACCGTGAGTATTTTTTCACACTTTGCTCAATTTTAATCCAAGGGCAAAATGAGGATTTAAAAAAATCTCAATTTTCCAAGTCAGTAGAAGTAATAGGCACAGAGTTATTGAAATATGCAGCATAATTGTCATCATTTCTTGTCTTCTCCAATCTTTTTCTTACCCAAACCCCAGATATTATTTTTACCTCTGTTGTAATCATATGGTGAAGCAACATAAAATTGCAGAAAGGCATGCTAATGAAATCTACCCTAAACATGTCCAAAATTAAACTTTACAGAAAATAAGACAGTCCTATTTATAGACACAGTATTTTTATTCCATTGCTTCTATATAAGAAGTATATAAACATCTCCGATGGCTGAGTTTCACAGATAGTGACTAAATCTAATTTTGCAAATAATTGCAACCATCTGAAGGAGAAAATTGACTTGCTTTCCGCTGTCATAATCTTGTCTTTCTTCTTCCCTAACTTTCTCTCTCCCAGTGCCCTTGTCAGAATCATTTAGCCTTTTCTTGGTGCTCTTATGCAGTGTTTACATATACAGAGTGAAGTAAAGAAATCATTCTATCGGGATTTTATGTCTCCATGTTTTTAAGCACCTGGTAGATTATTACCTCATTTTTGGCAGGTAGCATGTCTTATCTACTTTAAGTTTCCTGTTGTATTGCTCCGTATTTGGCACATATTAGACGTTATTAAATAAATACGATAATCAATTGCAATAAAATAAACCACAGAGGATAAAGACAGAGAGGGGATAGATTCTCTATACTTAAATTTGACTCCAGATGCTTTCAGTCACATTTAATAATTTCCATATTCTAACAGCATTATATTTGCTGCAGAAAAATATTCAATATTTTTCATTTTGTTAATGATATTTCCTGTTTTGGAAGCACTATGGATTCTTAGGATGAGAAGAAAGTTCGATGTTGATAAGGTTTTAGATCACAACAGTCATAAGCTTGATGTATAATTTGCCTTTTAAGACATGAGTAATTGCTCCTTTGTTTTTAAAAATATGTTAAATAAACCAATCTATCTATAAACACTTTGCTTTTCAGGGGGCAACAACATTAAGACAAAACTATTCCTGTCCTTTAAAAATCTATTTTTAGAGTAACTGTTGTTTACAGATTCATTCCAGAAAGCTGGAAATTAATGGGAAATAACTTGGGTGCTTAGTAGTATGAGAAAACTTCCAGATACTTATCGGAATGCACTTCCAGCTCTTAAAATTTACTCTAGTAGGAACAGTCTACTTATACAGTGGAAAAAGTGTGTTCTCAATGGTACCTCATCTCCAATTGATCTGTTCACTACAGTCTGGGGATATGTGTTATTAGTTTTGTGGGCAAATATCCTGCAAAGCATTCTCTCCAGAACAATATCTTGAATATTGTGTTTTGGATAGTTGGCATTCACAATATACATAATTCGACTTATTTATGTGCCCATGGCAATTTAGTGCTTACATCAAATCATTAACTACTATTCACAGTCCTCCATATCCTATATGATAAACACAGTGAGATATACTTTAGATATCAGAAGACAAGAAATAACCAAATATCAGGGCTGAACTGAAGGAGATTGAGATAAGAAAAATCATTTAAAAGATCGCCAAATCCAGGATCTGTTTTTTTGCAAAAAAAAAAAAAAAAAAAAAATTAGATCACTAGATAGACTAATAAAGAAGAAAAGAGAGATGATTCAAGTAAACACAATCAGAAATGACTAGAGGGATATTACCACTGACTCCACAGAAATACAACCAACCACCAGAGAATATTATGAACACTTTTATGCACATAAACTTAGAAAATCTAGAAGAAATGGGTAAATTCCTGGACCCATACACACATACACCCTTCCAAGACTGAAGCAGGAAGAAATTGAATCCAATAATCCAGACCAATAACGAGCTCTGAAATTAAGACAGTAATAAATAGGCTACCAACAAAAAAAAGCCTAGAACCAGAGAGATTCACAGCTGAATTGTGCCAGAGGTACAAAGAAGAGCTGGTACCATTCCTACTGAAACTATTCCAAAAAATTGAGGAGAAGGGACTCCTTAACTCATTCAATGAGGCCAGCATCATCCTGATGCCAAAACCTAGTAGAGATACAACAAAAAAAGAAAACTTTAGGTCAATATCCTTGATGAACATCGATGCAAAAATCCTCAACAAAACCCTGCAAACCAAATCCAACAGCACGATCAAAAGCTTATCCAAGACATTCAAGTAGGCTTTATCTCTGGGATGCAAGGTTGGTTCAACATACACAAATCTATAAATGTGATTCATCACATAAACAGGACTAAAGACAAAAATCACATGATTTTCTCAATAGATGTAGAAAAGGCTTTTGATAAAATTTGATAAAAACTGTCAAACTAGATATTGAAGGAACATACATCAAAATAAGAGCCATATGTGACAAACCTACAGCCAACATTATACTGAATGGGCAAAAGCTGGAAGCATTCCCCCTGAAAACCGGTACGAGACAAGGATGCCCTCTCTCACCACTTCTACTCAATGTAGTATTGGAAGTCCTGGCCTGGGCAATCAGCCAAAAGAAATAAATAAAGGGCATCCAAAAAGGAAGAGAGGAAGTCAAACTAACCCTATTTGCAGACAACATGGCCTTTACCTAGAAAACCCCATAGTCTCAGCCCAAAAGCTTCTAAAGCTGATGAACAACTTCAGCAAAGTCTCAGGACACAAAAGCAATGCGCAAACATCACTACCTTTCCGATACATCAACAACAGTCAAGCTGAAAAGCAAATCAAGAATGAACTCCCATTCACAGTTGCCACAAAAAGAATAAAATACCTAGGAATACAGCTAACTAGGGTGGTGAAAGAACTTTTACAAGGAGAACCACAAACAACTGCTCAAAGAAATTGGGGGACACAAATGGGAAAAACATTCTATGCTCATGGATAGGAAGAATCAATATCGTTAAAATGGCCATACTTCCCAAAGCAATGTATATTCAATGCTATTCCTATTAACTACCACTGACATTCCTCAAGAAGTAGAAAAAAACTATTTTAAAATCTTTATGGAACCACAAAAGAGCCCGAATAGCCAAGACAATCCTAAACACAAAGAAGAAAGCTGGAGGCATCATGTTACCTGACTTTGAACTATACTACAATGTTACAGTAACCAAAACAGCATGGTACTGGTACAAGAACAGGCACATAGACCAATGGAAATAAGACCACACATCTACAACTATCTGATAGATCTACTATCTATCTGACAATCCTGACAAAAACACATAATAGGGAAAGGATTCCCTGTTCAACAATGGCACTGGGAGAACTTTATAGCCATATGCTGAAGATTGAAACTAAACATCTTCCTTACACTATATACAAAAATTAACTCAAAATGGATTATAGACTTAAATGTAAAACCCAAAACTATAAAAACCCTGGAACACAACCTAGGCAATACCATTCAGGACATGGGCATGAGCAAAGATTTCATGATGAAGATGCCAAAAACAACTGCAACAAAAGCAAAAATTGACAAATGTAATCTAAAAACTAAAGAGCTTCTGCACAGCAAAAGAAACTAACAACAGAGTGAACAACAGACAAACTACAGAATGGGAGAAAGATTTTACAAACTACATATCTAACAACGGCCTAATATCCAGTATCTATAAGGAACTTTAATACATTTACAAGAAAAAAACAACCCCATTAAAAAGTGGCCAAAGACATAAACAGACACTTTTCTTTTTATTTATTTATTTATTTATTTATTTTTGTTATACTTTAAGTTCTGGGATACGTGTGCAGAATGTGCAGGTTTGTTGCATAGGTATACATGTGCCATGGTGGTTTGCTGCACCCATCAACTCGTCATCTACATTAGGTATTTCTCCTAATGCTATTCGCACTGTCTTCTACAATGGTTAAACTAATTTACACTCCCACCAACAGTATAAAAGCGTTTCTATTTCTCCACATCCTCTCCAGCATCTGTTGTTTCCTGACTTATTAATGATCGCCATTCTAACTGGCATGAGATGGTATCTAATTGTGGTTTTGATTTGCATTTCTCTAATGATCAGTGATAATGGTTTGTTGGCCACATAAATGTCTTCTTTTGAGAAGTGTCTGTTCGTATCGTTCGCCCACTTTTTGATGGGGTTGTTTGTTTTTTTCTTGTAAATTTGTTTAAGTTCCATGTAGATTCTGGATATTAGCCCTTTGTCAGGTGGATAGATTGCAAAAATTTTCTCTATGACCAAATCAGTCCAGGAAAGCATTAATGACAGGATGGCATGAAGATGCCCTCAGCATGGAAAATAGTGAATGACTGAGTTACTCCAAGGAAAACAGGTGATGAGGGGGAATGACAGGCAGGGACACAATGCCCATGGTCTGGGAAACACAGTCCATGACTGAGTCAATCCAGGTTAAAGAGTCGAGTACCAAACAGTCCAGGGAACACAGGTGACCACCTAGTCTTTTCCTGGCACACGGTTAACTGCTGAGTCAGTCCAGGGAAATGAGTTGAGTAGGGAGTCAGTCCATTGAAATGAGTTGAGTACCAAGTCAATTCAGGGAACCCAGTTGATGACCGAGTCATTCCAGGGCACACAGTTAATTTGCTGAGTCAGTCCAGGGAAATGAGTTGAATACTGAGTCAGTCCAGGGAAATGAGTTGAGTACCAAGTCAATCCAGGAAACATAGTCAATGGTCAAGTTACTCCAGGAAAAAGAGTCAAAGACCAATCATCCCAGGGAAACAGTTGAGTACCAAGTCAATCCAGGGAACACAGTCAATGTCTGAGTCATTTTAGGGCACACAGTTAATTGCTGAGTCAGTCTAGGGAAATGAGTTGAGTACCAAGTCAATCCAGGGAGCATGGTCAATGACGAAGTTAATCCAGGGAACATAGTTAATTACTACCGAATCGTTCAGGGAAAAGTGTTGAGCATTGAGTCAGTCCAGGGGAAAGAATCAAGCCCTGATTCAATCCTGGGGACACAGTCAATGACCGAGTTAATCCAGGAAAAAAAAAGTTGATGACCAATCAATCCAGGGAAAACAGTTGAGTACTGAATCATTCCAGGGAAATCAGTCAAGTACCAAGTCAATCCAGAGAACACAGTTGATTATTGAGTTAGTGTAGGAAAAACAGTGGATGATTAAATCAGTCCAGGGAAAACAGTTGAGTCACGTCATGGAACACAGTTGCAAAAGAATCAGTGTAGGGAACACAGTTAACTACTGAGTCAGTCCAGGGAAAAACAAACTTTGCTGTTTTCATACACTGAGAATGAAGAAGCACAAACTATTGATACACAGAATATACGTAATTCTATTAAAAATATGCTGAGTGAACAAAGCCTTCGAGTCAGTCCAGGGAAAAGCATGGAGTACTGAGTCAATCTAGGGAACACAGTTGATGACCAAGTCAATGCAGGCAAGGAAGAGAGTCACATACCAAGTCAGTGCAGGGGAAAGAATTGAGCACCAAGTCAGTCCAGGGGAAAGAGTTGAGCGCTGAGTCAATCCAGGGAACATAGTCAATGCCTGAGTTAATCCAGGAAAAAGACCACATGACCAATCAGTCAGGGAAAACAGTGGAGTACTGAATCATTCCAGGGAATAGTTGAGTACCAAGTCAATCCAGGGAACATAATGGATAACTATGTTAAAAAAAAAAAAGTATAACATAAACAACAACAATAACAAAATACTGATGTATAGCTATGTTCATGCTTGATTTTCATTTCCAGTATTTAATATCTCCTATAACAATCACTAGTGTGCACATTCCTTCAAATTACAAGTAACACCCGAGGTCATCTTAATTCCAAATTAAACTTCCAAACCCAAATAGATCTGATGCACTTATTGATAGGAATTCCTAACAATACTATTGGAATTATGAGTTTAAATTTTGACTAATATACCAAAATTCAACCACAGTAAAAATTCAAAACCGCTGCTGACCTTCTGTCAAAATTCCAAATGACATGAATATACTTAATATCTTCATAACAAGTACAGATGTCATTATTAGTTCAAATTTTAAATAACACATGCAAACACATGCACATTCTAATAAGTCATAGCATTCCTAGAAGTTCAAATTCTGAATGAGATTGATTACTTATTAACTTATATCCTAATTCAAATTCCAAAATGCAAATAAAACTAATAGCATACTTTGATGTACTTATTACTTTAAATTTTAAGTAACACTGATGTCTTTATTAGGTCTCTTGCTGATAAGCAAGTAACTTTGATACCAAGCTCAGGTGCAGTGATTAATTGTAATTTCATTTCAAATCCAAAGTGTAAATGAATCAGACCACAAGCATGGGTGCAATTTTAGGTTAAAATTCTAGGCCGGGCCTGGTGGCTCACGCCTGTAATCCCAGCACTTTGGGAGGCCGAGGCGGGCAGATCACAAGGTCAGGAGATTGAGAACATCCTGGCTAACACAGTGAAACTCCATCTCTACTAAAAATACAAAAAATTTAGCCGGGTGTGGTGGTGGGTGCCTGCAGTCCCAGCTACTTAGGAGGCTGAGGCAGGAGAATGGCATGAACCCGGGAGGCGGAGCTTGCAGTGAGCCAAGATTGCGCCACTGCACTCCAGCCTGGGCGACTGAGCAAGACTCCGTCTCAAAAAAAAAATAAAAAAAAAAAAAAATTCTAGTTAACGTTGGTGTGCTTATATAGTTCATATTTCAATTCCAGTTTCAATATTCAAATGACTCTGATTACAAGCATGGAATAATTATTGACTCAAATTTTTCATGAAATTGTAGGTCTTATTAATTTGAGTTTCAATTCACTATTCAAAATCCAACTAACAGTGTTTTAACAAATGGTAAACTTATTCTAATTCCAAATATTCCTTGTAGAATTACCAGCTCAAATTTCAATTAAACATTTCAAATTTAAAATGTGGATAGCAGCAGAGCTGATTTTATTAAAGCTCATATTTAGAATGTCATTTATGTACTTATTTGTATATATTCTAATTATTAGTTAAATTTTCATGTAAAATTCTAAATTCCTAAAGTCTTTGAACAGGTACTGATGCACTTTGTGGTTGAAATTTTTATAACACTGGTAGTCTTTTTTTTTTTTTGGAGTCTCGCTCTGTCGCCCAGGCTGGAGTGCAGTGGCACGATCTCGGCTCACTGCAAGCTCCACCTCCCAGGTTGACGCCATTCTCCTGCCTCAGCCTCCCGAGTAGCTGGGACTACAGGTGCCCGCCACAATGCCTGGCTAAATTTTTTGTATTTTTAGTGGAGACGGGGTTTCACCATGTTAGCCAGGATGGTCTCCATCTCCTGACCTTGTGATCCGCCCACCTCGGCCTCCCAAAGTGCTGGGATTACAGGCGTGAGCCACTGCGCCTGGCCTAACACTGGTAGTCTTAACAACTCAAAATCCACTTAAAATCCCCAAATCTAAAAACACCCATTAATAAGGACAGGTAAACTTTTTAGACTCAGTGCAAAAATAACACTAGTGTAATTATCTCTCAAATTTCAATTAAAATTGCACTATATGTACATTTCCCCAATAACTAGCATTATTCCACTTATGTATCCAAATTCCAAATAACACTAGCTTACACATTAGATCAGATTCAAAATAATTGATTTTGATAAAACATGCTTGTGAAAATGTAATACTGCTTAGCTAACGTTATATATAAGTATGCTATCTTTATTTATTCAAACTAAATTCCCTAAAGTGAAAGATTAAAAGACAAAACAAAATACATTGATACAGTTATTTGCTCATATTCAAGATACCATTGGTTTACTTATAAGTTCCAATTCCAGTGACAATTTTAAAATCCAAATAAACTTCATAGCAAGCACTACCTGATGTATGTTTTATTTAAAATTCTAAATAACACATATGCCTTCACTTGAAAGTTTAATTTATATCTCAAAGTCCAATAACCCCAATTCAAAATCCTGGTGTACTTATTCTCATTAATGATAAATAACACTAATATATTTATTCAATTATAATATATATTTAAAATTTCAAATTAACACTCTGGAATTTCCAATTGAAATTTTCAAATCCCAATAACACAAATAAGTTCCAGTAAGCACACTTATTATTAGTTCCAAATGGAAATAACATTGGTTAATTATTAGCTCAAATTTATTTTTAAATTTCATAATCCAAATAAAGCAGATAACTCACAATTGTGCACTTACTGACTCAAATTCTCAATCACACTGATATACATACTGATTTAAATTGAAGTTGAATCCAATTCCTATTTCCAAATAACAGTAGTATATTTACTGTTTGAATTCTGAAGTAAAATTAACAACACATAGTAAGACTGTAGCAAGGTCTGGTACATATATTAACCCCAATTCCAAATGACATTTATATACTTATTAGCTCATATCTCACACCAAATTTCAATGCTCAAATATCTCTGGTAATAGGTACTTTGTCAATTATTAATTAAAATTCAAACTAACAGTAATCCACTTTTTCAAATTTTCAAATCACAGTAGTTTACCTGTGGGATCTAATATAAAATAACACTGTTTAACTTACTAATTCAAATTACAGTTCAACTTCCAAAACCAAATAACTTTGATAACAAATACTGGTATACTTACTGTTTCGAATTCCCTAAAATATCGTTATTTTTGTTTGTTCAGAATTTAAAAACTAGGCTGGGCACTGTGGCTCACGCTTGTAATCCCAGCACTTTGGGAGGCCGAGGTGGGTGGATCACCTGAGGTCAGGAGTTCGAGACCAGCCTGGCCAACATGGAGAAACCCCATCTCTACTAAAAAAAATAATAATAATAATAATAATTAGCCAGGCATGGTGGCACATGCCTGTAATCCCAGCTACTCGGGAGGCTGAGGCAGGAGAATTGCTTCAACCCGGGAAGCGGAGGTTGCAGTGAGCCGAGATTACACCACTGCACTCCAGCCTGGGTGACAGAGTGAGACCCTGTCCCCTAAAAAAAGAAAAAAAATTAAAATCTAAATAACTCCTAAAACAAGTACTGGTACACTTATTAATTCAAATTTCTGTTCAAAATGGTGAATTAAGAATTCGACAAAAAACTTAGCATTAAGAACACAATCAAAAGAGTTAACATATTAATTCTTAACACAGTACATCCACATTATGGTGTTTATGTGTGTTTTATTCCGTGGCAACAAGGTGCTTTGTGAAAAAATATTCTTCTGTGTTAATTTGTATTACAATTAGTAATAGTGCCTCCTTCATACAACATAAATATAGTTAATACACATAAGAGTTATCAATAATTAAATTTTATTTAATTGACCAAGTTGTTAGTTACCAGTATGTAATAATTACTTCTTTTCTGTAATACATATTAGTATTTAAAGTATAATTATTACATTAACAAATTTTTGAATAAGTCCTTTGTTTCTTAAGGATAAAATAATGTTTGTGTGTTTAATGAAAAGAAAACCACTCAGAATAAGTTGTTTGGGCAGCTAGAATTTTACTTTTGTTAATAGGAAGTATAAAATACCAAAAATCTATTAAGAGATGAGAATTGGATCTATGTAGAATAAATATTTTATAACAAATCATATTTTAATTTCTTCTTTTAGTCTTGCAGAACAGTAAAAGACATTTATTTTTGTCCCCCTCTAGCTTTGCTAAAGGTATTATCATAGTTTGGGAAACAACTTAGAGTTACTGTCATTCTATTTAAAAATTTTAACTTGTTTTTTTTTAAATAACTGTTATATAGAAACATTGCATTATAACTTTCACTTCTAATTCAAGGAAATATGCTCTTAAATGGTCATTAATCCTAAAATCAGTTTTAACATTATGTGAATTAAACTCGTTGAATCAATAAATTGACATTTATTCTTTTATTTTAATGGCAATATGTGAGGAGAATTATTTCAATGAAGAAATAAATACTAAAGAAACTTCAAAATATTGAACAGGTATGTTGTAAACAAACAAACAAAAACCTCTCAATAATTTCTGTTTCACCTTAATTCTCCAAGTTTCCTTGTACATATCTAAAAAATTGATAAAAGCATATTATATATGCATATCAAATTCTCACTAAAATATGAAAAAATAACATTATTCATACTATATAGCTCCTATACAAATTACTATATATATACTACATCTATCTATCTATCTATCTATCTATACTATACTATAGGTATAGGCATATATCTATTTCGATACTTTCTATCGTGGAAACATTATCCAAATATAAATATAAAATTAAAAGCTTTCTAGACAGAGTTTAAAATTCAATCAGATTTGAAAGATAAGTGATATTCCCCTAGGCAAGGCCATGGCTCAAAGAGACCTTTAAACAACACACTGGGGCTACAATTTAACCAGTTTAAAAAATAAACAACTTATATTTTGAACTTCTCTGATAAACAAACAATAAATTTTTAATTATAAATAAAATTGTGTATTATATTAGATAAATTTAACATCTTACTGATAGGCAGTCATTACTACTTGTGAAGAACAACAAAAAACCTCTAGAGGGCAATTTCATTTATGTATAATTCTGTGACTTGTAAACTCTGACAAGTGCTTCATTTTAATTTCTGTCATCATACACATTCATATTTTATGTAACTACTTAGAGTTAATTCATTTATATTTATGAGCAAATTAAACAAATTTAAAATTAAAATGCCACTAATAAGTTTTTTCACTTATTTCAGTGAATAAAAACGTTTGACCTGAGAGGAGCCAAGATGGCCGAATAGGAACAGCTCCGGTCTACAGCTCCCAGCGTGAGCGACGCAGAAGACGGTGATTTCTGCATTTCCATCTGAGGTACCGGGTTCATCTCACTAGGGAGCGCCAGACAGTGGGCGCAGGTCAGTGGGTGCAGCGCACCGTGCGCGAGCCGAAGCAGGGCGAGGCATTGCCTCACTTGGGAAGCGCAAGGGGTCAGGGAGTTCCCTTTCCGAGTCAAAGAAAGGGGTGACAGACGCACCTGGAAAATCGGGTCATTCCCACCCGAACACTGCGCTTTTCCGACGGGCTTAAAAAACGGCGCACCAGGAGATAATATCCCGCACCTGGCTCGGAGGGTCCTACGCCCACGGAGTCTCGCTGATTGCTGGCACAGCAGTCTGAGATCAAACTGCAAGGCGGCAGCGAGGCTGGGGGAGGGGCGCCCGCCATTGCCCAGGCTTGCTGAGGTAAACAAAGCAGGCGGGAAGCTCCAACTGGGTGGAGCCCACCACAGCTCAAGGAGGCCTGCCTGCCTCTGTAGGCTACACCTCTGGGGGCAGGGCACAGACAAACAAAAAGACAGCAGCAACCTCTGCAGACTTAAATGTCCCTGTCTGGCAGCTTTGAAGAGAGCAGTGGTTCTCCCAGCACGCAGCTGGAGATCTGAGAACGGGCAGACTGCCTCCTCAAGTGGGTCCCTGACCCCCGAGCAGCCTAACTGGGAGGCACCCCCCCAGCAGGGGCACATTGACACCTCACACGGCAGGGTACTCCAACAGACCTGCAGCTGAGGGTCCTGTCTGTTAGAAGGAAAACTAACAGAAAGGACATCCACACCAAAAACCCATCTGTACATCACCATCATCAAAGACCAAAAGTAGATAAAACCACAAAGATGGGGAAAAAACAGAACAGAAAAACTGGAAACTCTAAAAAGCAGAGCGCCTCTCCTCCTCCAAAGGAACACAGTTCCTCACCAGCAACGGAACAAAGCTGGATGGAGAATGACTTTGACGAGCTGAGAGAAGAAGGCTTCAGACGATCAAATTACTCTGAGCTACGGGAGGACATTCAAACCAAAGGCAAAGAAGTTGAAAACTTTGAAAAAAATTTAGAAGAATGTATAACTAGAATAACCAATACAGAGAAGTGCTTAAAGGAGCTGATGGAGCTGAAAACCAAGGCTCGAGAACTACGTGAAGAATGCAGAAGCCTCAGGAGCCAATGCGATCAACTGCAAGAAAGGGTATCAGCAAGGGAAGATGAATGAAATGAAGCGAGAAGGGAAGTTTAGAGAAAAAAGAATAAAAAGAAATGAGCAAAGCCTCCAAGAAATATGGGACTATGTGAAAAGACCAAATCTACGTCTGACTGGTGTACCTGAAAGTGATGGGGAGAATGGAACCAAGTTGGAAAACACTCTGCAGGATATTATCCAGGAGAACTTCCCCAATCTAGCAAGGCAGGCCAACGTTCAGATTCAGGAAATACAGAGAACGCCACAAAGATACTCCTCGAGAAGAGCTACTCCAAGACACATAATTGTCAGATTCACCAAAGTTGAAATGAAGGAAAAAATGTTAAGGGCAGCCAGAGAGAAAGGTCGGGTTACCCTCAAAGGGAAGCCCATCAGACTAACAGCAGATCTCTCAGCAGAAACCCTACAAGCCAGAAGAGAGTGGGGACCAATATTCAACATTCTTAAAGAAAAGAATTTTCAACCCAGAATTTCATATCCAGCCAAACTAAGCTTCATAAGCGAAGGAGAAATAAAATACTTTACAGACAAGCAAATGCTGACAGATTTTGTCACCACCAGGCCTGCCCTAAAAGAGCTCCTGAAGGAAGCACTAAACATGGAAAGTAACAACCGGTACCAGCCGCTGCAAAATCATGCCAAAATGTAAAGACCATCGAGACTAGGAAGAAACTGCATCAACTAACCAGCAAAAGAACCAGCTAACATCATAATGACAGGATCAAATTCACACATAACAATATTAACTTTAAATGTAAATGGACTAAATGCTCCAACTAAAAAACACAGACTGGCAAATTGGATAAAGAGTCAAGACCCATCAGTGTGCTGTATTCAGGAAACCCATCTCACATGAAGAGACACACATAGGCTCAAAATAAAAGGATGGAGGAAGATCTACCAAGCAAATGGAAAACAAAAAAAGGCAGGGGTTGCAATCCTAGTCTCTGATAAAACAGACTTTAAACCAACAAAGATCAAAAGAGACAAAGAAGGCCATTACATAATGGTAAAGGGATCAATTCAACAAGAAGAGCTAACTATCCTAAATATATATGCACCCAATACAGGAGCACCCAGATTCATAAAGCAAGTCCTGAGTGACCTACAAAGAGACTTAGACTCCCACACATTAATAATGGGAGACTTTAACACCCCACTGTCAACATTAGACAGATCAACGAGACAGAAAGTCAACAAGGATACCCAGGAATTGAACTCAGCTCTGCACAAAGTGGACCTAATAGACATCTACAGAACTCTCCACCCCAGATCAACAGAATATACATTTTTTTCAGCACCGCACCACACCTATTCCAAAATTGACCACATACTTGGAAGTAAAGCTCTCCTCAGAAAATGTAAAAGAACAGAGATTATAACAAACTATCTCTCAGACCACAGTGCAATCAAACTAGAACTCAGGATTAAGAATCTCACTCAAAACCGCTCAACTACATGGAAACTGAACAACCTGCTCCTGAATGACTACTGGGTACATAATGAAATGAAGGCAAAAATAAAGATGTTCTTTGAAACCAATGAGAACAAAGACACAACATACCAGAATCTCTGGGACACATTCAAAGCAGTGTGTAGAGGGAAATTTATAGCACTAAATGCCCACAAGAGAAAGCAGGAAAGATCCAAAATTGACACCCTAACATCACAATTAAAAGAACTAGAAAAGCAAGAGCAAACACATTCAAAAGCTAGCAGAAGGCAAGAAATAACTAAAATCAGAGCAGAACTGAAGGAAATAGAGACACAAAAAACCCTTCAAAAAATTAATGAATCCAGGAGCTGGTTTTTTGAAAGGATCAACAAAATTGATAGACTGCTAGCAAGACTAACAAAGAAAAAAAGAGAGAAGAATCAAATAGATGCAATAAAAAATGATAAAGGGGATATCACCACCGATCCCACAGAAATACAAACTACCATCAGAGAATACTACAAACACCTCTACGCAAATAAACTAGAAAATCTAGAAGAAATGGATAAATTCCTCGACACATACACTCTCCCAAGACTAAACCAGGAAGAAGTTGAATCTCTGAATAGACCAATAACAGGATCTGAAATTGTGGCAATAATCAATAGCTTACCAACCAAAAGGAGTCCAGGACCAGATGGATTCACAGCCGAATTCTACCAGAGGTATAAGGAGGAGCTGGTACCATTCCTTCTGAAACTATTCCAATCAATAGAAAAAGAGGGAATCCTCCCTAACTCATTTTATGAGGCCAGCATCATTCTGATACCAAAGCCGGGCAGAGACACAACCAAAAAAGAGAATTTTAGACCAATATCCTTGATGAACATTGATGCAAAAATCCTCAATAAAATACTGGCAAAACGAATCCAGCAGCACATCAAAAAGCTTATCCACCATGACCAAGTGGGCTTCATCCCTGGGATGCAAGGCTGGTTCAATATACGCAAATCAATAAATGTAATCCAGCATATAAACAGAGCCAAAGACAAAAACCACATGATTATCTCAATAGATGCAGAAAAAGCCTTTGACAAAATTCAACAACCCTTCATGCTAAAAACTCTCAATAAATTAGGTATTGATGGGACGTATTTCAAAATAATAAGAGCTATCTATGGCAAACCCACAGCCAATATCATACTGAATGAGCAAAAACTGGAAGCATTCCCTTTGAAAACTGGCACAAGACAGGGATGCCCTCTCTCACCACTCCTATTCAACATAGTGTTGGAAGTTCTGGCCAGGGCAGTTAGGCAGGAGAAGGAAATAAAGGGTATTCAATTAGGAAAAGAGGAAGTCAAATTGTCCCTGTTTGCAGACGACATGATTGTATATCTAGAAAACCCCATTGTCTCAGCCCAAAATCTCCTTAAGCTGATAAGCAACTTCAGCAAAGTCTCAGGAAACAAAATCAATGTACAAAAATCACAAGCATTCTTATACACCAACAACAGACAAACAGAGAGCCAAATCATGAGTGAACTCCCATTCACAATTGCTTCAAAGAGAATAAAATACCTAGGAATCCAACTTACAAGGGATGTGAAGGACCTCTTCAAGGAGAACTACAAACCACTGCTCAAGGAAATAAAAGAGGATACAAACAAATGGAAGAACATTCCATGCTCATGGGTAGGAAGAATCAATATAGTGAAAATGGCCATACTGCCCAAGGTAATTTATAGATTCAATGCCATCCCCATCAAGCTACCAATGACTTTCTTCACAGAATTGGAAAAAACTACTTTAAAGTTCATATGGAACCAAAAAAGAGCCCGCATCGCCAAGTCAATCCTAAGCCAAAAGAACAAAGCTGGAGGCATCACACTACCTGACTTCAAACTATACTACAAGGCTACAGTCACCAAAACAGCATGGTACTGGTACCAAAACAGAGATATAGATCAATGGAACAGAACAGAGCCCTCAGAAATAATGCCGCGTATCTACAACTATCTGATCTTTGACAAACCTGAGAAAAACAAGCAATGGGGAAAGGATTCCCTATTTAATAAATGGTGCTGGGAAAACTGGCTAGCCATATGTAAAAAGCTGAAACTGGATCCCTTCCTTACACCTTATACAAAAATGAATTCAAGATGGATTAAAGACTTAAACGTTAGACCTAAAACCACAAAAACCCTAGAAGAAAACCTCGGCATTACCATTCAGGACATAGGCATGGGCAAGGACTTCATGTCTAAAACATCAAAAGCAATGGCAACAAAAGACAAAATTGACAAATGGGATCTAATTAAACTAAAGAGCTTCTGCACAGCAAAAGAAACTACCATCAGAGTGAACGGGCAACCTACAAAATGGGAGAAAATTTTCACAACCTACTCATCTGACAAAGGGCTAATATCCAGAATCTACAATAAACTCAAACAAATTTACAAGAAAAAAACAAACAACTCCATCAAAAAGTGGGCGAAGGACATGAACAGACACTTCTCAAAAGAAGACATTTATGCAGCCAAAAAACACATGAAAAAATGCTTATCATCACTGGCCATTAGAGAAATGCTAATCAAAACCGCAATGAGATACCATCTCACATCAGTTAGAATGGCAATCATTAAAAAGTCAGGAAACAACAGGTGCTGGAGAGGATGTGGAGAAATAGGAACACTTTTACACTGTTGGTGGGACTGTAAACTAGTTCAACCATTGTGGAAGTCAGTGTGGCGATTCCTCAGGGATCTGGACCTGGAAATACCATTTGACCCAGCCATCCCATTACTGGGTATATACCCAAAGGATTATAAATCATGCTGCTATAAAGACACATGCACACGTATGTTTATTGTGGCATTATTCACAATAGCAAAGACTTGGAGCCAACCCAAATGTCCAACAATGATAGACTGGATTAAGAAAATGTGGCACATATACACCATGGAATACTATGCAGCCATAAAAAATGATGAGTTCATGTCCTTTGTAGGGACATGGATGAAATTGGAAATCATCATTCTCAGTAAACTATCGCAAGAACAAAAAACCAAACACCGCATATTCTCACTCATAGGTGGGAATTGAACAATGAGATCACATGGACACAGGAAGGGGAATATCATGCTCTGGGGACTGTTGTGGGTTGGGGGGAGGGGGGAGGGATAGCATTGGGAGATATACCTAATGCTAAATGACAAGTTAGTGGGTGCAGCACACCAGCATGGCACATGTATACATATGTAACTAACCTGCACAATGTGCACATGTACCCTAAAACTTAAAGTATAATAAAAAAAATTAGAGCAGAGATAAATGAATTAAAGAATTAAAAATAGAGAAAAACATTAAAAAAAAAAAGTTTGACCTGAAGGTTATGAAATTGTTCTATCTGTAGCGTCTCTGATGAAGGATACATATAAACATAATTTTCCTAAGATCTGGGACAGAGTGATTCCAGATTCATAATCGGAATTATTTGAATAGGGGATGTTTTTGTATCTCACTTTGTTTTTGGTGTTGATACTCATTGGATTATGACAGTTGAGGTCACCCATCATATCATGATTGTTTTGTTTTTCCCTTAGCTGCTGAGCAGCACCTGGAGCTCAGGTGACCCTCTATAAAGAGTTATCAATATTTATCTTACTTTTTCATATGTCATATCACAATATGAAAGTTTTTATTAAACAACTCAATATGTAGAAAGTTTTTGGCAAATATCCGTCTTTAAAAAAAGGCATAACAGTTTTATGGATTAATGAAAAGCCAAATTTTACGTTACATTATTTATTTTATTTAAAAATCTATCATCTTTCTATCTATCCATGTATGTAGCTTTTTCTTTTTTTTTTTTTTTTTTGAGACAGAATCTCACTCTGTCGCTCAGGCTGGAGTGCAGTGGCGCGATCTCGGCTCACTGCAACCTCCCCCTTGGGTTCAAGCGATTCTCGTGCCTCAGCCTCCCAAGTAGCTGGGATTACAGGCACCCACCTGCCACCACACCTGGCTAATTTTTGTATTTTTAGTAGAGACGGGATTTCACCATGTTGGCCAGGATGGTCTCCTGACCTCAGGTGATCTGCCCGTCTCGGTCTCCCAAAGTGCTGGGATTACTGGCATAAGCCACCATAACTATCTGTATGTCTATCTGTCTATCTATCTATCCATCTAATTTGAATATAAAAGCTCTCTTTCTCTATGGTTGATCATTGGACCATGGGTTCTCTGCATCTTCATTGAGTTAGGACTTTTTCACAGAGATAAACCACCTGAGTGGTATTAGATTAATATTTAGATTGTTTTAGCCACAAACTGACTTCTCAACCTGTACCATAATCATTGGCTTTTTTGTTAAATGAACTATGAAAAGATAAATAATTCTTTATTGGAGACATTCATTTTATATGATGTATAAGTACACATATAAATCAAACTGTATATCCCTCCATCCTATTTATTTATTCATCTATCATATCTATCAATCATATATATCATCTACCGGTCATCTATCTGTCTGCGTATCCGTGCATCCATCTATGCTCTCTATCTATTCATTCATCCATCATATGTATGTATGTATGTATGTATGTATGTATGTATCTATGTATCTATCTATCTATCTATCTATCTGTCTATCTATCTATCTATCTACCTATCATCCATCCATCATCTATCATCTATATACCCATCTATCATCCATCTATCTATCTATCATCCATCTATTTATCTATCATCTATCTGTCAATGCATCTATCTACCTACCTGTCTGTCTCTCTGTCTCATCTGTCTAATCTGCCTCATCTCTCTCTCTCTCCCTGTCTCTCTCTAACTCATCTATCTATCTAATCTATCTAGTCTATCAATCTATCTATCCACCGATGTCATCTACCTATCTCATCTGTCTATCTAGCTATCTATCCATCTGTTGAATCTATCTATCTTTCCATTCATCCTTGCCAAATACTTGTTTAGTTTTGGAGAAAATCAAGCATATTTTTAGTCAGCTACCTACATGAGGAAGTATGGTTAAAACTCAAGCAGCAAACTGATTCATTCTCACTGTGAAATCAACCACATTGTGCTGTTGTTGTTTCTGCCTTGGGAGCAGGGGGCAGCTTCCAGGGATTCTTATTCATGTTTTTTTCTTCTGCCTCAACTTCTATGCCTGGTATAACGGCTGGGATTTCCTTTCTCATGTGTGCCATCTTGGCTGTAGTGGCTAGATGGACACTGGCCTGCATTGAATCTATTTTTTTTCCCTTGTTTGCCCCACCTACTATCCAAGTCCCTTAATAGCCATATTACTTTTGTGTCTGTCCCATTTTACCATTAAAAGTCAAGCCACAATTACATCAATATTATGCTACAGCATAATATGGGCACAGTCATATCTCCTGATTGGTTGTTCCTGCCTAAGAGCAAACTAAAATTTGAATCTATTTTATTCCTCTTTTTGGTCAACTCATCTTCAAAATTATTTCTTTTCTTTCATTTCTCTGTTGCAAAGTCTAATGTCCAAATTAGAAACAGTTCACAGAAGCCCCTAAACAATGAAAATGGGTATTTGCTTCTTTCTTAGAAAGAAAGACTTTCATTTACATAGCCTGTAGTTGATTGGGAATAGCATGAAGAAGGAATGAGCATGCTCTGTACAATTAGAGGATAAGAAATAGATTGCAGGTTGACCCAGTTTCTGACTTGCATTGATATTGTATTTCAATATCTTAACACAGTTTCTACCACAACTATCAAATTAAAAATTCATATTTAATCATGTACCAAGTTATGGCTAAAACAAATAGGTTATGTCAAACTATTAAACCAAAAGTGTATCAGGGAATAAGTTGGGAAAGCCATCATTCACAAAAATGGCACCACTACGTCTTCAAATAGCCACACAGATCAAATTGTTTTGTGATCTTTGTTCTCTTTTTGCACAGTTCTCATAAGTGGGTATTCTTCTGATTCATTCTGATTCATTATGTTGGGAAACATAATGGAATGAATGCTTACAGTGGCTGCATTTTAGGTAATTAATGATAAAGTGAGATGCAAGTGAAAAAGGTACACCCGCAAGATAATATTACAATAGCATGACTGTGCTATTCTTTCTGCAGTTCAATCAATACAGTTTGCTGATTGAACAACTCAACTGCAGGAATTTTCTTCTTGATCAAAGAGGAAATGATAATTACTTGCATTTTTCATGGATTTAAATCATGACATAGCAACTATTTATTAACCATGGAAAGGAATTCAATTATGATATCAAATCTCTGTACATGATAAAGGTCTGTATCTCCATCAGTTTATCTACCTCTCTGTGTCTAGGTTTTCTTATCTTTAAATTGGAACTATACTTTCCTTCACCTTATACATTTGTAGTGAAGATTAAAAGTGCAAATTCATATAGCGTATTTTGAATAGACTGGTATAAGATAAATGCTCAAGAAATATTTGCTGTTGCTATAATAATTATCATCATATGCAAGTATATAATATTGTTATATTATTATGTATATTATATTACAAATACTTATATAATACAATATTTATATTATTATATTATAATGATATTATTTGTCATTGTATAATATATATTTATATAATATAATTATACATTTGCATAATAATTATATTTATTGTATTATATATAAAAGGCAATTGTTATTATTACCTATGCTGGTTAACAAAATGAGCAGAATTTCAATTCACATATAGTATTGGCCTCCGTTACTACAAATGGCAAATACAATAGAATCTTTGTGACCTGAATTCATTTCCTAGAATACTTGAGGTTAAAAAATATCACTGTAATATTCAGTCTTACAAGCATCCAGAAAATTTGACATCTATCAGCTCTTCTCCTTAAACACATGACAGAAAATGACAAGGGAGATCAGAAAATTGAACTTTTTTGTGTGTGTCATGTTCATTTATCTCCAACAAATAATTAGATTTGTTTGAAAGCACCTAATTTCCTTGGAGTCAAAATAACTCATCTTAGTTCATTTACAGGATAGGCACCTTTATTTTATCACATACTTGTGAGATTAAAAACCTTTCTATATGTTATTTAATGTGAAAGAGTGATTAAGTGGTTTTGTTAGACATAAAATTTTTACATAATGTGATTTTAATGTACAAATACCAGAATTTTTCAGATTCCAAGAAATTTGGTACTTAAGATATATCTTAAAATATAAAAAAGATTCTTCACTCAATTAAATAAATGTTATTTTTATATTTTATAAAATTTTTTGGATAAATGTTATTCTTTCTGCTAAAAATAAGATGCCATTATTGCTTTAACTGAATGAATTTTTAACTGAAAACAAATCTGTGTAAAACCAAAATAGAGATCTGAGAATAAATAGTTGTGAGTTAAAGGGAAAATTATCTTTGTATCCTGTGAAATGCAATATATTATCCAATAAATTTCCAACAAATGGGCAAACATTCTAGAAATGAGTTTACTGTGTTTAGAGCCCATTATTGTAAATGAAACTAAAGCGTAATTTTAAAAGGGGGAGTGTTGCTTTTTAAGATTCCGCAACCACAAATTGTATTCAGGTTTTATTATCTAGCTTTAAAAAAAAAACGATTACTTTAGAGGGGAAAAATAAATTGTGGTAGTGTCTAATTATAAGAATATATTGAGTAGGAAAAAAAATCAAGGCTTTTCCTATACTGTTACTTAAGCACACAGAAATTGCTCTTCTAAGGACATTGAGTCTGGTACAAGTGGGCAGAAACCGTGGACTCCAGTTCTATATATCAATAGAGACTCATGCAGCTTTGATATATTATAAATTAATCCCAGACGGTAAACCCTATGCCAAATAGCAACGTTGTCTGAGAGCTACAAGGTTACAACCCCAAACTCAGAAATTCATTCAAGTTGTTGCCGTTAATACCGTGTTCGGCTTTCTTTTTCTTTTTCTTTTTCTTTTTTTTTTTGGATGGTTAACATTTTTGCTGGTCAGTTCATAATTTTGCTCAAAATGAGGCTATTATGCAAAACCTACAAAGAAAATTATGTGCATAATCCAGTGAGTAATACTAGCTGAGCACTGATGAATGTTCCCCTCGCCAATTTCTATTTCCAGGGTCCCTTTTCTTTTCCAAGCAGAATAATAAAACATGTCACAGGACTTCACTAATTGGTATCATTGCTTCTAGGCCTCTGATTCATGTCTGACTTTAAAAAGCTCTGCAGCAAAGAAAGAGGAGCTGGACTTTGTGGTATGGAATTGTCAAGAATTACTCAGACAAGCTTTCACAGCTATTGCTGTTACTCATGCAGCATGTTTTATTACACCCTCTTTCAGACAAATCATTTCACGTTGCTGCCTCCTGTTTTGACTCAATTTCCCTGTAACAAAAAAGGTAAAAAAACTAAAAACACTTTCCTTCCTTTAAATATTTGGAATGTATTATCTCAATTTGTGAAGGGAAAATAATGATGAGTTTCTTACGCTGAAAAGGACATATGGAACTTGGAGATAGTTTGCAGTCCAACGCAAACAACTAAGAATCTTTTGTCTAGGGGATGACAGCTAGTTTTTGGTCAAAAGATAGGCTTATATTAGTACAATCAAATGATGAAGGGCCTCTTCTTTATAGTCTGTTTCTTTATTCAGTACTGCGAACGGTGAGAGTCTTTGGTGGGAGATAAAATGTGTGTGTGTGTGTGTGTGTGTGTGTGTGTGTGTGTGTGTGTGTGTGTGTATGATGTACAGGCAACATTAAGAGGGAGTGTAGTCTGCCTAGTAGATGTTTTAATTTTTTTAATTTTTGAGAGAGGATCTTGCTCTGTCACCCATGCTGGAGTGCAGTGGTGTGATCTCACTTCACTGCAACCTCTGCCTCCTGGGATCCAGTGATCCCTCCACCTCCGCTTCCTCCTGAATAGCTCAGACTACAGACGTGCGCCACCACAACCCAGCTAATTTTTGTATGTTTGTAGAGAAGGGGTCTTGCTTTGTTGCTGATGTGGTTTGGCTGTGTCCCCACCCAAATCTCATCTTGAATTGTAGTTTCCATAATCCCGTGTCCTGGGAGGGACACTGTGGGAGGTAATTTAATCACAGGTGCTGTTACCCTCATATTCTTCTTGTGATAGTGAGTTCTCACAAGATCTGATGGTTTTATAAGGGGCTTTTCCCCCTTTTGCTCTGGGCTTTTTTTGCTGCCGCCATGTGAAGAAGTTCGTGTTTGCTTCCCCTTACACCATGATTGTGTTTCCTGAGGCCTCCTCAGCCATGTGGAACTGAGAGCTAAGCAAACCTCTTTCCTTTACACATTACCCAGTCTTGGATATGTCTTTATTAGCAGCATGAGAATGGACTAATACAGTTGTCCAAGCTGGTCTCAAACTCCTGGCCTCAAGCAATTCTCCCACTTTGGCCTCCCAAAGTGCTGGAACTACAGGCGTGAGCCACTGTTCCTGGCCGGCCTAACAGTTTTTATCTGAAACTCTAATAGTTTTCAATGGGTCCCAGATAAAGTGAAGGGATTTGATTTTAACTATTTGGAATAGAAAAGTTAATCCTTTGGTTTTTCTACAGAATGAATTTATAATGTATTATATATACCAGAACACCTGTGGGAGAGAAATAACTATAACTCTTATGCTGGAACAAGAGGTGTATACCAGAATTGGCCCAGGCACCTGGAACATACGGTTATCCAAAGGTTCTACCCTAATTCATAATTGTCAGAAAGACATTTCAAGGACAGGAACTCCAGTATTGGTCTGTGTACAAAATGATGGTCAAATGAACCAATAAATGCAAAGATAAAGGGGATGGGAGAGGATGTTTCTGAATCATACATGTTTTAGAAGATAGATTTCAATATCGCAGAACACCATAAACTGTGGATATTAAGTTTACTACATTCACGCATATATTTTACCCACTTTTGAACTCTGCATTTTGGTACCCCGTAATAGATTATCTATCTGTCATCTATCTATCTATCTATCTATCTATCTATCTATCTATCTATAACTATCTATTTATCTACCTATCTATCTATCATCTATCTATCTATATCTATCTATCTATCTATCTGTCTGTCTGTCTGTCTGTCTGTCTATCTATCCATCCATCTATCTATGTATCTCTTTGTCTACCTATGTTATCTATCTATCTATCTATCTATCTATCTATCTATCTATCTATCTATAACTATCTATCTATTTATCTACCTATCATCTATCTATCTATCTAACCATCCATCCATCTATGTATCTCTTTGTCTACCTATGTTATCTATCTATCTATCTATCTATCTATCTATCTATCTATCTATCATCTATCTATCTATCTGTTTTTCCTTCTTTCTGAGTACACATATTGTACTGTTTTCATTTTACTCTCTTTCATTTCTCCCACTTGATGGATACACTGTCCTGGGACTTGTTTGTTTAAACATGCACTTATTGGTACATCGTTTTGAAGCATATTCTTTACCATTTCTGAATTTTATATTGATAGACAATCCCTCATCATTTGGATTGTATGACCTCTTCGTGTTACTGATTGGAACCTAGGTATTAGTCTAATTATTACTTCTGTGTATGTGATCTGTGACTTTTCTCTGGTTGCAGTTGGGTTTTTATTTGGTCCAATAAACACCCAGTTGTGCTTCTGAGTATCCATTCTGTTGCTACACTGTAATAAGCATCATTTTCTCTCCTCATGTCTCATTGTTTTGGAGCAATAAAATCATCCTAATAATTTAAGCATGACTTGTAGAGCATGTCTTTCTATCTAAACCTGGTGCGAATATGTCTTTTCTTTGTTACCTGATGTGATGGTTAATTGTATGTGTCAGCTTGACTGACCTAAGGGATGCCCAGAGAGCTGGTAAAACATTATTTGTGAGTGTGTCTCTGAGAGTGTTTCTGGAAGAGATTAGCGTTAGAATCAGTAGACTGGGTGATATGGTTTCACTGTGTTCCCACCCAAATCTCATCTTGAATTGTAGCTCCCATAGTTCCCAAGTGTTGTGAGAGGGACCTGGTGGGAGGTAATTGAATCACGAGGGGTGGGTCTTTCCCATGCTGTTCTTGTGATAGTGAATAAGTCTCATGAGATCTGATGGTTTTATAAAAGGGCATTCCCCTACACATGCTCTTTTTTCTGCTGCCACGTAAGACATGACTTTGCTCCTTGTTTGCCTTCCACCATGATTGTGAGGCCTCGCCAGTCATGTGGAACTGTGAGTTAATTAAACTTTTTGGTTTAATTAAATAAAATCTTGGGTATGTCCTTATAGCAGCGTGAGAGCAGACAGATACACTGGGTAAAGAAGATCCACCCTCACCAGTGTCAGTAGGCATCATCCAGTTTGTTGAGTGTCCAGCTAGAACAAAGCGGCAGAAGAAGGGTGAATTCAGTCTCTATTTTTAAGCTAGAATATCCATTTTCTCCTGACCTCAGACATCATCACCCCTGGTTCTCAAGTCTTCAGACTTCGACTGAATTACATTACAGGCTTTTCTGGTTCTCAGTTTGCAGTCAGCAGGTTGTGGGACTTCTAAGCCTCTATAACCATGTGGGACACTTAGTATAATACATCTTATCTATCTTGCTATCTATCTATCTATTCATCATCTATCTGTTGGCTTATTTATTCATCCATTTTTCCATCCATTCATTCATTCATCTATCATTCATCCATCCATCTATCCATCTATTCATCCATCTGTCACCCATCCATCCGTTCATCTAGCTAGCTATTCATGTATTCATCTGTCCAATTATCTATCTCCTATTAGTTCTTTTTCTCTGGAGAAACACATGATCACTGGTCTCTTTCCATAGGGCCATGAAGGGGCCACATGCAAGAGAAGGCACATTGGTAAACATGAATATTTTGCTCAAACAACTTATATCTACTAGACCTGTCTGATCCCTACTTTATACAGCTACTTCCCCTTCATAATGAAGTGTCCGTGGGCTCACTTGTTCATTGGGATGGAAATCACGTAATTTCTGATGTGTGCCTCAAGATGCATGACCACACGACTCTGATGGTAAGCTGAACAATTTCTACCAGGACCCTGTAAAAAGCAGGCAGCTCTTATCCAAAATAAGAAGACTTTGCAAAAATGGCATGGTCTTTCCTTCATACATGAGAGATTTCATTATAATGATCCTAGTGGGGCTTTCCACTAATCCTATCAGAACATGACCTGTTATGTGCACTTCACGCAACAGTTAATCTGCTGGGTGACAAAGCTTACAAGAAAGAGGTGTTTGTTCTGTGAACAATACAAGTGGTGAGCCTTTCTCCCACTGGGCACCATGCAAAGCTAGCCAGCACATAGAGTATGAATATGTATTTCCATTCATTTTTACTTACAGGTGAAATGAAGTGTATGCTGTATGGTTGTGGATAACTACATATTTCACAGAGGGTTTAGAATACTGATCTTTCTTGCACTGTTATGGGCTGATTTGGGTCTCCCTAAAATTCATATGTTGAAACACTTATCCCCAAGGGGACTGTATTTAAAGATAGGGCCTTTAAAGAGATAATTAAGCTTAAATGAGATAATTAGGGTGGGCCCTAATCCAATAGGATTGGTGTCCTTATAAAAAGAGGAGATTAGAACACAAACAAATACAGAGGGCAACCATGTGAGAACACAGGGAGAAGACAGTGTCTACAAGTCCAGGAGAGAGGCCTTAAGAGGAACCAGTGCTGCCCATACCTTCGTCTTGGGTTTTCAGCCTCCAGAACTGTGAAAAAGCAAATTTCTGGTTTTTTAAAATCTACCCAGTCTGTGGTATTTTGATATGGCAGCCTTAGCAAAAAAAGACAGGCTTTATCATCCATTCTGTGGCAAGCATCAGTCTTACACATGTATCTCAAATATTGCTACATCCTAAGCTTCAGGCCCCATCAGCATCAATGTAGCAGACCAGGGTAAAGAATTGTGAGACAGTGAGGTAGCAAAAATACCTCTAAGACCTCTGTGGACACACAGAGGCTGAATGTGGCCAAGGTGGTAAAGATGTATTGCTGACACTGTTATGTGAAAGTCAATTGCTTGTAGGGATTGTTGCTTATTGAGATAGAGAATAAATAAATGGGAAGGAAAATGAAACACAGACATTTGCTACCACCATAGCTATATGCCAGGCACCAGCATTTGTATTGATTTGTTTCTGAGAAGAGACAGAGAATGTGTCTGAATAGCAGCTGTCACGTGAGCATGGCATGAAACCCTAGTCTGAGCTACTGCGACTTTCCATGAACTTCTTCTGGCTTCTTCAGTGATGAACATGTTAACATGGGGTGCAAAAGTTACCCCCACGTGTGGTTGGAAATGTGAGTTGCCTCTTTGAACATGTATTCATCTCTTAAAGTTTATCGTGTAGAAAAGTAGAAAAGCCTTCTACTTTTCTTCCTGACTGAAGAGCTCAGAAAACTAAACTTACATTTTTCCATCTAATCTTCCAGCCAGATGTCAAACTTATGTTCTTTGAGTTAAATACACTTGTGTGAGATATGAAAGTAGAGCTGACTTAGGTGATCAGAGAGGCAGGTGTGAGAAATCATTGTGCAGGTACAGGTCGTGGCACACATGGCCTTGACCACGTTAGAACCAAGCAGCTTGGGAGGTGGACCAGGCAGTTCCCTGGAAGTAGCTTAATGCTGGCTTCATTGAGAACCTGCATCTATCAAGGAACTTTGGGACTCAACCCTGGAAGAAGATTCTCACAGCATATTCCAGAACTTCTAACAGATAAAGTGCAAGGTAAACTTAAAAGTCAAAAAGTCTACTCACAGTCCAAATTGTTCATTAGACCATATATATAAGCCAATTTCCCAAATTTTATTTTATAATTAAAATAGTAAACAAGGAGGAGGGAGCCTGAAATCTGACATATTTTGTGACACTATGGATTATATTTCAGATACTAAAACGAAGCGCAAACAAATTCTAATGACTAAGTGGCAGGAAATTTACATGTACAGTTTTGGTGGTGATCATTTTTGCAGGAAGAAAAAGAAGGAAATCACACAGTTCAACTCACAGCAGATACCCAAATTTTATTTCTGCCATAAGCTTTTAGCTTTATAAACTGTAATTTATAAACATTTATAAAATGCATAAATATTTACAGCATTTATAAACGTTTGTAAACATTAAACCAGGTAATGTTTTAGGCACATAATCTTCAGAGTTTTCACTCCACACTATAACATTTATCATTCTCAATAATTCCGCTGGTTGTCGTATGTAGGCTGAATGGAATTGTGGAAGTTGTATAATTGCCCATTTGTACTTGTGCAAATTGTACATTGTATAAGTACAATTCCTTTGTTGTCACAAAACCTTGGATTACAAATACATATCTGCGTAGAATTTCCTCCTAAAATAATACTAACACAGAGAATAATGTTTCTTCTTCTTTCTTTCTGCATATATTGTATCTTATATATGCATTTTGTTTGCTCTTTTCATGCTTTAAAAATATCAGTCTCAACTTTAGTCCTTAGAAGCAAGTGCAGAGATTTTTAGGTCAAATTTTAAGAAAATTGAGACAAGTGTATTTTCTTACACCAGAAATATTTATGGTTATCATATCTGTCACTACAACGTAGGATAAAATATATAAATGCATAGAGCAGATAGTATCATTCAATTCATTATTGGATTTGGAATTATTCTTTAATTTAAAAAAAATTAAGAGATCATAGCTCACTACAGCCTCAAACTCTTGGGCTGGAGCAATTCTCCTGCCTCACCCTCCCAAGTAGCTGGGACTACAGACACACACCACCACACCTGGCTAATTTTTAAATTTTCTGTAGAGACAGGGTTTTGCTATGTTGCTCAGGCTGGTTTTGAACTCCTGGCTACAAGCAATCCTCCTGCCTCAGCCTCAAATTGCTGGGATTATAGTTGTGATCCACTGTGCCCTTAACTTTGATGGGTAAATGGAATTGTAGAGAAAATCATACGGCCTTCACAGTAATAGTTACACTTTCTCCTGTATCAGTGGCTGGATGAAGTCAATCACCTTAGTGGGTGCTTTTCAATTAGTATTTCTAATTCCCACAACAATCATGGATGAATTAAGGGCAATCTATTTGTTTGAAAGGAAGAAAATAAGATTTGTGTAATTGGCATAATTTTACACATGTCCAAATTATGATAAGCTAGGTAATTTGCACAATTCCATTCAGTGTATATGTGATGAATCCAGTCAGTGAATCAACTTCATTTTGATCCAAAACCCACTTTATCCTGGATCATGTTTCAGAAAAGACGAAGAAAATAAAAGTGTCAAAAAATAGACTTTCAGACATCTGATCACTGGGAAGTCTTGAGAAAGATGCGGGGAATATATGATATACATCCCAAGTACATAAAGCACAATCAGTATTCAATAATTTATAAATGATACCAGCTGGGCTCCAGTTCTTGGGTAGAATTTTTTTTTTATTTATTATTATTATTTTTTTTTTGAGGCAGGGTCTCACTCTGTCACCCAGGCTGGAGTGCAGTGGTGCAAACACGGCCCACTACTGCGTCGATTTCCTGGGCTGAAATGATCCTCTCACCTTAGCCTCCAGAGTAGCTGGAACTACAGGCATGAGTCACTGCACCTATCCCACCATTTTTTTAAAACATACTACCTATGAAGAGGCACAGGCCACCACACCCAGCTATTTATTTATTTATTTATTTTGATAGAGATGGGGGTCTCACTATGTTTCCCAGTCTGGTTTTGAACTCCTGGGCTCAAGCAATCCTCCCACCTCAACCTCTGAAAGTGCTGGGATTTTTAGATATGAGCCATAACGCCTGGCTAGAATTCTAGATAATATACAAGAAAGCATTTACAAGAGTGTGTGATAATCTATGAAAATAGTTTTCAAAATGATTCTCCACTGGTATTTTAAAATAAGATAAATTTTTATCAGTTTGAGGGAGATTGTATTTGGGATCATTTTTCTGTGGTTCTTAATAACCGCAATGTTCATGTAAAAACCCCCAATAATGTGTTTTTTTTATAACTAGCTTTTGTTTTTGCAAATGCCAGTCTATAGTCTAGTGCTAATGAAGTATGTGGTTGAAAATGGTATAAACTGAAATTATAGTTTTATGTGAGATTTCTTCTGGAAGCAGTATGTAATAATCTAAATAGTTATTGCCTTCAGTTTGAAAAGAAATATAAATGTGTGTTCCCAGGTCCTACAATAAGTTGGACTACTGATATAAATGAAAGAAAGTTGCTGGAGAGGATGTGGAGAAATAGGAACGCTTTTACACTGTTGGTGGGACAGTAAACTAGTTCAACCATTGTGGAAGACAGTGTGGCAATTCCTCAAGGATCTAGAAATAGAAATACTGTTTGACCCAGCTGTCCCATTACTGGGTATATACCCAAAGGATTATAAATCATGCTGCTATAAAGACACATGCACACGTATGTTTTTTGTGGCACTATTCACAACAGCAAAGACTTGGAACCAACCCAAATGTCCATCAATGATAGACTGGATTAAGAAAATGTGGCACATATACACCATGGAATACTATGCAGCCATAAAAAAGGATGAGTTCATGTCCTTTGTAGGCACATGGATGAAGCTGGAAACCATCATTCTCAGCAAACTATTGCAAGGACAGAAAACCAAACACCGCATGTTCTCACTTATAGGTGGGAATTGAACAATGGGAACACTTGGACACAGGAAGGGGAACATCACACACCGGGGCCTGTCGAGGGTTGGGGGGAGGGGGGAGGGATAGCATTAGGAGATAAACCTAATGTAAATGACGAGTTAATGGGTGCAGCACACCAACATGGCGCATGTATACCTATGTAACAAACCTGCACATTGTGCACATGTACCCTAGAACTTAAAGTATAAAAAAAAAGACCCAAAAAAGTAAAAAAGCAAAATGCAAATAGGTCTCTTTTTTTTTTTTTTGCTTCCATGACTATTATAAAGATTTCTAAAGATTTTTTTGACACCAAGCCAACTAGTTGGAAAGGTATAAATTCAATTCATATCTGATATTTCTAGCAATACCTTTAAAAAATATGTATAGCTCCTATGAAAGTGACCTTCTAGATAACTGATTTTACATAAGGTATGCATACTTTCGTGACCTTCTGTATAATCGATTTTTTCTTAAGGAATGCATGTTTTCTAATATATCAGATTTGAAACCTACCATTTGACTAATATGGGTAATTTGACTAGTTAACAACTGAACAAAAATAATCAAAACATATTAACATAGCCAACTTTTCAAACAACTTATGTTCTTGGTTCAGAGCAATCATATATCAGCAATTAGGTGATCATATCCATGTAATAAACTGGAAGAAAGGGAAGAAAACAAGACAATGCTCTATAATTTTGGGATACGTGGGTGTTTGTGATAAAGTTGACTTGCCCCAATAGAAATTTCACAGATTGTTTGTACTTCAAAGACAGATTGGAAGACTAATTTATAACATGGTAGTTTTTCACTTGACCTATAACTAGTTTTCACAGCAATGCAAAGAAAACATTTCTACAAGTAAACAGCTACTTTTTTTTCCTTGCGTTTTTGACACTGGTATTTATCTCTATTTTTATAACAGACAAAAGGATCTATGGGAACAACGTGGAAGTAGGACACCCATGGATGACTTCCTATTCATGAAGCTGATGGAAGAATAAAAACATAATTAATTATATAAGCAGGGTATACTTTTAGCATGAAGGGAATCTGAAAATTACAGCTTACCATCAAATTAATGAAAATCTAAAGAATAAAAAGCACGATGAAAGGGATGACTTATAGATTTCAATTATTATTTGGTGGAGATTATATGCCTTCATTAGGAATAGCCTTTGACATGTGAGCAGAAAATCTCCTTTCAAAAAATTTTAAAGTGAGTTCTTAAGTAAAATGAACCCTGTAAGTCACACTTTACTATCAAGCTGAAGGGATCTCCTTTTGACTGTGGGTTTCACACATTTGTCACTCAGAAGGTAAATGAGTGGAGAAAAATCACATAGAGAATCAGAGAATGATGGATTACCACAGATACTACATCTGATATTATTGATATTTTCTCAAGCAAAGTAAATTATCATGATAGAGTCATTTTAGGTAATATTTAATTAACAACCTTACTTAATTCAAATAATTTAAGGTATACAAGTTTGAAGTTAACATGACAGTGAAGCATATATCAACTAGTTATTACATGTTTTTTAAAATGGTATTTTCTTCTTCATTGATTGGCCAAATTGACTAATGAGTAGTTAATATAGTTTGGCTATATCCCGACCCAAATTTCATCTTGAATTGTAGCTCCCATAATTTCCATGTGTCATGGGAGGGACATGGTGGGAGGTAATTGAATCATGGGGGCAGGTCTTTCCCATGTTGTTCTCTTGATAGTGAATAAATCTCATGAGATCTGATGATTTTAGAAAGGGAAGATCCCCCGCACACATTCTCTTGCCTACCACCATGAAAGACATAACTTAGCTCCTTATTTGCCTTCTGCCATGATTGTGAGGCCTCCCCAGTCATGTGGAACTGCGAGTCCATTAAACCTCTTTCCTTTATAAATTACCCATTTGGGGCATGTCTTTATTAGCAGTGTGAGAACAGACTAATACCGTAGTCTTATTTTTAAAATATTTTATCATGGCTAAATATCCTAAGGAAAACGACTCGGAAACAGAAAGACAATTACTGCGTTTTCTCACAAGTGGCAGCTAAGTAATGTGTACAATGGACAAAGAGAGTGGAAAAATAGACACTGGACACTTGGAAGGGTGAGAGGCTGGGAGAGGTGGGAGGGCAAAAAATTACATAATGGGTACAATGTACACTATTCAGGTGAGGGGTAAACTGGAAGCCCTGACTTCACAACTATGCAACATATCCATGTAACAAAATTGAGCTTGTGCCCTATACATTTATACAAATAAAAACATTAACATATTTAACATATTTTAAATACAATAATAAAAGTTAATATAATATACAGTAAGGCATTGAATAAAATGTAGAAATGCGGTAAATAGATGGTCCTCAGATAACTACATTAGGCCTATGATAAGCAAAGAGTGGCTAGGCAAAGCCCCCTAAACGAGTCAAGGAAAGTCTACCAAGAACCACCTTGACATATTAAATAGGAAGGAAAAACAGGCCGGAAGTGGTGGCTCATGCCTGTAACCCCAGAACTTTGGTAGGCCAAGGCGGGTGGATGGCTTGAGCCCAGGAGTTTGAGACCAGCCTGGGCAAAATGGTGAGACCTCGTCTGTACAAAAAATACAAAAAAATTAGCTGGGCATGGTGGCACGCACCTGTAGTCCCAGCTACTCAGGAGGCTGTGGCAGGAGGATCCCTTGAACCCGGGAGGCAGAGGCTGCAGTGAGCCGAGTTCATGCCACTGTACTCCAGCCTGGGTGACAGAGTGAGACCCTGTCTCTAAATAAATAAACAAATGCTTGTGTAGGAATATTTCTGCTCAGGCATAATCCCACAGGGCAGTCATTTCACCCTGAGGTGGCTTAGCTTCCTGCAGGGGACATGTAGAAAAGTCTAGAGACATTTAAAAAATGTTTAAATTTAATTTTTAATTTACATATAATAATTGTATATATTCACATGGCACAGTGAAGTTCTGATATATACAACATACAGTGATCTCATCAGGGTCATTCGTGTATCCATCAGCTCAAACATGTATCATTTCTTTGTGTTGTGAACATTCAATATCTATAGTCATCCTACAGTGGTATAGAACAGTACAACTTATTCCTCCTATGTAACTATAATTTTGTGTCCTTCAACAAATTTCTCCCTATCTTCTCTTACCCCTAACGTTCCCAGCTTGTAGTATCCTTTCTTCTACTTTTTAGTTCTTTTTTTGAGACGGAGTTTCACTTTTGTTGCCCAGGCGGGAGTGCAATGGCACGATCTCGGCTCACTGCAACCTCCACCTCCTGCGTTCAAAGTATTCTCCTGCCTCAGCTTACCGAGTAGCTGGGATTACAAGCACACGCCACCACGCCCGGCTAATTTTTGTATTTTTAATAGAGAGGGGGTTTCGCCCTGTTGACCAGGCTGGTCTTAAACTTCTGACCTCAGGTGATCCACCTGCCTCCGCCTCCCGAAGTGCTGGGATTACAGGCGTGAGCCACCGCGCCCGGCCCTACTTTTTAGTTCTATGAGATATTTTTAGTTGTCACATCTAGGGAAGAAGGTTTGCTATTGCTTTTCTTCTCTTTTATTTTTTATTTCAACTTTTATTTTAGGTTCCAGAGGTGCACGTACAAGTTTGTTACTTGGGTATATTGTGTGACATTGAGGTTTGGGGTACAAATAATTCTGTCACCCAGGTAGGGAGCATAGTACCCAAAAGTTAATTTATCAGCCCTTGTACCCCTCTATGCTCTCCCCTTTAGTAGTCCCCAGTGCCTATTGTTCTCATCTTTATCTCCTTCATAATTTAATGCTTAGTTTCTACTTAAGGATTAGAACATGTGGTATTTGGTTTTCTGTTCCGGCACTAATTTGCTCAGGATAATGGCCTCCAGTTGCATCCATGTTTCTTCAGAGAACATTATTTTTCTCTTTTTTAGTATTGCATAGTATTCCATGGTGTATATGTACCACTTTTTTGTTTTTTTTAAATCCAATCCACTGTTGGTGGGCATCTAGGTTGAGTCCATGTCTTTGCTATGGTGAATCACGCCGTGATGAAAATACAAGTGCATGTGTCTTTTTGGAAGAACAATTTTTTTTATTTCTTCATCTTTTTTTTAGCCTTTCTGAATAACCTTGTTTTAGGTATATTTCTTGTGGATGGCCTATCTTGGGGTGCTTCTGTATGGGCCCATTGATTTTTTTTTTCTGTCTCTCAGTAAATGAGATAAGTTCCTTGCACATTAATTGACATGTTTGATGTATTCAGTCTCTGTCACCATATAATTCTATGCATCATGTTAGATTTTCTATATTTTGTCATGGATGAGCACCAGCCCTCGGGGGCTGGTATTGCAAGGGTAGTAAAGTAATTTACCAAGATAATGGCAGGTAAAGAAAGGCAGATTTATTAGAGAAAGTGTGAAAATGCATTGCAAGGGTGAAATGGGCAGACCAGCCAGAGAGAAGCTGACTGTCAGGAAACAAAGGCTTGCTGGGAATTTTATGGAATGATGTTTATGCTGAAGAGTGGTACATGCAGTGCTCATAATGGCACGGTTGCAGTGAGCTAACTTGCAGGTGTCTGGCGATAGCTGGGCACAAGAAGATTGTGAGTTTTTTGCCCAGGGGGGCTATGGGTCCTGTACTATGAAGAAAGACAGACTTACAGCTTATCTGCTTTCTGTTTTTGCTTTCCCTCAGTCTCACCAGACTGACTCCTTTTCCCTAAGTAGGACTCCACACATTTCTCTATGCAATAGTTACTCATTTTTCTTTAATTTGTATTATGCCCCGATATTTGTCAAGCTGGAATTTTTGTAATTACCGTATCTTAGATTTATTTATGGTGTGTTATAGGAGTAGATGAACATTACGTTAGGTGAACACTGTAGCTACCTACCCGCATCCAACTGGTTTATTTCTCTCTACCCTCTCTCCAAGTCCTAAGACCGGCACTGCCTTCCTGGCTTACTCTCTCTTTGATAGTCTATGTCTAATCCACAAACAATGAATCTATCCTTTGCAGTCTTGTTTACTCAAAGAAGAGAGAGGTTAAAAAAAAATCTCATTAACTACTATTACACAGTCATTAAGAAAATCAGTCACTTATATAAGGAATCATGATATTTCTAGAAGGAACTGAGGTGTTGTGATGTTATCCAATTTTATATCAGTTTAAAATGGCAGAGAGGAAACAACTCTTTTGAGTAGGCGAATGTTTCCAACATTCTGTTCTGACCTATGATTTTAATATTATCACATGATAAAATCAAATATCTTCACTCTTTTTTTTTTTTTTTTTTTTGAGACAGGATCTCCCTCTGTTGCCCAGGCTGGAGTGCAGTGGTACGATCATGGCTCATTGCAGCCTCAACTTCCCATGTTCAAGTGATCCTTATGCCTCAGCCCCCCTAATAGCAGGGACTACAGGTGCGTACCACCACGCCCGGCTAATGTTGTATTTTTTATAGAGACAGGGTTTCATCATGTTGCTCAGGCTAGACTCAAATTCCTGGGCTCAAGAAATCCACCCACCCTGGCTTTTCCCAAAGTGCCGGGATTACAGGCATCAGCCACCATGCTGAGTTTCCTTCTTATTAAATTAAATTTTATTTCCAGAAAAATAAGTGCCTCAATTTTTTTTTACTGAACTATATTGCTTTAAAACATCCCATGAAATTCCAGAGAAACAGATTAAAATTTCAAAGAATAACCTAAACAAAAGATTAACTTTGTACCTGCATATAAAGCAAAAATGCAGGATGCTATAGTCTTAAAGGGACCTAAAGGAAACTAAATGTACCATTGTGGATATTGTATTACAGAAAGCACAAGAGATAAACTGTACCAATAAAATATCACATTATTGTTTTATTCGTAGCAGAATCAAACGCAGCTGCATGTACAACGAAACACCCACAGGAATCATGAGTGTTGGAAAATCTGAAAGAAGACAAATATTTAGAAACATAATATTAAAAATAAATTTTAATTTGGAGACTGTCAGAGTGAATTAAAAAGTAGAGTTTAAATACATGTTTGACATTTGTGCCTTATTGCAAAATTAGTTCCACTTTTCCTTTAACACACTTCTACAGTTAATATTTCATTGCCACCAAAACAAACATCATTGGAACAATTAAAATGGGACTTCATCTCTCCATATCCTGTCTTGAGAGTTTAAAGATCCTTCAGTAGACTGATTTTCTACTTAGAGGGTGAACTCTAACCTGCATTTCTCTCCTTTATGACAAAGCAAATCTTTGCAGGTGTACAAATAATTGAGTTAGAAATGGAGAAATGAGTTACAATTGAGTAGCTCACCAGCTAAATAATAAGAAAAGGCTTAGGTGGAAAAACAGATTAAATGTAACCTGAAGATAACAATATTTGGTCTCTATTTGTGAATTGCAGTGTATTATTTAAGAGACAGGAACCAGGCCAAGGTCTCGCTGGTAAACATTTAAAGTCAAGAAAACGCCTCCTCAGAAAAGACATTGTTTTGCAACGTTGAGAGAAAATGAATATTTTCCTCTATTTGCATTAACTTTAGTTGAACTTTTCCTTGTGGTCAATTTATTGCATTTTTGAAACTTTTTAAAATTAAACATTTTTTTGACTTTTGCAATAGCTGGAGATTCCAGGGCAGTTGTAAAATATCATACAGATTCCACTGACCAATTTCCCCCAATGGTAACATCTTGCAAAACTAAAGCATAATGTCACCACCAGGGTAGTATTCTTGAGATGGTCATGATACAGAACAATTCTGTATTAGTCCATTCTTACACTGCCATAAAGAACTACCTGAGACTGATTAATTTATGAAGAACATATGTTTAATTGCCTGGCAGTTCTGCAGGCTATACAGAAAGCATGGCTGGGAGGCCTCAGTAAATTTACAATCATGGCGGAAGGCGAAGGGGAAATGAGCATATCTTCAAATGTCAGTAGGAGAGAGAGAGCATAAGGGGAAGTGCCACACACTTTTAAACAACCAGATCTCGTGATAACTCACTCACGGTCACCAGAACAGCAAGGGGATATCCACCCCCATGATCCAATCACTTCCCATCAGGTCCCTCACCCAACACTGGGAATTACCATTCAACTTGAGATTTGGGTGGAGACACAGAGCCAAACCATGTCAAATGCCATCCTCACAAGCATCTCTTATATTGATCTTTTATAATCACACCTATTTCCCTTCTACCATGAACTCGCCTTAACCCCAGGCAACTATCAATCTTTTACTCATTTCTATACTTCTTTCATTTCAAAAATGTTATGTAAATGGAATTGCACAAGATGTAACTTTGCAAGATTGGTTTTTATCACATCGTTGGAGATGCATCCAAGTTGTTGTATGTATCAGTAGTTTTTTTTTGTTTTTTTTTTTTGCTAAGTAGATCCCATGGTATGAGTGCATCAAAGTTTGCCCAACCACCAAAATAACTAAGGAATGCTTCAGACACTATACATAGCATAGAATTTTCAATATTGTAGCATCTTATTTACTTATATTAAAACATCGGCCTATTTTTGCTCATTATTAATTAGTTATTTGTGTGTATCAAGTGTGTATATTAGGTTTCTGAAAGTGTATGCAAATGCTCTTTAGATTACGATGAGCTTGCATCCCCATAAACACATTGTAAGCTAAAAATATTGTAATCTGAGGATACATTGAATACATCTAACCTACCAAACATCATAGCTCAGCCCTGCCTACCTTAAATGTGCTCAGAACACTTACATTGGCCTACTGTTAGGCAAATCATCTAACACAAAGCCTACTTTATACTAAAGTGTTGAATATCTCCTGTAATTTATTGAATCCTGTCCTGAAAGTAAAAAACAGAATGATTGTATGGGAACTTGACTTGAAGTGTCATTTCTACTGAATGTGTGTGGACTTTGCACCACTGTAAAGATAAAAAATTTGCAAAAAGTCATATGTTTTGAACTGTAAACTGAAGAACGGGCCCCATTCAATTATTCATGTTATATATAGTCTAAAAAATGTCTTGTGCAAAAAATGATAAAATAGATATTTAAATGATTTCTTGTATTCAATTTCAATATAAGTCATCGTATAGGTACTGTAGATCTTATTATGGGGCATTATATAATGTATTTCTTATAAGCATACTCGAGGTTCTAACCCATGACTTAGATTTTATTATAAATATTATTAAGATCATTTTGCTGTTAGAAGAAATATGATAACAATAGCAAGAAATAAAAACTCTTGAGGAATACTTAAGCAAATAGTTATAAGTGGCTCAGTATATATCAGGAATTTTTTAAAAACTGCAAATATTATGGCAAATAATTTGTGTTAGAGCTTTGAGGTGGGTATTTTTTTAGGAGATGGAGTCTCACTCTGTTGTCCAGGTTGGAGTGCTTTGGTGCAATCATGGCTCACTGCAGCCTAGAACTCCTGGGCTCAAGCAACCCTTCCACCTCAGCCTCCCGAGTAGCTGGGACTGGGACTATAGGCATGTACCAACACACCTGGCTAATTTTTTTTAATTACGGTAGAGACAGGGTCTCTCTATGTTGCCCACGCTGGTCTCGAATCCTGGCCTCAAGCAATCGTCCCAAATTGCTGGCATTACATGTGTGAGCCACTGTGCCTGGCTGGAGGTGGGCATTTTTGGTAGTCACTCCATGTCACAGAAGACAAATGTTAGGCAATAAAAGTTGAGTAACTTGCTGAGGCTCCACAGAAGTGGTAGCCCTTGGGCTGAACCCATTACCCTTGATAGTTGCAGTTCTGCATCCTGCTGCAAAACCAATTAAACTAGAACCTTTGGGGAAGTGGGGAGAGTTTGCTGGTCGGAGTATCTTCAAACCTCCAAAAAGCCCAATACAGAGGATATGTAGCTGTGTTTTTGTGCTATGCCAGGTGCAGACCTTGGACCAGCTTGATCAGCCTCACCAGAGAGCTTGTTGAAAATGCAGAACCAGCCCAGAGCTGCCTCATCAGAGTGTGCCTTGCAATAAGATCTGCAGGTGATCTCTATGCATATTAGAACTTGAGACATACTATTCTATGCCATCATTCTTAACCATCAATCTTATTAGCTGCTTATTCTTTCCAACTGAAGAGCTGATTTATGTTAGAGGAGGAGATCTAATCTCCGAAGAGTTTGCGTCTGTCTCCCATCACAGAGGCATACATCCTGGAAGTGCTCTGGTTGGGCTAGGGTGGCTCAGGTGCTCTGTAGAGGAACAAGGCAATTTACTGATGGATGCTGAGGTGAGAAGGGACAAGCGACACATCTCTCCACTGAAGTAGTGTCATGGGCTCAATTATATGGCCCCAAAATTATAACCTGAGGTCTCTAACCTGCCTTTACCTCAGAATGTGACTGTGTTTGGAGACAGGACCTTTAGAGATAATTATGTTACAAAGAAATCACTAAAGTGGACCCCAATCCAATAAGACTGGTTTCCTTTTAAGAAGAGGCCATTAGGACACAGACACTCACAGAGGGACAAACACGTGAGGACACAAGGAGAAGAGAGTGTCTACAAGCCAAGGAGAGAGGCCTCAGGAGGAACCAATGCTCTGACACCTTGATCTCATACTTCCAGCCTCCAGGACTATGAGAAATATATTTCTATTGTTTAAGCTGCCCAGTCTGTGGTATATGGTTGTGGTAGCTCTGACAAACTCATACAAATCGTATAAATACATCAAAACAAGCAAATAAAATTGTTTTTTTAAATGTATTTTCTATTTATTACAGCAGTAATAACAAAGCGTCGGGTGATTTTAGCATTATTAAGATTCTAAAGATGCATATTTACACATGAGAAACTGTGTCATTATAACAAACCACATATTAGAAAAACAATGTTTTGAACTTATTAGGTATGCTTTTGCCTCATCCCAGAAGAAAAAAGAGAATAGCCTCATGGCATTCATATAAATGATGGAGTGTGATTAATTTTACATTTCACCAAGAGAGCTTCAAATCCTATTTTCTGGACATAGAATCCTGTTTTTAAGGAGAGCTGCCATCTGAAACAATACTCATTAATTGCACAGGAGATAACCCCTAGCTCTGGTTTCTAGTTTGCTTGCACAGAGAACTACAGGCATATAAAATTCTAGGATATAGGCCATGTTTGAGAAAAGAGCTAATATACCATTTTAACACTTTCATGCTTTCAGGCCATAAGCAAGCTGTTTCACTGTTTGCAAACATTACAATGGATTGCATATTTTTATTTGAAGAAACAGCAAAACATCTGGTATTAAAAATGCAAGAACAAATTACTATTTGTCATCTTAGTAGTAAGTAGGCTGCATAGAGCCGAAGTAAGATTTTTGTTGGCATTACAAATGTCACGGTGCAAAACTTTCATATATAGAGTTTTATCTAGAAATGTATTGATATAGATGGATAACACATTTTGTCATTGGGTAGAGCTGTAGAATGGTACCAAAGACAGCCTCCAAAAACTTGTTGGTCACAGTGGAGAAATTTTATTTAATTCATTCATTCATTCACTCATTTTATTATTCATTTTATTTTATTTGAGACGGTCTCGCTGTGAAGTGCAGTGGCGTGATCATGGCTCATTGCAAACTCTGCCTCCCAGGCTTAAGTGATCCTACCTTGGACTCCCAAGTAGCTGAGACTACAGGCATGTGCCAACACACCTGACTAATTTTTTTTATTTTTATTTTGTGGAGATGGAGTCCCACTATGTTGCTCAGGCTGTTCTTGAACCCCTGGGCTTAAACTATCCTCCAATCTTGGCCTCCTAAAGTGCTGGTATTACAGGCATGAGCCTCCATGCCTGGCTTGGAGGAAATTTTAGAATGTCTATTTGGTATCTGTGAGGATTCGTAACCCAAATGAATCACCTAGAAATAAGATTTGTCTATATCAGTATCTATGTCTATATCTTCCAAATGACTCACCCAGACAAGGTGAATTATTTCATTTGATGACATAACTGTTCACTTGCCAAAAAAAAAATCATTGTGGAGACAAATGTTGATGCATTTCTAGCATACCCATGCTACAGTAGTCACTGATTATCCATGGGGTATACGTTCCAAGACCCCCAGCAGATGGCTGAGACCACAGGTAGTACTGAACCCTATATATAGTATGTTTTATCTGTGAATACACACCTACGATAAAGTTTAATGGATTAATTAGGCACATTAGAAGAGTAACAACAATAATATGTAATACCATAGAATAATTATAACAAAATACTGTAATAAAAGTCATGTAAGTGTGGTTTCTCTCTTTCTCTCAAAATATTTGATAGTACTGTGCTGTTGGTAACTGAAAGTGCAGAAAGAAAAACTGTGGCTAAGAGCGGACTGATTATTTCTCCTTTCTTTCAGTGTTGGAAGCAAATCATGTTTCTGCTTCATAGACTTTTTACATACGTGATAGGCAACTAGGTTGCAATGACGTTTCTGGCATTTGGCTTGGTAATTGATTTTTTCCCAAGCTAGGAAGGTAACAAGGTGAAACTTTCTTTTTTAAGCTGTCAGGAGAGAAACAAGGGGCTCTTCCTCAGTGGGACCAGTGGGATGGTGAATATTGATTGGACTTCATTTCTCCACACCTTGAGAGTATAATCCCTTTAAGATGCATCCAAGTTTTTGCATATATCAATAGTTTCTTCCTTTTTTATTTCTGATTTGTTTCCATTGTATAGATGCACCACAGTTTTCTTGTCCACTAAAATAACTTTTAAAAATGCTTAAGACATCAAATGTAGCACAGAATTTTCCATTTTCATCTCTCCATACGTCTCCATGCCTTGAGAGTTTAACGATCCTTTTGTAGACAGGTTTTCCATCTGGAAAGCAGACACTCACTTGCAGTACTCCTTCTTCGCTCAAGCAAACCACTGGAAGTGTGCAAATAGCAATCAGAGCTGGAAATGGAGAAACTCAGACTGGACGAAGTGTGAGAGGTGTCGTTATCATAGGTGAGTACTTGAATGTGGCAAAAAAGAGATGAGAGGACCGGGGAAACCAGAAACCCAACCTTTTTCAGGTCCATTGTTCCTCGTAGCCCCAAAGAAGGCTCATCATTTTTTTTTCTTAGCATCTGCTTCATTAACTGCTCCTCCCTGAGATAAGGAGTAGGAGAGCCTTCGTGGAGGGCTTTAAGGATGGAAAATGAGTGCTAATTCCTGACAATTTAGCGCAAGCATACAGGAAAGCACTTTATATTCTGGCTTCTTTTTACGTCTTTCTGGTTCAAAGAAAAGCATATTGAAATTTCAGAAGGTTTCCAAGCCTCAGTTCTATTGAGCATCTACTACTCTATCTACTACGTAATTCAACAGGAAAAAGAACAAGATTGAATTTATATTTGCAATGTGTCAAGAGAGAAGCTGCATCCCATTAATGCCTGCAAACACTCATATTGTCTGAATTTTCAGCTATCACTTAAGCAAGTTTTCATGATTTGGCAGAAAAGAGCTATTTGTAAGTATAGAAAATTATTGCTATTATATGATTGCTTCTTACAGGCAGTATTCTTTTTTAAATGTGATTTCTACCCTATATTATAACATATTAAGGCAGTTATATGTTACAAAAATTGAAAAAGACTTGAAATAATTGGTTATAGTTGTGCAAGTTTAATTTATGCCATGGTCTGAGATACTCAATTAACTGGAGTCCATTTTTTTCCTCTCTCTGTCCCCTCCCCCCACTTAATTTTATTTATTGTCTGTCTTATTTTACAGAGAAAAGCATTTAAATTGAATTCAAGTAACAGAGTTTGAATGCATGTACTGTGTGGTCATGCCTACTAAATGTAACAAACTATCTACCTGTGTTTAAGGCATAAGGTAACAACAATTCTGTGAATGATGTTACTAATTCACAATGCTTAGGCTGTTTAACCCGCTCCATGCCTGGCATAGCCGATAGTCAATATAGTCACTATCGATGTTGTTATTTAAACACATCCTGTCCAGTTTTGTTTTACCAAAAGGATTAAGATGAAGGAACTCAGTGCTTTTCATCAAAGCATAAATTTTGACTCATTAGTGTTTCATTGTTTTGTATGCACAAAAGGTAAACTATATATTAGCAGGCTTGGGGCATCTTCCAATTATAGCTAATCTTCATCTAGAGTGGATTCTGTTTCCTGGGGATCTAAATATATACCAGGATATGTTAAAATTCAGATAACCAAAATATTTTTAATTCAAAATAAATGTATTGTATTTTGTCACTTTTTTTTTCTTTACAGATTTGCAAACCTTACCAAGACAATTTATATAGGGGACACTGTTTTGAAAGAGCTTGATGGAGGAATTATATTATTATTATCACATTAGCTGGTAGATACTTTCCGTCTAAGAAAGCAGTACTTTCTCTTTCCATATATGAATTCAGGATTCTTTAGCAACTATTTTTTCACACACGCAGTGTGCTAAAACTATAATGAGGTGGCTTAAAAATCAAGTTAGATTAAAGAGCTAGCTATTATTCACATGGTTGGGATAAGAATCACTGTGATGTTCTTTAAATACTAGAGAAAAAAAAAGCATGCACATAATATCAAATGAAAAACATTGGGCCCCTGTAGTGCACAGGCAGAATCCAGTTTCCCATAAAATGTAACAGCTTGATAAAACAGGCATGCCCACTTCAGGTAAACTAATAAGTCACAGTCCTCTACTGCCTCCTGAGCAAAGTATTGTTCAAAGCTGAAATACTTACATTCCTTCAGTGATTGAGGAAGGCTCATTTCTGAACCTCTTCTGAAAATGTTTGTGCTGTATACTTTGCTGCATTTTCTTAGCCACCACTGAGCAACTTGCAGACAGAAAACTTGAAAAGCTAGCTTTTCTGCTAATATTATGAACTTGATTTTAATTAGGAAAGTTAAGGAACCCTTTTTTGGGGGGCATTATTAGCCAAACGGCATAATCTATCACTACTTTTTCTCAGCCTATTCATGAGTATAGATGATCACTGAAAAAAAGTGATCACGGGTTCAATAAAACAGCAACAACAAGATCAACCACCCACTGGTGTTTCAGGAAGAGAATATAAACTGTTTGCTGGTCAGTGATGTTTTGATATCAGCAGATAAAGCCCTGTAGAAAATATATGCTAAATAATTACAATAACAGATAGTACCAGAAAATACACAAATGTGTATACTATGTGTTAAAAAAAATCAGTAAAGGAACAAAGACGTTTTCAGCAGAAGGTGGTAGAAAAAAGTTTTATGGAGGAAGTGGGCAGCCTGGTTGGAGTTTTGGGAGGCCATGACAAGATTAAAAGCAAGAGTTGAGATAGATTTAACCCAGGTGAGGCAAACCACAGGTATTGGCTCCATTGTTTTTGCAGAACATGAAGGATGAAGATCTATAAGATTGGATTGTAAAAGAAAGGGAAGATTTGCTTCTCTGGAGCCAGGAAAAAGATGTTAACCAAACCAGGTGCAAGAGAAAGGACACTTAGAATATTTTAAAAAGTGTAATAAAGTGAATTAGGTTTTGTGTTAAGAATAATTAAAAACAATCACTAAACTTAAATGTATATTATCCAAAATTCTGATGTGTTTTGTGTGCATTATCACAGTAGAATTTGATTTTTAAAAACTAAACAAAAACAGTCTGCATTGGGAAGTATCACAATTCTTTTTTACCGAATACTTTTAGTTTACAAACATACTGCGTTTCCTCTGCACTTGAAACTTCAATTCTGTTTTATGTAGGAGTTTAAATACTTCATTATTGCCCTACGTTTCCTTGTCCAGCAAAACTTTAGCTTTTAAGATTCTCTACACAGAAGACAATTAGCCGGGCATGGTGGCGGGTGCCTGAAGTCGAAGCTGCTCGGGAGGCTGAGGCAGGAGAATCGTTTAAACCCGGGAGATGGAGATGGCAGTGAGCCGGGATCACACCACTGCACGCCAGCCTGGGCGACAGAGCAAGACTCTGTGTCAATAATAGTAATAATAATAAAAACAAGTAAATAAATAAATAAAATAAAAAGGTTATCTACACAGTAGAAAGACTGAATTTTGCAATAACAGAGGGTCTTATGATAACCCACAAGATAAACGAGAATCGGAGACCTATTGGAAGTCCTATTGGAATGGCAGAGGTTGACATCAACACGTTCCAGTGGGAAACATATAACAATTGGGGTCTCATTAGAAACAGCATAAAAGTGTCTCTGAGACAACTACATATTTCCTCAAACTTGTACAGTCCTCTCTCGGTATCTGCAGGTGATTTTCTCCAGGACTTCCTGAGGATACCAAAACCCTCAGATGCTCCAGTCCCTCAGATAAATATCTTTTTGCCTATAACCTATGCATATCCTCTTGTATTCTTTAAATCATCTCTGATTACTTATAATACCTAATACAGTGTAAATGCTATGTAAATAGCCATTTCACTGTATTTTCTGGATTTTTATTGTTATATTGTTATGTTTTAACTTTTTAAATTTTTTCCCATAATGTTTTCCATCAGCAGTTGGCAGAATTTTTAGATATGGGACGCATGGATAGAGAAGGCTGATTTTACTCCCATTTTATAAAAAGTAGAAATTATAGTCAATGTTTAAACTCACACAATTTCTAAACTACTCCACGATTCTTGATTCAAGAATAAAGGGGACTGAAAACTGAAAATATTTACATCAAATAGCTAAAGCAGAGGAGGTGAAATTGCATGCATTTGAACTCCGATTTTTCTTTTTAGGGATTTTATTGGTTGTTCTGTCTTGCTGGTCTCTTGAGAAACACCACAAAATGAACATTAAGTATAGCCTATGGAATGTACGTGTGAGAAGCATATAAACGTCCAATGTCATCTCTAGAGAGATAAGGACTTTTCTCTGGCTCAATAATTTGTGAAAGAGTAAAAGTAAAAATGATAGCTTTCTAAAAACTACCACATTTAGTTTTATGAAGATAATTATGCTATGAGTAATCTTAGTAATCCTAGTTTTCAGAATGTCAATGAATAAAACGAAAGTAACCTAACGTGAAAAGTTCGCCATGTGTTCATAACACTTCACTTTCATAAAATTCAGCTCATCATAAATAACAAGAAAACTTGAGCTTAATGCTAGCTGTTTAGTCTTCATAACAGAAGCCTAGGCGTCCAAGATCGAGGTGTGGGCAGGACTGGTTCCTCCTGAGGCCTCTCTCCTTGGCTTGGAGATGCCTTCTTCTCCCTGTGTCTTCACATGGTCGTTCCTGTGTGTGTCTGTGTCTTCATCTCCTCTTCTTATAAGGACACCAGTCCTACTTGATCAAGACTCACATCCACATGACCTAATTTTACCTTAATCACCTCTTTAAAGACTGTGTCTCCACAGTCACATACTAAGGTACTGGGGGGATTTAGAAATTCAACATAGGAATTTTTGAGGGACACATTGTAACCCATGACAGATACCTTACTCCATTTTGAAGGTAAGAAATGGATTTTAAAAACTTAAATGGCTTTTCCAGTATTACACACACACACACACACACACACACACACACACACACACACTAACATAGAATTAGCAAATGGAGGTCTGTCAAATTCCAAAGTTTCTGTTGTTTCGATTTCTTTTTCTTTGAGACGGAGTTTTGCTCTTGTTACCCAGGCTGGAGTGCATTGGCACTATCTCGGCTCACTGCAACCTCCGCCTCCCGGGTTCAAGTGATTCTCCTGCCTCAGCCTCCCAAGTAGCTGGGATTACAGGCGTGTGCCACCACGCCAGGCTAATTTTGTATTTTTAGTACAGAAGGGGTTTCTCCATGTTGGTTAGGCTGGTCTTGAACTCCCGATGTCAGTGTTGTTTCGATTTTAGGCACTTAGTCATTTATAAAGTTTGTGAGTGTTTCAAGGGTATATAACATCAAATAGACAACCAGTGGTTTCAAGACAAAACAGGATTATGTATTTAAACTGAATTAGAAGAAAATATTACCAAATACAGACTTGTTTACCAAAAATATATCGTTTTAGACTATTGTCTACCAAGTCTCCACTCCTCATCTCTTGATGAATTTTAATGCTGCTAATGCTTTACAATTGACCATGTAATTTTGCAAACACGAACATATATTTTCCCTTGTCAATGATTATATTGTGTTTATAACATAAATAGAGAAATATCTCTGTGGATAGTGCTTTGAGAAAATCTAGGCACTCTGTAGATAAGTACAAATCATTTTTAAATGGATACACACAGACACACCAGATGGAATTTTACCCCTTACTCAGAATAGTCACCAAATAAATAGAACAATGCCAATAATATAATCATTGAAAAACATTTGTTGTCACATGTGAATGTTGAGAAATATTTTGGATGTGAAAAGATAGCGCTTTTGTAGGTTTTTTTGTCACTTTATAGAAATAGAGGCCGATTATACATTCTTCTACATTGTGTATGTAAAATGTGCATTTTTATGGAAAAGATAACTTTGAGATATTTTATATGAAATAATATAAATCTATTCCATTCATTTGAATTTCTATTGTATCTCTCTGTACTTATATGCACTACTGTAAGTGAGCAATCTTCTCTTGGTGGAAATAAAGTATTTCAGTATTTCGTTCAAATGTTTTATTGTTCTTTGGTCTGTTTGTTTTTTTAAAAGAAATGCATCTACTTATTTGTGTATTTATTTCTTTATTTAAGAGACAAGGCCTTGCTCTGTCTCCCAGGCTGGAGTGAAGTAGTGCGATCACAGCTCACTGCAGCTTTGAACTCCTGGGATCAAGCGAACCTCCCACCTCAGCCTCTCAAGTAGCTAGGAGTACACACAGGCACGACTGAGCTTAATTTTTGCTTTTATTTTTTATAGAGATAGCTAAGTTGCCCAAGCTGGTCTCAAACTCCTGATCTCAAGCATTCCTCCCATTTTTGTCTCCCAAGCACTGGGAATTACAGACAGGTACTATTATGCCCAACTCATTATTTTTTTGAAACTCTATTTTAATACTTTTCTACAAATCCTTTCATGTCCATATAGTCATCTGTGTACTCAATATTAGCATTATAACTGCGAGGTCAGAGGATATAAAAAACTAAATTACCAAGCTTTTCTAAATTTTCTCCAAAGGTTTTACTAACTGAGGTTCCTTACAAGTCTATATGTGATTCCCTAAATGCCCGTCTCCTCTAAATCCTCGTTGGCTTGAGCTTGTTAAAGTTTAGCAAAATAAAAGATGAAAAATTGTCTTTTTTATTTTAATTAGAATTTTAATTAAGAGAAAGTTTGCTCATTTTTGCATACATCATTAAACCCTGCTATTTCCTTTTCTGTCACTTGCCTGATAAAACTTTTGGTTCTTATCCAACACACACAGGTGTGTCCAAATAAAATAAATTAAATAATGGCATACATAAATATTTAGAAATCAAGCTGAGAAAACTTCCCAGAAATAAGGCATAACTCTACAGGCTTTATATTATAATATGATATATAATATAAAGGTATTATATTATATTATATTATTCCCCAAAGTAGGTCAACCTGAAATATTCCCCAAAAGGTCCAGACTTTCCAGGAAAAAAAAAAAATGAATCCATGGGGCAGCATGTTAAGTGATAAAGCCACTTATGGGTCCAATAAGACAGGTGTTAGTTGTCAACTCAGGAATGCGCAATGTTAGAAGACCATGTAACAATGTACACAAACTACTAAAAGAAGAAATGTGCAACCTATCAGTTTACATAACCATGCTGTCATTCAAAGATAGTGTCTACTGGAAGAAAATGCACACTGATGATTTATAGTTTCTGTGACTTCTGTTGGAAAAGAGAAAAAAACAAAGCATTATTTTATTTTCTATTGATGCCACTAAAAGTTACCAAAATTTTACCAGCTGTCTGCATAATCATCTATTATCTTGCAGTTTTCATGGGTTAGACATATGGGCACAGCATGGCTTAGCTACGTTCCTTCTCTGGGTCTCACAAGAACAAAGTCAAGGTTTGGGTAAGGCTACATATTTTTCCTGGAGGCTCCAGGGGAGAAATGATTTCCAGCGTCATTCAGGTTATTGGCAAGATTCAGTCACATGTACAGAGCTGTTAGACATCTCTATAACCCCATTGTAAGTTGAAAATATCCATAGCTCAAAAATGCATTTATACACCTAACCTACTGAACATCATAGCTTAGCTCAGCCTACCTTAAATGTGCTCAGAACACTTACATTGGCCTACAGTTGAGCAAAATCATCTAATAAAAAGCTCATTTTATAATAAAATATTGAATACCTCATGGAATTTATTCTATTGAAGGTGTATCACTTTCACACCATCATACAGTTGAAACATTGTAAGTTGGGAACCATCTGTAGTTGCAAGGCTGAAGATTCCATCTCCTTCCTTGTTATCCTGGGATCTGTCTCTGCTTCCGGAGACTGTCTGCATTTCTTTCCCCATGCCCCCTTTCTCCATCTCCAAAGCGATCAACGAGGGCTCATATCCCTCTCACACGTTGAATTTCTCCTGACTTTTATTTCATGGCATCTGAATGCCTCTTCTGTTTTTTTGCTTCCCATTTATGTAGCCCTGTGATTACTTTGCTCTCACCCAGATAATACAGGATAGTCTTCCTATCATATACCAACTGATTAATAAACTGAGTGACACATTTATTTCCTCCTATATCCCAGACTTGGGATCTGAAGAAGATAGCAACCCAGAAGTACCAACAGGAGCAGATTTCTTTAATATGCCCCGAAAACCTTCTCTCTCTACTCAAAGGGCCAGAAAATGAAGAACTTAGCAAGACAAAAATTACTCCACACCACCAAACACCATATAAAATAATTGTGGCTTCGCCTACCCATACAAGCACAAGGTGTGTGTACCTCGAGGTCCACCCCTAGTAGGTAGTCCCAAAACTCTCCAAACTTCCACTGGGGTGGCATCAGAGGGGCTAAGAAGAGATCCGGGACTTTGATCTCTTCCATTGGTAATGATGATCCTTAACATGGGGTATCAGTTGAAACTACATGGAGGGTGTAGACTTTCAATCCTATTTGGGGATAACGAGGTGCCCTGCTCTCTCTTCACTGAGTTAATTTCACAGGAGTTGAGATCTTAGTGGATTCAAGATTTGAGACTTTTGTCACTACCCAGTGGTAACAAGGCAATACCACCCCCTTTGGTGTTAGTGGGGACCATGTGGGGATTTGGAATTCCTATGCCCACCCGGAAGTAACAAGACTCCCTCATCATGACCCCACAGGTGTCATCAGAGGCTGAGTAGGGGACAGAGACTTCTACACCAACGGGAAGTAGAACTACAGTACCTAATCCTATCCTCTTTTACAGTGGAATCAAAGAAGCTAGCTAAATTAGATCCAAATGTATATGCCACAGCTTGAAGTGTCAAGGTGTTCCTAGAAAATCACTTGTTATCCCCAAAACCAGAAAAATGTCAAAGTAAATGAAATAGAACAATCATTCATATCAATCCTGGGATGATGACAGAGTAGTTAGAATGATCCCACAGAGATTTTAGAGCAGCCATCTTCAACAAGCAATTGCAAATCTGATTGAAACAAATGAAAGAAACAAAATCTCAGCAAAGAAATAGAAGAGGTAAAGGAGAACCACACAGAAATATTACAATGGAAAAATTTAACAACAAGTACAAAACAAACTAAATGGATGGGTTCAAGGGCACACAGAAGGGGACACGGAACATAACTGGTGAACTAGCAGGTGAAATACAATGATAAGGGATCAAGTAAGTTGAAAAAAAAAATGAGTAGGTGCATAGAGACCTGTGATCCTATAACAAAACACCCACAATTTGTGTCATCAGAGTCCTAGAATAAGATGAGAGAGGGCAGGCTGAAAAAGTACTCAGAGAAATAAATGCTGGAACCTCCCCAAATTTGCCAACACATAATGCTGAAGAAATTGGATATCCACAGGAAACAAACAAACAAATAAATAAATAAATATAATCTTATCACCCACAACTTATTTGAAAAATTAATACATAGCAAGGATGTGATGAAAAAAAGAACACCATACATGGCTGGTGTGAATGTAAATTAGTATAACCTCTATGGAAATCAATATAGAGATCTCACAAAGAACTAAAAATAACTACTATTTGACCCAGCAATCCCACTACTGAGAATCTACTCAAAGGAAAAGAAATTATTACATCAAAAAGATACTTGTATTTGTATGTTTATCACAGTACTATTCATAATAGAAATGTCATGGAATCAACTTAAGTGTCCACCAATGAATGATTGGATAAAGATTATATATATATAAAATATATAATTATATATGTGGGTTTTATATATATATATAATTATAAATGTGGGAGATAAAGCACCATGCATATAATTCTATTATACATACATACATACATACATACATATATATATATATATATATATATATATATATATAAAATTGAATACCATGCAGCCATGAAAAAGAAGGAAATTATGCCTTTTGTATTACTAGTAACATGGGTGGAACTGGAGGCCATTATTTTAACTGAAATAATTCAGAAAGAGAAAATCATGTTCTCACTTATAAATGGAGCTGGACAATGTGTACACGTGGGCATAAAGGTGAAAATAGTAGACACTGGGGATTCCAAAAGGAGGTGGGGGAAAGGAGTGACAGATGAAAAATCACATTTAGAGCACAATGTTCACTATTTGGCTGATAAGTACACTAGAAGCCCAAACTCTACCAGTATGCAATATATCCCTATAACAATCCTGCCCATGAACTCCTCGCATCTCTAAGCATTAAAAAATAGTCTAATATGGATCATAGACTTAAATATAAAGCATAAAACTGTAAAAAACTTTAGAAAAAAATAACAACAGCAAGAAGAGAAATTCTTCAGTGCCTAAGGCCAGGCAAGGAGTTTTTAGAGATGACACAAAAGACATGATACATAAAAGGAAAAAAAAATGGTGAATTTGACTTCATCAAAGTTAAAAACTTTTGGTCTACAAACAACCTTATTAACAAGATGCAAAGGCCAATTATAGATTGGCAGACACGTATGCAAACTAACTAATAGTTAAAATAAAAAAGGATCCTCCAAACTCAGCAGTAAAAAACACACTCGAAATCCATTCAGAAAATTGGCAAAGGAGATAAAAGGACATTTCACTGAAGAGAATGCACAAATGACAAATAAGTATGTGAAAAGATGTTCATAGACTTTCATCACTAGGAACATGCTATTTAGAAACACTATCTGCCAGCCATGGTAACTCATGCTCATAGTCCCCACACTTTGGGAAGCTGAGGCAGGAGGATTGCTTGAGACCAGGAGTTTGAGACCAGTGTGGACAACATAGCAAGACTCCATATCTACAAAATATTTTTTAAAAATAGCCGGGCATGGTAGTACATGACTGGCACAAGTACTTGGGAGGCTGAGGTGGGAGGATCTCTTGAGCCTGGGAGGTCGACGCTGCAGAGAGCCATGATCATGCTACTGCACTCCATCCTGGGCAACAGAACGAGACCCTATCTCCAAAAAAAAAAAAAAAAAAACCCATAATCTGATGTGTCTATACAAACCTATTCAAAATGACTAAAATGAAAGAAAGTGACAACACCAAATGTTGGCAGGGACGTGAAGAAACTGAATTACTCACATATTGCTAATGGGAATATAAAATGATGAAGCCACTCCAAAAAAGAGTTTCTTAAAAAACTAAGCATGTCATTACCATGGAAACCCAAAATTGCACTCTTGAGTGTTTATTCCACAGACACATGCAAGTCTTTACTTATGTTCATATAAAATCCTATGCATGAGTTTATTTGTAATAGTGAAAAACTGAAAACAACAGAGGTGTCCTTCAGTAGAAAAATGATTGAAAAACTTTGATACATATATAGTATGCAATACTATATAACAATGGAAAGGAATAAAATATTAATACTAATATTGTATAGTTTTGCAAGGTTACCATTGAGAGAAACTGGACAAAGTGTACAATGAATCTATCTTATTTCTTACACCTACATGGGAAACTACATTTAAACCAATATAAAACGTTGACTTAACAAAAAATCCCCTGAGATTCTTAAGAATGTTACCACATAGTCCACTGTTCTTATTGGTTTCCCTATGCCCAGAGAAAGTAACATGAAAGCAATATCTAAGAATTAGTTATGCTTGGCCTTTTTTATCATTGATTTTGGCTGGGTCTTTGCAGGAGTGGGTTATCACTGTTTTAGTTTTTTGTTTTTGTTTTTGTTTTTGAGGCAGAGTCTCACTTTGTTGCCCATGCTGGATTGCTATGGTGCAAACACAGCTCACTGCAGCCTCGACTTCCCAGGCTCAAGCAATACTCCTGCCTCAGCCTTCCAAGTAGCTTGGAATACAGCCACACAGCACCACGCCCGGCTAATTTTTTATTTTTTGTAGAGACGGGATCTTGCCATTTTGCCCAGGCTGGCTTTGAACTCCTGGACTTAAGCAATTCCCCCATCTCAGCCTCCCAAAGTGCTGGGATTACAGGTGTGAGGCACCGTGCCCTGCTTGTTTTTGTTGCTTGTATTCTTAATTTTCTAAAATGAACATGCATTTTCATTTAAAGGGAAAAGGCATATATATGAAAATTCATTTAAAGAAAAAGGCATACATTTAAAAATAAAATTTTAGCAAACACCCAACATTATACTTATTTATAATTTTGCTGTATTCTTGTTGTTTTTGTAGTATTTAAATATTTAAGCTTTTTTTGCCTACCTCTAGCACCGTCATTTATTCATTAAGGCTAAGGGATAGAAAAAGAAAAATAATGTTCTTGTGTTAACCTCTGTTTCTTCAATGTTTTCACAAGGACTTTATTATTTAATCAGCACAATCACTTGCAATTTCGATAGTATCTTCATTTTACAGATGAGGATACTGTGGCCAGACATATATTAACCTGAATACCCTATTGCATATGGTTGGAGCTTGCATACACATCCATGACTGCTTAGATACCAAGCTTATATTCCTTGATACATCATATATTTGACAAAATTTATCTGATATCTTCTTGTCCTGGAAAGTGTGATAATGATTCCAGAAAAACCTCAAACTACTTCCAAATGACCCGAGGCATCATTGCCATCAAAATGGCAGAGAACAAAAGAAAAAAAATGTCCTAAGTATTTCTGTAAGTTACAAAGCACAGAGCTCTCATTTGGATTCCAGGAACCAGTTTCGGAAATGCAGAAAGCTTGAAACAATTCTTAATGTTTTAGGCAAAGAATCATGTTTTCTACTTTTCTATTCACTGTTTTGTTGATGAACTTGTAGGTTTTAAAACATAAATTTGGAGGTCTGGACTGATTGTCCACAGCTGGGTAGACAATGAATGATGATAAATTGAAAGGTTTATGGCAACACCAATCAGCGGAACATAATAGTTACTTTGGTTTGACATAAAGAGGTTAGAGGAAATTAGTAAAATGAAAAGAGATGTGGTAGGAGACCAAATAGAAAAGAACGTATTACAGATCCATACAAGGTATTTAATTATGAGATTTTAGTCCTGAAAAGATTGTGGAAATACTGACTCCCCTTATTTTATGAAAGATATAATGATTCCTGAGAGGATTATTACCTGTTTTAGATCACTGCACAGGTTACCTCCAAAAGTTAAAACAGAATGAGAGGTCAGATATATGAACTTTTCCAAATGACATATGGGAAGTCCTTGGTTTTTTTAACCTACCTTGGTGATGGAAAATTAGAGTTGTCTCCATCAACAATGACTTTTAATTAATTAGGTGAATTCTCAGGGTGACCAGCTAATGACAAGGATAAAATCTGTCATGCTGGGACCCATTAAGAAGGGGCATGGTGCCAGGCATTCATTCTTCATTCAGCAGTTTTCCACAGTTGCTGAGCATTTGACTTGTCTGAAGTGGTACTTAAACCCAAACAAGTCTGAGCCCAGGTCCAGACAGACGTGGTTATGCAGGCAACAACTGGCTTCCCCTTCTAGCTGATATTCTTACATCTTTGATCAATACTTATCTGGAGGCCAGGCTGAGGACCACCTGGGGGGAAGGCAGGCAAAATCGAACTCTTGTATTTGTTGTCTCCTCCAGCTCTGTGACCATTCAGAGTTAGCTTTTATCTTGTATATTCCTAGAGCAAAACAAAGTTCTCCATGTAAACCAGAGTTACCTTGTGTAGGTTACAGCTGGTAGCCTGTTAGTGTTCTTCAGAGAAACAGAAGACAATGGATTGAGAAAGGTAGGCAGATAGATAGATAGATAGATAGATAGATAGATAGATAGATAGATAGATGATAGATAGATAGATAGATGATGGATAGTGGATGAATGATGCATCTGTAGATAGATAGTAGATAAATGATGAACAAATAGATAGATATATAGATAAGTAGAAAATGGATAGATGATGGATGGTTATATAGATAGATTGAGTCATTGATTTATAGATATTTATAGAAACTGACTTGCATAATTATGAAGGTTGAAAATTCTGCTGTCTACAAGCTGGAGAACCAAGAAAGCCACTGTGTCCTGAGAACCAGGATACGAAGCTGATGATGTACGTCCATATCTGAGTCCAAAAGTCTGAACACCAGGATTGCTGATGTCGGAGGGCAGGAGATGAATGTCCAACTCTACCAGAGAGAGCGAATTCACTCTTCCTCTCCCTTTTTGTTCTATCCAAGTCCTAGATCATTGAATGATGCCCACTCATATTGGTGAGGGTGATCTTCCTTACTCAGTCTTCTTAATTAAATGCCAATCTCTTCTAGAAATACCCTCACAGACACACCCAGAAATAGTGTTTTAGGAGCTATCGGGCATTCCTTAGTCCAGACAAGTTGACAATTAACCATCACAGAGCCACATGTCCTTCTCATTTGACCAAATCTCAACCCACCAGCCCAAGAACATTATAGAAGCACAAGTTTTAAATGCCTGGTGCTTTCCAGTAAAGTGTTTAGATAAACTCCATTTTCTCCAGCCGATCCCCATCAGCTGTGGCACCACGGACAGGGTCACAATTTTTCGACTCTTCCCAGGTTAACCAGGCTTCTGGGGGCAATAGGTTTGGATCCAGGTGACTGTTTGTATGTGAGTGTGTTTATTTTTAAAAGTGCAACTCAAAAACAATGATTTCGATAATCAGCAGTTTCAGTATCAGTGCACTCCATTTAGTATTTTTATTTACTTTAATGTATTTCTTTTTGATTGATGAAGAAATCAATCCTTGGAGAAATTAAGTTGGACTTCCAAGGTCACACAACTTACAAGGATACAGCTGTGATCAGAAACCACACTCAACTCTCCATTCGAACTCTTCCCCCACTACAGCATCTACCTTCCATGGGAATTAATCTACCTGCAGCAGATAGTTTAGGCTGAAATGACATCTGGCCCCAAAATCGTATTTAACATAATAACCTCATTGTCTGTGGACAAATTGAATGATCAATTAGATATGTGACATTTTGGTTCAAGATCATGGGACATACTGCTGATCTAGCAATTCTTGACATTTTTTAATCTCTTTAAATAACATCCTGTACAGGTAAAACTGGAAGTATATATTACTAAGCCTAGAGGAATCTGATATTTGAAATAATTTAGGTAGATGGAGTTATTAACAGTCATTTATAATGAAACAGTCTTTTTGACAAAAGGAACTTTGGAAGTCTCCTTGCTACTCAATTTTGGGGAATGTCTTTTAAGGAAAAGTTGCATTTTGGTAAATCTTTATGATTTAATCCCCATTGATATGAAAAGTCTCAAAATTCAGAAATATGACGACAGATATCTGAAAGGGAATTTTAGTACCTAAAATAAAGGTAAAACATGACTGATTATGAAAACAATAATGGGAGGCTAAAACTGCTGTTGAAATCTATTTTATGATAATTATGACTTTTGTAAAAACCTCAGAGTCCATTCTAACTTTTCTAGAAATGGCCATTCATGACCTTTCTTTTACTAAATGCCAAAATCTGCCTTTTCTTTCCTTGATTTACTCCCAGTGATTTTCCACAGTGACTGCTCATTTCTCAAATTCTTTCGTCTTGTGGTCTCTGCAGTATCTGAACCTGGATGTTTTACTACCTTTTTTTTGGGGGGACAGAGTTTTGCTCTTGTTGTACAGGCTGGAGTGCAATGATGCAATCTCGGCTCACCGCAACCTTTGCCTCCCAGGTTCAAGCGATTCTCCTGCCTCAGGCTCCCAAGTAGCTGTGATTATAGGCATGTGCCACCACACCCAGCTAATTTTGTATTTTTAGTAGAGACAAGGTTTCTCCATGTTGGTCAGGCTGGTTTCGAACCCTCTACCTCAGGTGATCTGCTTGACTCGGCCTCCCAAAGTGCTGGGATTACAGGCGTGAGCCACCCCGCCCGGCCTTACTACCATTGTTTTTACATAGACTTTTTAAAAACAATTAGAAAAGATTTAAATTTACAGAAAAATTAGTTTGAGAAGTACACATAAGCACATCTCTCCCACACTCAGTGTTGGCTATTATTGGCATCTTACATTAATATGGAGCATTTGTTATAGGGAATGAACCAATTTTGATGGGATTCTGAATTAAAGTTCATGCTTAGTTGAGATTTCTTGTATATTACACAATGCCATTTCAATTCTCCGGGATTCTACATGTAGTGGTCATGTTTCCTTGGGCTTTTCCTTTTCTGGGACAGTTTTTTAGACTTTATATGATTTTGATAATCCTGACAGTTTTGAAGAGTACAAGTCAGGCACTTTGTAGAATGTCCCTGTATTGGAATTTGATGTTTTTCTCATGATTAGCCTGGGTTTATGGGTATGTGGGAGATAAAGCACCTTTTTCATCTAATAATAATTTTATTTCATAATACCAAGCATACACACTGTCAACATTGACGTATCTCTGATGATGTTGACTTTGATGAGCTGGCCAAGGTAGTGTCTGTCATGTTTCCACACTAAAAAAGTTACCTTATTTGGTAATGGATAACCTAATAATTTGATCTGATGACTACAACATTGTATGCCTAAATGAAAACATCACATGTGCTCTATAAATATGTGCCCTTGTTATGTACCCATAATAGGTAAAAAAAAAAAAAAAAAATTAAAAATCAACTTAAAAAACGTTACACTCTTAGCTTTTTGTTATCTTGTCCACTTGGGAGGAATTACTATGCACAGCCCATACCTGAGGGATGAAGAATTATGTACCACTTCCTTTAGGGTAGAGTATCTATCTAAATCATTTGGTATTCTTCTGTAGAGGAGCTAAGCCTACTCCCTCTCATCCATTCACTTTTAGTCATTTGTTTGTCAGCGTGAACACATGAATATGTGCTTTCCTACTTTGCTCTGTTGCTCAATCTCTTTCAGCGTTAACCACTGAGAGCTCGTTCAGTTGAGTACTGTGCTCCTTTGACATCACCCCGTCACTGAGAGTTTTGGTTTTTGAGTACTTCCTTACTTTCTGGCATTGCAACAAGTTTCAGGCTTATATTGTATATTTCCTGTCCCAGGTTTCGGATCAGCCACTCCACCATGGGACCCTAGTTTCCTTCTTACCATTTTCCTCACCCACTTGGGATCTTCTACTAGGGCTTGATCATTAAAAGTTTGGAGGTCTTAAAAGGCGACGAGGCCAAGTGAAAACCAAGTCTTCTCATTGTCAATTGTGCCTATCTAATATCTATATTCTCAAAGGCCCTAACAAGATTCTCTCTCCAAACTCCAATTCTGATTATGGCACTTTTATTTAAGTGCCTTCTTTAACCAATTACCTTCTTTAGCAGTGGTCTATTCACACTGCAGATTGTAAAACTTTATCCATTTATCTGTCTGTCTGTCTGTCTATCAATCTATCTATAATGTGTCTGTGTCTATTTACCTACTACCTACTTATCTTTATATATCACCTATTATCTATCTATCCATCTATCATCTATCTGTCCATCTATCATCTATCTATTGATCTATGTATCGACTTATGTGTTTATCTATTATCTATCATTTATCTATCAAGCTATCATCTACCGTACATCTATGTATACATCAATCTATCCTATGTATTCTCTAATCTATCTGTCATATATCTCTGTGTTTATATATTATATATCTATTCTATCTATCTATCTATCATATTGTACAGGAATAAAAGTAAATAACATAAAATTACCTCAAGTGTTGTGATGTGTGTGGTCAAATTTCACTAGTGGTCTTAAAATTGTAAGAACATTGAAATTTGCGAAAAATTTCATATCTTGTAGCCTGGAAAAGGTTATCACTGATTCTTAGTGCCACCTGCCCCTGTAACATCTCTTACTGATAACCTCATCATGTCTTTTTATTCTTCAAGATACAAAAAAAGTTATACACCATCAAATATACACTTTCACTCCTTTACAGATCCCTTTATACTGTCTTATTTAATTTCCATAACAGAGTTACGATAGCCTTACAGAATGTTTTCAGTGGTTTTCCCTCTTGTTTAGAATCTAGGATAGTTTGAAATTATATTAATAAGATTCTTTAACACTTGCTTGTGCATGCCATCAGCATCTTCTGCCTGTTTGTTTACTTTGTGAGAATTTTAAATTTGAATTTAATTTTCTAAAAAAATGAGGTGCTTCAAGTTGGAGGTTTCACTGAGTTTTGATAAGACATATATTCTTATGAATTTATAATTTTCACATAAGTATTAATTGACAAACAAATATACATAGCAGTTATATATTATTTTATAATATTAGTTATGGATAATATATCTTTTTAGTATGTCGTATCTAAGTTTATGTGGCTTTTCTGCTTTGTTATTATTTCTTTCTTCCTTCTTCCTTCTTCCCTTCCTCCCTTCTACCATGATTATTTTCAGCTCTGTTTTTCCCACTCATAGTTATTTCAGCTAGCCATTTTTGATATGCATTGGAACTGATTCAAGATTTTGATTTCACAAAAATAATGCAATATACTAATGTCTATATAATGTCTCATATATATGTATGTAGGAAAAAACTCTTAAAAATTAAATTTTTTGGTCCAGTGAAAAAGTGAATTACTCAGTCTGTTTAGCTATTGCTAAGGCACCAATGGAAATGCAACTTCACATAAATACCAGGCAGCACATTTTAATAGTGCATACAGAGTCTTTTCCCCTCTAATCAGAAGCTTTAATACTTCAAAATGTTATTGGTTAAATTAAAAAAAAACCTTGATGTGCTTTTAACTTGCCTTTCACATATGTGGGACTGAACTTCTTTTTATTGAAAAACACTTGCATCTCCTTGTTAATTCTGTGTGATTCATTAGTTTGGATTTGTTTATCTTTCTCTGAGGCCAGCTTTGAGTCCTTTGTGTGTTTTTGTCAAATCCCTCTTTTATTGGGAAGGAATAGTTCAAAGCGTGGGGATAGGTTTGTTTGTGGGGTGTGCACACCCACACCCACACACCTACATATACGTATTGGCCCCATGGAAGCAGGGCTGCAAAAGAGAAGACATTTTCCAGACTCCTGGAATTCCCACTCTAAGGGCTTTTGGAAGGATTAAAGACAACGATGTCCCCAAACTGCCCAACTCCTAATGGTTCAAAGTGACCACCCCATGATCCTAGCTTCTTAGAGGCCAAGGGGTCCTTCTCAATTACATACACACACACACACACACACACACACACACACTCTCTCTCTTTCTCTCTCTCTCTCTCTCTCTCTCTCTCTCTCAATCTTTTATTGTTCTTACGGAAAAAAATATTAGAGACAAAGAAATGCATGTAATAATCAAAGCATCTTAACTATCCTGAAAGAAAAACCAGTCCATATAAACAGATCTAGAGAAGACCTATATATTGGACTTACGTGACAAGGAGTTGAAAATAAGTGTCATAAATACAGTTATGCACCACATATGACATTTCAGTTAATGTCCAACCACATAAACAGCCACAGTCCCATAGGTCCACATAAGTAACCATGTTCTCTCTAGTAGAGCTGAAAAATTCCTATCTTCTGTTGAAGTCTTGGTGATCCTGACCTGTGTGGGCCTAGGCTAATGTGTGTGTTTCTGTCTTAGTTTTCACCAAAAAAATTTTAAAAGTATTGAAAGGAAAAAAAATTTAATTTACAAACAGAAAAAAATCTTGTAGGCCAGGAACGGTAGCTCATGTCTATAATCTTTGTAATCTGGGAGGCTGAGGCAGGAGGATCACTTGAGACCAGGAGTTCAAGGCCAGCCTGGGAAACAGAATGAAACCCTGTCTCTAAAGTAAAATAAAAAATTAGCTGGGCATGGTGGTGTGTGCCTACAGTCCCAGCTACTCAGGAGGCTGATGCGAGAGGATTGCTTGAGCACAGGAGTTCAAGGCTGCAGTAAGCCATGATCGCACCACTCTGCTACAGTCTGGGCAACTGAGGGAGATCCTGTCTCTAAAACAAACAAACAACAACAACAACAACAAAAAACAAGAGAAAAGCTTGTAGAATAAAAATATAAAAAATAAAATATTTTTGGTGTTTTTGTTTTAAGATGTGTTATTTAAAAAGGTCAAAAAGTTAAAACAATGTATAAAGTAAGAAGGTTACAGTAAGTTAAGTTTCATTTGTTATTGAAAGAAGAAACATATTTTAATAAATTGAGTGTAGCCTAAGCGTTTGCAAAGTCTACAGCCCTGTATAATAACGTCTTAGGCCTTCACATTCACTTACCACTCAGTCACTGACTCACTCACAGTCACTCACCCAGAACAATTTAATGCGTTAGGTGGGTTTCTCAACTCGAGCATTAATTTGCATGATGTATAATTGCATAATGCATTGAAGGTTAACTCACAGTCTAATATGGATATTGTAACCCCTGAATTTATTACTGAAAAAAAATTAGAAATAGCTAAACAAATTTTAAAACAATTAAAATGAAATAGTAAAAGTCTACTCAACACAGAAGCATGTGGGAGAGCAGGGGAATAAAGAACAGATGGGACAAATTGAAAATAAATGTCAAGCTGACATATTTAAACCCAACTGTAGCAAACATCACATTGTACAAAGACAGAACCAAAGCTCAAATTGAGGACTGATTCCCAGACAGATTTAAAAAAGCATGACCCCACTCCATGTTGTTTCTTTTAAAGATGTATTTACTATAAAGATGCAGACAGAAGTGTATTAAGGTAGAAGAATTCCCACGCTGCCACTGAAGAGAAGGAAGCCAGAGTGACTCTGCTACCCTCATTGGAGTAGATATGAAGAGGATGACCATTAATGGAGATGAAGACCATTACTTACTGGAAAAAAAAGTGAAATGTATAAACAGGAAGGCATATGAATTTGTATGTATACGGAGTTCATTACAGAGCTCCAAAAATATATGAAGCATAGGAAGCAAAACTGATAGAAGGAGAGGAGAGAAGAGAGAGGAATTAAGGGAAAAGAGTGACAGAGAGGAAAAGAGGGAGTGAGAGAGAGAGCCAGAGAGTGGGAGAGAGGGAAAGAGAGAGGAAGAGACAGAAGGAGTGAGAGGGAAAGAGAGAGAAGAAGAAGGGAGAGGAAGGAAGAGGGAGAGAGAGGGGGAGGGAGGCAGAGAGAGAGAGAGGACAGAGGAAGAGGGGTGGAGAGACAGAGATGGAAGGAGGGAGAGAGAGAGAAAGAGAGAGAGACAGAAGGAGCAACAGAAAGGAAGAGGGAGACAAGGGAGAGAGAGGAGGAGGAAAGGGAAAGAGAGGGAGAGACAGAAAGGGAGAGAGAGGGAGGGAGAGAAAATGAGAAAAGAGGGGGAAGAGAGAGGGGAGAAAGAAAAAGGAAGGGAGGGAGGGAGAGAGACAGGGAGAAAGGGAGAAACACAGAGAGAGAGAGAGACAGAGAGATAGCAAGAGAGGAAGAGGGGACAGAGAGGGAGAGACAGGGAGAGAGAGAAGAAGGGAATCGGGAGAGAGTGAGGGAGAGAAACAGAAGGAGAGAGGGAATGAGAGAAATAGAAGGAGAGAGGGAAGGAGGGAAATAGGAGGGACAGAGGAAGAAGGAGGGAGGGGGGAGAGAGAGAGGAATTTAAACTTTTCACATCCTTGTTGGGGGTTTTAAGACCATCCTGTAAACAACTGATGAAGCAAGTCTACTTTTCCAGGTGAGAGTGTGTCAAATGCTTGTATACATGTGACCTAGTCAGATGTCTATTCCGTTTCTACTTCATAAAATTCCCGTGTGCTATTTTGAGGGTTCTGCTACTGTTAAAAAAGCACTGGAATAAACTTTTCTTTAAAAAGTTGGTAGATTTTTTCCTTGCAAAATCATCTGAGCCAGCTGCATTCTTCAAGTTGGTAGAGTTTGTAATTTTTGTTTTGTTTTTGTTTCTCAAGCATTTTTGCATATTATTTCAAGAAAAAGGGTTACAGATTGTATGTCTTTTTGGATCAATTTTAACCAATTATATAATCCTGAATATCTACTTTTTAAAATATGTTCATTTATTTGTGAACTCATGAGTATGTCACTGAATATATCATATTTTTTACTGTTTCTCTCCTTACCATTTCTTAATATTTACTTGTGGCTTTTTCCTCTTTATGTGTGTGCATATAGTTTAGAAGATCATATATTGCTTGCTCCAAAAATCATATTTGAGATTTTATAGTTCTACATTATCTTTTCTACATATCTTTTTCTGTTTTTGTCTTTCTGTTGTCTTCAGGGTTGGCTTGACTATACTAATTTTGGGTTTCAGGATCAATTCACTCACTTCCATTCTTTGATTTAAAGTTTTATAGGTAGAAGAGAAAGTAGATGTTTGTAAAGGGCTGGAAGTTTCCCTGCACACAGAATACCCACGGGGAGGGTTGTGGTTTCCCTGTGCTTTTGTCTGCTGATTTTCTGGATTGAGATTGTGGTCCCGCTCTATGAGAAGTGTTTCTACTACGAACGCTGCACAATTGGTGAAGACAGATGTAAAACTGCAGAGTTCCTGACGTTGGAGCACGATGTCCAGCTCTAGAAAGATGTCCTATAGAGCCGGGCATGGAAAAGCCAAGGAGACTTCAAGACACATTGAGCATCCTTCCCTCCCAGGATGTGGTGGTCTGGAGCATAGACCATGGATGTGAGGTAGGAGGCAGACTCAACTCCAGGGATGAGGCTTGCACACTGGACCAAATGGAGGACTAGCTAACACAGGGACAGGGTGGAAGCAGCTTTCTATAAGACACGCCCACCAGTGTACCATGCCAGTTTACCATTGCCATGGCAACACCCAGGTGTTACCAGCCCTTTCCATGGCAATGTCCCAATGACCTGGAAGTTATCATCCTTTTTCTAGAAACCTCTGCAAAATCTGCCCCTTAATCTGCATGTAATTAAAAGTGGGCATAAATATGACTGCAGAACTGCCTCTGAGCTGCTACTCTGGGCGCACTGCCTGTAGCGTAACCCAGCTTTACAAGGAGCAGCACCTCTGCTGTGGCTGTGCACTGCTGCTTCAATAAAAGTTGCTATTTAACACCACTGGCCCACCCAATGTCGGGGCTCTCCTACCCTGCGTCAGATGGACTGCAGTCACCACAGAAGCTTTGATGGACCACAGTTGCTTGGCCTCATGTGTCTAAAGTTTACAACGCTAGTCCCCATTGTAATGTTCTGGAACAAAACCACTTTGGAGGTATGACTGAATTAAAATGCATTTGTAGATGATACAATGCAAGTGTTCAGTCTGAAGGAAGCTAAGCAGTGCTATTGTTAGCAGCACAAATGATCACACTCTAACCAAAGATGATTGAGATAGAGGCTGAAGTCATTCCTAAGGAAATATTTGGATAAATAAATGAGACTTTACAATCTGATGCTGGTGACCACAGGCTGCAGGGAGGTCAAGAGATACAACAGCAAACTATTGTTCAGTGTTCCAAATGCTACACTTCCTATTGTCTAAAAAATTAAGAACACACTCTCTATGCTACCATTGGAATTTTTCTCTATGTAACTACATTTTGCATTTGTACCATCTTTCATTAATTCTCTCCTATTGCTTACATGCCAGTCCAAAACCACTACTTGTAATTTCTCTCATTAAGGACAAGTGTAAAATCACAGTACTCAAACAGCATACGTGGAAGGCTACATAAAACAGAGTTACAGATTCTTAATTCCAGAGAGTTTCTAATTCTGCAGGTCTGGGTTGGGACCCTAAAATTTATATATTTTTTAAAAAAATTCTAAGGCTTTTTTTTGCTTCTCTTAGGACTATAATTTGAGAATCACTAATATAAAGGCACATGGCTTAGCAATGGACACATTATTGTTAATTTTGGCAGAGGGGACAAATAATAAAAATAGTGATTTTAGTTTTAGTGATTAAGAGATATTGTGGAATCTGAGCTGGGTGCCGTGGCGCATGGCTGTAATCCCAGCACTTTGGGAAGCTGAGGCGGATAAAATCACTTTGAGCTCAGAAGTTTGAGACCAGCCTGGGCAACATGATGCAACCCCGTTTCTACAGAAAAATACAAAAATTAGCCAGGCGTTGGTGGCTTGTGCCTGTGGTCCCAGCTACTCAGGAAGCTAGGGAGGAGAATTGCTTGAGCCTGGGATGCGGAGGTTGCATTGAGCCAAGATCGTGCCACTGCACTCCAGCGGGGGCAACAGAGAGAGACTCCATCTCCAGAAAAAAAAAAAAGAAAAAAGAAAAAGAATATTTTGGAATCCAAATGTGTATTTTGTTCTTATATATGTATTTCTTTTTAGAAACAAACTAGTTTATTTGTATGGCTTTATTGATGACTGTGGATATTTTCTGTATGAATGACATAAGTGTGATTTGACAGACCAAAATAGACACCAATTTAAAACTATTAATAAGATAATTCCTGAAATTAAGGAGACAAAAAGTTATCTACGGGTCTAGGGCTCATGGCTTGGCTGGCACAGCAACTCCCTAGGTGTCTATGGCTATAAGAAAAGCCACACTCTTGCTAAACTCCCTAGGAACAGGTGCTATCAGGTAAATTATCAGACCACTCCCGACTGTGATGTATTTATTTATTTTTTATTTATTTAATTTATTTTTGAGACAGAATCTCACTCTGTGTCCCAGGCTGGAGTGCAGTGGCATGATCTCGGCTCACTGCAACCTCCGCCTTCTGGGTTGAAGTGATTCTCCTGCCTCAGCCATCTGAGTAGCTGGGATTACAGGCACTCGCCACCATGCCTGGCTAATTTTTTGTATTTTTAGTAGAGACAGGGTTTTGCCATATTAGCCAGGCTGGTCTCAAACTCCTGACCTCAGGTGATCCTCCTGCCTCAGCTTCCCAAAGTGCTGGGATTATATGCGTGAGCCACCATGCCTGGCCCCAACTGTGATTTACAACCAAGATCATTAAAACTCTGACTGGACAGAGGACCAGTCTTATCTTACAAACATTCTTTCCTGATAACCACAAGATCCCAAGCCAGTTTCAGCAGCTTATAGAGACTGTGCACCAATTGTCTTTGCATCGTATAGCTCATGCTGTGACATAAAGAGCCAAATTGCACCACATTTTAACGCTAAAACCTCACCTCGAAATGAACATGAGCTGTATGTTATTATACATATGTGTTTACCCACTGTGAATGCATTACACTTCCCTCATAAATATGTATGGATTTCCCCCCAAACCTGCTGAATATGTATGACTGTATTGTGTAATATGGTCCCTGTGAGGCATAGGACCCAATCACTCTTTTCCCTCTTCAGAGAGAGAGCACCTTCAATCCAAGCCAGAGACACTCTCTCCCCAATTTGCAAACTGATATGATCAATAAAACTCCCCTTTCTACAACTTAGCCCTCCTAGTGGTCTTTTGGATTACAAGGTATACCTTCTTGCATACCTAGTTTCTTTAGGATGAGCAGGCTTATGCATTGGTAAAACCCATAATCTTTATGGCTTAGAACTCTGGAGTTTCATTTATGGTGAAAACTCTGCATCCACTCCATGTGGGAGAAGGGGCTCTTTCCATTGCAGAAACTTAGAAACCCAGATTAATGGCCAGGCGTGGTGGCTCACGCCTGTAATCCCAGCACTTTGGGAGGCCAAGGCGGGCAGATCACGAGGTCAGGAGATCGAGACCATCCTGGCTAACATGGTGAAACCCCGTCTCTACTAAAACTACAGAAAAATTAGCCAGGAGTGGTGGCGGGTGCCTGTAGTCCTAGCTACTCGGGAGGCTGAGGCAGGAGAATGGCGTGAATCCGGGAGGCGGAGCTTGCGGTGAGCCGAGATAGCACCACTGCACTCCAGCCTGGGCTACAGAGAGAGACTCCATCTCAAAAAAAAAAAAAAAAAAAAGAAACCCAGATTAAAGAAACAGCCACCACTGTGAACCACACTGTTCTTCTTGGAAGACTAAGAACATACAGAAGCCCTCATGCTAATGAAGTGACGTCATTGTCTAGGGGTAATACCTGAGTTTCCTTGTCCCACGGCCAAAGAAAACTTGGATGCAGACACACAAGAGTGAGGTTAAGAGCAGAAATTTAATAGGCAAAAGAAAGAGAAGAGCTCTCTGCACAGAGGGGTGTCATGGAGAAAAACGGGTTGCCAGGTTTGTGGTGAAATGCAGGAAGTTTTATAGATGAGCTTGAGGAGGCAGTATCTGATTTACACAGGCATGAAAGATTGGTTGGACCAGGTGTTCCATTTGCATAGCATGCAAAGAGGCTGGCCACCCCACCCTAATCTTTTATTATGCAGATGAGTTATCTACCTGGCTGGTGCCATGTTGCCTGTTCCTTTACTGTACGCGTGGTTGACAAAGTAAAGGGAAGATAGAGCCTCCATGTTGAATATGCCTGGCCCCCTTGTAGCCTTTTCCTATTGGCACAGCTGCCGGTATTTACCCATGCAAGTTTCCAGCTTGCTTATCTATATCTGCAGCTCAATTCTTCAGGCTCCTCTTTGTTAGAAAAGAAGTGATTTGGGGGCTGCTTTTTGTTAAAAGGGTAATTCTGCCAAGGACTTTCTTACCTTCACTATCTGCCTAAATAATTTCTCTCTAGCTCCTGTATCACTAACAATTGCATGCCGTGGCCACAAGCGAGATCCAATCATTTACAACACCTTGGATGATCCAATCACAAAGCCTCATCCTTAAGGGGGGTTAGGGAAGTTCTACCATTGGTGTGATTTTCGTGATCTTCTGAAAGTTACTGCAAAACTATTATTAGTACAATAACTGTTTGGTGTGTGGAATGAAATAATTCAAACTTAAAACTGTTGGGACTTTACATTATTTTGAGCCTGTAGAGGAATGTGGCTATGTGGCCTGAGTCGTGTAATATGCGCTGAAACATCTGCTTTTTTAATGTAAATGATTAAGAAAGATCAAATTGGCCCCAGAGATAAGACCCCTGGAAGACCATTGGCCCTCCCGACAGAATTAAAGTTAAAGCAAACTTCCTCATCATGTCACAAGCTGCAACTAATCACATTCCCATAATGTATGTACTGACCTTATACAAAAACTGTTGTAATCTTGCTAAACCTTTGTCTCCGCCTATGTAAGTGAAACTTGAACTTCTCCCCCTTGCAGCACTGACCCTCTTCTCTCAGAATCTGCAGGTCCTGCCTGAGTATTCTCAAGCTTTGCACTTGACTAAATGCTATACTTTATTTTATATTCTGAATCTCATTATTGAAGGTTGACAAGTGAGGTTCCTTGTCATCTTCTTTTTTTTTTTTTTCTGAGACAGGATCTCACTCTGTTGCCCATGTTGGAGTGCAGTGGCACAATCTTAACCATAGCTCACTGCAGCCTCGAACTCCTGGGCTCGAGTGATCTTCCTGTCTTAGCCTTCTGAGTAGCTGGGACTACAGGTGTGCATCGCCATACCTTGCTAATTCTTTTCAAATTTTTTGTAGAGATGTGGTCTTCCTATGTTGCCCAAGCTGGTCTCAAACTCCTGGCCTCATGCAATCCTCCTTCCTCTCCTCCCAAAGTGCTGGAATTACAGTCATGAGCCATCATGCCTGGCTCCCAATTCTTGAATTAAGAACAGTAACAGGAGGGACACTGTGAGGTCAACTGCTTTGTTTACATGAATATTTAGATTGCAGTGGAAATTAATATTGATGGGAGGATATCCCTAGGTAAAGGTTATTCCACATTCCAAGTCTATAAATATTTGAGTGAGGCTCACTCATTTTTAGGAAAGAGGAGTAGATGAAAATGGGGGAGCCAAGAAAGTTATGCATAGAGTTCTGTCTCTGTAGTCTTATATTTACAGGACATATCTTGAGAATCTATCTTTTCCATCACTGAAATTGTCTAATATGGTTTGGCTGTGTCCACACCCAACCCTCATCTTGAATTTCCACATGTTGTGGAAGGGACCTGGTCGGAGGTAATTGAATCATGGGGGCAAGCCTTTCCTGTGCTCTTCTCGTGATAGTGAGTAAGTCTCATGACATCTGATGGTTTTATAAAGGGCAGTTTTCCTACGCAAGCTCTCTTTGCCTCCGCCATTCATGTAAGATGTGACTTGCTCCTCCTTGCCTTCTGCCATCATTGTGAAGCCTCCCCAGCCACGTGGAACTGTAAGTTCATTAAACATCTTTTCCTTCCCGGTCTCGTATATGTCTTTATCAGCAGCATGAAAACGGACTAACACATTGTCCTTTGAATTTAAGAGTAATTTTAACTCGTTACTCATTTCTACTTAGAATCTAAAACGTGACTTTTAAGTAAACAAAAACATCTTTTAATAGAATTCCTGTTTTGTAGCTTTATGCATCTCAAATCTTCAATGCGGGTAATTTTTTTAAATGATAATTTCGAGTTCTCTCTAGTGTCTGCATGGGGAAAAAAAAGGAATAAAGAGGAGGTAGAGTCTGTCTAGGCTCTGGACAAATAGAAAGACAAATTATAGACAATCTATTATAGAGACTCCTGGGGATACATTTTAAAGCATCAGTTGAGAAATGTTCATGGTAAGAAAAGAAAATTCAAAACCAGTAGATGAAAGCTTCTTATGACTTCCTCATACATACACATGAAGAATAATATCCTCTTTGAAGACCTTCTTGGGGAAAAAAAAAGGTGCTATACAATAAAAAAAACAAATTCAGTCACTAAGCCTATACAACATTACAAAATATGTGGTACACCGTCAATTTATACATTTTTTAATTTGTCAATCACACCCCAATTAAAAGCGTTAAAAAGTGCGGGACTAGAAGCAAAAAGCTTTTCTGTGTTATTTGTTATTTCACGGAGAAAAATAGTTTCACTCAAATTCCTGTTCTACCAGTTGAGGATTGTTTGGCTCAAATGGAGCTCATTATATGTTGATGACTGAGATTTAAATAGTTCACCTTTGTTCCTCTTGAAACTGTGTTAATCCATCCAATTCATTAGGGGTGAATCCAGTTGCCAGTTACTACTACTTTTCTGCTGGGTTAGAATGATTTTCTCTTATCAACCCAAATTATTTAGTTCCCATGTAGTAGTCAACACTACCAAGATCTGATTTTATCCTCTTTGTGACGTGGCAAATTCTGTAAAAGAAGGGCTTCTCTTAGAACACTTGGAGCACTAGGAGTTCAACAACTTTTATAGATTACAATTTATTTCACATTTATATAAACTCGTCTACTCCTTAAGACAATGAGAATGGAAGATCCACTAAATGTAAAAGACTTTGAGTCCACTTCGTGTTCTTCAAAGGCATATAGACTATTTCCTAAAAATATGTTTCAAATTATTACAAAAGAAGAATCTTTGCAACACTCAAAGAAGCTAGGAAACTCAGTAGGACATTATAGTTGGATTCTACATCCCGTCCTTCAACACTGATGTCAGCTCTGTTAGAGGAAAAACAAGTGCATGCAAATTCAGCTTTAAAATTGAGACAGTTTAACAAGAGATGAAGAAATTTCTAGACAAGTAGAAAAAACAAATATGTTACAGTGGCAGGCTATGTTAATGGATGATCACTATTCTTTGGCAATAAATAGACTTTGGTATTATTTGTTTTCTTTTTTCATCATTTTTATTTTTACGAAAGAAGGAATAAATATAGTTTTACAAGTTCAGCTGTGGGTCAAAACACAGAACACAAAACTCACAGTTACAACAGAAATGAAACATAAAGGGATATTCTCCATTGTAATAACCAAGCATATTTTTTATGGTCATTTGATAGATTATCTCTAGGGATTTCTGAACACTCTAACCTGACCCTGACTGCAGATAGGGCATAGATACTCTCTAATCTCCCCACTGTGGGGACAAATTCCCTTCCATCTGATAGAGGTAAGAACTCCAAAAATCTGAGTTTATTTTGCCAAGGTTGAGGACGTGTGCCCATGACATAGCCTCAGGAGGTCCTGACAACATGTGCCCAAGGCGGTCACGCACAGTTTGGTTTTATACATTTTGGGGAGACATGAAACATTAATCAACATGTGTAAGATGAACACTGGTTCGGTCTGTAAAGGCGGGACAACTCAAAGATGGAAGGGGGCTTCCAGGTCATAGGTAGATAAGAGACAAATGGTTGTATTCTTTTGAGTTTCTGATGAGCCTCTCCAAAGGAGGCAATCAGATATGCATTTATCTCAGTGAGCACAGGGGTGACTTTGAATAGAATGGGGGGTGGGTTGGCCCTAAGCAGTTCCCAGCTTGAATTTTCCCTTTAGCTTAGTGATTTGGGGGGTCCAAGATGTTTTCCTTTCACAGAGGTTAAAGTCGTGAAACCAAAAGCCATGTTCTAATACAGCTGTCACCATTTGGGATGAATAACTGTGATTTAGGAAATCATAAGCATGATATATCCACTCCTAATACACAATTGAATCTATACACTGAAAATAGGGAAAGTCACAATTAGAGCCATTAAAATAGAACTCCATGGCTCTGTCAGATTCATACAAGGAACCAAGAGACCCTAGGGCTAAAGGGAACTCCAGGAGTTGAACAGTTACATTCTTCTGAATAGCTTTCAGTGGAGCCCCAGGCTACAGACCCAGAAAAACTGTTAATTATTTTAGAGCTCATAAAACTGAGTATTTTGCCATGCACACATGTGTGTGTGTGTTTATATGTGTATGACATCCTTTGAATAGTATCTTCCCAAACAAAGGAGTGGTACTTTGATAAAAGCAAAATTCAAGGTTTTACAAAGAAAAACTGTCAGTTCTTTTAAATCCATTGTTGAGTTGTCAGTTCAGGACTGGTTTGTTGCCAAGGAACGTGAGATAGCGCTGATCAGTCCGTTACTGTCAGTTTGTCAGTTTGTGTTTTGCTTTTCTCTTTTTAATATTGTGGCCCATGAAATCTGAGATGGCAAAAGGGAGTTGCAGACTGATCAAGCAATTCTTCCCCAGAGCAGGTCTGTTTGGGGCAGTTTACACAGCAATGTTTTTGTCCAGGTGGAGTGCTCTTTTTCCGTGGCATTTGGGCATATGATTCCTGGCGATGCCTCTTACTTTTGCAGCAGGTCCAGGTTTTGTCAATAGCAAACACAGCCAGGCTTTTTCTGAGTCTCCAAATATCACATTTTGTTTCCTTTTGACAGAGATAAAAATTATTAAGAAGACATTTTACAAACCAGAGTTTTCATTCACAATGTGAAGCAGGTTTCTACATTGGGAGCCAGGCAAGATGGGATTTAAACCCCACCTAGCTACTTTCCGCTGTTTGGACGAGGGTATATTATTTAAACTTTTTATCCTCAGTCTCTCTTTTTTTTTTTTTTTTGAGAGGATAATTATTCTTTTCGAAAATCACACAGAAGGTAGCTAAAGGAGTGAAGATACTCCACCTGCACATCACATAAGGTTACATTTACCCATGGAAATCTCCCATCTTAGTGGGGCTCATCTTCTCCTAAATTTCCCATAATCTGCTGAAACTGCCAATCTCACAGAGGAGGTGACTTGACATCATCATGAAACCCTAACCAGTCTGCAACACAAGGCAAGACCACCAGCAACCTAGAAGGGTCTCTGTCTCCATTTGACCAAGAGGTACCTGAAGCTCTAGCATACAATTACTAAGCCTCGTACCAACACGTGAGAAAATGGGAGCCATCATGTATTAGTTTTCACACTGTTACAAAGAACTGCTTGAGACTGGATAATTTATTTAAAAAATAAAAACGGTTTAATTGACTCACAGTTCAGAATGGCTGGGGAGGCCTCAGGAAACTTACAATCATGGCAGAAGGTGAAGAGAAAGCAAAGACTTTCTTCACATTGGGGCAGGAAAGGGAGAGCTAGCAAGAGTGAAAACTCCCTTATAAAACCATCAGATCTCGTGAGAACTTACTATCATGAGAACAGCATGGGAGAAACTGCCCCAATAATTCAATTACCTCCACCTAGTTTCTCCCTTGACACGTGGGGGTTATGGGAATTATGGAGATTACAATTCAAGATGAGATTTGGGTGTGAACACGAAACCTAACCATATCACACAGCAATCTAGCATCTTAGACACTAGATATAGTGGCACATCTACCAAGCACCCAACAATGTAATAAGAGACATGAGACATGAACCTCAAGCACTCAACAAACTCTTAAATATAAGATATGGCAGAAATTCCAGGAAGCAAATAACTCTATAATTCAGATAAGAAGTGTGAGAGGAAAATAAAATCTCGGGACCCCAAACTCACTATGTCAAAAAAAAAAAAAAAGTTAAGCTTGGAAACTGAGTCACACACACACAAAACCTCTCTTTTCTTTTGTTCCTAAACAGATATCTCCCCAGGTGGCCTCCTTCACTCTCACCATGTAACTTAGATTATCTTCACAGCTATGGGACAATAGGAGACTAGAAATCGACTCTCTGGCCACGCTGAGATGAATGTATATTTGACTTCTACTCTATGTTTACATTATCTTATGTAAAGTGCAGATTTACTGAGCACAGGAGAAATGTATAACTGATTGTTCCTCTGCACTCTCCTTTCATATGCAACATGAGGACTCAGTGAGTGCTAATCAAAACCTCAAAATAATGCAACCACTTGTCTCACCTTCCCTTATTTTTGTTCTTTCTTCCTTTCCCTTCTGCCTGCTTCTTCCCCTTTAAATATCAAAGCCCTCAAAACACTCTTTGGAAAAAGTGGGAGCCATAAGTCTTACTGTGACCTGTGTCACTTTTTCCTGGGTCTGTCCTCAACCTTGGCAAAATAAACCTCTAAACTGATTTAGACCTGTCACAGACATTTTTTTGGGGGGTGGGGGCAGCGGGGGGGTTACAAATGTGTGTCCAGTGAATATTTCTGTTTTATACAGAAAGCAAAGGGCATCTCATTTTTTAAAAAACACCCTACTCTCAAAACATAACAGAGAAGCCACATAAATATAGATGTCACCAACCCCTTAGAGCTACAGGACCCCCAGGAAGGGGTCCCAGGACTGAAGGACAATAAAACCTCCCCAGATTTACAACAAAGAGAATAGACAACATCAGCCAGCAAAATTCTCCAGGCCCACAACAAAGCTTCCCCTCCATGAAATCTGAGGGATATTAGAACACACTAGAGATGCCACTCTTTGGGGCACAGCTGGCTTTTCAGACAGGAGATGACACTTCAACTAGTTTTTATAAAGAGAGCATCGTTAAGTGTTTCCAAGAAATTCCAAGCCTAAGCTTCAGACTGAGTTTTAGGAAGCATCCCTTTAAACCATGTAACAGAAGTCACCTGTTAGGAAAACTCTAGCTGGAAACAAATGCAATACCTCACTTGCCGTCCGAAAGCTGCCTAAGGGATCAACTCCAGGCACTGACCCCATAGAAAACTCAATGACTTCTCCATCAGTTTGTGGGAACATCTGAGTTCTTCACTTGATTTCCAATTTTTGTATGGAGTTGTGTGTTCGATAGGACCTCGGTCGCATGAAGAATTCAGCTGTGAAAAAATCTGGGTCAGACTTTCCTCTCTCCAGTCTCCCTGTCTGTCTTAACCTGATCTTTAATCACAGTTCCACTGCTCAGGGAAAATGAGGAGGAGGTGAATGACTACAGTAGAACAAGGATAGAGGAGAGAGAAGAGAAGAGGGAGAACAGCAGAACATTTTCCAGGATTCCTAATGCAAATCACAGGTGCCGTCTGATGGTGGGAAGAATGCAAGTTGAGAGGAAACTTGAAGAGAAAAGGAATGAGGATTATCCATGGGATATGGACTGAGTAGATGAAATGAAGGCTTTGGATTTGGGGATGAGCAGAGGAAAGCCAGTGCTTTCATATCTCTCTTCTATCTTCGCTCTCTACCTGCAAGCTATTGGAGGCTCTAGTCTTCTCTTCTCCTTATGACCCAGGTAATGGGCACATACAAGTGGGTCTGGGCCTTGATAGGGCAGGAAATTGTCTTGCCTCTCTTGTGTTGCATGCAATACTGTTTACTCAAAGTAGGGAGAAACAGGATATTCATAAGCACCTACATGAACCATCATACACAAACCCACACATTCTCACTTCCCACTCCCTCATAATGGGAAACCAACATTTTGATCTTTATATTCTTGCCTTATAGGATGATCTAGATGGGAACCAAAAGTATAATCAGGAAAAGGGATGGATGGTGCCTTAAGGACTAGGAATTCACACCCCTTAAACTTTAAGATCAGTCCCCTGGAGATGTTGACGAAGTGCAGATTCTGATTCACAGTGTCTAGGATGAGTTCTCAGATGTCATAGCTTTACCAACTCGCATGTGATGCTGAGGTTCTTTGAAGGACCCTCTGAGAAGAAAAGAGTTAAAGCAGCAGCTCCCAAATTTTTCTGGCATCAAAATTGCCTAGAATGTGGGTTCAAATATATCCAGAGATTTTGGGTTATCTGTCGCGATGGGGCCCAAGAATTTGTATCTTGAACAAGTGTCTAGGTGATGTGAATTCTGCCATGTCCCAGTCCATATTTGAGGACCACTGGTTTAAAGAACTAAATCAGTGGTTTTAAATCATTATTGCCCAATATAATATCTGAGAAAATACTATTGATGGAGTCTCATCCACCGAGAGCCTGAGGCTTTTTTTTTCCAACGTTTATTTTAGAGTCTGTGGCACATGTGCAGGTTTGCTACCTGGGTATATTGTGTGATGCTGAGATTTGGGATACAACTGATCCCATCACCCAGTTAGTGAGCATAGTATTTAATAGATAGTTTTTCATACCTTGTGGCCCCTCCCTCCCTGCTCTAGTAGGCCCTAGTGTCTACTGTTCCCTTCTTTGTACTCCCATCTTGTCCCTGTTGTGTTGTGTACTCAATGTTCAGCTCCCACTTATAAGTAAGAATAGTGGTATTTGGTTTTTTCTTCCTGCATTAATTCACTTAGAATAATGCCTTTTAGCTGCAGCCATGTTGCTGCAAAAGAAGTGATTTTGTTCTTCTTCATGGCTGTGTAGTATTCCATGTATATATGTATCACATTTTCTTTATCCAGTCCACTGTTAATGGGCTTCTCTGTTGACTCCATGTATTTGCTCTTGAGAATAGTGCTGCGATGCATATAGGAGTACATGTGTCTTTTGGGTAGAACAACTTATTTTCCCTTGGGTGTTTTCCCAGAAATGGGGTTCCTGGGTCGAATGGTAGTTCTGTTTTAATTTCTTTGAGAAATCTCCAAACTGCTCTCCACAGTGGGTGAACTAATTTACATTCCCATCAACAGCATATAAGCATTTCCTTTTCTCTGCAGCCTCACCAGCATCTGCTGTTTTTTTTACTTTTTAATAATAGCCATTCTGACTGGTGTGAGATAATATCTCATTGTGGTTGTGACTTGCATTTCTCTGATGATTACTGATGTGGACCTTTTTTTTCATGTTCGTTGGTTGTTTGTGTGTCTTCTTTTGAGAACTGTCATCTTTTGCCCATTTTTTTAAAGTGGGATTGGTATTTGCTTGTCAAATTGTTAAAGTTTCTTACAGATTCTGGATATTAGTCCTTTGTTAAATGCATAGTTTGATAATATTTTCCCCATCCTGTAGATTACCTGTTTACTCTGTTGACAGTTTCTTTCACTGTGCACACGTTCTGTAGTTTAATTAGGTCCCATGTGTCAATTTTAATTTTTGTTGAAATTGCTTTTGAAGACTTAGTCATAAATTATTTCTAAAGGATGATGTCCAGAATGGTGTTTCCTAGGTTTTCTTCTAGGATTCTTATAGTTTGAGGTCTTATATGTAAATCTTTCATCCATTTTGTGTTAATATTTGCATATGGTATATGATAGGGGTTAAACTTCATTCTTTTATATTTGGCTAATCACTTATCCTAGCACCATTTTTTGAATAGGGAATCCTTTCCCCATTGCTTAGTTTTGTTAACTTTGTTGAAGATTAGATGGCTGTACAGCTTTATTTTATTTCTGGGCTCTCTATTAGGTGTACAGCTTTATTTCTGGGCTCTCTATTAGGTGTACAGCTTTATTTCTGGGCTCTCTATTCTGTTTCATTGGGCTATGTGTCCCGTTTTGAATGAATACCATGCTGTTTTGGTTATTATAGCCTTGTAGGATAGTTTGAAGTCAGGTAATGTGATACCTCCAGCTTTATTCTTTTTGCTTAGGATTGCTTGGGCTATTCAGGCTCTTCTTTGGCTCCATATGTATGTTAAAATAGTTTTCTCCAACTCTGTGTAAAACGACATTAGTAGTTTGAAAGGAATAGCATTGAATCTTAAGTTGCTTTGGACAGTACGGCGATTTTAACTATTGTTTCTTCCAGTTCATAAGCATGGAATGTTTTTCCATTTTCCGTATCATCTATGATTTTTGTTAGCAGTGTTTTTTAGTTTTCCTTGTAAAGATCTTTCACCTCCATAGTTAACTGTATTCCTAGGTATTTGGGTTTGTGCGTAGCTATTGTAAATGGGGATTTGGCTCTGAGGGCTTGATTTAATGGAACCTGTAGATTCTAAAGCCCCTCCTACGATTCAAATGTGTAGCCAGCATCATGAACCATTCCTCTGGACTTTTTCTTTGCTTTAGAGCCAAGAGAGTTCATCTGTATCAGCCCCCAAACCAGCTGAGTAGGGGACTGGGACTGGGGTCAACTTGTACAGGTAGGTATCAGATAATTTCTGTGGAATTATCCTTCATAGCACTTCCTGGGCCATATTTCTTTTCTGACTGAGCCACCAGCCTTCTCAGGGACATATTATCTCCTTTCCTTTGCTAGTATCTTCAGTCAAGTGGCAATCTGTCCATTCCACTGCAATTTTTCATCTACATTTTCATCCATTTGGTGATTTAAACTGCAGAGAAAATATTAATGTATGTCAGTTTTCCAATTTCAGTTATCTGTTGTCTTTTCAAATTTGTTGCTTGCAAATTAATTGGTGGAAAGGTTAACTTTTTCTTCCAATTTATATATATTTTTTACTTTCAATCAATTTGCTCACTAACATAGTGGTCTTCATCATGAATGAATAGTCCTACAATTTAAAGCCAGTGGAAGACTTGGAAGACTTTTCTGCTTAAAAGTTTCATGACCGCAACCAGCTTTTTCAACTGTCTCAATTTCAGTTTTGTTGTTGTCATCATCTTTTTCTTCCTCTTCTTCTTCTCCTGCCTCTTCCCCTTTTTCTCTTTACTCCTCTTCCTCCTTCTCCTCCATCCCTCCCTCCTCTTTTACTTCTCCTCCTCTTCTTTTTCTTGCTCCTCTTCCTCCCCTCCTCCTCTTCTTCTTCCTCCTCTTCCTTCTCCCCTTTCTCTATCTTCTCCTCCTTCTCTCCCTCCGTCCACTCCTCTTTCTTCCTCCTCTTCTTTTTCCTTCTCTTCCTCCTCTTTCTCCTTTTCCTTCTCCTCCTCCTTCTTATTCCTCTTTCTCCTCCTCCTCCTCTTTCTCCTTCTCCTTCTCTTTCTCCTTCTTCTCCTCTTTCTCCTTCTCCTCTTCCTCCTACTCCTTCTCCTCCTCCTCCTTCTTCCTCCTCTTCATCCATCTTTTTTCTCCTTTTGTGAAATAGGAATGACAGTGCCCACTTTACATGGTTGTAAGTTCAAATGAGTTTGGTACTCCATCTCTTGATCTATTGCAGATGGTCAATAAATGACAATCAGTATCTTCTGCTCCTGTACTTGTTGAAAGCACAGGATGTATTGATTTTCTTTTCACAGGGATAATTGATCTCTTTATATATAACAGAGATTAACTTGTCTGGCATTAGGGGTCTAAGCCAGTTGTCTCACTTTTTTTTTTTTTACCACGTCTGTGTTCCTCATCTCACAGCAACCTGGCTTTAACTTCCATCCCTTCACAAAAATTACAGAAGCCACCAGGTTCACAGTCTCCTTTTAGCCCTCATTTTGTTTGATTGCTTTGTTCTCTTTAGAACTTCCGTGGCAAGCATATTTCCCCTGGATTCAGTGTATAAAAGGAACAACTAGCACTCTTCTCAGTCCTTGGGATGCCCTTGCACAACTTTCTAGGGTGTCGACACTGCCTCTTTTAATGAAGCACTTCTTGCTCCTTGATCTTTGGGTCTGAAGAATAAAGGAGGAGGGTTGTGTGAATGGATCAAGACAGATTATGATAATGAAAGTCCTAATGAGCACTGAGTTTCTTCCCGGCCTGAGAATAACTTTGAGCCCAATGGTAAAACGACCAGAAATGAGGAGCAGGCTGGAACTCAGACTAACTGGGCTGCTTTTGCACCCCAGAATCAAGTTTGGCTTAATTTTCAGAAGTCAATCACTCTCTTCATCTGAGCAATACAACAGTGATAACTTTGGGCACTGCAGAAAGCATTTTTAAAATGCTGTGCCACATGTCCTGTATTGAGCAGAGTAGCCAGGAGAGATGTTTAGTTCCCAAAGGAATGTCTTGAGCAGAACTAAGCGTTCTATTTTAATGGAGATTTGGACGTGGGCCAAAATTCTTAGCTTCCAGCTTGAATATACAGCCTTCAGCAGTTGCATAAATAATACTCAAAGTTATAGCATTAAAATTGCTTTCAGTTTTGGTGTAACCACTGCACAGTGCTTTTCAACAAGCTGAGCTTTCTTAGATTTTGTCATTGTTATTCATCATACTCAGCCTGTGTCTGCTCATGTCTATAAACGAAGGCCATCTTCATGTGATGATTTGATTGTAATAGCAGGGTGGGCACTTCCCCACAAAACAGTGAAATCATCGTTGATCCCCATTACCAAAGACATGATGCTCCAGGACTGACTCGATTTTTAATCCAAAGGATGGCTGGGCTCTTCTCAAGGAGCCTTGCTCTAGCTTCCCTGGGCTCTGAGGAATGCCCAGCTACATCAACCTTCATATTTCTCTGCAAGACACAGGAGTATCCCAGAGAAGCTCCAATATCCTCAGAACAAAAGGTAAGACTTTTTGCCACTACTAATTTAACCTGAGATTTACTAAATTCTCTTCTTCTTCTCCTCCTCCTCCTCCTCCTCTTCTTCTTCTCCTCCTCCTTCTCCTCTTCTCCTCCTCCTCTTATTCTTCTTCTTCCTTTTTCTTCTCTTCTTCCTTTCTTCTTTTCCTTCTCCTCCTCTTCTCCTTGTCTCCTCCCTCCGCCTCCCTTTCCCTCTGCCTTTCCCTCTCCCTCTCTCTTTCCCTCTTCCTCTCTCTCTCTCCCTCTCTCTCTCTCTCCCTCTCCCCCTTCCCCTTCCCCTCCTCCTCCTTCTTGTTGTTGTTGTTGTTTTTGTTGTTCTTCTTCTTCTTCTCCCTCTTCTCCCTCTCTCTCACTAGATGTTCCTTCCCTCAGTGGAAATTTGACCAGCAATGAGAGTTATGAAATAGTGCTCATGTTTCTACTGTCACCTTCATTATGAATGAGTACAGAGTTAAAAGAGAGAGAAGGTCAAATGCAAACATTAGTGCTAGGAGTTGATGGGGAACCTCTGCAGTGCTTATTCTTTTTCACCTGAAGTTTTGACATGAAGCTTCAATGCTGACTATCAAAAAGAGGCACTCTCCACCCTGAAGTGGTTTATTTACTGCCATGCTCCCTTTACTAAGCTGAAGTAATTGCAATTATGCTATAGTAGAACTATTGACTATAATGAGAATTTTATTACCTGAAGCCTGAGACAAGCTATGAAGCAAATAAACATTATTGACTTACCAAATCTCATGTTAAATTGTGTCTTAAGATGTGATTTCATCAAGTCAAACAATTTGCATGAAAATATATGTGAATACAACATGTAGGAGATTCTATTGCAATCTTATATGCTTATGAAAACTAGTCTAGTTATAGATTATTTATTAAAAAATACAGAAGTCTAAAAGCCTCTATCAGTCATCTTCATTGAACTCGGAAGGTGATCTGTATTTAGCCAATAACTCATAGATTATTATTGATTTTTTTTAACTTGTCAGGGACTAAGAAAAGTCTGAAATACAAATATCTTGCCACAGGCTTTTCCCACATGACCACGGTTGGAAGGCTTTCTAATCTCTTCTAATGAAATTGGCCGAGCTGCAATCAATGAACCCTGGAGCATGTCATATGAAATATTGGACCACCGCAGGGGGCAACCCAGCTCCCCCTGTCCTGTTTTAGTAATGTGGTTTCTGTCTGGAGAAAAGTTTAGAGAGTGAAATTTTATTTCATATTTTGCTTAGCAAATGATACAATTATGATTAGGCAGGCCTTTCCCCCCACTACAATAACACGGATGAACTCGCTCTCTAATTTTGTTTTGCAATAGCCCATCGGCCCCAGCCTAGTAAACCATAATACTTAAAGCTTTGTGAGCTAAAACAAACAAACCCAAAAAAAGTATGTTGATACTGGTTGTTTAGAATTTTGCAGAGCATAAAGGCCTGGTAGATCACAATTCCATGAAGAGCAAGCAAATATGAATGGAGTTGGATGCTAAACAGCAAAGTGATATTTAAGTGATCAGACTACATCACACTTTTTTTCAAGGCATACTGCAATAAAATTACTCCCTCATCAGACTTATTCACTCTACAGCTTGTGCAGTAATTTTTTTATTGTGATGAAATAAGGTTAGACCTAAGAGTGGAGAATTATTACTATTATTATTTTTTCAGGGACAGGGTCTTGCTCTGTTGCCCAGGCTGGAATGCAGTGGCAGTGATATGGGAGGGGAGCAGGGAAGTGCTGGGTAGAGAAGAGCGGGGTCCCTGGCGAGGGCTCCACCCTCGGGCCTGTGTCTGCTGACCTAAGTGATAACAGGAACTTCTGTTTTCGGGCCCAAATGTTGCATTTTCCAAGACCACTCTGGCCCATCATCCCCCACATCCTGTGCCCATGTACACTTGAGAACTTAGCGGGCACACACACACATACACACACACACACACGCAGCTGATCATCGAGAGGAGCAGAGAATGGCAGAGAGTGGTGGAGAGTGCAAGAGCATCAGGGCAGCATGGCAGAGAAGGAGGGAAGAGGCGCCTTCTCCGCCGAACTGCGGGGGAAGATGATCTGCCCCGACTCCACCTTCTCACGCCAGCTCCCCATCCCTCTGAAAGCCACCTCCACCGCTCGGGAAAGTCTCCGCATTCATCACCTTTCTAACAGTTCGTGTGACCTGATTGGTCCAGGATACTGGACAAGAATCCACGGGGATTAACACGCAGCCGTCGCCAGACGTAAAGCTGAAGGAGCACACTGTAACACACACTCACTTGGGCTTTGGGAGTAGCAGACACACACCCTTAGACACTGCCTTGGGGCTGGAGCCCCAAAGCGCTCCCCTGGGTTCCTGCTCTGGGCCCATCTGCGTGCTCCCCCTCCGGTAAGGGGTTTGAGCTAGTGGTGGCCAAACAGAGAGCCACACCCCTGTTGCACGTCTTGCCAGGGGATGCAGGGAACTCTCCAGTTTCGGCATGATCACAGCCCACTTGCTGCAGCCTCGAACTCCTCGGCTCAAGTGATCCTCTCACCTCAGTCTCCTGAGTAGCTGGGAGTACAGGCGTGCACCACCATATCCAGCTATATATATATATATATATTTTTTTTTAGAGATAAGGTCTCACTATGTTGCCGACGCTGGTCTCAAACTCCTGGGCTCAAGCAATCCTCCTACCTCAGCCTCCCTAAGTGGTGGGATTATAGGTGTGAGCCATGGCACCTGAAAAGACTGAAAAATTATTTGGCCTATTCAAAGATTACTTCTTCTACTCTTTGCTGGTACTGAGAAAGTTTAAATCCACCCAGAGGGGAAAACATTGCCACTCAAACAGGATTGTATGTTTTTATCTCTGCACACTCTAGTTTATCATGCATTCTCAACTGTGGAAATGGTGCCATAAGGAAGTAATAGTGGGAATTTTGGGAGGTGAAAAAACACCTTACTCTTTGACGTATAAAGTGCAAACATACATATAGTACATAAATAGACATAGAGCATGCTCATGGTATTAACATTTTATGGGGGCAAGGGCAATTGGGAAAGAAAAAAAATCTAAAACAGCTTCTGGTTGGGTGTAGTGCTTGTGCCTATAATCTCAGCACTTTGGGAGGCTGAGACAGGCGGACCACTTGGGCAAGAAATTGGAGACCAGCCTGGGCAAGAAGTTGGAGACCAGCCTGGGCAACATAGCAAGATCCCATATCTACAAAAAATACAAAAGTTAGCCAAGCATCATGGCGTGCCTGTGGTCTCAGCTACTTGGAGGCTGAGGTGGGAGGATTGCTTAAGCCTGGGAGGTTGAGTCTGCAGTGAGCTGAGATCAGGCCACTGCACTCCAGCCTGAACAACAGAGTGATATGCTGTCTTAAAAATAAACAAACAGATAAAAATAAAAAAGCTCCCCTTAAGGGGGTGATAATGAAAAACAAAAACAAAAAAAGAAGTTGTGATGGAGGATAACTTGAAGCAGAACACCAAATAAACTGGTCACTTGGGATGGAAGCTCTGCCTCGTGGTCTTTCTCTGTAGTCTGGGGAAAATGCATTTCTTTCCAAGGTTCTTCAATATCTAAATGACAAGATGTATGTAAGAAACCTTGTAAAGTTCCCAGTATGGAATAGGAAGTAGGTGAGGTCCTACAGGTATGGATGCTGATAAGGCACAGTCATTCCTCACACTTAGAGGGTAGGGAAACCAGACTATAAGCTCCATGGGGCAAGCCCTGGTTTTGCCTTTATTTTACATTTGTATGTATAGATGTACATATGCATTTATATATATACATATATTTGTATATTTTTTTTTTTTGCCTTAAGATTCCAGGACAAAGGAATTCTGTCTGCCTGTTGAGATAGTGGGTGGGGTGATAGATTGTTCTGTGTCACATAATTGGCTGCTAAATGAGATTTGCTACAATGCGAAACTGTAAATCTGAAACTGTCCTCACGGGGTTCACAAGAATTCTGGACAGAAATACATTTATAATTAAGCATGAATCAGGCTGCATTTTGACCCACTTCCTTGTAATGGAAAGTCACATAGCACTAGATACTGATCATTTGTATCCAGATTGTTCCTATAGATAGGACCTTTATCTATAGGAATCCTATAGATAGAACCATATATTCTTTAGATAGAATCATAAGGAGAATTCCAGTGAAATAGCTGATGCCAACCAGTTTGAAGATCCCCACAGAGGAACACAATCATCATGAGAACACAGCTTCTTCATGACCCCGTCCCATGACTTCATCCTGCACTATTCCACCAATCAGTGATCTCCATTCTTGAGCCCACTTCCAAATCCTTGACAACTCTAGCCTCAGTCTCCTCTGGGAGAAGGATTTGAAGTTTCCTTCCATCTCCTCATTTTCTGAGAGTTCTATGATTAAACCACTTTCTCTGCTGCATCCCCAGTGTCTCTGCATATTAACTTTCCATGCACCTGAGGCAAAGAACCTATTATGGTTGCAGATCTATGAATGATCCTTTTATTTTCAGAGTATGCACACTCAGTGAAAGCATTAGCATGGTGAGGCAAGCAAAGATGAACAGTACAGTAGCTCAGGGGAGAGAGAGTGAGCTAAGCCGGGCTTTGCAGCTCAGCAAGCATCCTCTCCTCTGTGGTTGTTCTCAGCATCTCGGTATTGCAGCAGATCAGCTGTTCCATCAATGCCTCAAGATGATTTTGTGTTTGTTTCGGTGTCTCTGTTTGCTGTGTAATAAGACTGATCATTGCAACTTTACATTGAGAGGAAATGTTTGGTCATTGGGAGAATTGATTCTACTGCAGAGAGAGTCACACTAGATATCAAAGCTTGGGAACTTATTAATGTAAGAAAATTATCATTTTTTTGTGTTGGAAATAGAAATACTTGTTTTTTTAGACTTGGGAAAACCCTACAACAGATTCTCTTGGTCAAGTACAGCTGTGGTTAAATGCAAATACTATATCTTTCATGTATATTATTCCTAGGTTCTAATTTATATCCCTTCTACTTCTCTTCACTTTCTTTCTTTCACACCCATAACCAGTGAATGAATTTGTAGTCTGACATTTTTCTTTCTTCCTTCCACTATTTTAGAAGATGCACGAAGTCTTTGCACCTCTGGACTCACTCTTTTGCCTTATAGCCAACTCATTTTTTACACTGTGGTCACACAGATTTTTCTAAACCAAATATCTGGTCCTATTTTACTAAGAAGAAGTTAATAATAATTACTAGGTTGTAGTTACTACAGCTTAGTAAAGGGAGCTTGGTAATAAATAAACCACTTCAGGGTAGAGAGTGGCTCTCTTTGGTAGTCATCATGGAAGCTTCATGTCAAAACTTCAAGTGAAATAATTCATCAATTATGACAGAGATTGATTTTTGTCTACCAGTTTTCACTTCTTCCATGTTTTTAATAACAGTCGTCTCTTTCTGTTTTGTAGGGCCTATGTCAGTCTGGTACATGTTAGTCAAGTTAAAGAACACATTTGCAGCTTCCCTGAAATCTATGTGTGGGCATATACATAGGGTTTGGCAGATAGGATATATGCCAAAGTGAAAAGCATAAACTGTGCTTCAAGTATTGGAACACACATTTGCTTCCCCTTCATGTCTCTTTTTCCTTTCCATGTGGTTGGCCTGCAGCTTCACTGTTGAAGAGGGGAAGCAGTCCTTAGGCAATAGCAAAGCCACACAGTATGAACTGCTGAGCTTGAGGCATAGATGGATTCAACCCAACCTGGACTCTTATGGAAGAGACAAAGGTCTTTCACCTTTGAACCACTCTAGTTGTGTGTTTTTGTAACAGTAGCTGAGACTCTTTTCTAAGTAATATTGCAATTTTCCATTGTCTACAGAATATGTTATCATATTCTTGGCCTGGCATGCAAAGATATTCATCATTAAAAATATATTACAGTGTTGTCACTGTGATCAATGCCTCTTGTTTTGATCCATGCCTCTTGTTTTGGCCAATAATAAAATCACCTTTGCAAAGATTATGACAATGAGAGAAGTCTAGCATGGCTGGCTCCAGCTTGCTTCTAGCCACACAGGCTATCTATTCTCACTTATTCCTGGGTGTAAGTCAAGGTAACCATGAGAAGAATTTAGATTATAGTTTATCTTGGAAGCAACAATGATAATAGTCCCTCCCTAAAACTAAGCCCCTCGTTGCTCAGGGACTGAAAACTAACCAAAAGCCATGAGGTTAGGATTAAGGGAAGGTCCTGAATTCTGCTGAAATGTAGTGCATAGTTTTTATAATCTCTTACTGCTCAGGAGTCATGTGGCCAGAAGTCATGAGATTTATGACTTCCCCAGTTGCTCCTGTAGATAATGTCACTATTGTTGACATGGTTTGGCCGTGTCCCCACCCAAATCTTATCTTGAATTGTAGTTCCCATAATCCCCACATGTTATGGGAGAGACCCAGTGGGAGGTAATTGAATGATGGGGGTGGTTACCCTCATGCTGCTGTCCTCATGATAGTGAGTGAGTTCTCATGAAATCTGACTGCTTTATAAGGGGCTTTTCCTCTGTCTTTGCTCTCCACTTCTCGTTGTTAGTCCATTGTGAAGGAGGACTTGTTTGCTTCCCCTTCCACCTTGATTGCAAGTTGCCTGAGACCTCCCTAGCCCTGGGGAACTGTGAGTCAATTAAACCTCTTCCCTTTATAAATTAGCCAGTGTCAGGTATGTCTGTATAGCAGCATGAGAACAGACTAGTACAATTGTAGATCTTAGCTAAGATTGGTCTTTTGAGATGTGTTTTGCACTTGTGCATTCTGGCAACCAACTGACCCCACCTGGATTCACGACTCATGACTCAACCAATCCTATGGCCCCAACCCAGCAGAGGAGTCAGTGCATGAAGACAGTTTTCCACACTGTCATGATTTCATCTCCAGCCAATCAGCACCACCCTTTCTCTAGCCCCCTGCCTACCAAATTATCTATAAAAACCTAGCCTCTGTGTCCTTGGGGAGGCTGATTTGAGTGATAACGCTAGTCCTCTGCTTAGCTGCCTTGCATTAATTAAACTCTTGTCAGCAATACGACAGTCTCAGTGAATTTGTTTTGTCTACGGAGGTAGCAGGAAGAAGCTGTTGGGTGATTACCATAATGTAGGAGCAGAAGTTTCCCGCGTGAGTTCCAGCCAGAGGCTTTTGATCTGTTGTATGTCTTTGTCAGTTTCATGCACTTTGTCTCTGCTGTAGGAAGGGATATCCCAGATTGGGGATGTTCCACGCATGCTGCCATGTAACATGAGCAAGATATAAACCATCAAGAAATAGGCCACTGAATTTTGAGCATTATTTGTTATTGCACCATTATCTAGCAAAAGTAGACTAATACAATTATTTAAAACAAAACAAAATGAAATAACAAAAAATAATGTTTCAAGAAATCAAGCAGGAAAACTTTAAGTTTATCTTTTGAATTGCATTAATGTTAACTGTAGGCAGATATTTAGAAAAATTTACTTCCGCTTAGAAAACTATTTGGTTAGTTTGTGTTCCCCAGAGGCATATCCTGAGGCAAGGACACTTATGCAAATGACTGGTTAGGGAAATACTCCAAGGAGAAACAGGAAGTGGATAGAGGAAGGAGAAGAAGGAAGAGGAAGAAACTAAGGGAAGGTGACATTTTAGATAATGTCTCGTGGAATCTTTGGGCATATACAGTTTTCCCCCCTGTTACTAATTACTACATAAACAAGTTAGATACACGAAGAAACTGCAAGAATGGGAATACAAATTAACCCCTGGGCTTTTAAATTTTGTCCTTGGGATTCATAAACCAGTTGATTCATAGAAGTCAAGACATTCTGAATGATGCTATCTCTATGATCTTTGACTGACTCTTGACTCCACTTACATCTCATACTGGAATTTCTGGAGGACTTTATAGAATTTTAAGAGATCATCTCCAATGTCTTTCTTCATTTTCCCACCCATTTCTCATGTATCATAAAAAGTCCCAAAATTCCCATTTGAAGTTGTAAGAGGCTGAGTTAGATTTTGCTAGTCAGATGCTCATTTAAACCAGAAAATGCAGAAAGTACTTTAGAGGACATTGTAGGCTTCAATGCCTTGGACTTTTTTCTTCTAAATATGGCGCTTATACTATCTTTCAAATGTGAGCTTACTTTTATTTTATAAAGGAATATTTCGTCTCTCGTGATCATAGCCCCTGTGGAATTTCACTAATGGATCCTGAAGTCCTATCTCAGCTAATGAAGATTGAATGAATGCAATAAACAGTAATATTTTAACAAGGCCCTCTTCCTCAGAGCTGCTAGAAATTCATGAGATTGATGTCTGCAGAATTTTGGAAGGTGCCACCTTACATGACTAAAAAATGAGAGTCATTTTTCTTTTATTAATTTGATGTCAGTTTATTAAAAAAGAATATATTCTGGTTATCACAATTCATTAATGTTAATACCATATAGGGCAATGGAAACAGCTTGGTGAGAATTTGGGGGAGACTAACCCTCAGAGTTGAAATTACTGCATCCGCTCAAATTGGTAATGAAAAAAGCATATAATTGCTACAAACGAACAGATTTTATGTTTCCACAGCTTCTTAGAAATGTATGTTTGACAGTTCTGTATCCAACTTTTTGCATTTGAAGACTTGGAAAGATAGAAAATGGAAGCAATTTTCTACCCCTTATTTCTTCTTATTATAATCAAATTATCTAAATAATTCAGATACAATAATGGAGAGTTTAGAGTTTTATTTATCTGGTTTTAACAATTTTCCAAATATATAGGGTCACCAGGGCAATTTTAAGACATTAAGAGAAAACAGACGAACAAAAAAAACCAATTATGTAGTCTTAGAAAAGTCAAATGGTAAATGAAATGAAGAAGAAACATGCATATTTATGGGTCAATACTAATCAATACAACTGTCTTTCTAACTGAAAGCATAAATAGTTATGCATAAACTCTCTGATTCATGTTACCTAGTTTTGTGTGTGTGTGTGTGTGTGTGTGTGTGTGTGTGTTTACATGCATGAGAATTTGTGTATAAATCTTGGAAAGAGGGGATTCATGAAATCGAAGAAATTAAAATTACCATTTAAATAATTTTGTTTCATCGAAACAACTAAAGAGCACCCACTCTATCCCAAATACAATTTCCTTTCTTTTGTGATTCTTTCCTATAAATATTATATGAAACCATCTAGAGTTGTTTAAACCTATTATAAATATAGAAACCTATTTAAAATGAAGGAATTATATATAATATATATCATATATAATTTCCACAAGTGAATAAGCAGACACAAAAATTTTGTGTTCTCTACTCATGGTGATCTCTCTTTGCTGCAGTTAGTTTATCCGGAATGGCAGGATTCCACAGGGAATGACGTGGTCTCTGAATGTGTCAATCACTGAGAGAGACATAGAGGCTGTAATTCACTTACCTGTGGAATGTCTTTAAAATTTGCCTTCAGTACCTTTTTAATGCAAAGTCAAATTGACAAACATATTTTATTAGTATATATTTATTCATGCTTTTGTGGTTGTTTTCATGTCATGGTTTTAAAAGAAGAAAGTGTACATACCTGGTAAACCTCCACAAACAGACTGAAATAAAGCACCATCCTTTCCCTGTCACATCTTGAGAAGACGTTTTGAATGCCCCAGGCCCTAATACAGTTCATATCAGAAATGCAATGTGGCTTTGACAAGTGAATTCTAGTTTGTTTCCTCCCTGGCATTTTGTTACAGTGAATCTTGACATGACGTGCTTCAATAGTCTCGATTTATTTTTTTTCAAATTCCAGAATGTTTCCCATGAGAGTTTTTTATTTTGCATATATGTGTGTGTATACTTACGTATAATATATATACGTAATATATACATAATGCACATGTTTGTATGTATACATGTATATCTTTTTGTGAACTTTTAAAAATAATATTATTTTGCAAATTTAAATTTTTTATTTTTTGTCTTTTTTATTTTTATTGATTTAGGAAGTACAAGTGCAGTTTTGCTATGTATCTATATATTTATATATGTACAGACATATGTGTGTGTATATATGTATGAATAGGTATATATGCATGTGGATAAATAATCGCTACTAAATATATACATGACAGTAAACACTGAATGTCATTTTAACAAATAGCATTATAACATTCGGGTGTACATAATCAGGCTATTTCTACCTTTGAATATATACTTATCTTGGCAGTGTTTGGTTTATCTGGTTTTTAACAAATTCTATCCCCTGAAATTTTAATATTTTTAATGTTTAAAATGTTACTAATTTTTTAAAATTTATTTTACCTCTTTCTTTATTTTTTTTAGAGATGGAGCCTAGGATGGATTCAAACTCCTGAGATGAAAGAGTCCCCTGCCTTAGCCTCCCAAGCAGCAGGGACTACAGGTGCATGTCACCTTGCCCAGCTCCTGCAAAATTTGTTTGTAGCAAAGGACGTTTCCATGTTCTATCCCATTAGGTATCGATCCTCTCAATGAAGGCCTTTTTTTCAATCTAATATTTGTGATATGGGTGTATTTGGATCCTGTAAAGCTAGCCGTACAATGATAACTTTGACACAAAAGTGTGGTGCTGTTTGGGGGTTTTGTTTGGGTGGAGGTGAGTGGACAGAGAAGTAACTTGGAAACGATGTGTAGTAGTGAAGTCAAGCAGAGAGAAGGATGTGAACAAGGTGGAACTAAAACCGTGTTCTGTTATTAGGCACCAGAATCTAAGCTATGCCAAATTAAATGCAAATAAAATAGTCTGAGGCTGTAAATCAGACTTTCGTGAAATGAGTTTGGATAAAATACATTAATAATGTTGCCCATGACATCATTTGCTGTGACTGTCTTTGACTCTGACCAAGCCACTCACTCTTCCTTTCCTCACTCTGTCCTACTAGTCTTCTAACTCTGTATCCACTCTTTCCAGTGAAATTGCCCTCCTACCCTTCCAGCCTTCCTACCCTTCAAGCACAGCACACTCAGCACTTTGTGTCTTCTATAATGTTAAAAGAAAATTTAAATTTGACCCTGGTGCTCATCCCATCAGCAATATCTATAGATTGTCCAAGTTTTCCACATTCTTATGTGGAATAACCATGTGTTGCACCCCTACTATTTGCCAATTACTATGCAATAAAAGATAAATAGGACTGGGTGCAGTGGCTCATGCCTGTAGTCCAAGCTATTTGGGAGACTGAGGTGGAAGGATTGCTTGAGCCCAGGAGATCCAGGCTGCAGCGAGCCATGATCCACACCACCGCACACCAGCCTGGGCAATAGAGCGAGACCCCATCTCTAAAAACAGAGAAGATAAGTTAGATGAGATAAACGGCATGCCACCTTGACTTCCCAACTATTACAGACTAGGAATGGATACAGATGTAAAGTGATAATTAAATTACATTCAGGACAAGGAAACAGGGTGGCATGACTAGGTTTCTATAAAGTATGAGTTGAGCCATTCATTTAGGGTTTCACTGTACTAATCCATGAAAGCTGACCTTTTAAATGTTGCAGTGCTCCTTCCTTTTGGCAAATCCAATAGTAGATTCTCGTCTGTGGTTAACTTACTCAATCTGTCAGGAGTTTCTGAAAGGATTGGGTATGCCGCTTCTTCAGATATCTTATATTTGCATCTGGGGTACCATACACTTCTACTTTACCTGTCTCTTTTGTTTTTTGGTTTTTATTTTTTTTTTTTCGTATACTGTCTGTTTCCTTTTCCCTGGCTCCTTGCAGGTGGAATTTCCCAGAGCAATGGGTTCTCTTCTCCACCATTCACTTAGTGGCTTTGTCCAGTCTCAAGGCTTGAAATACCTAGAATTTCATTTTATTTAAATTTGCAACTTTAATCGTAATTGGAAAATGTAAATTGTGTTATCAAATTTGTCACTGCAAGCCTGACCTCTCTCCCAAACGCTGTATTTATATATCCAACTATTTGTCACCTCTTCTTGGAAGTCAGAGAGACAGCTCAATAACCTGCCTAACACCACATTTTGGTTATTTTCACACACAGACACACACACACACACACATGCACATGCACATACATACACCAAACAAACAAACACAAAAACAAAAACCACTGTGCTTCCCCTGGATGAATGGCAATTTCAACATTATGACACCAACCCAATTGTCACATAAAACTGATAATAATAGTTTCTTTTGAATAAACGTAGAAATCGATGCTCCCAGTCTTAAAACTTGAGAAAGTTATGTTTGTCTTATCTGAGTTCCTTTCTCAGGAAACAAACCAGCAGGCTTCCCAGATAGCATCAAGGAGCTGAAACTCGCCAGATCACCACAATTGGACAATGAGATGCCAGACCCTTCAGTCATCATGATGGCCTAACTGACCATCTGCTTCCTATTGACCAACTCCTCTTTCTTACCACTCCCTAATTCGTGTTTTCCTACATGCAGTTACATTTCTGCTATGTAAAGCCCTAATGTTAGTCAATCAGGGAGATGGATTTGAGTCTGATCTTTCATCTCCTCAGCTACAGCACCCAGTGAAAGCCTTCTTCTCTGGCAATACTGGTTGTCTCAGTGATTGCCTTTCTGTGTGGTGAGCAGTAGGACCTAGACCAAACCCCTAGTGTTTTGGTGACTATTATAGTTTGAATGAAAAACTGTCATCCTTGACTCTTCTCTTTCTATTGCACAAAAGGCCTGGCCATCAGGAGATCCTATTTTCTCTATTGCAAAACCCTCATTGTGTTAACCTCCACTGAGCTACCATCTTTTCTCATGTACATTCTTATTTATTTATTTTATTTATTTATTTATTTATTTATTTATTCTGAGACTGGGTCTCCCTCTTTTGCCGCAGGCTGGAGTGCAGTGGTGTGATCTCGGCTTACTGCAATCTCTAACTCCCAAGTTCAAGTGATTCTCCTGCCTCAGCCTCCCAAGTAGCTTGGATTACAGGTATGTGCCACCACACCCAGCTAATTTTTTTTGTATTTTTAGTAGAGATGGGGTTTCACCCTGTTGGCCAGGCTGGTCTTGAACTCCTGACCTAAAATGATCTGCCTGCCTCGGCCTCCCAAAATGCTGGGCTTACAGGCGTGAGCCACCACACTCAGCCAATCTCCCGTATATTCTTAACAATCATTTCATAAATGAATTTTGTTTCTGCCCTTGGTCCCATAGAGTCTAATCTCAACAGAGGTGACACATACAACAAAGATTCTTTTAAAATATGAACCAGACCGTGTTGATGCTATTTTCAACATTTTCCATGGATTCCCATTTTACACAATGAAAAAGTCAACAGTCCTTACTTAGGTCTACATGGCATCGTCAACACTATGTCTTCCATCTCTTCTACTATTTTCTTCACTCTGCTATGGGTCCTAACTCTGTTTCCTGATCCAAGTCCCTGCCTTAGGGTTGCAGACCTAGTTCCATCTTCCTGGATCCCTGGTTTTCCAGAGGGTGGCATGATCAGTTCCTTTCTTCAAACCTGCTGGAGTATCAGCTTCTCAGAGAGCCTACCCTGGCCTTCCTCTTTAAACCTACACATTGTCCCCACCTCACAGGCTCCTGATACTCCTTGCACTAGGAAAATAGATCTATCTTTCTTTTTCTCATAGCATTAAGCCTCTGCAAGTACAGAGCTTGCTATATTTACCTACTAAGTCTCTTCTTAATTTTATTCTTTATTTACACCTTCCTCCACTAGTAGAGTATAAACTCCTTGTGGGCAAGGGTATATTCTTTTGTTTTCACTAATATACCTCAAGCACCAAAAAAAAAATTATCTATCACATATAGAGACATGAGGGATATTCATTGAATAATAGCAATATATTAATTTTAGTATATAATCATATTGTTAAATAATCTGTGTTTGTATGTGTGCATGAGACAGGGGATGCATAAGGACATTGTAATGAAAGAACAAAAACATAGGATTGAAAACTTATGAATAAACCCTTTTGAATATTTCATACCCTTATTTTAATAAAAAGAACATGAGGAACATTTGTTCCCACCTTGTCATGATACATCTCATCACAAAGAGTATAGTTGTTTAATAAATATTTGAAAAATGCACCATTTGAATACATTTTAAATAGATGGATTTATGCCTAAATGGTTATCAGAATTAATAATTATATGTAGCTTAGTTAGTGCTTTAAGGTCTCCTATTAATTTGATATCCCCGCTGAGGAAGGCATTGTGTTAACATCTATGAATTGTCTTCAAATTATTTCAATGTATAATCTGATCATTTAAATGTAAAAACATAAAGCCTTAAGAAAACCATACCTTAAACTACATGATTAGATAAGTCTGTTCATAAAACTGACATAATAATCAGAAGCTATGCAAGAAAAATATACACTTTTAAATGTCTGCAGGTAAAAAATTTCTAAACTAAATTGAAAAAAATAATTAAGACTGGGCACAGTGGCTCACGCCTGTAATCCCAGAACTTTGGGAGGCCGAGACGGGCGGATCACAAGGTCAGGAGATCGAGACCATCCTGTCTAACACGGTGAAACCCCATCTCTACTAAAAATGCAAAGAATTAGCTGGGTGTGGTGGTGGGCGCCTGTAATCCCAGCTACTCTGGAGGCTGAGGCAGGAGAATGGCGTGAACCTGGGAGACAGAGCTTGCAGTGAGCCGAGATGGTGCGACTGCACTCCAGCCTGGGTGACAGAGCGAGACTCCGTCTCAGAAAAAATAAATAAATTAATTAAAAAAATAAAAAACCAGGAAAAATCTTTGGAACATACAGTTGACCAAGGACTAGTTTTCCTGATTGAAAAAAAAAAAAAAAACAAAAAAAAAAAAAAACAAAGGAGCTTCTAAAATCAGTAAGAAAATGATTCACACTTACCTGATAAAGTTGGGTAAAGAACATTCAGAGCTCACCCAAAAGGAAACACAAGTTGCTTTTATAGATATAAAATGATAATCAGCTCCTCTCAAAATTAGGAAAATGCAAAGTGAAGCTGCAGTGAGACAGCATATCAAAATTTAATTCACATTACATAGGTGGTCATTTAGAGAATGGGGAAAATTGGTAGTGGAAGTTTAATTTGGTTAAACCTACTTGGCAGCTAACTTAGTAAAATATTTCCAACTTTCAGTTTCACATCTACTTTTAAAAATTTTCTTGTGTTGAGATATTTTTCCAATGTATTCTCACATGAAGACAAAGAGATTCCATGAAATTGCTTCAAAGAAAGAAAAGACATTAAGCAATGTAAAAATAAAAACAAAGAGGCATATAAAAGCATATAACTGTTGTGTTATATGAAATAACAAAAAGATTGGCAAAACATTAGATGCCATTTATAGACGAGTGGTTATAGGAAACATCACACATGCATACGATGCAATATTATACAGATGTTTAAAGAAATAAAGTTGATGATAATTAGGGACATTAATTGAATATATATATATATATATATGCCAGATATCGTTATATCCACTTTGCACCTATTTACTGATCTAATAATAAACCTCAGAGTCAGATACTCAATTATTTCTTTAACAAATGAAAAAAGAGGAGCCAATCAAGCAAAATAAATCTCCCAAGACTGAACAGCTAGTAAGTGCAGTAGCTGAAATCCTAATCCAAGCTGTCTAAATCCAGAGTCCAATTTATCTCTCACACACACGCAATACACATGGGTGAGTACATATACATATACATATACATTTATTGAGTATGTAAGCTGGGCACAGTGGCTCATACCTGTAATCCCAGCATTTTGGGAGGCTGAGTTGGGAGGATCACTGGAGGCCAGGAGTTCGAGACCACCTTGGGCAACATAGGAAGAACCCATTTTTAATTAAAAATAAAAAAGTATGTATATGTACATTGAATATATACACACATAGACACATTGGGTATATATATATACTTATATGTATATACTCAGTATATATATATATGCATATATACTCACCCAGGTGTATTGTACATATATGTATGTATATATATACACATACTATTAGGTTGGTGCAAAAGTAAATGTGATTTTTGGCATTACTTAAAAAAAAAAAAAAAATGGCAAAAACCGCAGTTATTTTTGCACCAGCCTAATTTATGTCCATATATCCAACTTTATATGCATATTCATACAGGGCTATTTTCAAGTATATATTTTAAACAAAAAGGACAAGGTTCAGACGAGTGTATTTAGAACTACTGTTGTTATGTGCTATTCAATACACAATGCATACGCACACACACACATGCTTTCATTTTATTATATGTTGGAATGATTCATGATAGATTAAAACACGTATCATTTCTGGCATAAAATAGATGGTGGGGCCCTTCAGTGGGGGAGCAATAATTTTTTTGCACTGTATACTCAAGAATAAATGTTTCAATTTAACTATATAATTATTTTAAATAAAATTTCATTTTCGTTTTTTAAAAATTTTTAGTAGAGATAAGGTGTCACCATGTTGGCCAGGCTGGTCTCGAACTCCTGGCCTCAAGTGATCTGCCTACCTTTGCCTCCCAAAGTGCTGGCATTATAGGCATGACCACCCGCGCCCGGCCTTAAAAATGCAATTTTTGGCTGGGTGCAGTGGCTCACGCCTGTAATCCCAGCACTTTGGGAGGCCGAGGCGGGCAGATCATGAGGTCAGGAGATCGAGACCATCCTGGCTAACACGGTGAAACCCCGTCTCTACTAAAAATACAAAAAAAAAAAAAAATTAGCTGGGCGTAGTGGCGAGCGCCTGTAGTCCCAGCTACTCGGGAGGCTGAGGCAGGAGAATGGTGTGAACCCGGGAGGCAGAGCTTGCAGTGAGCCAAGATCACGCCACTGCACTCCAGGCTGGGCAGCAGAGACAGACTCTGTCCCTAAAAAATAAAAAAATAAAATAATAAAATAATAAAAATAAAAAATAAATAAAATGCAATTTTTAATAGAATGTATTATTGGCTTCAACTGCAAATGAGTCCAATTTTCATGCATGGCTATAGATTCAGCTTCAATACATTGCATGCACATTTCAAAATCCTTAGCATATTATTTTAAGTCAATGTTACCTAAAAATTTAATCACGTTTTTATGCTATGTATTTTTTGAAATACATATTTTTTCATGTCTTTCTATCAATATTACGCATACTTATGTTACATTTGTCTTTAGTCCTTTTAATGCTGACCTCCTAAACTCTACTTGATACTCAATTCTTATTCCTAGTCCTATTTAATTAAGCTTTCCTGACTAGAATTCTAATTTTGATTCACAAACTTGACAAGGCTTTTTGGAAATCAAGATTCATTAAATCAACTTATTTAGTGCTTCAACCTCAGAGAAAATACAAATATTTTTAGAGCCCTCTCTCCCAGCCTTCCTATCTAAAAATATTAAAAATACACAACAAATGTAAGGAAAACTTTCTAAAAGTAAGAAAAAAAAATTCACCAGGTCAACGTTGTGTTTACATCGCATTTTATCCTCCAATTTATCGATCTAGTGATGATTGTCTGAAGTCCATGAGATCTAAGATAGAATGTGACTTAACCAATAAAAGACAGAGCCAAAACATAGCCAAAGGCTATTGTTTGTTTCAGGATGAAATAGTTAATTGGTTATGACTCTATTAAAACAGCTTATGGTGTTCAGTTGAGTCCTTTCTCGTAGGAAAACATAGAAAATAAAAGTTGTAACATGATAGCTTACATGGATACCGAAGACAAGTTTTTACAGCTCCTTTATTTTATAGAATAAGAAATTTGCTAAATTGAGACACAGAGTAGCTACACAATAAGCTCAGGGTCACTTAACAAATAATTAGTTAACAATCAAAAAATAACCAGGGTCACTAATCTTGGTGTAATTCCTGTCTCTTGCATTATCTTGCTTTTTGACAAAATACTGGGATAGACTGAACTAACTGGAATAATAATGACAATAAACAATAATAAAAGGTCCCACTTAATTGCTCTGAACTATTTTGCATGTTCGATTTTATGCACATTTCTTTGAGGAAGATTTGATTATTCCCATTTGTCAATGCAAATACTGAGTTATATAGAAGCCAGTGACTTATCCCAAATCCCAGAGCTAGAAACTTTTACATGATGGAAAAAGCAAAAGCCATTTCATGTCAAAGCCCAGTATATAATTTTTATTGCTATGGAAAGAGTCAATAAAATCTTCTGCAATAGTTTATGGAGGTGGATTTTGTTGCTGGCCTTCTCTCCCATGCCTGTGAGTTCCAAGGCCCATTTACTTGCTACTATCTTTACCCTTATGCATAAAGAATGTATATCATTATATCGTGTTCCTCAACTTATTAACTAAACCCTAATGGGATTATTTTTCCTCCAATTAATTTGTAAGTTTTTCTGGAATATATATTTCAAAGACTCTTGGATGTTGACAAATAAATCATAATTTTGCATGTAGAAATCTATCATCGTTTGAAAAGTTAATTATACTGCTTGAATTACCCGATATGTATTCACTTACCCATTCATTCAGATAATGTCCAGAGAGCAGCTATCCTCTCCCAATTCTGGGCTTCATGGTATGGAAGGAAGGGCAGCTATGACATGGCCTATCATGGCTGGGATTGTCCTAGTCCTTATACTCTCACAACCTGAATCTCATATACGAAAACATGACTTTATGTCTTTCTAGGAATTTATCTTTGCAGCTTACTCTTTATAGTCCAGTGACATTTTTCCCCGTGCAGTTTTAGAAATAAGAATAGGGTGAGTGAGGTCATGTCAAAAATTAAGTCCATCCACACAGAAAGTTTCTGGAGTGGCATTGCCCATAGATGTGAATTGTGTCAGCATTTCAGAATGACATTTATGGGTAAAAATCATTCAGTTTGTGTGTGTGTGTGTGTAGGCTTCATCCTGTCATTTGTCATTAGGGGCTATGACAAACTTTCTGCAGATCCTTCTTGGAGCCTGATACCAATTTCAGAAAGATAAGTGGCCTCACTCCCTGTCATTTCATGCTGCCCTGGGGGTATTCAGCAATGCAGTGTGCCTTTTATTGGTACTGCAGAATGTTGCTGGAAAATGTGTTCTCGTAGGAATGCCCCCTGCAAGATCGACATATTACAGAAATATTCATCTTGACTTTCCTTCCGTTTTCCCTGGAAGGTGACAACATTGTTTAAAAATCCAGTCTGACCTAACTTCCTCCATCTTCCCAGAGCTTTTCTCTAATGTATATTGCATGTCTCTTATTTTAAGGTATATATAATACTGTGAATTGTTACCTATAGCCACATATCATTTTATGAATTACTACCTAGATTTGTTTTTAAGAGAAAGAGTCTTGCTCTGCTCCCCGGGCTGGAGTCCAGTGGCATGATCATAGCTGACTGTAGCCTCCAACTCCTGGGCTCAAGCAATCCTCCAACTCCTGGGCTCAAGCGATCCTCCCACCTCAGCCTACTGCGTAGCTAGGACTACAGGCACCCATCACCATGCCTAGCTAATTTATTTTTGTCGAGACAGGGTCTTGCTATGTTGCCCAGGCTGGTCTCAAACTCCTGGTTTCAAGCAATCCTCCTGCCTTGGCCTCTGGAAGCACTGGGATTACAAGCGTGAGCCACTGCATCCAGCATATAACCTGGAAATTTATGCATATACATTTATGATAGCTACCAAAATAAAGTCTTTTGGCTACTAAACCTACATCTTATTGAGAATTAGGAAGGATCAAAATATATTCAATATCATATATAGTTGTATGGTAAGTTACAGACAAATGAGTTAATATTGTTCATGTCTGCAGTTTAATTTGAATTTTTCATGTAGTTACAATTAAAGAGATCAAAATGGACTTTGATAGTATACTAGAACTGGACAAGATGTGAAATGCAATGGAGGAAAAAATTAGAAGCTCCTAAATCGAGAGGAATTAAGGAGGGCTTATAGTAAATAGGGGAATAAAATGAGCTTCTGTTAGTGAAATGCTTTGCTTCAGCACTGGGAACATGCCACGCACAGCTAAAGACTTCATTGGCATAAAGGGACTCAAAACTGTCATTAAACTCAGATGGTCTAGTGGCACAATATCAAATATGAATTATTATTATACAGTGTTATCAAAAATTAACTGTTCTTTGCTATCTTACTGCAATTTTTTCCTTAAAAAATTATTAATATGAGGTGATACACGAGTTTTTAAAAACTTAAATAAATGGTAAAAGAAAAAAGCATGTATATACTTCCAGATAAAGTATTGTTTACATTTTGTTGAATCTACTTCTATTTCTTTCATATGTGCAAACAAATACATACACACAGTTGTTGTTGCTTTTATATAATTGAAATTGCAGATGGTGTTATATATTTTAATGAGATTCATATAAAATTATATAAATACATTTTCATTGGATTTATGGGCATAAATACCACCTAAGTCAAGGAAAAACATGCAGGGAATTACACAAACCTTATATTTTAATTGAATTTGGGGTGTAAATACCACCTACATGAAGGAAACATATTACTAATTTAGAAGTCCACCTCATCCTGACTCTTCATGGAGTTCTCTACCATCTTTCCAAAAGAAACCACCATCCTGATATTTAACACCAAAGTGCAGTCTGGTGTTCAGTTGGACTGGCTTTGAATTTTATGTAGATGAAATTGTATGGTGTGGTGTCTTTGTCTTTAGTTTCCTCTGTTCAACATTATGTTGGTGACATTAATTTTTGATGTAGAGTGTAGCAATAGATTACTCATTTTCTTGGTTTAGAGATTTCCTTATATGAATAGCCACACTTGATTCCACTTTTACTGGATATCTGGGTAGTTTCCAATTTTTAGCAATTCCATGTAGAGATTCTACGAAGATTATTAATATAATTACGTGTGTCTGTGTGCATGCATCCGTGTGTGTGGACATATGAATAGACACCTTTTGGTTTATGCTGGGTGAAGGTGTCTATTCAGCTTTGGTGGATATCCTCAGATAATTTTCCAAAAGTGTTGTACGATCAGCAGTATTTGGAAGATCCATTTGCTCTAGTTTCCTCCAGCACTTGAAACTTCTTGACTTTATTTCATTTTAGCCATTTTAGTGCATATGCCATGTCACCTCATTTTGGTTTAATTTGGAGTGTCCATCATGAATAACAAAGTTGGACTTTCTTACATGGCTCTTGGGAATTTCAATATACTGTTTTGTAAAGCGTATGTTAGGCCTTTTGTTCCACCTTTCTGCTGAACGGCCTGTGTCTTCATATTGATTTCTCAGGATTCTTAACGTCTCTGAATATTAGTCATCCTATTGCAAATTTAGCTCAATTTACGTATTTTGAAAACATATATAGATAATAAGTCTCCCGTTTTGTGGCTTGCCTCTTTACTCTCTTAATGTTGTCTTGATGGATACTAATTAGTTATAATAATGATATTGTTTGGCTGTGTCCCCACCCAAATCTCATCTTAAATTGTAGCTCGCATAATTCCCATGTGTTGTGGGAGGGACCCGGTTGGAGATAATTGAATCATGGAGGCAGTTTCTCTTATAGTGTTCTCGTGGTAGTGAATACATCTCATGAGATCTGATGGTTTTATAAGGGAAAACCCCATTCACCTGGCTCTCATTCTCTCTTGCCTGCTGCCATGTGAGATGTGCTTTTCACCCTCCACCATGATTGTGATGCCTCCCCAGCCATGTGGAGCTATGAGTCCATTAAACCTCTTTTTTCTTTATAAATTGCCCAGCCTTTGGTATGTATTTATCAGCAGCGTGAAAACAAACTAATACAAATATGATCCAATGTGTCTTTTCGTTTCCTTGATACACACTATAAGACATTTTTCCTAATACAAGATCATGAAGGTATTCCTCTGTGTTGATTCCTAGTTCTATTTTTTTACTTTTGACATTTAGACCTAACATTTGTAGGGAATAGACTTTGCCTATACTGTGACTATACGACTCTCCTCCCATCACCACACACACAGTGACCCATCGAGAGGTGTATATGGAAAAAAAACCTTCATCCTACAGCTCTATAAGAACTTGTGTCAAAAAACAAATCCCTATATGAGTAAGTATATGTTAGTCTCCATTCTGCCCCATTAGATTATTTATTAATTAATTGTATATCGATATGTCAATATATCAACATCGATATGCAATTAATTTTTTGGGCATGGAATACATATCTAATGATTTCATATAAATTAAATATCATTTCTAAGTTTCTAATTTTTGTTAATGTGATGTACATTGATTTTCAATATTGAGCCAGTCTCACACTTGGGCAATGAAACTAACTTAGTTGTCTTTTGTATATCTGAGTTCAGTTGGCTGATACTTTGTTTAGATTTGGGGTCTGGGTTTACAAATATGATTAGCCTGTAATTGTGACTAAGACTGTTATCAATACACAGATTACTTTATCAAGAATTGACATTGTCACATTGCATTGTGTTCCAGTCTATGAATATGTCACAGCCCTCATTTATTTAGCTTTACTGTCTTGAAGTTTTTATTGTTGGTCTTGCAAAATTTTTGTTCAATATATCCCTAGGTATTTGAAGGATTTTTTAAATGTAATTTTGTAGAGACCCGTTTTATTTTCTCATTTGCAATTTACTCATATACAATTTACTTATATATTTTCTGGGCATTGAGTACCTATCTAATGATTTCATATGAGTTAAATATAATTTCTAAATTTCTAATTTCTGTTAATGTAATGTACATAGATTTTCAATATGTAGCCAGTATCACAGTTGGGCAATGAAGCTAATTTAGCTATCTTTTCTATGTCTCTGAATTCAGTTAGGTAATACTTCATTTAGGATTTTGGGTCTTGGTTTATATCTATGATTGACTGTAATTTGTCTTTATTAAAAACCTTCCACAGCCTCTTGATACTAAAGTGGGACCTGAGAAACTGCATTTCTAACAAGGTCCCAGATGACCACAATGTTGTTTTTCCATGGGCCACGTAGTAAAATGCAGAGAAACTCAGTCTGAAGTTTAGCTGACCATATTTTCTCTCATGACATCTTCTTCAAGATTGCAAAAAGCAACTAATATATATGAATGAATATTCTTATATTTTACTATCATGGCCCCAAGGCACTCCTGCTTTGGTGACAAAATGATGAGAATATAATCTGAATCTCAAGGTATTACAGGTAAATTGAGGCTGCAGTAATACCTGCTCTCAACTTAACCTGGGAGCTTTAAAATCTTATTGTTCTTTAATCTGCCTTGGATCAGCCAGTTCATAGTTTTGAGTCTGCCCTCTGAAGACCCTGATTCATAGAAACCATATCTTATTAGTTAGTTATTTTGGTTGCAAGTAAAATAACTTACAGTTGATATCTTCAGCAAGAAAGGGAAATGCATGGAAAGGATGTTGACACAATCCCCCAGGATCAAAGAACATGTTTAACCACAAAGGCTCTGTAAAGTAATTCATTGTCTGGGTGCAGTGGTTCATTCCTATAACCTCAGCTCTTTGAGAGGCCGAGATGGGAGGATTTCTTGAGGCCAAGAGTTTGAGAACAGCCTGGGCAACATAGCAAGACATCATCTGCACAAAATAAATTTAGAAAATAGCAAAATATGGTGGTGTGCACCTGTAGTCCCTGCTATTCAGGAGGCTGAAGCTGGAGGATCACTTGAGCCCAGGAGTTGGAGGCTTCAGTGAGCTATGATCACACCACTGCCCTCCACCCCGGACAACAGAGCAAGACCTTGTCTCTAAAATAAATAAATAATTGACCGAGCTCTAGCTCTGGTGACTTCCCACTGGGAGTTGTTTTTGTTTGGTTTTGGGGTTTTTTTTGTTTTTTTTTTTGAGAGACAGGGTCTTGCTCTGTCGCCCAGGCTGGATTGTAGTGGTGCGAACGTAGTTCACTGCAGCCTGTACCTCCTAGGCCCAAGCAATCCTCCCACCTCAGCCTCCCAAGTATCTGGGACTGCAGGCACACAATAGCACACCCTGCTAGGTTTTGTTTTTTGTTTTTGTTTTTTTTGTAGAAATGGAATTTCACCATGCCACCCAAGCTGGTCTCCAACTCCTGGGATCAAGCAATCTACTCACCTTGGACTCTCAAACTGCTAGGATTACGTGCATGAGCCACTGTGCCTGACGTCTACTTCTTTATTAGAATTACATGAGGCTGTTTCCTTCTAAAGCCTCTCCTTCTTATCTTTTCCTGGCCATTCTGCAAATTCCTAGAAAGAGAATTGATTTGGTCCACTCTAGTTCAGATGCTCATTCATGAAATGAATCAACTGAGGCCAAGGCTTGGGATCCTCCTAGGAAAAACATGGATACACCAGAATTTTTCCTAGACTGGAGATAGGGAAAAGCAATTTCTAGAGGGTGTAGTGTGTGCTGAAACCAGCAAAGATACACCCATTAAAGATATAAGCAATGTGTTAGGAGAGTCCAATCCCATCTAAATTTATTCCAAATGGGAGAGCACAAGTAGGGGAGACATTATTTATTGCCTACATGCTATTTATCTCTTCTATCCTATTTAGCAGTTGTTTTTGCAGACACACACATACGAAAGACTTGTTTCCATGGTGTCTGTGAACAGATAGTGCCTGTAGTCATAGCAGGAGGAATCGAGGTTGCCAAAATGCAGAGTTTGCCACTGGGCATTCCGCTGAGTGATAAAAACACCCCCCAAAGGCTCACATCAGGTCAGGCAGCATCCTCCCTTAATGGTGAGAGGGAAGCAGTGGAACTCTGTCTGCACTGCCTATGAAACATAACAATGCGATCCGGCTGTGATGTCAGCGAGAGTGGCCAACAACAGTTCTTCGAACAGATGTGACATTTGACCACACCTCTGAACACTGGGATTAAAGCGCTATTTTTCAAGGGCAATATCTGTGAGGTCTCAAGCTCATTTCCTCATTCTATTTACCAGGACACATGGCCTTTTCAGGTCAAGAAGCAACGGAGAACGACACATGTAGGCTTCAGCCTTCTTTATAAAGATGAGGAGGAAGCCACAGTGATTGCTTTAATAGATAAAGAGAACACCCACTTTGCTATTTCTACCATGCATTTCTTAACTCACCACCTGTATGTGTATGTTAATCACGAGTCCACATATCGCTGCATAATTAACTTCATAGTTAGTATAACCCTAATTATCCTTCCTCAAACATTTAATGTATATTTTAATATGTGTCTGTCAACATAAACACTACTTAGATATTGCAAAATACATTTCAGATGTCTCAATGTAGGCAAGACTGCATAGCATTTTTTTCATTTCCCAATGAATAATGCAGGCTGAAAATTTAGCTTTTTACAAGGATATATATAAACTGGAAGTCCTTGTGCCCCAAACAATATTGTTTATCATGTGCCAGATGATGCATAGAAAGATATAGCGGGCTTAACTAAAAGATAAGTGAAGCACTCTAGCCATCTGTATTTACTTGGTAGATATAATCTTTCATAATTCATCTGAAAAGCAAATTTCCATAACAACATAATATATATTTTTAATGCACTGACCTACCAAGTTGCAAGTTCTCAATCATAGTCAGGAAGCAGTCCTTAGTGAAACTAAAAATAAGCCCTGCATTTCTGCAAAACATCTCAATATAAGCATCTTCCCTTTTTACAAAATGTATTCTTGAAATAAATGTTTTCATAATATTCTCATGATCAAAATGCTTAAAATTTGTCATCATACATTGGACACAAAGTCATTTCATGATATTAAAAAGTAGCTAAATTTTAAGGAGATTTTGTTGCTCTAATTCCGATATCAATTAACATAAATTTCCATTTCATGCAGTTGTTGGGGTCAGTTCTGAATGAACTACAATGCCATTCATATTTGTCCTTTTGTTTCCCTCCTCTTTAAAAGCTCTATCTCACATCCTCACATCCTGTTTTTATAATTCCAGCTATGATACTGAGCACATGATTACAGTAGAACTAAGCTTCATAAGAATATCCTCATTTCAATGATGAAGAATACTTGATTCTAAATAAGTTTAAAATTTCTAAACCACCAGTCTTTAAAAGAAACATTTTCAGTACTTCACTAATTTGCCATGGAGATATTGAAAAATAAGTATTCTACCCAATCAGTCAGTATTCTCTGGCTTTGCATTGCCATTGGAGTTGCTTGGCTCATGTCCTAGGAATTGGGAGGAAAAGAAAGTCCTGGTATTCTTGTGATAGCTCAGCATTCGCATAGCTGCTCTATGAGCTAGAGGGAGCTCCAGGGAGCTCTAGGATAGAACTGAACATCCAAGGTTTTCTGAGTGGATGTTGGTTGCCCTCCAAGGACGTCTTCCCTAAGCGAGAACAGCTCTTTCATGCTTCTTGCAAACTGGGTTAAAGTCTTACAGGCAAAAGTCATATGGAGTAGCACATGGGAGAAGTTTGCTAAAATCTCCTGCAAATATGAACTTTACATTTGCAGAGAATGTCATCTGGAATGGGAAATGTTCATTTACTTTTTGTAGGTATTTATTGTCATGAAAGTAATTTCACCCTATGCCCCTGTTGCAGGATTTTAGAAAAACCACTGGTTGCCATCATTGGAAAGTGGTAATTTAAAAGCTTTAAGCTTGGTAACCCCAAAGGTTTGGGGGAAAATATTAGTTCTACCTGGTTTAAAGTATCTAGAGAGGACCCTGCAGTCTTTGAACCACAGTGGTCCAATCTAAAGATATAGTCAATGCATTATTCAGTGTGTTTTAATGGAATGGGAGACAGAGGTGAGTGGGAGACAGAGGTGAGTAGGAGACATCGTATATGACACAGGACATTTGACAAAGACTAGAGACATTTTTGATTTGGAGCGCACTGATGGCATCTAGTTGGTAGAGGCCAGAGATGCTTGTAAACATCCTACAATGCACACGACAGCCCCTGCCACTACAAAGAATTATCAGTCCCCAAATACCAATAGTGTCAAGGTTGAGAAAGCACGCTGGAAATCCATATGATCTCTCCAACGGAAGAGACTGCTGCTTCTATATCTTGCTTAGAAGACAGGGTACCTTAGTTCCAGACTTCCTTGATTCAGAACTGCTTTTCCAAGCTAGGATCCCATCACCTCCGCTGGTCCCTTTGATATACCTGTTAAATTACCATCTATTTCACAAGGATTTTCCAAATCTTGCAATTTTGCATGATTTCTAGCTCTCCACATTCAATGATTGTTTTTCTGGTTCCTAAGGAAACTTATTTAGACGCTGGCAGAGTGCGTTTCTGCTAATTCAGTCTTCTCATAAGCACCTGCATATTCCAAATGTCTTTTTCATCTGTCCACTAGAACAAACCCCTTCACTTGCACCATTTACACAATTCCTTGACTATAAAGTCTATTCCATAAACATTTTTCAAAGGAAGAAAGATTACAAAACCAAAATATTAATAGTTGTTTGTCCTAAAATTAGTGGCACTAGTCATTTTATCCTTTATACACACTTTTCTATATTTTATTAATTTTCTATTTTAAATGCAATTGGCCCCTAAACAACATGGGTTTGAACTGTGCAGGTCTCTTAGACATGGATTTTCTTCCTCCTCTGCCATTCCTGAGACAGCGAGACCAACCCCTCCTCTTCTTCCATCTCAGCCTACTCAACTTGAAGATGACAAGGATGAAGACCTTTATGATGGTTCTACTTCCGCTTAATGAATAGTAAATATATTTTTTCTTCTTTAGAATTTTCTTAATAATTTTCTTTTCTCTAGCTTACTTTATTGTAGGAATATAATTCATAGTACATACACAAAACATGTGTTAGTCAACTGTTTATGCTATTGCTAAGGCTTCCAGTTAACGGTAGGCTATTAGTCATTTAATTTTGGGGGTGTCAAAAGTTACATGCAAATTTTCCACACGCGAGTCAGCACCCCTAATTCTCAAATTGTTCAAGGGTCAACCGTATTTGATATTCAATAATAAATTATAGGCTGGGTGCAGAGGCTCATGCCTGTAATCCCAGCATTTTGGGAGGCCAAGGTGGGTGAATCACCTGAGGTTTGAAGTTTAAGACTAGTCTGGCCAACATGGCGAAACCCTGTCTCTACCAAAAATACGAAAACTAGCCAGACGTGGTGGTAAAGGCCTGTAATCCCAGGTACTTGGGAGGCTGAGGCAAGAGAATTACTTGAATCCTGGAGGTGAAGGTTGCAGTGAGCCAAGATCGCACCACTGCACACCAGCCTGGGTCACAGAGCAAGACTCCGTCTCAAAATAATAATAATGATAATAATAAATTATAGTATATTAAATCCTTGTTCCTCTAACCAACATTATCTAGATGGCACAAAGTTTTCTGTTATTCTCAAACTTAGCTCACATTAGCACTAATAATATCTTTAATTAATGATAGTGTAGAACTGATACATTTACATTTGTTGCAATAAATGTATTCTATCATTCTATGGGATCCTATGTACATTTGAATTATGTTGTGATGATTTTATTTTTAAAAAGCAAGAGTTCTTTAATTTTTATGTTTATTGATATATCATAGATGGACATATTTTGGGGGTACATGTGATATTTCAATACATGCATACAATGTGCAATGATCAAGTCAGGGTAATTGGGTTACCCATCACTTCAAACATTTTTCTTTGTGTTGGGAACATTACAATTCTTTTAGCTATTTTGAAATATGCAATAAATTACTAGTAACTATAATTTCCCCACTGTACTACCAAATACTAGAATTAATTCCTTCTAACTCTATTTTTCTTACTTTCTATATTAATTTACATCTACATTTACAAGCTGTATTGTTAGTATAACTTTAATGTAAACATGTATTTTACCTAAGTGTTAGTTGCATGGATGTCCAGATACTATGTGTCTTTAATTACATTAAATCTAAGAAAAGTAACTCTCTAAAAAGTAAGCATAGTGACTGTATAATTTCCTTCATTTAGTTCCTTGAAGAAACCTGTGAAACCTTAATTAAATCCTGCTCTCTATTGTTAGTTTAAAAATGATCAGAACAAAAAGGATCTGGCAACTTGGAAGACTGCATTGTAAAACCACTTGAGAGGAAGAATACACTTCAGTTTATGGCAAACTGGAGAATTCAGAACTCAGACCAAATTTTGCATTAAAAAAACAAAAAACTAAAAAGCTAAGCCAAATAGTATTTTAAATATGCCTGAATAATTATGGAGTCAGTATCCAGTGATCTTATCCCAGAGTTGTCTATCCATTCATGAAGATGCAGCTAAGAGGCTGTGAAATTGAGCAAATAGTTCAATAGCCTCATAGGTTTACAGGGAGAATAAAATGGAGGGTGGTGCCCATCACGGTGAATAATGATAAATCTCCCATGCTTTATATTAAGACCCTTAAAAATATACCCTGTGAGTAAGTACATTAACTAGGAGGTGTCTGGCTGGCCTCCACCAAAACTGAAACCCAATGAATCCCGTAAAATGCATCGTGATTCTAGTTTCCTACTTCCACTGGCAGCAAATGAACTCTGTTTTTCTAAACATAGAGAAAATTATCCTAGACTTAAAATTAGTCATATTTTTTGTATACAATGTCTGACATTCAGTTAGAAATTGCTGGGCACTTAAAGGATAAAATGACATTGCCAAGAGAAATAATAGATAATAAAATAGGGTGATGAAGATCTTCCATTCTCTGTAACAAACAAGACAAGGAGACATTAAAAATACAGTGTTGTAATGTATAGAAGCTCTGAGAACTACAGAAACAAAATAATCGATATTAATAGTTATAGAACTTTATCCTCAAAAATGCAAAGTATGTGCTCATTTTAAGAATATGTGTAATATTACAATTTTTTTTGTATCCTGGCTATAAAGCAAATCTCTGCAAAATTAAAAGGATTTCAAACAGAAAGTATAGCTTTACTGCCCACAGTGCAATTGGCTAGCCATCAATAAGCAAAGACAATAAGGAAATTAATATGATAGAAAAACAGGAAATCATAGGCCAGGTGAGGTGCCTCACATCTGTAATCCCAGCACTTTGGGAGCCTGGGCAGGTGGATCACTTGAGGTCAGGAGTTCAAGACCAGCCTGGCCAACATGGTGAAATCCCATCTTTACCAAAAATAGAAAAATTAACTGGGCGTGTTGGCAGGGGCCTGTAGTCCCAGCTACTCAGGAGGTTTAGGCATGAGAATAGCTTGAACCTGGGAGGCGGAGGTTGCAATGAGCCAAATCATGCACTCCAGCCTGGGCAACAAACAAGACTCATATCAAATAAGAAAGAAAGAAAGAGAAGAAAGAAAGAAAGAGAGAGAGAGAAAGAGAGAAAGAAATAGAGAAAGAGAGAGAGAGTAAGAAAGAAAGAAAGGAAGAAGGAAAGACAGGAAATCATATTTTTAATGCTAGGTATCCAAATGAAATACAGTACTTTAACTAAATATTAATGAAGATTTACTATTTTTTGTGATAGAGGCTTAGATGAGTGACTAATTTGTAAACAGATCTCTCTGTCTAATATCTACCTATGTTTATATCTACCTATGTATCATTATCCACGTCTATCAATTTTTTTATCATCTATCTCACACCTGAATAATATGCTGGTTGTAGAAGAGGCTGGGCAGATGTAAGGAATACATTTCTCTGGTTTTTAAACTGCATGTGGGTTGATTCCATTTTAAAAACCTAGACTATGGAATAACTTTGGAGAGGACATTCTCTCTATTTTTTTAAAAAAAGTTGCAATAGAAGAAGCACTCTTAAAAAGTATATGAACCCACAAAAGACTTCAAATAGCCAAAGCAATTTTGAGAAAGACAAAAAAGCTGGAGAATCACACTTCCTGATTTCAAATATATTATAGAGCTACAGTAATCAAAGCTGTATGATACTGGCATATGGATCAATGCAACAGAATAAACAGCCCAGAAATTAACCTATGCATGTACCATCAAAAGATCTTGCAAGGATACACAACAGAGAGAGGAGAGTCTCTTGGACAAATGGTGTTGGGAAAACTGGATATCCATATGCAAAAAGAATGAAATTGGACCATTACACAACAGAAAAAAAACGAACTAAAAATAGATTCAAGACTTCACATAAGACATGTAAGGACTTCACATAAGACCCTGTAAAACTCCAAAAAGAAAATATAAGGAATAACTTGTTGACATTGGCCTTGGCAATGATTTCTTGGACATGACACTGAAACCACAGGCAGTGAAAGCAAAAGAGGACAAGTGGAATGACATTTAACTAAAAAGTTCTGCACAGTAAAGAAAGCAATCTACAGATTGAGAAAGTATCCTATGGAATGGGAGAAAACATTGGCAAACCATGCAGCTAATAAAGAATTAGTATACAAACTAAATAAGGAACTCCTTCAACTCAACACAAAAACATGTACAACAACAACAACAAAAAAACACCAAATAATTCAATTAAAAATCGCCAAAAGACTAAATAGACATTTCTCCAAAGAAAACATACAAATGGCCAACAGGTACCTGAAAAGGTGCTCGACATTATTACCCCAGGGAAACGCAAATCAAATCCACAGGGAGATACTGACCTACACTTGTTAAGAAAGTCATTATAAAAAACTAAAAAATAACAAATGTTGGCAAGGATGTGGAGAAATCGGAACCATTGCACTGTGTTTGTTGGAAAGTAAAATGATGCAGTCATTCTGGAAAACAGTATGAAGCTTCCTCAAAAATTAAAAATAGGCTCATGCCTGTAATCCCAACACATTGGGAGGCTGAACTGGGACGATCACTGGAGCCTAGGAGTTTGAGACCTGCCTGGGCAAAACATAGAGAGACCTCATCTCTAAATTATATATATACATATATATATATGTACATATATATGTATATATATAATTTAAAAATTAAAAATAGAGCTACCACATGATCCAGCAATTCAACTTCTGTGTTTTTATTTTAAAAATAAAAAATAAAAGTGAAATGAGGATCTCAAAGAGATATCTGCACTCCTATGTTCATTACAGAATTATTTACAATAGCCAAGATATGGAAACAAACTAAGTGTTCGTTGATAGACTGATGGATAGAGAAAATGTGGTCTCTACATTCCATGGGATGCTACTCAGCATTTCAAAAGAAAGAAATTCTGCCATCTGTGACAATATGGATGAAAACATTATGCTATGAAGTAAGCCAGGCACAGGAGGACAAGCACTGCATGATTTCACTTACATGTGAAATATGAAATTGTCGAACTCATAGAAGCAGAGTAGAAGGGTGATTATCAAGGGGTGGGTTGGGATGGGAAAAATGAGAGTTGTTTTCAATGGGTGTAAAATTTCATTCATGTGTGGTGAATACATTCTAGAAATCTGCCTCATTAACATAGTGGATCTAGTTAACAATACTGTATTTTGCACATAAAAATTTTGTTTAAAGGCTGTCTCCTGTTGTGTTCTTACCACAAAAAGTAGGGGGCACCAGAAAACTTTTGGAGGTGATGCATAAATATGTTACCTAGATCATGATGGTTATTTCATAGGTGCATATTCAAACTCATCAAATTGTATGCATTAAATTTGTATAGATTTTTGTATATCAATTATACCTCCGTAAAACTGCTCAAAAAAGCTTGGGCGGTGCACAGAACCTTCTCAGGACACCTGGAATTATATTATAAGAGCACTTATATTTAAATTAAAAAATGATCTTTAAAATGAAACACAAAGTAGCTGCTTATTATTAATGGCAACAGAACTACCTCAACAACACACTAAGTAGAAGACCAAAGCCCCTCTTAAATGACAGTGTGTCTCCCACTCTCCTCCCCTCTCCTGGCTATTCTTGCTTCATCCTTTTTGACATTTGCATGTATGTATTTTCCAGGTACTTGTTGGGGATTTTCTACTTAACCCCTAGATAGTCTTCCCAGTTAGCATGTTTTCCATCCATGGCTTCAAATAAAATGATTTAGTCATGATGTCTGATTCTGAGATGTGGCAGGGAGCACCATTCTATAGTGCAGACCCATATTTCAAGATCCCTTTTTCATGACTCAAAGTTGCCTGAAAGTGAACAGAAACATATTGAACTTCCTTCCCTTTTCACTCTTCTTCTTTACATAAAACTGTCACCGGCAGACGTGGTGTGCTTCACAACTAGGAAAGGCAAATTTTCTAACATATTGTACTGGTCAACTTGAATGCCAATCATTTATCTATGTTGGTGCAAAGGTGAACACATTTTTTGCCACTACTTTCAATGACAACCGCAATCACTTTTGCACCAACATAATACTAACCCCTTCTTTTATTTTCTCATCTTCACAAACACAGAGCTCAAGTTCAATTATGCCTATCCTTAGCATATTCCAATCATTTTCCTATTTTTTTGCTATTTACTTCTTTCTCTTTGTTCTTCAGATGTTATTTCCCCTTTGGTTCAATCTTTGCCCTAATGTTGCCAATAAAATAAGTATCACTGATTAATCTTTCTTCTGTGTTGCTACAGTATATGCATATCTCTATTGAAGCACTTACGATCATTTATTAAAATTAGTTGGGAATATGTACCATTATTTTCTGGACTCTGAGGTTCATAGTGGGAAGAAACGTCCTATAGTTTGGGGTTTACCTTTCGTATAGCTTACCAACAGAAATTAAATCATGATTTATTGGCCTTTATTTGAATTCAAGAATGAATGAATTGCAAGCCATATTAAATTCTTCCTTCTAATTAATTTTTAAAATTAAATTTCAGGGGAAGTAAATAAATTAGCCATCTGCCACCAACTATATATGGTGATCACTGTTCCCTGCTATTAATATATTCTTTGCTATATTCTTCTGAAAGCTTCCTTGGTTCAGAGTGCAGTGATTTATTTAAATATAGCTAGCCTTGCATTCCATAGCCTTCTCACTGAATCTTTATGAATGTTGGGGCACAGTGCTAGCTGTGGAAAAAGAATTTAATCAAATATCTTGACAATATCTGCAGTACTGTTTTTCCCTAAAAAATCTGTTAAAGAATAGGGAGGAAGCGAATCTTTCTAAATGTAATAGAGCTATCTGATTCTTTAGAGAACATATATGCTCATCAGCTTTCAATTCAAAAGCAGACAAACAGGCCAGGTGCTGTGGCTCATGCCTGTAATTTCAGCACTTTGGGAAGCTGTGGCTGGCTGATTGCTTGAGCGCAGGAGTTCAAGGCCCTCCTGCGCAAAATGGTGAAACTCAGTCTCTAAAAAAAAAAAATAAAAAGGCTCGGTGTGGTGACACATCTGTAATCCCAGCCAGCTGTCCCCAATCTTTTTGGCATCAGGTACTGGTTTTTTGAAAGACAATTTTTCCACAGACAGGGGTGGGAGCATGAGGGGGTGGGGAATGATTTCAGGATGATTCAAGTGCATTGCATTTACTGTACACTTTATTTCTATTATTATTAAATACTTACCTTAATGTAGAATCACTGGAAGCCCTGAGTTTGTTTTCCTGCAAGTAGACAGTCCCATCTGGGGGTTATGGGAGACAGTGACAGATCATCAGGCATTAGAATCTTACAAGGAGCCCACAACCCGAATCCCTCGCATGCGCAACTCGCACTCCTAGGAGAATCCAGACAGAGCTCAGGTGGTAACGCCTGCCTGCCTGCTGCTCACTTCCTGCTGTGTGGCCCAGTTCCAAACAGGTCACAGACTGGTTCCTGCCTATAGCTTGGAGGTTGGGGACCCATGGTCCCAGCTACTCTGGGAGGCTGAAGTGGGAGGATCACTTGAGCCTGGGAAGTTGAGGCTGCAGTGAGGTATGATTGTGCCAGTGCACTCCAGCCTGGCTGAGAGAGTGAGTCTCTGTAAAACAAAACAAACCAAAACAAACCAAAACACCCTTTAACTGTGATAAGAACCAAGCGGAAGTAATCCACATCGTTAGCCTTCATGGAGTATTACAGCAAACATGGCTTGGAATCACATTCAGCAATGGCCCTAAACAGCAGCAAAACAAAGGCCATCATATGCAGTTCAGTTTATTTTTTGCTAGGTAATCTCCAAACATCCTCTATTCTAATCTTTTTAATTCAACCACAAAATATCAATATTAAGAAATCTGTTATGATTCTCTTTCTAATAAAATATAGATTTTCCATAAAGATCATGAAAGAAATTATCTGATGAAGACATTAACATATAACACATAAATAAAAATGAGAAGAATGCGTTTGACTTTGTGGTTAAGAGCAAAAATAATTGTGTTCAAAAATCTATCTCTATCAATTATCATCTATTTATCTCTATCAACCTATCTATCTACCATCTAGCTCTATTTATCTCTATCTCTATTCATCTCAACATATCTCTATATATGAATATGTATGTATCTATGTATCTATCTATCTATGTATCTCTGTGTTTTGGTATAATCATGTTTTTCCACGATTTACATTGGTTATCATTAGTTTGGGAAATCAGCATAATAAAGTTGCCTTTTATGTTATTTCATTTAACATCCTTAGTGATAAACATTGGTGAAATTAACCAGCAGTGACAACCACAGGGTTTCCCATATTAAAAAAATATATATTTATGAGGATATTCTTAAATCAGTTACTGATTGAGAGACCTTATGCTTCATACAAAGAGAAATAATTCATTTTCTTTTCTTATCAACCAGGAAGAGATCCGAAAAGCCTGAAAAATGCTGAAGTTCTAAACCAGGCTTTAGACTGTTTATCCCAACCTCTCTGCAAATAGCTATAAGAGCTATTTATAGCCTATTTACACATCGTTGAGCTAATTGGGAGAAATATTTAACTGTCGATTTTTGTAAAAAACTCAGATGACCACTCAGGTTCTATGAGCACTCACTCTGTAACAAAATAATAGTCAAGCAGGCATTAATTCCCCAACGGTGCTAGAGCTGCCATCTGAAGTAGCCATCATGCTGTACTCAGCAGAAATTATCCCTGAGCACTGAGCATTCTGTCAGTATTCCCAGTTCTGAGAACCTGAGCAGATAGTGACTATTTTCTCACCAACAGCTTGAGCAGGAGCAGATAAGATGTTTTCCAACCACAGGGACAGATACTGTTTGCACATACACTGCAAAAGAGATTCTTCCTCTATCTAATTGGTAAAATCTGAGCATGACCCAGAATTAATATAGACCTAGAAAGCCATTATTAAAATCCAATATGTATCCATTATGTGATTTTTAAAAAAATATATACTTTATAAAATTAGTAAAACCCTTAGAATTTCTGTATTTTCATTTTCAAAAAATAAAAATCTAAAATTTTTCTAATTTTTTAAAAAATTTTACTATTTGTAGGGGAAAATTACCATATTTTCAAGAAAGAATTAATCCAAACATCAGACTAAATGTGGAACACTCAAAAGAAAAACAGACTACAAAAATAGTCAATGTAAATGGTAGCTTTAATAGTTTTATTAGATTATCACTTAGATTTATTCTTTATCACATTTATCATTTAGAAAGACTTGCATTGGATGTGACTTTATAAAATTTCACTATAAAATATCTGTTATATGTCATTACTTCCAGATTCATGGAGCATGTTGAAAAATTACTTAATATGGTCACACTTATTTATACATCAAAATCCTTATATCTAAAAAATAATTCCAAGGAGGTTTTTCTTTTACCTCTGTTCATGTTTATTCAGGAAAATGTTATAAGTCCATTTTGGTAAGCTATAGGGGAAGTTTCAAGTTTCATCATATACTCTTGTGAATTATTTATAAGGTCTTCCTCAAGAATATTCCACTTCAGTTAAAAGGCTCTGCATCTGTGGTTGGCAATGAGCCTGGACATTGGGTAAGAAATTGAGATTCTCCATTATATTGTCTTAAGTTTTTGCCAAGCAGATACAGAAATTTTCTGCCTCTCTCAAGCAGAATCTTTCCAGCTGTCTATCTATTGCTTTTTCTATGATCTAATGATCAATAAACCATGGTTACAGATTCTCAAACTCAACAAACCCTCATATTCCATCCTGTAATGTAGTTTATTCATTGTCTCAGGTGGTTAAGTGCCATCTAGACATGGCTTACCCAAGATCCTTTGTCTCACATTGAATTAAGGGATTACTGAGTATGGCTGTGGTCTTTCCTAAAATGTGTTCAGCGCAAAACCTAGAATAATAACACTATTTTAAAATGACAAAATTATGTATGAAGTTAAAGTTCAAGGATATTTATAGAAATGGACTACAACAGGACTACACAAATCCCCAAGGCAAAAAGGAAATTCCACAATGTCTTGCATTCAATCACAATTTGTAAGGCATGCAAAAAACAAAAAGCAAAATAAAGACAATAATGAGATAAATTGATTAATCAAAACGTCAGCCAGAATGGACCCAGAGGACAGAAATAGCAAAGACTGTAAAACAGTTCTTATTACAGTATTCCAAATGTTTAAAAAGTTCATTAGAGAATACAGTATATAAATAAGCACAAATTTATCTCCTGGAGAGGAAAACTACAATGTGTGACATAATATAACCCTGCATGGATCAATAACAGGTTAGGACATTTTAGATAAAATAATTAGTGAATAGGAAGAAATAGCAATAAAGACTATGAATAAATTAGTGACCAAATGAATGACTAAATGAAGTACAAAAAGAAAAGAACAATTTTTACATGAACAGAAAATGAGGGCTGCCTTATACAAGTGTAATTCAAGTCTCAAAAAAATAGGTACAGAAAAAAAGTATTTTTAAATAATGGCTGAAAAACTTTTATATTTGATTAGGAATATGAACAAGCAATTCCAAGAAGCTCAATGGATTCCAAATCAAGACACATGAAGGAAGCTACATAAACACAAACACACATCAAAATTTCTCAAAAAAAAGACAAAAATAAAATTATAAGAACAGCCAGAATATTTTTTTTTAAAAGAAAACCAAAAGTACAGCGAGAACATCTTAAAATTTCTCACTGGAAACAATTCAAGTGAGTAGGCAGTGCAGAAATATATTTGAACTACTGAAACAAATTTTTAAAAATTGCCTACCTAGAAATCTATACCAAGCAACAATATCTTTCAAAACAAAGATGAAATAAATTTTTTTCTGACACAAAAATCTGAAAGAGTTCATCACTAGCAGACCCGCAGTACAAGAAATTTTAGGTAGATAGGAAATTATACTAGATGGAAATATGTATCTAATAAAAGACATAAAGAGCTAAAATGATAACAACATGGGTAAATAAATGTCTAAAATTTTTTCTTATTATTTCAAAAAATAACAATGCACTATAGGATTTATTGCATATGTATAAGTACAATGCATGGTAACAATGGCAAAAAATCAGAAGAGAAGGAATGGATGTTATCTATTCTAAGATCCTTATACTATTCATGTAATGCTATAATATCTCTTGAAGGTAAATTGTGACAGGCTTTAGATTCACTATAAACCCTAAAGCAATAACTAATATAATGTAAAGCATTATACTAATATACCAAAAAATGAAATACAATGGAATCATAAACTATATTCTGCTAATCCCAAAGAATGAAGAAAATGAGGAAGAACTGAAGAAAGAACAGATGGACAAATAAAAAATAAATATATAGAGAATGAATTTATTCTTAATCACATTAAATGTGAATGGTTTAAATATGTCCATCAAAAACAGAGATTTTCAGAATATGTACAGAGCAAGGACCTAATTTTATTCTATTTACAACAAACACATTTCAAATAGAAAAAGATTGAAAGCAAAGTGATGAAAAATATATAATATGCCTACATTAATCAAAACTGTCTGAAATGTCTATATCGATATCAGACAAAAGAGATTTTAGAACAGAGAATATTACCATGAATAAAGGTAATTTCAAGATAATAAAGGAGTCAATTTATCCAGAGGACATAGGAATTCTAAACATTTGTACATCTAATAATAGAACTTCAAAATATGTGAAGCATAATTATAGGGTTGCAGGGAGTCAGAGATTTTAATAGTCCTCTTTAATGGTTGATAAAATAATGAGACAGAAAATCAATAAACACATAAGAGGTTTGAACACCGTTGGAGCCACTGTCACATGTTTTTAGTTTACTGTTATGACAAAGCCCCATTTTAAAAACAGATTTATTGAGGTATAATTGACATACACTAAACTGCACACATTTAAAGCACATAATTTGATAAGTTTTTATGATTATATACAACCAGGAAACCATCATCACAATCAAGAGACTTAACATATAACTATCCTCTAAAGATTTCTCAAGTCCCTTTCTAATACCTCTCTTTTGCCCCACTCACCTCTTCTAAATTACTCTTGAATCAAAAAGGCAACTTCATCAGAAAACAGAATATGTTTCAGACTGATCATTAAATCTCTGTAAGTAATAATTAAAATACTATTCATTTTTTTGGAATGCAAGTAAAGAAGTGCTTTAAAGTACATTTATAATTCTATATGGTCTTATTAAAATTTTTGTTATTTTCATCTTAAAAAGATAGTCAAATAAAATCAAATACAACTGTTTTTTATTTGTGAAGGAATAAACTAATGAGGAGAATAGAGAAAATTTACTGTTTATCCATTATCCATTGAGTCTCAGCAAAACGTGGCCAGGAAATAAAGATGTATATGGCAGGGTGTCTGCCAGCTGCACATAATTAAGTGGGAGAATTAAGATAAAATTCCCTAAATACCACAACACACACCCAAATGCACACACACACACACACACAATTTGCATTCCAGCTATAAAATACTGTTATTCTAAGTTACAGAAAAAGATTCATGTGAGAGACGAGAGTGAACTCTTCACTCAGAATGGACAGACTATACATGCCTGGAAAGCCATCAAAAGATGAAAAAGCAAGTTAGCAAAAACATCTGAGTAAACCAGGAAGGAAGGAATTTTGGCAGCATGAACTTCTTCGATTCCTGGTAATTGTATTCCACTCAAGCAGCTGTCCTAGGTTGTATGTTTTTATTATTATTGGACATCGAAAAATACTTAAAGATACGTTATCAACTTCCCTAATTTCCAGATCAACAGACTGTAACATATTATGAAGTATAATATATAGTAAATAAAATCTAGCGATAAAAGGCACAACTTATTTTTAAGATAAATTTATAGCTGGAAAGTAATTAAATCTGTTTTTAAAAAGAACTACATGCAATTTCAGCGTTGGAATCTGCTTCTTAATGGAACTCTCCATAAAATATGTAAAGCACCTAAGAATTGTATCTTATTTTTAAATTTAGCTTTGTGTATTCTTTAGATGCCTAAGAATGCTTACAAATAATCAATATATTTCATCTCTACATATCCAATATAACAATACTAGTATGAATTATTTATATTGCATCACATTTTCTGTTTAACTGTTAAGATATTATTCATATATTCCCACAAAAACCTGAGACCTCACTAAAATGCTTTAAAGATAACCATGGAACATAAATAAACTTCCCATTTTATCTTGTATGTCTCTTTTTCCCCTAATCTCTAGGTACTGAGTAATGCTCTTTCATCTAGATATTCAAGCTTTATCAGGCTGAATTGTGCTGATAACACAATTGACTTTGGTAATCCCGTTTGTTATTGGTCTGAGGCAGGCAGTGATTTGGTTCCGAATCTTGAAGATTTTCATCCTTTAAAGTCACAGACTGGTGGCCATGTCCACAAATCCTTTTCTGTCGGAATAATTCTATTCACAGAGAACTTTGAGCGTGAAAAGCCCGACTGCATATTTGTAACCTATTTCTTCAGGCATTTTTATTTTTACAGCTGCAGCTTCATTCCAACTATCCAAAATGAACTTCATTACTATTTCCCAGGTTATAAATAGATCCTTAATTTTTCCTGATCATTTTTCTTAAGTTGCACATTTTGGAAGTGCAACTTAAGAAAATCTTATGGAAGATTTCAGTAATAACTGTGACTAGTGAGAAATAATGCAGAAAGATGATTCAATATGAAAAAAGGAAGAAAACAGTAAGGGATATAATTTTCAATAGATATTATATATTTTGAACTTTTAAGAATAGAAGTTATATGTGATGAGGGTAAATTATTGTTATTATCATTTGTGTGTGTGTGTGTGTTTGTTTTTTGGTGGAGACAAGGTCTCACTTTGTTGCCCAGGCTGGAGTGTAGTGGTGTGATCTTGGCTTACTGCAACCTCTGCCTCCTGGGCTCAAGCGATCCTCCCACCTCAGCCTCCCTAGTAGCTGGGACCACAGGTGTGTACCACCTTGCCTGGATAATTTCTGTATTTTATTGTAGAGACAGGGTCTCACTATGTTGCCCAGGCTGGAGTGCAGTGGCACAATTGTAGCTCACTGCAGCCTCGAACTCCCTGGCTTCAAGTCATCTTCCCATCTCAGCCTCCCAAGTAGCTGGGACTACAGGCACGTGCCACCATGCTTCGCTAATTTTTGTATTGTTTTGTAGAGACAGGGGCTCACTATTTTGCCCAGGATGGTTTTGAACACCTGGGCTCAAGCGATATACCTGCTGGGATTACAGGTGTGAGCCACTAGGCCCAGCCAAAGGGTAAAAAAATTCATACAATACTCATAGCCGTGCAATCAACGGTTAAGTAAATCCCTCAAAGCCCCAAACACTGCCATCCAGCTCCCACAGGTAAATGCTATTAAAGAGTTCTCATCACCCTTCTGAGAGTATTTATAAATGAGCATACCTTGCATTTGTGTTAGCGAGATGAATTCTGCAATGCACAATGAGGTGGTGAGTTGCTGTACTCCGGCCGAGTGAGACATTCAAAGGGTTGAGATAAAGTAGTCTACTCTTACTGTGTTTTTATTTTCCACAGTTTCAGTTACCTGCGGTCAACCACAGTCTGAAAAAAATAAATGGAAAATTCCAGAAATAAACAATGCATAATTATTAAATTGTGCACCATTCTGAGTAATGTGAAGAAGTCTTGTGCCATCCTGCTCCATCCTGCCCAGGATGTGAATACCCAGAGTACCTCGCTGTAGATGCTACCTGCCCATTAGTCACTTAGTAGCCCTCTGGCAGTGCTTGTGTGCAAGTCCCCTTTATTTTTCTTAATAATGGCTACAAAGCGCAAGAGTAGTGATGCTGGCATATTGTTAGAATGTTCTGCTTTATTATTAGGTGTTGTTGTTAATCTCTTACTGTGCCTAATGTATCAATTAGACTTTACCATGGGTGTGTATGTATAGGAAAAATCACTGTAGATATGATTTGGTGCTATCTGCAGATTAAGACATTCACTGGGGTCTTGGAGCTTATCATCCGTGGATAAGGGGGAACGACGGTGCTGATTATGCTCTTATGCTTGTCAAAGGAAAAGAAATCTCAGTACTCCAAAATCACCAAGCCAAACAGAAAAGTCAACCTGGGAGCTAAACCTGTCTCCTATTTTATTCCCAAATAAGGTAGCTATAACACAAAGATAAAAAAGCTACATGCTTCCCTCACAATTTGCCCACAGCAAAATTCCTTGTGGGCCTCAAGATCTTTACCCTAAAACAGTTCTGTTGAATTTCATCCTGGCAATGTAAATTGGGAGTTTATCTTCACAGGTATAGGACAAAGGACAGAACTCAAAATCATCCCTCTGCTCACCTGAGACAAATGTGTATCTGATTGCTTCCTCTGCCCTACTATTGATGTAAAAATGCAGATTCACTGAACCAGACTAAGGCAGAAGTAAGTATTCCTTTACCCCTGTCTCACATGTAAATTGTGTATTCAGTGAAAGGCTAATCAGAGACTCAAAAAAATGCAACCAGGTGTCTCTTATCTACCTATGACCTGGAAGCACCCTCCCTGCTTTGAGTTGTCCCACCTTCCCAGACTGAATTAATGTACATCTTACACGTATTGAGTGATGTCTCATGTCTCCTTAAAATGTATGAAATGAAACTGTGCCCAACCGGCTTGGGTACACGTTGTCAGGACCTCCTAAGGCTGTGTCTCGGGTACGTCCTTAACCTTGGCAAAATAAACTTTCTAAGTTGATTGAGATCTGTCTCACATACTTTTCGTTCACACACTTCTTTTTCTCCTTCAGTCCTTTGCAGCTATTCTTTAGTAAGTCTTGTGCCATATGCATGGGCTACCTCAGCCAACATTGTAGACATGGAAAGAATACTCTCCCAAATTTTGAACCACCTGCTTGCAAAGTTGCCTCCTCTGGATTTCCTGACCCACAGATTCCAGCCAGTTGAGGCTCTAAGAAATCTGATCAATGCCTCCTCGGCTCAGAAGAACCACCTTGGCCTTTTTTGCTGCCAATTCACCAGCCAAGAAGTTATACTCAGTTGGAAGCAAGATGTGTCCCATGAATACACTCTGTTCTTGGAGACTACGGTCTTGCACTGCCTATGGGCCACTGTCAAAATCAGGTACCTTGTATATCTGTTCAACTTTATGGTTGTTTATAGCAGAGGGTCACTCCATTGGAATTGGAAACAGACGTCCTAGCCGACTTTGTGCACTCAATTTTAAAAGGAGTGAATAAAGAGTGTGAAACTTCTCTTTCCAGAAATATTGTAGATGAGTTACTTCATGCAAACATGCTGATTAGAAATGCCTAAAATATTGCATACAACATTTAAAAGATAAACTGATAATGCATGTCTAATAAGATGAAAATGTCAGAGAAATCTGAGAAGCAGAAAAACCAGCAAGTACAAATGTAAATAAGAATACACAGGAAGGATGCTTAAAGCATTTGTTACTTTCATTCATTGAAGGCTGAGCAATCTCCAGACACCAATCCAAGGAACAATATTTGTTATGTGTTTTTGTTTGTTTGTTTTAGTTTTTTGAGACAAGATCTCGCTCCATCATCCAGGATGGGGTACAGTGGTGTGAACACGGCTCACTGCAGGCTCGATCTCCTGGACTCAAGCGATTCTCCTGCCTCAGCCTCCCAAAGTGCTGGGATTACAGATGTGAGCCACTGCTGTGTGTTTTTTGATGCAGTTATACTGCACATAAAATTTCATCATACTCATATCCTCATTGTTCACCTAGTAATAACTTAGTTGTCTGAGTTCCAGTGTCTTTTAAAAGTGTCTTTTAAAAAACTTCTATACCCAAGTCCAGTTTCAACAGAAAATAATATCGTGGTCTACAATTTTATGTTCTTGGTATGGGACAGATATATTGTAATTTCATTTATCTTAATCACTTTGTTGAAATGTATTCTTTACTCAACATATAGTTTTTTATTGTTTTCTTTGTTTTGTATTGTTTTGTTTGATCTCAAAGTAAAATTCTTGTTCTTATAAAATCATGGCTCAATGCCACCAACGGCCAGGTAATGTTTGGAAGTTTGCATTGTCCTGTGAACCACCTGCCTCGGCCTCCCGAAGTGCTGTGATTGCAGGTGTGAGCCACCGTGCCCGGCCAATATTCTTCATTATAAATCCTAGCTCCATGTAATTTTGTCATTTCAATCAATTTATTAAGAACTTTTTAAATGCCATGTTTTTAGGACATAATGATTAGTTATATAAAAATGTTTTCTGAAGTCTTCTATTTTTAGGCAACTTGAAGGAAACCATGATGAACAGATTTCTGTCTTTCTAAAGAGATCTAAAAATATTTAAAACGCTACTGATGTTACTTTATGGAGCATATCAAACTTATTTGGCCGTGACACTTTCTTTTTCTTTAATCATTCCGAAATATTTATAAAAGAGCTATTAGCAGAGGACACAATTAATGCTGATGCCAAAATAATACACTCTATATTTCTAAAAAATTAAATCCTTATTTGACTTTTGCTTTTTAGCAGTGGCATCATTAGACCTTAGAAACACGAATATGATATGACAGCCCTTTCTGCAGCTGCAGGCAAACCCCTTAAACTTTTCTGAGACCACAGACGTAATTATTGTTCATCCTCAATCTCATTTTCCCTAGACTTAGCAATGTTCCTGTTCCTATAATTTTCAGTGAGGTGTTATTTTCTAATTTCCTAATCTGAAAGAATGTAATGGCTTGTGCTTGATGTCAGTTTTCTATTCAACATCAAAGTTCAACTCAAGGCCAAGTTCCATTCTATCAAGGACTCTTTCAGCATGCTTCTTTTTCTCCTTGGCAAATGGCTCACCATTTCATTGCTGTCTCTAGCACCTCCCTTCACACAGAAGATAATCACCTGCAAAGTCTATAATTTCCAGGCTGACTCTTTAGAGCAAAGATGGGGATCAGTTAAGTGAAACATCTAAGAGCGAATGAACTCAAAGGAAAGGATCTTTAGAAAATTCCATCCATGTTGTGGTTGTTAATTAACCATTGATCACCCATCAAGTGCCTGGATGCATATCATTTCAGATAATTTCTACTCTGCAGGAAGGAACCTTAAATTGTTACTTTTGAAAGTAGAACAAATGTTTTTGTTCTTATAATTTGGTCAGATATTTCTGTAACACATGCTGAGTAGAGAGGAAAGAGCAGGTGGCATTGTTTAGAAAGAGCTGATCAGGGATTAAGTGCTGCAAGGTTACAGTCAGAGCTTTTCATGTGCTGTCCAGGCAGACCACAGAGGATGACTTTATTACAGGAACGTCCCGCAGAGGGTCTCTGTTCTCTTTACAAGTTTGGCAATAAATTAGGCTGGACAGGGTACTTCCGGAGCAATCCCAGTTTATCAGCTTGCTCTGCGATTCTTTACTACCAGCTAAGCTCAGAGCATCTGTGAAAAACATCAGATGTCACCATTTGAAGCCCAGTTGATAAAGTTGATCTGATTTCCCCAACTCCAAAACCTGCCATTCATCATAAATGACATGGTTATTTTTTTCCTTCCATCAAATGTCACCAAATAAAACATCACACTTAAAAGTCATTCATTCTATAAATGTAGAAAATATTTTATTCATAGGAACAGTTGAAAGGGTGCAAAGGCCCTTGGTTTTGATTTCACTGCATGCAAGACCTTTTGAATTTTAAATCAGTTCTGAATGGATCAAAATAGTAGATAAATTGATACTTACCCCAGCCACTAGGCTCTGGGGAAAATAAGAAAGGCTACTGATCAACTACAGATTGGGGAGTTTATCAATTCATTGCTAAGTTAAGTCTGGCAGGGATGACAATGGTGATGAGAACAAATACTGAAGACATTGCTAAGTATTTTAGGAAATATCTTTTTCCCTGTCATCGGGCACCAGCAAGCTTGCCGATTTACTATCTGTAACTAATGAATGAAGCCTAAACTAGAGATGAAAATGAAATGCAAATCCATGTGCTTTGAATTTTGGGGGGCACTGATATTATAGATCCTTGGAGACCAAGGACAGAAAAGGTGAATTGAATATTATTTCCAACTGGCAAAAATAAAGAATCAATCAAACTGTATATGTAGTTATAATTGTCAATGCTTGCCAATCTAAGGGAAAATTAACAACTGATCATTTTGAAAATGACAGGCCTAGCCTATATATTTAGAATGTGAATACACCTTTTGTTCTTTTATATCTTTATTTTTTGGGAGAAGAGAGAGTCTTTATTTTTGTGATCGTCTACAAAAAGGCAAAAGTAGGGGATGGAGATAAGATTATAAATGAAGGAAGGATGATTTGTTCCCTATGGTCAGGGTGTTTTTTTTTTAATAAGGTGGTATTAAGAGTTGAAGATTATTCCAATGAGTCAAAAGGAAAGACAGCCAGGCATAGTGCCTTTTGCCTATAATCCCAGCATTTTGGGAGGCCGAAGTCAGAGGATTACTTGAGGCCAGGAGTTAGAAACCAGCCTGGGCAACAGCCAGACTCCATTCCTACAAAATAAAAAAATAAAAAAATAAGCCAGGCATGGTGGCATGCGCCTGTAATCCCAGCTGCTTGGGAGGCTGAGATGGGAGGATTGCTTGAGCCCAGGAGTTAGAGGCTGCAGTGAGCCATGGTTGTGCCACTACAGTGCAGCCTGAGTGACAGAGTGAGACCCTGTCTCAAAAAAAAAAAAAAAAGAAAAGGAAAAAAAGAGAAAGAAAAGAAAAAAGGAAAGACAGAGGTTATGTTAGAAAGCAGCACTTTAGGCACAGAATGTGGAAAACAAAATTAGCCCCTACATTCAGCTCCTAGCGGGCTCTGCCGGGTCAGCCAATGTATGCTGAAATTAACAAAAATCTTGCCCCCTTTCTATATCACTATGCCAATCAATGTGAAGAATGAGCTAAAACAAAATGAAATATATGGTCATCCCAATAACAATGTGGGCCTTTATTTAAGGGAGTCATACATACACCTTTGCTTTTCAAGAGAGTATTTCATCAGATTTTCATTGGAATTGGATGGCTGCACAGAAGTCTATCTATGGGGAGCATGTGAAAACGGCTTTCACGGCTACTGTTAATGATCAGAGATAATTTTGATGAGGGACTACACAAGGATGAAAGTCTTTGATGCTAAGAAAATGTCTGCAGCGTCAGTTCTTAAGCACGGGATAAACCATCCACTGCATCTTTTCAAAACATTACCCTTCTCCTTAAGCATTCCTACCACACCACGGTCCATCTGACCATGGGCCTCAGGTGTCATATCTTATTACCCTGAGGAGAACCAGGATTCCTGATGAGAATTCTATAGAATAAAGGAATGAAAACCGTGAATCTACTTCTGTAGCTGCTCTTTCAGAGTTGTGGCCTTTTTAATAGTTGGATTCATTTTATATTTATATCTGTAGCACTGAGACCACTTGGTAAGCATACATATTTTTTATCACTGTCTTCAGTTGGTTCTCTTTCTAGACTGTGCGGCATTTTTAGAGGAAGCTCTGTAAGATCCTTATCCATTTTATAGCAAACAACCTAGCTGCTTTGACCTCATTCAATAGTTCATTCAGCAAGCATGTTTTCTGATTTTCCTACTTGCTTGGTACAGTATTTGCATTGAATGCAAACAATGACCTGGACAAATGGACTAGGCCATTCTTGCGTGCTATAGAGGAATATCTGAGGCTGGGTAATATATAAAGAAAAGAGGTTTAATTGGCTCGCGGTTCTGCAGGCTGTATAGGAAGCAAGGAGTCTGCAATTGTCCGGAGTCTGGGGAGGCCTCAGGGAGCTTTTACTCATGGTGAAAGGTGAAGTTGGAGCAGGGACATCACATGGCAAGAGCAGGAGCAAGAGATGGGGGAGAGGTGCCACACACTTTTAAACACTTTTAAACAACCAGACAGCACCAAGCTATGAGGAATCCACCCTTGTGACCCAAACAGCTCCCACCAGGCCCATTCTCTAACATTGGGGATGACATTTCAGCATGAGATTTGAAGGGACAAAGATTCAAACTATATCAACAAGGGATCGTGGTTTGTAGATAATTTAGTTAAGCAAAGTTTGCTAAGGATAATGGCCTTCAGCTCCATCCATGTTCTGCAAAAGACGTGATTTCATTCCTTTTTATGGCTGCATGGTATTCCATGGTGTATATGTACCACATTTTCTTTATCCAGTATATCATTGATGGGCATTTAGGTTGATTCCATGTCTCTGCTATTGTAAACAGTGCTGCAATGAACATAATGCATGCACATGCCTTTATAATAGAACAATTCATACTCCTTTGGGTATATACCCAGTAATGAGATTGTTAGGTTGAATGGTATTTCTGTCTTTAGGTCTTTGAGGAATCACCACATTGTCTTCCACAATGGTTGAACTAATTTAAACTCCCACCAAGAGTGTAACGTGTTCCTTTCTCTGCACAACCTCACCAGCATCTGTTATTTTTTGACTTTTTAGTAATAGCCATTCTGACTGGTGGGAGATGGTATCTCATTGTGGTTCTGATTTGCATTTCTCTAATGGTCAGTGATGTTAAGCTTTTTTTTAAATATGATTGTTGGCCATATGTATGCCTTCTTTTAAAAGTATCTGTTCATGTTCTTTGCCTACTCTTTAATGGGGTTGTTTGGTTTTTTTCTTTCTTATAAATTTGTTTCAGGTGCTGAATATAAGACCTTTGTCAGATGCACAGTTTGCAAAAATGTTCTCTCATTCTGTAGGTTGTCTTTTTATTCTGTTGATAGTTTCTTTTGCTGTGCAGAGGCTGTTTATTTTAATTAGATCCTGATATGATTTGACTGTGCCCCCACCCAAATCTCATCATGAATTGTAGTGCCCATAATCCCTACGTGTTGTGGGAGTGACCTGGTGCAAGGTAATTGGATCATGGGGGCAGTTACCTCCATGCTGCTGTTCTTGTGAGAGTAAGTGACTTCTCACAGGATCTGATGGTTTTATAAGGGACTTTTCCTGCTTTACTTGGCACTTCTCCTTCCTGCTGCTATGTGAAGAAGGACATGTTTGCTTCCCCTTCTGCGATGATTTTAAGTTTTCTGAGACTTCCCAAGGCATGCTGAACTATGAGGCAATTAAACTCTTTCCTTTATAAATTACCCAGTCTTGAGCAGTTCTTCATAGCAGCGTGACAATGGACTAATACAGATCCCATTTGTCAATTTTTGCTTTTGTTGCAATTGCTTTTGACATCTTCATCATGAAATCTTTGCCCGTGCCTATGTCCTGAGTGGTATTGCCTAGGTTGTCTTCCAGGGTTTTTATAGTTTTGGGTTTACATTTAAGTCTTTAAAACATCTTGAGTTAATTTTTGGTATATGGTATAAGGAAGTGGTCCAGTTTTAATCTTGTGCATATGTCTAGCCAGTTCTCCCAGCACAATTTATAGAACAGGGAATTCTTTCCACATTGCTTGTTTTTGTGAGATTTTCAAAGATCAGATAGTTGTAGGAATGTGGTCTTATTTCTGGGTTCTCTATTCTGTTCCACTGGTCTATGTGTCTATTTTTGTACCAGTACCATGCCATTTTGGTTACTATAGGCTTGTAGTATAGTTTGACGGTGGGTAGCATGATGCCTCCAGCTTTGTTCTTTTTTCTTAGAGTGCCTTAGCTATTCAGGTTCTTTTTTGGTTCCATATGAATTTTTAAATACTATTTTTTATTTCTGTGAATAATGTCAATGGTAGTTTCATAGGAATAGTATTGAATCTGTAAATTGCTTGGGGCACTACGGCAATTTTAGCAACACTGATTCTTTCTGTCCATGAGCATGGAACGTTTTCCCATTTGTTCGTGTCACCTCTGATTTCTTTGAGCAGTGGTTTGTAGTTCTCTTTGTAGAGATCTTTCACTACCCTAGTTAGCTGTATTTCTAGGGGTTTTTGTGGCAATTGTGAATGGGAGTTCATTCCTGATTTGGTTTGAGCTTGACTGTTGTTGGTGTCTGGGAATGATAGCGATTTTTGCACATTGATTTTGCATCCTGAGACTTTGCTGAAGTTGTTCATCAGCTTAAAACCCATTTATGCCTAGTGTTCCATTATTGGAACACTAAGCATGTGGGAGTTACTAATGTCCTAGTGCTCAAGGTCACCGCTAAGGTCTGATTTTTCACACATGTCTACAATTCAAAAAATTGCAACCTCCAGCATAAGTGGGTTAAGAAGCTTTTGGGTTGAGACTATGGGGCTTTCTACATATATGATCTTGTCATCTGCAAACAGGGATAGTTTGACTTCTCTTCCTTTTTGGATGTCCTTTATTTCTTTCTCTTGCCTGATTGTCCTGGTCAGGACTTCCAAAACTATGTTGAATAGTAGTGGTGAGAGAGGGCATCCTTGTCTTGTGCCAGTTTTCAAGTTTAATGCTTCCAGTTTTTGCCCATTTAGTGAGACATTGGCTGTGGGTTTGTTATATATGGCTTTTATTATTTTGGGTTATGTTTCTTCAATATTTCGTCTATTGAGAGTTTTTGACATGAATCGATATTAAATTTTGCTGAAGGTCTTTTCTGTGTCTATTGAGGTAATCATGTGGTTTTTGTTTTTAGTTCTGTTTATGTGATGAATTGCACGTACTAATTTTTGTATGTTGACTCAACCTTGCATCCCAGGGATAAAGCCTACTTGATCATGGTGGATAAGCTTTTTAATGTGCTGCTGGATTCAGTTTGCCAGTATTTTGCTGAGGACTTTTGCATCTATTTTCATCAAGGGTCTTGGCCTGAAGTTTTCTTTTCTTGTTGTATCTCTGCCAGGTTTTGGTATCAGGATGATGCTGACCTCATAGAATGAGTTATGGAAGAGTCCCTCTTCATCAATTTTTTGGAATATTTTACTAAGAATTGTGCCAGCTCTTCTTTGTATATCTGGTAGAATTCAGCTATGCATTTGTCTGGTCGTGGCCTTTTTTTTTTTTTTTATTGGTAGGCTATTTATAACTGTCTCTATTTTAAACAGGTAGTTTTGATGAATCCATTGCACAGCCAGGTGCCTCGTAGACAGTTTAGAATGTAGACTCGGGAAAATGACATTGTCTCCAGTTTCATATGTAGTTTTAGAGTCTTCAGAGGTGTTGAGAGAGACATAAAGTGAAAGAAAGATGGGGAGTGAACGTAGGATGAAGGTGCCTATGAAGAAATAAGATAAGCACATCGTGGAAATTTAAGAGGAGCACAAAGTCATAAAAGATAAAAACTGAAAAATTCCCATTGGATTTATTTTTCATGAAAGAAGGGATTTCCTCCCTTTGGCAAGGCAAATTTTGATGGCATGCTGAGCGCAGATGTCAGACACCACGGGTTTGAGGAATGAAGGTAAGGTGCAGATGGAGATGGTAAATGAGGGTTCCTCTTTCACGAGGCTCTATACTAAAGGTGAGGAGGCATGGTGAGAAGCTCTTGGGGCACACATGTATTTTCCCTGCCATTCTCCTCTTTTCTCTATATTGACATTCCCCAATGGGAATCCTTTTCAAAACTCAGGGTGCCTCAAAACTTCTGTGTTTTTTTGTTTTTGTTTTTGTTTTCCTGACGCTTTTCTGATGTTGAGTGCAAGAACTTAGTCTGTGGTTCCTTCTCCTCTGTCTGTCTCAACTAAACAATTGCAAAACCACTTATCCCTACCTGTAATCTCAATGTCAAATCCAACAGCTGACCAGTTTATTGACAGCTCTTGCATATTTCATGTTAATTCAATACACATTTGATACAATTAATTAAATGGTAAATGCCTATGGGTGTAGAGTAATTTAAAGCTAGTAAAATACTCTCACAAATATTATCACATATTTTTGACTAGTCCAATTGGTGTCAATGATGAAGATATTTACTAATAACCTACATTTTACTATTGTCTGCGTTTAGTTTGCTTTGTCTCTGAGCCAATGTGACCCCTTATCTTATAGATAACATAACAGATGTTAATATAATAATCAAATTATCTGTCAATAGGATTTTGAATGATTAAAAAGGAATTGGATTGTAAGATTTTCTCCAAAACATGCATCATGTTCATTATAACACACCTGATATTTTACTTAAATATTTTTCAAGCCCAATTTATTATTGAAAATATTTGGGAGTTTTTGACATTGTTTTGCAGCAGAAGCCTATTAATATTAGTATATTTACAGGAAGTTTAAAATAAAATCAAAATAACCATCTAAAAGAACTTTGCACATTATGTTTCAGAAACCATGAAAGAGATAAAACTAATTCATTTATACGTATTAGGCACAATAAAATCATATTAGAAGCAGAGCTCATTTATAATTTTATGTACAAAATAGCAAAACAACTAAATTCTGTTTCCTAACATTAATTGAACATCTATTATGCCTGTAAAACATAGTGCTAGGAAATGAATGATATAAATGGTAAGTTCCTTTATTGATTCACAGTCATTATCTGCAATTGGAGACACTCAGTATCCCTACAAAACACATTTAATTACTTTCTGACTGCTTCAAAGTGTAGGTCTTAATAGAATTGCACTTACATTCTTCTCTGTTCTACCGTGAGATATATGTTGAATAGTGCAGTTCTTTAATGCTTTTATTTTATAGATTCACTACCATGATTCACTTTGGTATCTCAGGGTAGCTGAAGCTTATCAACATCTTTACTTGTGGGGTGTGACCTGTACTTCTTACCATGGGAGCATCATGAGAAACTAAGGGAAATGCTGGGTACAGTGATTCATGCCTGTAATCCCAGAACTTTGGGACGCCAAGGTGGGCAGATCACTTGAAGTCAGGAGTTTGAGACCAGCCTAGCCAACATGGCAAAACACCATAACTACTAAAAAAAAAATACAAAAATTAGCTGGGCATGGTGGCACATGCCTGTAATCCCAGCTACTCGTGAAGCTGAGGCAAGAGAATTGCTTCAACCCTGGAGGCAGAGGTTGCAAGGAGCTGAAATCATAGCACTACACTGTAGAAGTGAGGTTCCATCTAAAAAAAAAAAAAGGAAGAAAAAGAAAGAAAAATAAATGAAGGGAAATATCCAAGTGCAACTTTTCTCAAGACCTTCAACCAAGAGAAAGGTAACTGGGCAACATCACACACTACCCTTGGCAACTTAAGCATTTGTCCTGACAGGTGGCATGTCTCTGGGGACTCCAAACATATCTCAGCATTTCAGTGAAATTACTTAATGTTTTTAAACTCATCTTAGATTCCCTGCATTATGTGACATCAATAATATTGTCTATTCTGAAAGCAACAGAGTGCATGCATGTATGCATTAAGTGTTCATAACCATGGGTAAGACCATTCTATCAAAAGACTGAGCATACATGTTACTGAGCATTTATTTATATAACAGAACCATCAGCAACTTGAAAGTATAAGCTGTGTGAAGAGTCCTTAAGTCTCAGGACCTCAGCTGAGCTGTCAGGTATTGGAGTCATCAATTAAGACCACAAGACAAAAGGAAAGCAACCGTCTGTTCCTTAATCACTGACTGCTTTAATATAAGCAAGAGGTAAACTGGAGAAAGTGCAAATTCGTCCATTCCATTCTTTTACATGGAATAGTGCAGGTCAAAGGTCAAGTGGACAAACAGAGATGTGAGGGTTATAAGGGGTGGTCTCACTGCTAAGGGAGCCGCAAACGAAGGGCTTCTGTGGTTTTATGGACCTGGGGGTGGGCAGAGGGAGACAGGAGGGTAGTGGATAAGAGTGGAAAAGTCCTGTAGGCTGACTCAGAGTGGAGAAAGTGTCTTCAGTGTTCCCATCTGTATTAGTCCATTCTCATATTGCTATAAAGATACTACCAGAGACTGGGTTATTTATAAAGAAAAAAGATTCAATTAACTCACAGTTCCACATGGCTGGGGAGACATCAGGAAACTTACAATCATGGTGGAAGGCAAAAGGGAAGCAAGACACATCTTCCCACAGTGGCAGGAGAGAGCGAGAGTGCAGGGGAAACTGCCACTTATAAAACTTGTATCTCATGAGCACTCACTCGCTATCACGAGAACAACATGGGGGAACCTGTCCCCACGATCCAATCACCTCCCACCAGGTCCCTCTCTCAACACCTGCAGATTACAAATCAAGATGAGATTTGCATGGGGACACAGAGCCAAACTATATCACCACCCTCTCTCATTAGAGAGGTCTTGGCTGAGGCATCCAGGGAAGACCACCACCAAGAGTCTCCAATGAAGAGGCTTCCACATGGAGTTACCTGGGCCAGGAATGTAGACATGCATCAAAACATGGCCATTTGGGGTCCCGAGGCCCTGCCTGCAGTGCTTCAGAGACTACACTGGCTGGGCACCACGCCTGGTGTGTGGAGGGCAGCTTCTCCAATGAAGCCCAGCAGGCAAACTTTTTGTAATCGCCTTTGGTAGGGCCTGAAAAATCACACATTGTTTTTCAGCCAGGAGCTGGACTCTTCACTTCAGAATTTGACAGACCATAAAAGAAATGTGGCGAGGCTGGGTACAGTGGATTATGCCTGTAATCCCAGCACTTTGGAAGGCCAAGGCGAAAGGATCACTTGAGACCAGGAGTTTAAGATCAGCCTAGGCAACAAAAGAAGAGCTCCATTTCTACAAAAAGAAAAAAGAACTATCCAGGTTTGGTGGTGGCACATGCCTATAGTCGCAGCTGCTTGGGAGTGTGAGGTTGGAGGATAGCTTGAGCCCAGGAGTTGGAGCCTACAGTAAGGATGATCATGACACTGAACTTCAGCCTAGGCAAAAGAGCAAGACTGTGTCTCTTAAACAATAAGAAAAATAAAATAAAACGAATTAAAAATAAATAAGAAAGTGGTTGCCATATTACAAGAGAGATGGCATAAGTTGTGAGACTGAAGATGGTTCCATGTCTAGAAGCAACCCAGTTGTATTTAAGAGTAAACCACAAATAGGAATGCATAAGCACTGCATTACGTATGCCCTTAACTTATGTGAATTCAACGGTCCTTTCCTGTCAACAGGGAATGAACAAGGGAGAAATATAGATAAATAATTGAACAGGGCTCCAACAGGACATCCCAGCAAAAATCTGTCAGATGTCTCCTCTACTCATCTCAGTTCCAAAATGTCTTGCATAAGGGGCAAATCTTACTAGGTAGGAATGGGATTGTAATGTTCAAAGTTAGGCATTTTTCATACAAGTTGACAATATGGGGGGGGAAATCTGTTTCCATTGAACTGAAGAAAATACAGAATATTTGTCTTCAACATGGGGATTCCTGGAGGATTGTCCAAGATAGGAAAAATCCTGATAGCATTTTCAGCTGTTTCTGCTGGTTTTCATTTTAGCCACAGACTTGAGAAAGTCACAATGCCAAATATACTAACTGCTTTTGAAAAATCAAGCTATACTTTTGCACAGTAGAAGAAACTATCAACAGCATAAACAGACAACCCACAGAATGGTAGAAAATATTTGCGAACTGTTCATCTGACAAAGGTCTAATATCCAGAATCTATAAGGAACTTAAGCAAATTAACAAGTACAAAACAAAGAAAATCCATTAAAAGAATGGGCAAAGGACATGAACGGGCACTTCTCAAAAGAAGACATACACACCGCCAACAAGCATATGAAAAAAATGCGCAACATCACCAATCATTAGAGACGGGCAAGTCAAAACCACAATGAGATACCATCTCACACTGATTCAAATGGGTATGATTTAAAAAAAGGAACAGATGTTGGCAAGGTTGTGGAGAAAAGGGAATGCTTATACACTGCTTGTTGGAAGGTAAATTACTTCAGTACTGTGGAAAACAGTGTAGAAATTCCACAAAGAACTTAAAACAGAATTATCAGTTGACCCAACAATCTCATTACTGGGTATACATCCAAAGAAATAGAAATCATTCCACCACTAAGACACATGCATGCGTTATGTTCATTGAAACACTGTTACTAGAGGCCCATCAGTAGCAGAATGGATAAAGAAAATGTGGTACATATACACCATGGAATACTATGCAACCATAAAAAAGAACAAAATCAAGCCCTTTGCAGTGACATGGATGCAGCTGGAGGCCATTAGCCTAAGCGAATTAACACAGGAACAGAAAAGCATATACTGCATGTTCTCACTTACAAGTGAAACTTATAAGTAGGAGCTTAAACATTGAGTACACATGGTCATAAGCATGAGAACAACAGATGCCAAAGACCTACTCAAGGGTGGAGCAAGGGAGGAGGATGAGGACCTAAAGACTACCTGTCTGGTATTATGCGCACTACCTGGGTGGTGAAATAATCTGTACACCCAACCCCTGTGACAGCCAATTTACCCATATATCAATCCTGCACATATACCCCTGAACCTAAAATAAAAGTTGGAAAGAAGAAACAAGCTCTAACAAGTGTAACTGACCATCATATAAGAAATATGTGTGGAAATGGTGGACTGTGCAGTAAGTTTGGAGTGTGTTCACATGTTTTCTCTCACATTCACATGTGAGATCTTTGAGTTTCAATCTCTGGTCAAAACTTTTATCTCAAGTTATCTCAAAATTGAAAATTAATAAGATATGCTTTCATTCTGTGATCAATATTTAGTCCTAGAAAAGCATATTCTTCTCTGGCAAGAATGAAACCCAGCATTCTCAGTCTTGCATTTGGAAAGAGAGATATTGTAAATTGTATTCAGCATGGAATATGTGGATACATTGTTATGTACATTACTATTCTGTTTAAACCTGTGAGGTATGTTGAAATAGCTTCTTATTCCGGTTGACAAGAATGTGGGTCTGAATATATATATATATAAATAAAATATATGCCCTATGAGCTACACATATACATATATATCAGGCATATATATGTACCTCATACGTATCTATACACAATAGCAACATATAAATGTATATAACTCATATATACACACACACAATAACAAAGACATGGAATCAAAGTAGATGCCCATAAATAGCAGACCAGATAAAGAAAATGTGGTATACATACACCATGGAATACTACACAGCTATAAAAAAAGAACAAAATCAAGTGCTTTGCAGTAACGTGGATGCAGTTGGAGGCCATGATCCTAAGGAATTAATGCAGGAACAGAAAACAGAAAACATGACATGTTCTCACTTATAAGTAGGAGCTAAACATTGAGTACACATGGTCATAAACATGGGAACAGTAGACACCAGGGCCTACTTGAGGATGGAGGGAGGGCAAACATATATGTATGTATATGAGGTATATACACACACACACACACATAGTTCATAGGGCATATAGTATGCTTAATAAATCACCTTTTTAAAAATTATTTCTCGATGATGGGAATTCTTTTTTCAGAATTAACGTTTAATTTTCATATGAATCATTTAAGCAGCCTGTAATAGTAAGAGACCCCTTTTCTAAATTGGGTGCAGCTAACTGCCATTTCCCCTCCATGAACTTATTTCTCAATTTACAGCTCAGAGAACGTCTGAGATGATTATTCAGATTTATGGCCTCTGTCTCTAGTCTAAATTTATAGTAACTCTCCTGGAAAGACTGACAAGCCAGGGAATCCAATGAGATTCACATGGAGAGACCTTGATAGATGTCTAGTGGTATCTTATGCCAAGTTGATTGCCTACCAGGAGTCTCAGTGCATTTTCAAAGTTTTTCTGGATTCTGCCTTTGATGTTTACAATAGGCCTCAATTTTGTATGGTTGTTTTCCATTTTTAACTGCATGAATTTTGAAGATACTCAAGGGGACTATGAGGGTAGCATACTGGTCATCTTTGCTACACAAAGAGAACAACATAGAGCTGGGCAAAAACATTTAAAATAGCCATTAAGTAAGTGTTCATTGCATTTGATATCAAGCAAATATTTCCATGAAGGAAAAACTTTAATAGATTTAAGATTAAGCTATTTCCCTCCAATATTTCTTAATACGTAGTTCACAATGTTTAATATCTTATAAGATCAAACATAAGATATGTTTTGGGATACTTTCTCAGAATTTTTCTTTAGTCCTATACTGTTTACAATTTTCCATATTTATATAATGCTAGAAATAAAAATTCAAAAAATGTTCAATTTGGATCAATAAGTTGTATTATTTTTCATAACTATAAAGTTCTTCAGGCCAGGCTGGGTGTGGCAGCTCACGTCTGTAATCCCAGCACTTTGGGAGGCTGAGGCAGGCAGATCACTTGAGGTCAGGAGTTCGAGACCAGCCTGAACAACATGGTGAAACCCTGTCTCTACAAAAAATATAAAAATTAGCCCAACATGGTGGTGCGTGCCTGTAGTCCCAGCTGCTTGGGAGGCGGAGGCAAGAGAATTATTGAACCCGGGACGTGGGAGTTGCAGTGAGCAGAGATTGCATCTCAAAAGACAAACAAACAAACAAACAAAAGTAAAGTTCTTCAAATAAACAAAATGGAAAACAGAACATACAATATTTAGAAAACAATTATATTGTGTGGGTAATCATTAATGACTTCTTAAAAACTACCAACAATTTGTACTTTGGAGGATATTTGCAACCAAATACAATGAACTGTCAAAATATATTTTACAAAATTTCATTAGTGCATTACCTGTGAAATCTTAACTGTGTAAAATTTAATTTAATGTTGTTCTTGTCCCATGAATTTCCTGTCTCCATGTTCACAGAATCTCTAGAGAAATCTGGCAACATTACTCCTAAGGTTATATTCCTCTGCAAACTAGTGCACATTTTATTAAATACACACACTTTATATGATTTATGAAACATAAATAGTATTGTTCTATATAGAGTGTCATTTTTAAAAATTATGAATATGTCCTAGAAAATAGGTTTTTAAGAAGAATTGATAATTGCCTTATATAATATAAACGTTAGGTATGGTCTATTCAATAGTTTCCTTAAAAAAAAAGCTTTGACTCTTTCCATTTATTTATTTATTGACTCAGGGAGATAATTTTAAGTTATTTTGTGCTGTTTAAATTATCTGTAAACACTTACATGATTTTAAACCTTGGAATAATTTCAAATAATATTACATAATTATTTTACTATTTCATATACCCATGAAAGTACCCTGAGGTATTAAACAACTGAATATGAATTATTTTTATAATTTGGCAATGTATACATTCATGTTTGTAAAAATTTGTCTGATGAAAATATACATATAAATTGCATCTTCATATTATTTTAATTCACTAATTGCATACACTAACCTCCTTTTAAAACACCTTAAAATGTATTTGATTTTATGTACAAGAACATGTTTCTTATGAGATAAAAGAATGAATAGATTATATAAATAGATGCATAAGTAGAGAATGAAGAGGAAAAAGAAAATATAATTATCAACTTCTACTTGAAAATATACTCTCCGAAATATTTGGACGCATTTTGTAATGGCAAAAACATCTTCTAAAAATGTAAGTTGCATAGTGTATCCAAAAGTTTTCTCTGATAAGTAGATAACTGAAGCACTAATTAAAATACCTAGAACACTAATTAAAATAACTCCCTAGAAATATAACTCTGCTTTATCATGCTCATTCCACTAAGATATTGATTAAAAGTGAATTCATAGGAAGGTCATGTTTCTGAATCACTTCATGTTGCTAAGGATACTCAATGTTTTTAGAGGTACTTGGCTTCAGAATTTTAATGAGATGGCATGCCGAGGTGACTGGACTGCTGTTACCATGATTTTCTTTCTTTTTGAATAAGGTTTTGCATTGTCTTATGAATATAATTAAATGTTATATTGTGGATATTAAAGCATGTCCTGACAAAATGCAAAAAAAAAAAATAGCATTATGATCTTAACTGGGTCACTAGTTAGCTTAGGGGAGTATAGGATATGTAAGAAAAGGTGGAAATGATATTAAAATTAGGTGCTCTTTAACAGGCCTGCTATGATAAAGGCCTGCTATGATAGCTAAGCACACTCAACAATTTTATCTGTTTTAACTGCTCTTATTCACTACTTTTCTGAATCTTACAAGCATGAAGTATATGCTAGAGATTTTGTTCAGTGATGCTGATAACGTTCCATTCTACAGCCAAGCTAATTAAAAGTTGACTGTTTTACTTTTAACCTATTTTTTTCCTCCTATCTAGTGACTGTATAATTGTTGTTTTTTTACACAGAGTTGTGTTTACATCATTGGGTAACATTTCGAAAGGTCTTAAGTTGATTGTTATTTTTATGCATTTGAATTTGTGTGGTTGTCTTTAAACCTCCCATATGTTTACTTAATTTTTTTAAAAAAGCAAGATATGCTTTTGAAGACTTTTTCCATTGGGAAATTGAGATATTTTAATAATGATTGATTGGAAAAGCCTGGCAAGTGCATAAGTCTATTTACTGAACAAGAAATGTATCCTTTGAGGCTAAAATATTTTGGGGTAAAGTTGGTTCTCAGAAATTTGGTGAAAACAGTTAAAGATCACTTAAAGGGGTAAATTAAAGAATTAAAATGCCCAGCGTTATTGGATATATTACTATAAGTTGGTAGATGTTGAGACCAGTTTAATCCAGTTTATGATAACCATGAATTATAAGGTAAATAGAAATTAAGAGATTATCTGACAGTGTAAATTAGCCAATGTGTGACATGAAAAAATAGGAAGATACAGCAGACATTCAACTATTATATAGTTCAAGAAAGAGACAAGGAATATTTCTAGGTTTCGGAATTGTTCAAGGTAGAGACATGGGATATTATTTCTAGGCTTGATCATTGTTCATCAGATAACAAATTGAAATATCAGTGAATCTCAGAATTCACTGATATTTCTGAGAAAGAGAGAGAGGAGAGAGAGAGGAGAGAGAGAGAAAGAAAGAGAGAGAAAGAAAAGAGAGAGAGAGAGAAAGAAAAGGGGGGGAGAGAGAGAGAGAGAGAGAGACCTTCATCCATGAAGTGATTTCAGTTCAACCAACCATCCCATAAGTAATTGTAGATACTCAAGAACATTGTTGCCAAACCAGTCTACAGCTTTTCGTTAAACAGCTACTGGGAAGGAATTCTAACAGCTTCCAGAGTAGCCTCTCCCTCAATGAGCAGATCTTACTGTTCTATGCAGCAACAGGCCTCCTCTAACACCCCCTTGAAGGAGCAACAGTTCCTGGGGAAGCGATCATATTATTTTATATATAAATATGGCTGAAATATTTGACCTCCATTTTCCCAGACTGAATATCTCTACCTCCTTTGGATATTTCACATAAAAAATGATTTAGATTCCTTGTTTAGCCCATTCAACGTTCCCCTGAATTTTTTAGTCTATCTAACCCAAATATTCAGGGGAACGTTGAATGGGCTTAACCCCTTAATGAAGGGGTTAGAGACTAAAATATCTAACCCCTTTTAAAGAAGGTTAGATAGACTAAAATATTTGTAATATTTAAGTAATATTTAAATAGTTAAAAATATTTAAGTAGAACCCTGAGCTAAAGGAAATAATCCAGGAATTATTTAACCCATTACAAGGGAAAGTCAGTTTATAGCCACCGTTAGATAATTTTTTGTAAGGATTATAAATCATGCTTCCTTCTGTAGCTGTGCTAATGATTTTTGTGCCTAAATGCAAAGTCCCAATATACACCTTCTATCTATCTAGATTTTCCTTGCGTATGTCAATTAGTATAATGCATAGTCCATTCCTATCTCATCTCATCTTCAGCTTTCATTGTAAGAGCTGCACACCTTTATCTAGGTCGTTGGTAGAGGTGTTTAGCAAGGCATGGTTAAAGGAAAGGTCTCATTTGTCAAGCTGGTTCCCGAAACATCCTCTTTGACACAGGCTCATTCATTGCATCATTATATCTATACCAATGTTCAACCCACTACAATTCTGCATCTCTCTATCATCAGCTATTTTGACACTTCACTATACTGGTTCTCTGCATACTGAGACACCACTGCTTCTATATTTTGACTGTTATTGGGGATTTCTCTTCTTTCAGTGACCAATTAAGTATTAGTGTCCCCTGAGGTTCTATTGTCATCCACTGGCTGCTCCATCCACCATTGCTAAATGAATTCTTCTAGTTTTATGGATTGTTGAATGTCATCTTTAGATATCCAACTTTCTATTGTGTATCTCTACCTGATATCCCATAGACAAGTCCAAAATGCAGTTTGCTCAGAGATGCCCCTCTTCCATTTTATTTTTATTTTTATTTTTATTTTTTTGCCGTTTTCATCCATGGCCACCCGCAGTCAACAAGTCTAAAAGTGGAGGGTTTCCTATCTCCTTCATCCCCATAACTAAACATCATTCCATGCTATTTTGTCTCAAAATGTTTCCAAGACCCCTTTCAGCTAACAAAATGTATCCATCATCTATTTCCAGGATTGAATTGCATGTATCAATTCTCACCCCAACCAATTCCTCTGAAATGGGTTATCTTTCTTCTGAGCCTCTAGCATTTTTGCAAAGCATTACAATTAAATTACTAAATTTGTGAAGATGGCTCATCTTCTTTTTCTTGAATCACAGTAGAAACACAATGGAGAAAGACCCTAGCATATAGCAAATAACCAATCAGTTTTTTAAAAATAAAGGAATGATTGGATTCTGGATAGGGAAAAATGCCATGTTCAATTGTTGAAATGTAGAACAACCCACAACATTATGAATTCATATTCAATCCTCAGGATGTGAGCACAATGAACTTCTAAATGTTGCCACTGGTTTCTGACATGGGAGGTCTATCTTATTTTTGCTCATTTACACTCATGATTGAAATACTGGTCAACAGGCATATCCTCTGTTCACAATTCACCCACGAGCAACCCACGGACACTGTTCACAGTGTCCTATGAGCAGAACTCCTGATACCTCAACAGAAGACTTCAAGTTGTATGTGTTCCTTCTCACCCACAAATAGGTGTGAACTTCTCTGATGACATTTTCAGAGATAGAGAGCTTCTGGTTAGAATGTGTACTGACACATTTTGGGTTTCTGATCCTCATGTTTAGCTATCTGCAAGGTGATATAAGGTGGCGATTGTTTTTTTGTAGATTTTTCAACACAATTTTTAATTGTGTATGAGAAAACCAGCATGCAAATACTGAAAGACACATTCTGATGCCACTGGGATTTTGAAATTTTATTTATATTTTTAAGGAAATTGTGTATATTGGGATGAGAAAATTAGATGTTAACCTTCAGATACTGAAAAACATGATTTTTTATATTCTGAATTTAGAAATGCAATTGGAAATTATTAAAGTTTTACATTCAGTTAAATTTAACTTGGACAAGAACTGTATAAAATACATATAGGCTTAAGGATCTTTAATTTAAATATGTGAATATATATTCTGTAATCATTAAATGACTTAAAACTTAATGGGCATAAATGATGTGAACCTATAGTTTATGTTTTATACTCCTTAACTTATGTAGAATACAAAATATTTACAGAAAGATATTATAAAAATTATACATTCAAATTAATTCTTGGGTATCTTTTTTTGAAACAACTTCTTATATCTTGTATCAAAAAAAAAGAAATATTTCGATTCTGGAGGGCCTGAAGTTGCCTAGCGTTTAGAGAATGTCAAATCGATCATTGTATAAGTGCTATTAATGTGAAACTATTTATACAATCTGGGTTATAAAGTAGCTAAATCTTCAGATGAAGATTCGCAGCTGGTAGAACGGCTGCCACCCTTATGAATTATAGTTCTTGAATCCCACAGTCATTATTATAATTAAGTCCTAGTAATCAATGTTGACTGACTGTCTTAGCCCATATAGTAAGATACAATTTTATTAGACTATTGCAACCATCACTAAAATGTGAGAAAAAATTCAAAAAGTCCTAAGAGAAACGTTTCCACTCTTCCTAATTATGTGTAATACTTCATAACATGTAATTCTTCCTATGATAACACGTCATTTTTTGGGGGGATCCAGGGAAAACAATTCATTATAATGTTGGGAGGTCCTCTTTCATAAGGACAATGACTTTTAGTTATTTTGTGTGTTTGTATATAACCTTGTGACAATGCATTTTGAGCATGTTTTGTTGAACAAGTGTTATGTAATGAAAGCAGTGTTTATTGTGCATCCAGACAGAAGATTAAATTTAGTTTCATTGAAAGCAAATAGGATGTCCATGCAGCCAGCCAAGTCTACCATGTTCTTCTGGTCACGTTATTCTCCTCTCTTCATCGAGATGAGTCCTTCACACTTTTCACCTTGATACCGTCATTACTAAATCCCCCCTCCTTCTCAGGTGACAACTTCAGGGAAGTCAGAAACAGTCCAGAAAACCTCCACCGGCTCCTACCAGCAAATCTATCATCTACCTTGCATTGGGTCCCTATTGCTATTGTAACGCATGCGTACAAATGGAATCGCTTGGAACAAAAAATGTCATGTTACAGTGCTGGAGGTCCAAAGTCCAAAATCAGTCTCACTGGGCTAAGATCAAGATGTCAGCAGGGCTGCCTTCCCTTTGAAGGCTCCAGTGGAGAATCCGTTTTTTCTTTTTTCTATCTCCCAGAAGCTGCTGCTGCACTCCTAGGCTCACGGCCCCTTCCTCCATCTTCAAAGCCAGCAGCGTTGGGCTGAGTCTTTCTCACATGGCCTTGTCCATGATTCTCTTTACTGATAACTTCCTCCACTTTTAATGTCCCTTGCAATCATGTTGGATGCAAGCAGATTGCCCACAATAATCTCCCTGACTTAAAATCAACTGATTAGAAACCTTGATTTCACCTACAATCCTAATTCCCCTTTGTCATATAACATAACCTACCTATAGTTTCACCGGATTGGGATGTTACTTACTTTTGAGGAGAGGCATTTTTCTGCCTGACAGTTACCCATATCTTGGTCCACAGAGGAAGCCTCCCTTCTCACCTGTGGCAATTCTGAATCGTATCTGTTGACTGGCACCCTACGGCCCAGTGGAAGTATTCATTTCTGATTTCCAAAGTCTATACAAACCAAAGTTGGAGAAGGCAAATCATTATCTCGCTAATAGTGTTCTTAATGTTCAACTCCTGCCAAAAGATATGAATTTGGAACTCTCAATTCTGAAATATTTTTAGGTTAGATTCCTCTAAGACACATACCATAATTTTCCTGACTGACATGAAAGCAAGGGTGGGGCTTTTGAGTTGTCAAACTACTAATCTCCTACTTTGCTGTGAAACTGATGTATACATTGATTAACTTTGCTGTTTATCAACCTGGAAAGCAATCTTGCATCCAGTCTAGCCAAAGTAGATAACATCTCTAACTTTTTTTTTAACACATCTAACTAAAAATTGAAATTATTATGCCAACATGGAACACAAAATTTTAATTTAGACATAGGCCAATAGTATTAATTTCATCCAAAAATCACAATTGTTTGCCGGTAAAATGAATGCTCACAGGATAGCAGTTTTGAATGAACTTCTAGGGGCTCAAAACATTAATATTAAAGTCAAATCTTATACCTAAAATTTCAATACTTTTCAATCATCAAAATGTACATTGCATTTAAACATTACCTTTAAAACCCAGAGAAGACATGGCATGTATTACTAAATCACTTGTAACTCTTTGATTGAGTTAACAATATTCTTAGATTACCAGGAGAATACTACAATAACATGCAAAATCCAACATCAGCATTGCAAAGTCCTAGATCAAAACATGCAATGTCAACCTTGCAAAATACAACTGTGAGTTTGCAGATAAGCATGTCAAGGTTTGCACAGCGGATATCTTATGAGAATGCTACATTATACAGATCCAATTAAAAAGGAGCACAATATGACATTCATAAAATAACTTTACAAAGTTCATCTTCTTGGTCATTTACAAAGAAATTTATTTTATATTGCTTATAACGTTATTTTTCAAAGTTTTATTTCTATCTAGGTATTGTGTCTATGTTTAATATTTGCAACCTCCATTAAGTTATCATTGTTTTTTTTATTTTGTTTCTACTTAACATTCACCAACAAAGCAGACCTTGGTGTTTATAAATAATTAAAAACTTGATCATGAAACCCACTATCAAATGCTTGTTAATAAGAGACAATAGTAAGCTTTTAGATCCTGAGCTAAATAATTTATTTTTTAAAAGTAAAATAGACTGTATAAATCAATAAACTTAAATATTTTAGTAACACCAGAACCAGTGAGAAAAACAAATTACTAAACTGAAATAGGGGATGGTATTTGGATAATCTGATGAAAAAAAGTGTTTTGCTCTATGACGTACTATATTCTTCAAGTTGTCTAAGCAATAAATGCTTAAAATCTTCCCCATAGCCTTCCTAGAAAGGTTATCCTACCCATTTAAATTCCCTAAAAGAATTGTAAATCTTCTTTTATATGGGTAACCTTGGGAAATGAGGTATGGGGAGATTAAGAAAAATACCCCTATGCAGAGGTATATAGCCTGTGATTTGAATATTATTAGAATAAATTGAGAAGATAGGTAATGCTGTGTGCGGTGTGATTAGTGCATGCCCTTCAGTATATAAACGTTTTAAAAGCAATGTATGAATTGAAGTTAAAAGGGCATCTGGAGAAATCATCTACACTAATAGAAAAAAAATCAAGGTACAAACTTGAGATACACAGAGTAAGAAAGTGAATCTTATGGGAAATTTAAGGGTAGGAAATGCTTTCTCAGACTTTCCATGGCCCAAGTTAATTGACAAAACTTTCTCTCAAGCAACCCCAGATGAGGAAAATGCTATGGGGTGCTTGCAGAAGAATTCCCCTGAAATTCTCACATTTGGGATTAATATACACTCATGGTTGAGAGTGTGAGTTCCATGTTTGAATAATAATTCTATGCATTAGTAAATTGATAGTCAAATTATAAATTATGCTGTGTCTCAATTACTTTGGGAGTCTTGATCTCTTTATCTGTAAAATGAAAATAATAATTATTACCTTACAGTGTAGACTTATTACCTAAGGGAGATCATGTAAGAAAATTCCTAGAGTTTTACCTGTGCAGAAGACAGTATCTCTTGTGAATTTAAGAATGACACATATAGCTCTCCCTTCTCCTTCCTTTCTCTGTTCTGGATAGGATCAGATGGAAATGTGTCAACATGGCATTTTCAGATTCTGCCTTGTTCTTTATCTGTTATTATTTTACTTGGTTTATTCAGGGATTGCTGCTGTATAAAATCTTTCACCACACTTGTACAGCTGGCATGTAGCAGCATGGAATAAGTGCTTTGTAAAACAAAACCCCATTGTCTATGGTTGCAACTGGCTCAGGAGGAAGAGTTTTCTGTCATTGGAAGAATTGAATAACAAGCTCATCAGAATACTCCTCCTCACAAACATGTATGGGGCATACAATCTATGTGAGGCAAAACTGGATACAGGAATGAGCCCCTGCCAGTTGTGGTACCTCATGCCTGTAACCCCAGCACTTTGGGAGGCTGAGGAAGGATGATTGCTTGAGACCAGGAGCTTGAGAGCAGCCTGGGCAACACAATGAGACCTTGTCTCTACAAAAAATACAAACATTAGCTGGGCATTGTGATGTGCACATTTAGTCCCAGCTACTCTGGAGACTGAGATGGGAGGATCACTTGAGCCCAAAAGTTCCTGGCTGCAGTGAGCCATGATTATGCTGCTGCCCTCCAGTCTGGATGCTAGAGTGAGACACTGTCTCTAAAAATAATAATAATAAATAAATAAGAAAAGAAATGAACTTTCTCTCTCATTGCCAGGTATTATTGGAGTCACAGGTTGAAGGTAGAGATAAAAGACCTGTATGTTTTTTCTCTTTAATCAATTCCAGGATTCTATGTAGTAAAAAAAAAAAAATGCAATAATAAGTAAGATTATATTGTAATTAACCCCATGAGGAACAGAAAGAGAATAGAAGGCATTAAAAAGGCAAGAAAGGATTTTCTGCCTCCACCTAGAATACAGAATGATAGACAGAGTGACCCTTTCATGCTAGTAATCACAAAAAGGCAGCTATGCTAAGAAATATCATATTATCCCAAGCCCATGGGAGAGATGAAGACAAAACTCCTGTGATACCAGGCATGGATCTTGACCAATAAATGAAAATCTCTAGATAAGTTTATTAGATTTCTTTGCTACATAACAAATGATCATAAGTTCATTGGCTTAGCACAATACACAATTATTATATCACATTCTCTCTGGTATAGGAATTTGGGCACAGTATAGCTGCAGCATCAGCAAAGCTGTAATTCAAGAGTTGGCCAGGGGTGCATGCTCCTCTGAATAATCGACTGGGGAAGGATCCATTTCCATAGCATATCTTTAACCACCTGACAGGTTCTTCCTGCTGGCAGCACAGACAAAGACCACAGCATTGCAGTAAAGAAAGCTTTAGTAGATACAAGGCCAGCCATACTATGCGGGAGATGGAGTTAGTACTCAAATCAATCCCATCCAAAGCTCGTAGGTTAGAGGATTTCAAAGACCATTTTGGGGAAGGAATGAGAGTGGCCAGGTAATGGGTGTTTGCTGCTGACTGGTTGGGCTGGAGATAAAATCAGAGGGGGTTGAAGCTGCTCTCCTGAGCTGAGTTGCTCCAGGGTGGGGCCACAGGAGTGGGGTTGGCAGGTTGAGGTGGAACCATGGATGTCAGACATGCAGAAACCTGAAAAGTGATCTCATAAGACCAATCTACAATAGGGAAGTTGCATATTTTGTGACCAGTCTACACCTTAGCACCCCCTCCTGGCCTGATGACCTTTCGTCAGCTTTACAAAGGCAGTTGAATTTTGGGGGAGATCTATTATTATTTAAACTATAAACTAAGTATTTCCCAAAGTTAGTTGAGCCTAAGCCCAGGAATGATTAAGGGAAATTCAAGATGAGAGGTGGGTTAAATCAGATCTCTTTCACTGCTGTAATTTTCTCACTGATACAATTTTTGCAAAGGCAGTTTCATGCTCTCTGAGGTGGTTGGAAGAATGTATTTTCTTGTAGCTCTAGAATTTACAGAAGCTTCAAAGCAAGCAATGGAGAGGGCTGGAAGAGAGGGTAGAAAAGAGAAAGAGAAGAGAGACTTGCAACCATCTTCTAACAAGACTAAGACTTTTAATAGCATAACATAATCAAGAGAATGGCATGCCCTTACATTTTCAATGTTCTATTTGTTAGAAGCAAGTCCTTGGTCTTTCCCACAATCAAGAAGGCAGAATAGGATAAATAATAAAGAATAGATAGAACAAAGAAAATAAAATGAGAATGGTGGTAGGTGTAATTCCAATCACATCAGTAAAATTTTAATAAATGTCAGTGATCTAATCATTCTAATTCAAAAGCAGAGCTTGTCAGATTGGATTAGCAAAAACCCTGGCGTGCATTTTCCATGAGAAGTCTACGTTAAATATAAAGACACGTGATGATTAAAAGTTTTTTTTTAAGTGAAAATTTATACAATGCAAATGCCAAACAAATCTGGGATAGTTACATAGATATCAGAAAATATAGAATTCACAGCAAGAATACCAGGGATAAAGAAGGATATTATATAATGATAAAAAGATCAATCCACACACAAAAATAGCAATCTTTAATTTTTTTGCTCTCAACTATGCAAGCTTCAAATGCATAAAGTAAAATCTAACAGTTTGGAAAGAAGAAATAAGCAAATCTAAAATTGCAAGTGGAATTTTTAGTACTTCTCAGAAGTAGAGAGAACAGACAAAATCTCAGTATTGGATTTAAACAACACTGTAAGTAAACATGAGATAATTAACATGTACAGACACACCATCTAACATGAGAATCCACATTGTTTTAGCGTACACATCAAATATTCACAAATATAGCTGATATTCTTGGTGATAAAACATATATCAACATATTTAAATAAATTAGAATCATACATTCTCCTCAAAGTTGAGAGAAGAAAAAAATCATACAAAGTATAATATGTTTCCTGATAGCATTTACTTAGTAATAAAATGAAACATGTGTCTGCAAAAAACTCTAATTACTTGGAAATTAAGCAACACATTTAAAAATAACCCATGAATCAAAAGGAAGCCACGGCGAAAGCTAGAAGCTGTTTGGATCTGAATGAGAATAAAAATCAAACACATCTAAATATGAGAGATGCAGCTAAGTCAGTGCTAAGAGGGAAATGCAAAGCACTAAATGCTTATATTAAGAAACAGTAAGGATTATGAATGAATACTTTAAGCTCCCATCAAATCAGGCATAAGAAAGGAAATAAGAAAAGTAGGGGCAGAAATCAATACAACTCAAAAAGGAAAAACAAAAGAGAAAAATAACTGGGAGGAAAAGCTGCTGGAATAAAAGATTAATTTATGTACTTCTAGTCAGACAGAGAAAGAGATATAGGGGGAGTATTGCATAAGGGAATATTATGATCCACATTATACCAATATATTGGATACATATTAAATGAAAGGGAAAAAATTTTTGAACTACCAAAACTCACTCAAGAAAAAAACATAATTGGAATAATTTATTTAATATGTATTAGTTTACTGAATATTTATTAAAGAAATTGAATTCACAGTTAAAACATTTTAATAAAGAAATCCCCAGGCCCAGTTTGCTTTACTAGTAGAGTTCTTTCAAATAATTAAGTACATAACTATCTAATGCACACAAACTATGACAAAAAATAGAAGAGGAGAAAACACTCCTCAACTTATTCTAAGAAGTCTGATGCCATATAACAAAAGGAGCCAAAGACAAATAAAAGAAATCCACACACTGATAGCCCTCATAATGATAAATATAAAAATTTTAATGATGTATTAGTACCTATAAATCCACCTATACATTGTGATTAAATGAAATTTATGCCAGGCATGAAAGGATGGTTCAATATTCAAAATAATCTAAGAATCGACTAAACAAGCAAGAAAAATTAAAAACAAAAAATTAATATCAGCAGAACATCAGAAAAGGCATTTAAGAAAATGGAAGGCTGGGCACTTTGGCTCATGCCTGTAATCCCAGCACTTTGGAAGGCTGAGGCGGGTGGATCACCTGAGGTCAGGAGTTTGAGACCAGCCTGGCCAACATGGTGAAACACTGTCTCTACTAAGAATATAAAAAAATTAGCCAGGCGTGGTGGCGGGCACCTGTAATCCCAGCTATTCGGGAGGCTGAGGCAGGAGAATCACTTTAACCAGAGAGGCGGAGCTTGCAGTAAGCTGAGGACGTGCCATTGCACTCCAGCCTGGGCAACAGGAGTGAAGCTCCGTCTCATAAAAAACAAAGAAAAAAAAAAAGAAAATCCAACATGCAATCCTGATAAAAACTCTTAGCAAACTAGGAGTTCAAGAGAACTTTCTCAGTCTGAAGAAAAGGAATCTAAGAAAAATCAGCAGCTCTTCATATTAATATATTAATGGCAAATGATGGGATGTTTTCACCCTAATATTAGAAAACAAGGTAAGAAGGTCTTCTCTCACTACTCCTTGTCAAGGTTATATTGGAAATCCTAGCCAGTGCAGCTGAGAAATAAGAAGAAATCAAAGGCACACAGATTAAAAAGGAAGAAAGAAATCTGCCTTACTTGGCAGATGATGTTATTGACTATATAGATAATCCTAAGTGTGATGGTTAATATTGAGTGTCAACTTGATTAGATTGAAGGATGCAAAATATTGTTCCTGGGTGTGTCTGTGAGGGTACTGCCAAAGGAGATGAACATTTGAGTCAGTGGACTGGGAGAGGCAGACCCACCCTCAATCTGGGTGGGCACCATCTCATCAGCTGCCAGCACAGCTAGGATAAAAGCAGGCAGAGGAATGTAGAAGGACTAAACTGGCTAAGTCTTCTGGCCTCCATCTTTCTCCCATGCTGGATGCTTCCTGCTCTCTAAGATCAGATTCCAGGTTCTTCAGCTTGGACCTACACCAGTGTTTCACCAGGGGCTCTAGGGCCTTCGGCAACAGACTGAAGGCTGAACTTCTATCTTCCCTACTTTTGAGATTTTGGGACTCAGACTGGCTTCCTTGCTCCTCTACTTGCAGAAGACCTATTGTGAGACTTCATCTTGTGATCATGTGAGTCAATACTCCTTAATAAATTCCCTTTCATATATCTTTCTATCCTATTAGTCCTGTCCCTCTAGAGAACCTGACTAATACATCAAGTAAATAGGATATAAACTCTATATAGAAAGTACAATTACATTTAAGTATACTTACAATAAATGATTGGAAATTGAAATATAAAGTAAAACTCTATGTGCAATGGCACAAAAACGTGAAATATGAAGACACAAAGCTAAAAAAATGCACAAAATTTGTATTCTGGAATAAAATATTTAATGAGAGAAATCGGAGAAGATTGGTTCAAAGTTGGTCCTTCTGAGACTGGTCTCTGAGTTTAACATTATTCCCCAAAGAATTACAGCAAGGATTTTAGAAAACTTGACAGATACTCCTAAAATGTGAAAACTGCTAACCATGAATAATCAAAACAAGTTGGAAAAATAGAAACAAGAAAGGTGGAAAGTCATTTTCCCTGATTATATGTCTTACTACAGTATTCAAGACAGCTCATTATTGACAGAAGAATAGACCCATCGGTTTTGGACCAGAATTAAGCAGCCAGAAATGATCTACATATATAAATTAATATTGGATACAAATATCAAAGCCATTTAGTAGAGATGATACTCTCTTTCTTTACTTTCAATAAAGGGTGCTGGAATAATTGCACATCTATATGGAAAACAAATGAAACAAAATCTGAACAAATTTCTGTACCCTATGAAAAATGAAAAATTAACTTGATATGTGTTATAGATCAAAATGGAAACCCTAAAATAAAACTCTCTGAAGAAAATGTAGGAGAATATTTTTATGAATTGTGTGAAGCAAAGATTTCTTAGAACACAAAAGATATCTTTGGGTCATCAAAGATAAAATTAATTAATTAAAATTTATCAAAATGAAAAACTTATTTTCAAAGGACATTTTAAAGAAAAGTCAGGCCACTGAATGAGAGAAATTGTTAGCAAAACTTGTAGCTTTTGTAACTTCTGTATAGGAGAAAGGACTCCTATACAGAATATGTAAAGAAATTTTACAATGCCAAAATAAGAACACATACAAATACAAAAATGGTTTCATGGGCCAGGCCCAGGGCCCTGCTGCTCTGTGCAGCCTTGGGACATGGCACTCTGCATCCCAGCTGCTCTAGCTCCAGCCATGGTTAGAAGGGGCCAAGTTATAGCTTGGGCCATGACTTCAGAGGGAGCAAGTCTCAAGCCTTGGTGACTTCCCTGTGGTGTTGGGCCTGTGGGTGCACAGAAGTCAAGAATCGAGGTTTGGGATCCTCTGCCTAGATTCAAGAGGATGTATGGAAATGCCTTGATGTCCACCCAGAAGTTTGCTGCGGGAGTGGGGTCCTCATGGAGAATATCTGCTAGGGCAGTGTGAAAGGGAAATGTGGGATTGGAGCCCCCACACAGAGTCCCCACTGGAACACTGCCTAGTGGAGCTGTGAGAAGAGGGCCACCATATTCCAGACCCCAGAAAGGTAGATCCGCCAACAGCTTGCACCATGCACCTAGAAAGCCACAGGCACACAATGCCAGCCTGAGAAAGCAGGCACAGGGCCTGTACCCTGCAAAGCCATGGGGGTGAAGCTTCCCAAGGCCATGGGAGCCCACCTCTTGTAATCAGCCTGTCCTGGATGTGAGACATGAAGTCAAAGGAGATTTTGGAGCTTTAAGATTTACTAACTGCCTGGCTGGGTTTTGGACTTGCACGGAGCCTATGGCCCCTTTGTTTTGGCCAATTTCTCCTATTTGGAATGGGAATATTTACCTATTTATGTAGCTTCATTGTATCTAGAAAGAAAATAACTTGCTTCTCATTTTACAGGCTCATAGGCAGAAAGGACTTGCCTTATCTCAGATGAGACTTTGGACTTGGACTTTTGAGTTAATGCTGGAATGAGTTAAGAGTTTGGAGGATTGTTGGGAAGGCATGATTGGTTTTGAAATGTGAGAAGGACGTGAGATTTAGGAGGGGCCAGGGCAGAATGATATGGTTTGGCGGTGTCCCCACCCAAATCTCATCTCAAGTTGTAATCCCCAGGTGTTGAAGGAGAGGCCTGGTGGGAGGTGATTGGATCATGGGGGCAGTTTCCCTCATGCTTTTCTCATTCTAGTGAGTGAGTCCTCATGAGATCTGGTTGTTTGATAAGTTTCTGGCACTTCCCCCTTCTCTCTCTCTCTCTCCTGCCACCTTGGGAAGAAGATACTTGTTTTGCGTTTGCCTTCCACCATAACTGAAGGTTTCCTGAGGCCTCCCCAGCCATGTGGAACTGTGAATCAATTAAATCTCTCTTGTTTATAAATTACCCAGTCTCAGGTAGTATCTCTATAGCAATGTGAAAATGGAATAATACACACACACACACACACACACACATACATACATATATATAACAACTTCATTTGATTGTCAAACAGGTCTGAGAGGTAGGTATGATATATTATTTTACTGTTGAGATAACTGAAATCTAAAGAAAGGAATATGTTTTTGTTAATTAATTTTTTAATTGACAAATGAAAATTGCATATATTTATGGTGTACACCATGATGTTTTTAAATATGTATACATTGTGGAATGTCTAAATTGAGATAATTAACATATGTCTACATCACATGCTTATCACTTTGTCTGTGGGTGTGTGGTGAGAACACTTAAAATCTACTCTCTCAGCAATTTTCAAGTATACACTACATTGTTATTAACTATAGTCACCAGGTTGTACAATAGATCTCTTACATTTAGGGAAGAATTTGTTTTAACTCAGGTTGGACAATAAGTTCAAGGTATAATTCAACTCTGGGTGTATTAGTCTGTTCTCACACTGCTAATAAATACATACCCAAGACTGGGCAATTTATAAAGGAAAGAAGTTTAATGGACTTATAGTTCCACATGGCTGGGGAGGTCTCACAATCATGGCAGAAGACGAAGAAAGAGCAAACATATGTCTTAGATGGCAGCCGTCAAGAGAGCTTTGTGCAAGGGAACTCCACTTTATAAAAAGCATCAAATCTCATGAGACTTATTCACTACCAGGAGAACAGTATGGGGGAAGACTGCCCCCATGATTCAATTACCTTCCACCGGGTCCCTCCCATGAGAGGTTGGAATTATGGGAGATACAATTCAAGATGAGATTTGGGTGGGGACACAGCCAAACCGTATCACTGGGTATTTTTAACTTAAGTAGTGTGTTCTTTCCAACACATCATAGTTCATTAGCTCTTTGAATGTCTGAAAAGGCAGCCAGTGCATCATGCAATCCTGCAACACATCTGCATCTGTAGGTAGGTGCAGTGCCTGCAGGTGATAGCCCTGTCAATGGATGCCTACTGCTATTTTCATGGAGGAAGCTAATGACATTCAGTATAAATTACAGCAATTTCCTCAGGATGAAAAATTAGCCTCCTAGACTCTTAAAAACATGAAGGTGTTCCACAGTGATTATGTTGTGAAGAACTAAATCTTGAGACATTAGAAACATGCTCCAGGAGCTGCAAAGTAATTGCTTAGCACTGTTCGTTCTCTTTCCTGCACATTTTGGCATAACTCTAGTGTGTTTATACAACTCATTATGCTAAATACACTATGTTGCAATTATTTAGATATGAAAGTGGTAGAGGCTGTATCAAATATATGATTTGCTGTTTTCATGTAAAAAGGCAGGCATCACACTGTGTTTATTCAATTTGATCAGTATTTCACCTGAAGAAATATTGGAGCAATCAGCCTAAAAAGAACAGACGTAGGTCTTGTTGTGAAAACAAAGATGAATGAGAAGATGCTGTTTAAAGCAATGACTGGGAAGTATAAAGATGTAAAGTACAGAATGTTGCAATCAAGGTAATAAAACTGAAAATTACTTAGTAGTAAATGTTGCAGTCATTTCTTTGTGTTTCTCCGTTGTATGTAGACTCCTTGGTGGAAAGTTTTTTAATTTTTTTTTCAATCCCAATGCCTGTTGCATAGTAGATATTTAATAAAATCAGTAAGAAATCAGGAAGGAAGTGAGGAAAATCAAAGAAGAGAAAAAAGGAAGAGAGACAGAGAGAAAAGAAGGAAGGAAGGAACAGAGAGAGGAAATGAAGGAAAGAAGGAATGTTGGGAGGTAGGAAGGAGGGAAAGGAGAAAGAAAGGAAGGGAGGAAGGGAGGGAAGGAAGGAGGGAAGGGAGAAAGGATGGAAGGAAGGACGGAAGGAAGGAAGGAAGGGAGGGAGGGAAGATTGGGAAAAAGTGAGAAAGGAAGGAAGAGAGGGAGGGAGGGAACGAAGGAAAGAAGGAAGGTTAGGAGGGAAGAAGGAGGGAAAGGAGAAAGGAAAGAAGGGAGGGAGGAAGGAGGGGAAAAGGCAGGAAGGAAGAGAGGGAGGGAGGGAAGGAAGGAAAGAAGGAAGAAGGGATAAAAAGGAAGGGAAAGAGGAAGGAAGGAAAGAGCAGACAGAGGGAGGAAGGAGGGGAAGAAAGAGAGAAAGGAAGGAAGCAAGCTCAGGAGAAAGCCTATATTAATTAGGATTTGCAGCGTTAGTGGAGATGTCACAAAGAATGAATCATTTAGGCTCTAGTTTGAAGTACCCATTGATTTAGTGTCTCAGGGGGAGGGGAGGGAGAAAGAAGTAGGCAATCAGTTGATATCACAAGAGGGAATAACAGCATTTTACCTAATGTTGATTTAAAGAAAAATACCCTGACCCAGTGTTACTGTGAAATCTGGTGCTGGCATTTTGCAGCGGTTGGACATTGATAAATACAAATATGGTCAGAAGTATGCCCTAGGAGGATGACTATGGTGTTCAGGCTTGAAGAAGTTTGCAGGATGGTGTGGAGTGGGGAGAGATTTATGAAAAAAGACACACCAGCAGGCCATTGCCTTATGTCAATTTTGTCATCTTTGATGCATATGGTTTTCATTTATGGAGATGTCCAAATAATGGAATATTCTACTCAACCCTTCTTCCTAGTTACACAAGCACATGTGTGAAATAAGGGTCAATGCCAATACCCTGACCTCAGGGCATCCTTTCTGAACCTCCAGGAGCCTGGATTGCATCCTGTGTCAGTGGGTCAGGGGCTGTGGGCTACCCTAGAAAGAACAGGAGACAGCACAACCTCCCAGATTATCTGGTTCTCTGGCCAACAAAAATTCTCCACTTCCACATGAGCCCTTGGCAGCCAAGGGAAATGCATCTGGAGTTGGATGTTGTCATTATGCTTAAATTTATTTGTGATTATGAAGAGATAGGTTATAGTGGTATTTCTTCATGGGAGGGTGGAAGGAAAATATCTTGGGGCCCCAAATCTATAAGCTAAAGGGAAAATTCAAGCTGGGAACTGCTTAGGGCCAACCTGCCTCCCATTCTATTCAAATTCACCCCTGTGCTCACTGAGATAAATGCATATCAGATTGCCTCCTTTGGAGAGGCTCATCAGAAACTCAAAAGAATGCAATCATTTGTCTCTCACCTACCTGTGGCCTGGAAGATCCCTCCCGACTTTGAGTTGTCCCTCTTTTGCTTTGAGTTGCTCCACCTTCCTGGACCGAACCAATATTCATCTTACACATGTTGATTGACGTCTCTTGTCTCCCTAAAATGTATAAAACCAAGCTGTGCTCTGACCATCTTGGGCACATGTCATCAGGATCTCCTGAGGTATCACGGGTTTGTGTCCTCAACCTTGGCAAAATAAATGTTCTTAATTAACTGAGACCTGTCTCAAATTTTCAGGGTCAAAAGGAGTGACCTAAGGCACTTTACTTACCAATTTTTATTGTCATGAACTTTGAGTTCCATGAATTCACCTTAGCTTTGAATATGGTTTGGTATTAGAGAAGGACAACTTGTTCTCAATGCTTACTTATTAAAATGAATTGCCTACAATAAAAAAGGTGTTATATTTTCCCAGCCCTCTTGTCAAACCTGGTAGCAGTTTCACACTATGTTATTCATTTATTACAGACATGAAATACATTGGGATATCTGGCATGTCAAAACAGATAAGTTTTGGCCGGGCGCGGTGGCTCACGCCTGTAATCCCAGCACTTTGGGAGGCCAAGTCAGGCGGATCACAAGGTCAGGAGATCGAGACCATTCTGGCTAACACAGTGAAACCTCGTCTCTACTAAAAATACAAAAAATTAGCCGGGCATTGTGGCGGGCGCCTGTAGTCCCAGCTACTCGGGAGGCTGAGGCAGGAGAGTGGCGTGAACCCGGGAGGCAGAGCTTGCAGTGAGCCAGGATCACGCCACTGCACTCCAGCCTGGGCAACAGAGCAAGACTCTGTCTCAAAAAACAAAACAAAACAAACAAACAAACAAACAAAAACAGGTAAGTTTTACTGAGATATAATTTGCCAGTAGGAACTTTTGGGGGGTTGATGCAATTATTCCCTATCTTGATTTTAGTGGTGGTGATGTGATTACCCAGCCTTGTTAACTAACGTGGTAATAGATACACTTTGATCAAATAAATCCTAAAATTAATATCTGAGTGATGCACCACCAAGTCAACCTATGAAAAGGTTAACGGGCACAAATGCATCCTTTGACTGATGCTGCAAGCTGTTGGATTTCCACTATCCATGCTGTGCTGCTATGGTTAATACTAACCATGAAATGGTTAATACTACACATGCTATGCTGATATGGCTACCAGCGAGCCGGGAACGTCTCTTCTACTCACAAAGTGTTTTTGCTTATTTTTCCTCTTCATGACAAATGCAGGAAGTAGGAAAATTACTGCCTCCATTATGCAGAGAAGGAAAAGAAGTGATCTTTTAGACCTAAAATGCTCTTTCTCTCCTACATCTTTGGCAGTGTCAGGGGCTGGAGTGAATTAAAGACCATGGATTTTCATTATAATGATGGACTGCCTGAGCATCTCTGCTAATGTTTTACAGGCCTTCCTTACAGCACTTTGTTGTTGCCCTGAATTCTTGAGTTTCTATGCTCTCTCGAGGTTGTTATTGTTTCTCTGGGGTCATATCTCTGAAAATTAATATGGCAATGCAGAAAATATGATGTCAGTTACCTACAACTTATCGGAACAGTTTCACCTACGGCTTTGCACTCTTACTGTCTTTCAAGGATCTGATACCCTGAGGGGTACAGAGTGGGCAGGAAACCCTGACTGTTGAGTTTCAAGAGAAAGCTGGAATCAGGATCCAAATATGCCCAGGTAGGAGGTGTACTGTTCACCAGATAAGTTGATAAAATACAGGAAACCCTGGGTTAGTGAAATGGCTGTGTGCAACTTGGGCAAGTTTCTATGTATGCAACTTCCCAACTCTTGTTGATATGACTGACAGCAGAAGTCACCATTACCACAATTAATTTGGGAAAATAACAAAAGTTCAGCCTCATGCTTATTAAAACATAAAATTATTGTAGCTATACTTTTTTTTTTTTTTTTTTTGAGAAGGAGTCTTGCTCTGTCGCCCAGGCTGGAGTGCAATGGTGATATCTCGGCTCACTACAACCTCCGCCTCCTGGGTTCAAGTGATTCTCATGTCTCAGCTTCCTGAGTAGCTGGGGTTCCAGGTGCCTGCCACCACACCCAGCTAATTTTTGTATTTTTAGTAAAGATGGGGTTTCACCATGTTGGCCAGACTGGTCTTTAACTCCTGACCTCAAGTGATCCACCTGCCTGGCCTCCCAAAGTGCTGGGATTATAGGCTTGAGCCACCACGCCCGGCCTAGCTATACTTTTAAATGTTGCTTTAATTGAAGGTCATCATCACCTTCTAATTGGGGCAATCTGTCTCTTCTTACTTTGGTTTAAATTTGAGACATGCCACCTGTATAGTGGACAAAAACAGAGAGAGAGAGAGAAAAAAGACAAAGTAAGGTATCCAGATGCTAGCTGGCCAAGAGTTTATCTGTGTGTCCTGAATGAGTTACTTAGCTTTGCTTTAGCTTGGCTGTTCTGTGAAATAAGAAGTGAAATTGACCAGAAGTGCTTTCCTGAGGACTGCATTGGGAGAGGTCTTTGAAAGCACCTGGCCCATAATGGCATTTTGAACAATTTTCTTATTTTCCTTCCAAGTGGCACTGAAAATACTGAGTATTGTGGGGAAGAGGGTTTTATGGACATATTCCATTTAGAAAATCTTCATTTTACTTCTGTATTTTAACCTTTCCCCTATTCCTGTTTCTTTCTTGTTCTCATTTTCCTCTTTCATACAGGCTGTTACTTCTTAGTCAACATCTACAGATCTTATCCTTTGCACTGTTTGTGGGGCTTACTTAGCCTTTAGGGTGTCATTGACTGCCCTCTGGAAAACCACAAATGCTAATTAAATTTCTTGTGGAAATGTCATGTATCTTGCATAGCTTTTATTCTACCTAAACTAATTTGCAATAATTTGTTCTTATCAACAGCCCTGTTAATATTTCTAGGTGTCTACTGTGTAATGAACAAAGCCTGCTTCAGGGTCAAAAAAAAAAAAAACTAAGTAAAGAAAGAATCATATGAAACTTTCCTATTTGCAGATGTTTCGATTGCTGCAAAATGTGTGGGATATTATGCCTCAGTGTTGTTAGAAAATATGTTTATTTAATAAGTGTAAGTTGGGTTATGCTTTAGGGGACTTAGACGATGGAGATCAGGTTTAATTCTTAAAGGGCTTGCTTTAAGAGTTAAACTAGGTCTCCGTCATCTTTTATAAGTCGCCTAAAGTAGATTATTTAGGAATTGGGGCTTAAAATTGTTCTTTGATTATTTCACCTAAACAGAGTTCTTCATACAAAATATCCCATTATTTTACAATTAATGCATGAGGAAGCTTGTCAATTTATAAACACCCAAGTCAACACATTATTATATAGAAATAAACTATAATCTCCATGGCTATCAGTGGTATGAAACGTGCACAGGAGTGCCCTATGTCCAGAGAAATGGAAGAGGTTAAGGAATTTTCTGTTTGAAGGCCAAAACATGTTAACAGAGAGATAGCCAAAATTTCTCCCTCCGTTTAATGCCACATCTGTGGCATTCTTTAAAGCTGAAGGGGTTATTTTGATTGTGTAGGGTTCTATTTGTTAGGGAGAGTACTAGGCTATGGGTATTGCCTTTGAGACAAATTATAAATTTTGGTTGAAAGGCGTCCTACATTTCAGACAAATCAACTTCAGCTTGGATTTTTTTTTTGTTTGAACACAATGCCCATTTGTGTTCAAACAAAAGAAAATCAAAAGTCTCAAAATATATAACCACTGAATTTACCCTAAGGGGGGAAACAAGCAATTCATTTATTTCAAGCACTTTTAGGTGCTACTAAATTAAATGTGCTTTGACTTCATTAGGAGTCAATTTATTGCATATTGCTTCAGTGCAAGCATGTATGAACAGAAACCCTATAGATTATGGAAAGATGAACAGGATAGAATGCCTTATCTCCAGGGGCTTGAAAACCAAAGGGAATCACTCACATTTCCAAATAAGCCAATTTAATAAAATGTCTTCATCCTTGTTATCTTTGTGGTTTTCTTTCCTCTCTTCCATCTCTCTCTTTTTCCTAAATAGGATTTTCTGAAAGAAATTGATTTTGCATATGCCTGCTGCAAACCAGGCACTGCTTACATTCTTTGTCCATTTTCTTTATGTAAAAAGACAGGGCTTAGATGTCTGTCCCCTTCGTAGTCTGTTTTCTACACATCCCTGCTCCACATATTAAAACGTATGAGATATGAAGGATTACCAGCAGAGAATATCCAATCTGCCCTGAAAGCAGCCAATTAGCAACTCCCAGTCTGTGTTAATTGCTGCCACAGTCCTCCCTGGTTTCAATCAACACCTTAGGAAAGCAATCAAAGACCTACTGGGAAGGAAGGGCCGTGCTTTTGTTCACAGCCAACGTTTATTGACAAGATGCGACCTTTAACCGTTTGATACTCCTGACGAGGCTGCACAGTGCTCATTCCTGGAGAATTCCCCCCAAAACTGGAGAGATTGCCACAGACAGAAAGGTAAGGTGACGGGGGAAATAGCTTTGGGAGAACTGTCCAAGGTGCTACCTAGTAGCCTGTAGCTCTTGACTATGAGTTGTCCAGGTCTTTGGTGTTTTTTGAACAAAGAATTGAATAAAACGTACAAACAAAAGTAGCAGAGGAATGAAACGCAGAAATGAACCAGTGAAAGTAGGAATTTATTAAGTGAGAAAGTATTCTGCAGGGTGGGAGTGGGGCTGAGTACATGGCTCAGGGGCCCATTTACAAAGTTTTCTGGGCTTTAAGAACCCCGTTTGAGGTTCTTATCAACTATCTCTTATCTGGATGAAGAATTTGGTCTGTGGTTAATTAAAGGCTGAGGAGAACTGGCGCCATATGCAGTTAAAAAGATGGTCCCTGTTAGGTCCATGGCCAATCCAGGGCATGCTCCCTTTCCATCTGAGACATGGTGGAAGGGGGAAGTTTGCAACGAGCGTACCCTTTGATCCTTTGTTACTTGGTCTGGGGAGATGCGGTTTTTCACTTTTGGTTTAGCTTTAGGAAGTCTGTGTTAATTGGCCATAGGTTCACTGTCCCCAGACCCAGGAGTTTTCCTCTTGATTCAGTTTTGGGGAGTTAGTGTGAACTGGCCTTAGATTTCCTGTCTCCAGACCTTGGTGTTTTTTCTTTTAGGAAGTTAGTATAAATTGACCTCAGATTCCCTGTCCCCAGACTGTGGTGATTTTCCTTGTGTCAGTACAAATTGGCCTTAAGTTTCCTGCCACCAGGCCCTATTTTCCTGTCTCAGAGGCAGTATGGTTATTGCAACATAAGGTCTCAGTCATTTGCTTTCCTCATAAATGGTTTAAGACCCTGTGTGAAAAAGCATCCTTAATACAGAGAGAATGAGATAGAGCAAAGAGTGTTTGCATGGTTTATTTAGGAAGATTTTTTTCTTTGAATATTAGTTTCTTTCAGACATCATTATTAACACCCTATACATTTGGGCACTTCATGCAATGATACTCATCAGAAATGTTAGTATTCACTCCCACTGCCATCATCATCAACAGCACCATTTTATTTTACCATCATTTTCATCATTCATGCAGGAAGATCAGCATAGCATAGTGTTTAAGAGCGTGGGCATTGAAGACAACTCATTATTTACATTATTTCATGACTCTATAATGACAACGTGAAGTATTATGTACAATGCATATAGAAAATAGGAATGTCATTTCAAATCGGTCTGATCGAATCAGGGAATGTTGCGAGAGACTTCCCTGACAAAATGACACTAGAGTAGATATCTAAATTGCATGGCTAAGGATGCATAAGACTAAGAGGGGCAGAGAGGAAGCAATTGTTCTGGGTGCGATCAACCTTGGGCACATGTCATCAGGACTTCCTGAGGCTGTGTCATGGGTGCGTGTCCTCAACCTTGGCAGCATAAACTTTCTAAATTAACTGAGACCTGTCTCAGATTTTGGGAGTTCACAGCCATTAGCTCAGGCCATGACTTTGCAGAGTCAGCTTAAGGAGATCAATTCTAAGCTCAGAAATCTTGTGCATATAGTGGAGAGAGGTCACCTCCAGGGGTCTGCAGTTCTCTTCATTCAGGCAGCTCTGGGGTCCTATAGAGAAAGGCGGAGGGCACACTTGATGCGAGTAATGTATGCTAATTCTGAATTTCCAACAAGTTTTATGCATGATTTTATGTACACACCAAATCTAGGCATTACAAAATTGGGCACGTATCTATTTGGACATGTAAGTATAATAATATTATATATCATGATTTAATATATGCATATATGCATATTATACATAATACATATATCAATACATGTGAATATGTGTATTTTATGCAAATAGTATCATGCCAAATGCAAATTACATATCTTTTTGTTTTCTACTTAATAGCACATATTCCAGAGCCTCCCATATTGCTACACACAAAACTGGCTCACACTTTTTCTTGGATAATACCAAAATTTAGTTCATCCACCTTGCGTTAATTGGCATTTAGGGTATTGCCAGTTTTATGCCATTACAAATAATGTTGCAATAAATTAATACTAATAGTTCATTTCACACATGATCTGGTATAACAGGATGGATTCCTAGACATTGAAATTCCTGAATCAAAGGTAATAGATATTTCTAATTTAGAGAGGTATTATCAATTGTTCTTTTTGAAGATGGGCTGTCTCTGCTCTCATTATCAATATGTGGACAGCCTACTTCCAAATGAATTGATCTTCCTAATGTAACTCCAGTCTTAATGAACATGTTGAGGTTAACCCCATTTAAACGTATTCTCATCAAAGTAATACAGAAATAGGTCAGGTGTGGTGGCTCATGCCTATAAATACAGAACTTTGAGAGGCTGAGGTGGGAAGATCACTTGAGACCAGGAGTTCCAGACCAGCTTGGGCAAGATGGTGAGACCCCATAACTTTCCTTTAAAATAAAGTTAAAAACTAGCCAGCATGGTGGCACACACCTGTAGTCTCACCTACTTGGGAGGCTGAGGTGGGAGGATCCCTTGAGCCTGGGAGTTTGAGGCTGCAGTGAGCTGTCATTGTGCCACTGTAGTCCAGCCTAGGTGACACAGTGAGACTCTGTCTCAAAAACAAAAAAAAGTAATATGGAAAGTCATACTCTTTTAAATATAAAAAATATATATGTTTATGGTTATATATATATATGGTTTTATATGTATATATATGTATGATCTGGTTATGCTTTGTGTCACCACCCAAATCTCATCTTGAATTATAATCCCCATAATCCCCACGTCAAGGGAGAGAGCAGGTGTATAATGGGGGCGGTTCCCACACGCTGTTCTTGTGATAGTGAGTGAGTTCTCACAAGATCTGATGATGTTAGAAGGTGCCCTTCCTCCTTTGCTTGCCATTCTCCTTCTTGCCGCCTTGTGAAGAAGGTGCTTTGCTTCCCTTTGCCTTCCACCGTGAGTGTAAGTTTCCCGAGGCCTCCCCTGCTATGCTGAACTGTGAGTCAATTAAACGTCTTTCCTTCATGAATTACCCAGTCTTGGGCAGTTCTTTATAGCAGATGAAAATGGGCTAATATTATATCTATATGTATATATAATATTAAATATGTATTATTATATATATAAAAGTACAATGAAACCATGAAAGTCACTCTAAACTTTCTACCATTTCCACTGCCCTACTTTATGTACCATTTTGGTATCTTTTGTTTGTTCACTGGACACTGTAGTGTACATAGATTTCTTGTCAAGTGATATGAATAGACATCACTTCCTTACACACTTTGAAAAATTCCATGACACAGTTGTGCTGTAAGCGGTTTAACAATTTTCCCAGTGATGGGCTCTTAACTTGCTCACAATGTTTCCTTTAATTGATGACAAAAATAAAAATCTGTATACAATTGCAGTAAGAGCTATTGCAATAAAATCTGTGTACATATCATTTAGTCTAGCACTGCCATTAGAAATGTGAGCCGCATATGTAACCTTAAATTTTCAAGTAGTAACATTAAAATAATAAAAAAGAATGGGATAAATTAATTTTTAAAATATATTTTATGGAACCCAATGTATACAAAGTATTACTAGGTCAATATGTAATCAGTATAAAACATCATTAATGAAATAGTTTGTATTCTTTCTTTCCTACTAGAGTTTTGAAATTTGGTGTGTATTTTGATCTTAGAGCACATATCTGTTTGAAGCTGGTATATTTCAATGGCACATGGCTACATGCAGAACTTATTGCAATTATATACAGATTTTCATTTAAAGATAACCTACTGTCATCTTATTGCACCGTGACCCTCTGCACACCAGCCTGTGTGCATTTATTCTACACACATACTATATTCACGCTTTGCAATATGGAAGTACCCCTATTCCACAGGATAAATACTGAAAAACGGAAATCGTTTACCATACAGCATTTGCACTTTTAACACTGACATAATCCAGGGACCGCTAAGTCCAGATGTATGTTAAACTCGGTGTTCCCAGTATTCCCTGTTAATCAGAACACTTTATGAACCTATGGTAGGATGTTTTCAAGGGATAACCTCGGGCAAAGAATAGTGCTGAACATGACGCAAAAATATCCCCGGATGTAGCCACACTGAACCAATGCCCCGCTTCATCTGAGACATGGCCTTCTTGTGATGGCTGAAGGCTGCAACAGCTGTTGCATTTACTGTTAATTTAGACATTATGAAATTGGCCATTAAGATGTTATTAAAAATTTACTAAGGGAAAGCAGCCAGTGGTCACATATTCAGAGAAATACTAAATCCCTGCCACTCACCTATTGCCAAACTCTCCTTAAGTCTCTGATGACCTTCAGTAGTTTATAATTAATATTAAATAAGGCTTTCGGGTCACAGACATCCCATCTCATTTTAATCCATGAAGGAGAAACCACTGCAGGATACTCCCTTATGGGAAGATATTAAAAGTTACTTTATTTCACCTGAATAGAAAAACTGCAATTAAGCCCTTGGCCTTCAAGTGAGCAGAACTAATTAATTAGCTTGAAAGGGCATCTGAAACATCTGAGGAACCTTATAAAAGTCTCACCTTATTTGACATCTGCAAAGAGTGACATGCTTTAACTAAAGCAGTATGTTAAGGATGATAGTAAACTTAACCCATTTCTGAGCCATGCTTTTCACAGCAGTGGACATGACATAACTGGAGAATAGACTCTTCATGAAGAAGTTACATTTGTCAAATGTGATGCTTAAGGCATGAAAGAAAAGCACCTGTGATATAATTTGTTTGAGTCAGTGTCAATGCACTGATAAAACAATGTACAGTTACAAATATAGTCCGCTTTATGAAACATCTCTCCGTCTACCAGCAGGAAATGTTTTTTGGTTTATTTTAATTTACCAAAGAGTATTCATGTGATTACAGGCAGTGCAGAACAGAAAATGTTATATAAAGGTTTATAAGTTGTGGATATTAGTCAACAGTTCTTGGTAATAAAGATTGGTGCTTGGTAGCCTTGAGAATATGGTTAATTCCAGGGGGAGGTGAATATCTGTGTTGTGTTAGTTTAAAGGGAAAGACAAGTGAAGGAACACCATACAGGTTGGGGGATAGTATGGGATTTATCTGGGACAAAGAATTTCTTCAGCTGGGTTGTGACATACAAAAGGCAAAACCTGAAGGACACCTAAATTATTTTTTTAGTAAGAAAAAGGAATTTCTTATAAAACAGGTAGAAATGGATTTGGAATGTGAAAATAATACTGTTCTATCAGCAAAAGAATGGCCTCCCAAGGACAAAGAGATAAATGTCAAACAATTTTTAAAAATATATTTAGCAAAATAAATGAAAAATTATAAGGGCATACACTTTGAGCGTCATACAAGTAAGATATATGTGCACATAACCAGTGTTAACAAACTTAATAGCTTTTACAAAAGAAGTAATGAGAATAAGATAATATGCTTTTACTCTTTTTCATAGATGGCTCTAGCATATTTCTATGATTAAAAACCATAATTGAAATATGGATTGCTACAGTTATTTTAATCAAAAATGTAAAGCCCCATCTCAACTCAGTTAAATAAACCTTGAGTAACTGAAGAAACAACATATGCATAGAATTCATTCATTGGTAGTGTCTATGCCAAATGACTAATTAATTCAGATTTAATCAATGACAGATTTGTCATCATTGAAACAGGAGTTGGGTTGATGTTCATACACTTCTTTAAACAACTTGCTTGAAAAAGTAATAACACATTTCTGAGTACTTAAACCATCTTAGAATAGTAGAAACTAAAAAAGAAATCTCAACTAAGTCTCAAGTGCTAGTATGTTAATATTAAATCATATCTTCTACTTTCATAAACAGATTCTCCTAAGTGAACCTACAAGGAAATCCTTTAATGGCCTATACACAGTACTCTCTGCTCTTGGAAATAACTTGATAACAGGAAAAATTTTACAATTCATGTATCCTATTAATTCATAATGCCCTCTTTCAAATTGCCCAGATAATTTGTATTTCACTATGTTAAAACTCAATATTAACGTGTCTTAAAGTTATATTTGCCTTTTCTTTTGAGATGTTGTGGTAAGGATCAAAACAATGCCCAAGATTCATTCATTCATTCTCTCTCTCTCTCCTCTCTCTCTTGCTCTCTTTTACACCTTTAGATTACAGGCTGGTATTTTTAATTATCAATATGAGTGTGAATGATGTGTTTTAAGTAATTTGTCTCGCAGGCTCTAGAAAACATGGATTATTTAAAGGAAACCATGGCCCCACTTTTGCATTTCCAGAGTTACACCATTTTCTCCTTTGCAACGACTGTGTATTAAATGTTTCCAGCGGATTGCTGTCAGCTTGTGTTCTGTGATAAATCATGCCTGTGTTTCTATCTGTAGGTGTTAGCCGATGGAGCAGAAATAACACAATCGCAGCAAGGTCTGTGTCCTACACACCAGGAAGTGGCAATGGGAAGGCAGGTTGTTTTCTACAGAAAAGGCATCGTCTTACTACCCATAATTTTTCTCAATACTTGGGTCTAAATTCACAGTAGTAACAGTATGGAACTAGGGTGCCCCCAGAAAGCATACGAATCCACTCAAAATCATAGCAATTTTTACACTGTGTATAGCAATGAAGATACTAATGACTTTTGTCCTCTGTTCTCAGTGTGGAAAAATGCATTACACTACACGCTTTGAGTCTTCAAATGTGTACTCAAATAAAACCAGATGAGTACGTATCAATTAATCAACAGCAAATATACATTTCAGATCATGTACATAGAAGCTTGGCACTCAGGAGATAGCTAATGTTAATTGACATCTTACTTGTAACCAACTGTCTAGTCAGAGTTTGACATGCATCGATTCATTCAATCCTCACGCTATTCTGTAATAAGATATTGTTATGGACTTCATGTTTTTCCCCCACCAATTCATATATTGAAGTCCTTACCCACAAGGTGATCGTATTATGAGGTGGGGTTTTGGGGAGGTGATTAGGTCATCAGGGTGAAGGCTCCATGAATGAGTGCCCTTGTCCCTTCCACCATGTGAGGACACAGTGAGAAGGCGCCATCTAGGAACCAGGAAATGGGTCCTCAACAGACACTGAATCTGCCACACTTTGATTTTGGACTTCGAGCCTCCAGAACTGTGAGCAATAAATGTCTATTATATGTAAGTCGCCCTGTAAATGGTATTTGTGTTACAGCAGCCAGAACTAAGACAGATATTATTCCCATTTTTTTTTAGATCAGGAAATCTGTTGACTTTCTTAGATCAACAGTCAAGCAGGTGGGTGACCAGCTCTTCTAAGGGACATATTCCAGATCATCTCACCTTGACTCCTCTGGGTTTCCTCACTGCAGCACGTTTCCAAAAAGCAACATAAAATGAAAATGAGAGCATGATGCTAAGTGGGAAAAAAATAACAAACTTCTCAGAAGATTATATATGCTTCCCTTTGCATAACATCTTTATTTTATTTTATTTGGCAAATAATAATTATACATATTCATGGGTCACATAGTCATATTCTGATATACAGTGATCAGATCAGAGTAATTAGCGCATGCATTGTCTCAAACATTTTTTTTTGTTAGGAACATTTAATATCCTCCTTTCAGCTATATGAAACTGTATAACACATTATTGTTAACTGTAGTCACCTTCTAGGGCTATAGAACACTCGATCTTATTTCTCCTATGTAGTTGTAATTTTGCATCCTTTAACAAATATGTCCTTCCCCGCTTTCGCACTTCTCTTCCCAGCCTCCGGTATCTTCTGTTTACTTTTTGCTTCTATGATATCGGCTATTTTTTAGCATCCACATTTGAGTGAGAACATGCAGTGTTTGGCTTTCTGTTCCTGTCTTATTTCACTTAGCATAATGTCCTCCAGTTCCATCTGTGCTGCTGTGAATGACAGGAAAAGATTATAGACAGAACTGGCTAGTGGTTGCCAGGCATGAAGGACAGAGTGTGGGGACTGCTGAGATTACAATAATCCCCTTAGAGGGAGGTGTTTGTGGCCATGGAGTAGTTCTATATATTGGTGGTGGTAGAGATTACATAAATATATGCATGTAGTAAAACTCTCTCTCTCTCTCTCTCTAACACACACACACACACACAGACACACGTGTATATAAATTCTAAATAAAGTCTCTATATTGTATCAATGCCAATTTTCTAGTTGTGTTATTGTACTATAGTTATGCAGGATGCTACCATTGGGGGCAATGGAACAAAGAATACCTACAACCTCACTGAACTTTTGTCTTTTTTTTGTTTTTGCAACTTCCTGTGAATCCATAACTGTTTCAAAATAAAAAGTTTCCAAAAGTTTATGAGGGTTGCCTGATATCAACCCTCTTAAGTCCATGATGGTCTTTTACCCAGGATGGCAAACAAACAGGGCATGTGGAAATTACCCTTATAATTCATATTTGAAAGAAACTGTTCATTTTACTATCCGAGGTAAATAAGTTAGTCTTAAAAATTAAAAATAGAGGCCAGGCGTGGTGGCTCATGCCTGTAATCCCAGCACTTTGGGAGGCTGAAGTGGGCGGACCACCTGAGGTCAGGAGTTCAAGACCAGCCTAGCCAACATGGGGAAACCCCATCTCCAATAAAAATACAAAAATTAGCTGGGTGTGGTGGCAGGCGACTGTAATCCCAGCTACTCGGGAGGTTGAGGCAGGAGAATTGCTTGAACCCGGGAGGCAGAGGTTGCAGTGAGCTGAGATCACACCACTGCACTCCAGCCTGGGTAACAGAGCAAGACTCGATCTGAGAAAAATAAAAAGAAAGAAAGAAATTAAAAATAGAGACAAAAATCCTCCACTCCTAAGCTCATAGTCAGGATGAGAAGGCAAGACATAAAGATATTTTCATTTATTATTAACACTTATGGAAAATACACGTTTTCTGCTATAAGTTAAATTTACCTTTAAATAATCCCAAAAAATAGTAATAGCATTATTGTATTTTAAGTGTATTAAGTGCTGTAACAAACTTAGCCACAAACTTAGTCGCTTAAAACAAGACAAATTTATTATCTCATACTCTAAGACCAGAGGCTGAAATAGATCCACAGGGCTCTGTATCTTCCAGAAGATTTTAGGGATGATCAGTTTTCTTGCCTTTTCCATTCTCTAGAGAATCCAACCTCTCTCTCTGACCTTCGTGTCAATCCTAAAAACCCCTCTCTCTGACTCTGACCCTCCTGCCTTCAGCTTAGAAGGACTTATGATGATATTGGATCCACTCAGAAAACTTAGTGTACTTTCTCCATCTCAAGATCTTTAAGTAAATAACATCTGCAAAGTTCCTTTTGTATGTAAGGTGCCAGACTCACAGATTCCAAATCTTAGGTTTTGGTCATATTTGAGAGCCATTACTCGGCCTACCAGAGTAAAGTCAGATAAAGTAGCATGAAGAAATGAGCTTCATGTTAGCGTTCTTTTTTTTTTTTTCTTTTTTTGAGACAGGGTCTTGTTCTGTCATCTATGCCAGAGTGCAGCAGTGTGATCAGAACTCACTGCAGCCCCAACTCCTGGGCTCAAGCAATCCTCCTGCCTCAGCCTCCCTAGTAGCTGAGACCACAGGTGTGTGCCACCAAGCCTGGCTAATTTTTTATCTTTTTTTGGAGATGAGGTCTCACTATGTTGCCCAGGTTGGTGTCTGGCAACATGGCTGCCCCCACATATCCCCACGTGTGTAGAACATCATGGCGCCCTGCATTTGCATATTAAAAGGCTAGGGCGGGCGGGGGGGCAGCTTTTTCACAGGCTATGTGAATGACATGCCTGGTCAAACCAATTCCCTGAGCCCTATGCAAATCAGATACCGCCTCCTCCAGCCTCCTTATAAAACTGGCTGGTAACCATGGCACTTGGGGTCTCCTCTTTTGGCTTTGGAGACCCCCTCCCTCTGTCTCTGTATGGGGGAGCCTCTTCCTTCTGCTTTCTCTTTTCTTTCTTGCCTATTAAACTCTCTGCTCCTTAAAACCACTCCATGTGTGTTCATGTTGTTTTATCTAATTCAACATGAGACAAGAACCTGGTGTCCCAATAGTCATCGGAGCCATATTACTTCTGGATATAATAGCAATAGGCACAGCTTTAACTTTTTTCCTTGTTTTGTTGCTTTCAAAATATTTTCACTTGCATCTTTCAATTTTGATGTTAGTTAATCTTTGTAGAATTGTATTGTTGATTCTCATGGATAGGTGAAGAAATTCAGTATCAGGAATTTTAATTCCTTGAGCAAATGAGTCCTGCTATCACCAGTATCACCTTCATACAGGCTGTGGAAAAGCTAAAATCTTTGCACAGTTACCCTGAAATTTGAAAGCAGGAACTCGAACAGGTATTTGCACATTCAGGTTCATAGTGGCACTATTCCCAATAGCCAAAAGGTAGAAGTAACTCAAGTGCCCATCAAAGGGAGGAATGGATAAACCTAATGTGGCATATATGAACAACAGATTATTCAACCTTAAAAAGGGGAATTCTGACACAGGCTACAACATGGATGAACCTTGAGGACATTATGCTAAGTGAAATAAGCCAGATACAAAAGGACAGCTATTGTGTGATTCCACTTACAGGAGGTACCTGGAAGAGTCAAATTCATAGGATGGTTGCCAGGGGAAAGGGGAAGGGGGAGGAAGAATGGGGAATTCAGATGTAAAGAATGCAGGATTTAAGTTTGGGATGAAGACAAAGTTCTGTGGGTGAATGGTGGTGGATGGATATCAATGTGAATGTTCTTAATGCCTCTGAACTGTACACTGGTGGTTACAATAGTAAAATGTATTAGTCAGGGTTATCTAGAGGGACAGAACTAATAGGATAGATGTATATATAAAGGGGAGTTTATTAAGGAATATTAACTCAGACGATCACAGGATGAAGTCCCACAATAGGCCGTCTGCAAGCTGAGGAGCATGAAAGCCAGTCCAAGTCCCAAAACCTCAAAAATAGGGAAGCCGACAGTGCAGCCTTCGGTCTGTGGTTGAAAGTCCAAAAGTCCAAAAGTCCCAAAGCTGAAGAACCTGGAGTCCGACGTTCAAGGGCAGGAAGCGTCCAGCATGGGAGAAAGATGGAGGCTGAAAGACTAAGCCAGTCTAGTCTGTCCATGTTCCTCTGCCTGCTTTTTATTCTATCCGTGCTGGCAGCTGATGAGATGATGCCCACCCAGATTGAGGTGGGTCTCTCTCCCCGAGTCCATTGACTCAAATGTTAATCTCCTTTGGTAACACCCTCACAGACACACCCAGGAACAATACTTTGCATCCTTCAATCCACTCAAGTTGACACTCAATATTAACCATCACATGTACGCAATGCATATTGTACCCCAGTAAAAAAAAAAAAAAGTCATATTGTGGACTTGTGTTTGCAGATTTAAAACACTGAGCTCCAGGAATTTTTTGCAGGAGAGATAATGAGACAGGTGCCAGTAACCCTCATTTGGTGACCCCTCTTACCCTTGAGCTCCCACAGGGCAGGGCAAAGCTCATGGGACTGGATAAGATTAGAATCTCTACACATATTAGGACAAAGGCGGGCAGGTTTTGAGAAGTAAGAAGGTTCCAGGTGTGAGGCTGGACACATATGCTCCTGAAAGGCATATCCATCCATGTAAGGGCAGATCAAAAACCCTGAGGCTTTTCCTCATGTTCTCTGTCCATATAGCCAGAAAGATTTGCTCTCTATGGTCTAAGTCAGAATTCAGGTTTCAAATTTAAGTGCAAAGTTTTGCAGTGGGAGAAGGGAGGGTGCTTATTTGCAAGGTGCCAAGTGAGGAGAATCGGGCAGTTCCTGCTTACGTCCTGACGTCCCTGATGGCTTGCAAGCAAGGATTTTTAAAGGCAGGGGTGGATTTCAGGAAAATGGAAGCTACAGGCAAAATCAGAACCAATACACGGAGGTTATGCATCAGTTTGACCTAAAAGGGCAGGATATCTTGAAGTGGAGGCTTATAGGTCACAAGTGGATTCAATGATTTTCTGATTTGCAATTGGTTAAGAACGGGAAGCTTTGTCTAAAATTTTGTGGTCAACAGAAAGAAATGTTCAGTCTGGCTTGTGGGCTTCCCAGGCCCCTTAGGAAGAAATTTCGAACAAAAATGGGAGGTCAGGATTCAGTCTTCAATTCCCCTGTATCTGAGGTCTGCGTGGCAGAGGATCCGTTTGGTAGAGGTCTAGATTTCTGAAAAACAACTGAGGGGCATATGTTAAGATGTTATCTTTAGTTTCTACAGGTAACTGAACATCTCATGACTCTAGCTTCCTTGGCTATTGTTTTAGGCTACTATTACCTTCTTGCTTGTCACGTTGCTCATTTACTCCTCAGGGCCAGCTAGGTGCCTGGAGTCTCCCCTGAAAGAACTCAAGATTTTCCTTTATTTTCATGCTCAGCGCGGGGGTGCGGCAGAGGTCCCTGCTCTGTCTCACTGGGACTATCAAGTGTCTGGTACAGAAAATAGAGCAACTCAATGCAGTTGCCGGTTTCAGAGCATTCTTGAATTGATCGTGAAACAGCTTTCCAGGTGCGATCGTATAAAGGATCATTGGCAGCTGTGCAGCTTGTCAGCTAGCTGCAGAAACCCAGGTGTCATGCTGACAGCTTCAGTGTTAATAGCCTTTCAGGTGAGCAGTGGGGGGCAGGAGAACAGAGCTGTGCTTTCCATAGATCATGCAGAGACCATGAAGACATCAGCTGCTGTCTTTTTTTTTTATGATTGAATAAAATGTGACATTTATTTCAATTCGATGTATTGAGCACTTACACAGACAAGCACTGGCAAATGCAGTCCCCATACTTAAAAAGCTCCTAAGCCAGTCAGGGAGGCAAATATCCAACCATATCAGTAAACTTCATGTGAGGATTGAGGCATATGTAATAAACTATGGACACAAAACCAGGCAGGAAAGATATACAATATTTGCAGACCTCCTGAGCCATCCTCTCATCCTGACTAGTTGTAATAAATTCAGTTTCCTCTTGTGTTAGATTAACTCCCTTCAGGACAATGTTTTTATTTTGTGACTTTGTCATTGAACTGATTTATTTCACCCGTTTTTAAAATTTTGCTTTGTGACTGCTTCTGAATGTTTGTGACCTAAAGCTGATTAGGATATGGGTTACTTGTTTCTCAAATTTAATATGCACACAGATTGCTGTGGCATGTAGTTAAAATGCAGATTCTTTTTCTGCAGGTCTCGGGTGGGGCCTCTTCCTAACAAGCCTCCTAACGATATTAACACTGCTGCCATGGAGGAGAAGTTAGTGGCTGGACACACTGAAAGACACCATTTAAAACTGCAAAGCAAGATTTCTCTGTAAGATTGCATGGAAAGGCTCTCTGTAATGAGTAAGTATTCTGATGTTACAGAGTTTAAACTTTGGAATGCGGGATTCCTCAGTGGGTGAAAATGTGAATGATGTATAACAAATACACAGTGAGAAGAGAGGGAAAAGCAAATCTATCATCTATCTATCTATCTATCTATCTATCTATCTATCATCTATCTATCCATCCATCCATTTATCTATCTATCCATCCATCCAACTATCCATTTATGTATCTATCTATCCATCTATCCATCTACCTGTGTGTTCTTCTGTCTGTCCATCCGTCCGTCCATCCATCCATTTATGTATCTATCCATCGATCCATCCATCCATCCATCCATTTATCTATCACTCCATCCATCCATCTATTTATGTATCTATCCATCCATGTATCCATCCGTCTGTCTGCCTGTCCGTCTGTCTGTTCGTCCTTCCATCTGTCCATCCATCCATCATCCATCCATCCATCCATCCATTTATGTATCCATGCATGCATGCATCCATCCATCCATCCGTCTGTCCGTCCGTCCGTCTGTCCATCCATCCATCCATCCATCCATCCATCCATCCATCCATTTATCAATCCATCTATCCATCCATTTATGCATCTATCCATCCATGTATCCATTTATGCATCTATCCTTCCATGTATCCATTTATCTATCTATCTATCTATCTATCTATCTATCTATCTATCTATCTATCTATCCATCCATCCGTCCTTCCATCTGTCCATGCATCCAGCCAGCCAGCCATCCGTCTCTCTATCTGTGTAAATGCATGTATGTACTTATGTACACACAAAGTCAAAATGCACTAGCCTGTAAATTATATCTTAACAAAAAAAATTTCTTCTAGAGGTTGAGAGTAAGAAATGGAAATGAATACAATGACAGCAGAGGTGTTGTTTCAGTGAATCTGTGGTGCTTGCATCAAATATGTATGTCCTAAAAATGAATTGAGCAGCTGTTCAAATTCAAAATACATGTATCCCACCCTACTTTTAAAAAAATAAAGTCAGAGCAATTATGTGGCCACTGGACCAGTTCTGGACCCCGGTTAAATTAGAAAGAGATTTCAGGCCACTGATTCTGAGCTGTTGGAATATTTTAACAAGGAAGTGAACTTAGAAATCAAGGTCTCTATGGTTTGTGACACCACTTACTCTGAAAAGTTTTACCAGAATGCATGATAAGGCAGTCGTCTTGTAAGCTCACATTTCACATGGGGACTCCAGCCTTGAACAGGAAGCAAATGCGTGTGCACTGGACTCTCAGTTCCACTTTCCCCCAGTCTCGCGAATAACCACAGTGCCTAAAAATATCCTTCATGCAAAGCTTTGCATGGTCTTATCTTTTCATCTCTGGACATCTTCCCTCTGAATTCCCTTCCAGGGTTTCTAAGGCTTCTCTGCTTTTTGTATGTGTAACATTTCCCTATCAGTTGGAAGTGTCCATCAAGAAAAATGGCAAGACGAGTCTCAACCATTTTAGAAGGTTTATTTGTCAAAGTTAAGGGTGCACGCCCAGGAGACAGGTCTATGCCTTTCTCTGAAGATAATTTTGAGGGCTCCAAATTTAAAGGGAAAAGGGCGAGATATTGAGAAGTACACAATTTTCATGTAAGAGGCAGGTAGGGAAAAATAGTTATTCATGCCTTTGTCTGGTACAGTGAATCTGCATCTTTTTACATAAGGTGACAGACAATTGTGGCAGAGGAAAAATGCAGGGAATCTGCATGTTACATAAGATAACATAGACAAAATGGGGCAGGGGAACAATCAGATACTCATTTGTGTCTGGTGGGCCAGAGGCGACTGCACCTGTAAAGATAAGCTATCATTGCCATGGTGAAATTTTAACAGAAACACCTTAGGGTAAAGATCTTTTTACCCTAGATCTTTTTATCCTAGATTATTAGGAAATCTAATTCCTGATGGATTTTCCTTGTGGGCAAAATATGCAGGAGGCATGTAGCTTTTCATCTTGCAGCCATCTTATTTAGGAACCCTGCAAAACAGGGAGGCAGGTTTGCATGACCCAGTTCCCAGCTTAACTCTTCCCTTTGGCTAAATTTTAATTTGGAGTCCCAAAATTTAATTTTCTTTCACAGAAGTGTAAGTACTGTTTAAAATGTCTTTCCTTTTAAAGAAGTAAACTGAAAATAACTTGGATGACACAAGTGGTCAAAATTCTTTGACTGACTCTTCCTAAGAAAGAAACTACTGAGATTAACTTCAGGTCACCTGGTTTTACAAAAGAGCTGCATTTGTCTTGTATTTTCCACAGAATTGTTGGAAATAGATAAAACATTGGCAAAACCTAGCAGCCCATCGATCTAAAAGCATCTTTCATTACATGTAAAAGAGAGTTGGTTTCATAAATGCTCTACAGTAGTTACTATAAACACAATCCCCTGAGGCTCTTGTTCCCAACGGGTGTTTTGAGATGAAACTGCAGGTGCTAGGCTCAAGGTGAGCGACGGTCTTTGATGTATATACAAAGGTTCATGCCTGAAAATGTTGACGCATATTTTTAGACCTTTATTTAAAATTTAACATTATCCCTTTATGGACTATTCAGAATTATCTGACTGTCCTTGCCTTTGTTCAGGTGATATAATCAAATGTTCGTTCAAACGATGATCTCTTGTTACCAGCCTTGCTTCCAACAATTTTTTTAAACTAATTGAAAATAAAATCTGACCATATTTTTATGTTCGAAATACCCTTCCAAATATCAAAGAAGGAAAAAATCATATATACATTAGTACATTTAAAATTGCCGAAAGCGTGCCTTTCAGATATGTACCTCGTTCAACATAAATACCTCACCATGTTTCCTAATAATAAATAATGAATAATTCCCATATCTTTCTTAGGACAGACTCGACGTCTTTCTTTCTGTGTGTAAGAGACCAAAAGTGCATGCAAGTCTTTGAAATGTTTAAACAGAGCTTTAGAAGCTTTTAAGAGAAGAAAATTATTTTAGGTAATGGAGAGAAAAGGAAACAGTCATGTCAAATATTGCTAGGCAAAATGTGAGTGAATCTCAAATGTGCTATCAGTAGCATTCAGAGGAATATGCTTTATCTAAGCTGGTGTGGGAAGATTACTGCTCCTAATCTTACCAGCACCAGATCCAGCACTACTGCAAGTACTGCTGTAACCACCTGAGGGGTTCTTTCTGCCCACTGCGTAAAGACCACTGCATTGTGTAGAGAAAGAGTTTAACAGACATGAGGCCAGCCACGCTAAGTGGAAGACGGAGTTCCTAGCCAAATCATCTCGTCCAAAGCTCTTAGGTTAGGGGTTTTTCAAAGGCAGTTTGGGGGAAGGGGTGGGGGTGGCCAGGTAACAGGCGCTTGCTGCTGATTGGTTGGGGCGGAGATGAACTCATAGGGTATCCAAGCTGTCCTACTGTGGGTTGAATCACTTCTGGATGGGGCTACAGGAGCAGGGTTGGCAGTCCAGGTGGAGCCATCAGGGTCCAGGTAGAGCCGTGGGCGTCAGACATGCAAAAAACCTGGAACGCTACCTCAAAAGGCCAATCTACAATAGTGGTGTTATTTGCAGGAGTGATTGGGAATAATAGCTGAAAACTACTTATGTCTGCACCTTCGCAGGACTCTTCTCCTCTGCCCAGCCTAATGGCCTCCATTAGCTTTATAAAAGCGGTTGAGTTTGGGGACAAGGCCTATTATCATTTAAACTATAGCTTCAATGTCTTCCAAAGTTAGCTTGGCCCGATAGCTCAGGAATAATTAAGGGGAAGGCAAGATAGGGGGTGGGTTAGCTTAGCTTACTGTTAAAATATTTTCTCACTGATACGATTTTCGCAAAGGTGGTTTGGTTACACTACAACTACTTGTACTGAAGTGGAAATAACTTTTATTGAGTTTGTGGTGCGTATCAGTTCTCTTTTTAAGGGCTTCACCTGTAACAACCCATTTCATCTTTGTAAGGATCCTATGGGTTAGGTCTTATTACTGTTCCAATATTGTGAATGAGTTAAGTGGTGCTATATTGTATAGACCTGTGTTTGTGTATTACTACTTGTTCTTGCTGTCACACATTTCATGTTCCTCTGCTCTTTTCAACTGCTTGTTCTGTAGACTTGGAGAGCCAGCATCCGACATAAAAATGATAGTCTTATAGAGTTTGTTAATCAGCTCTCAACACTGTGTAAGAATAGACCCCTGGATCGGCTTCTGTGATTGCATTTTGCCGGATATACTAACTAAATTCCCCCAAATTTGGTTTATACCCTGAATGGACTAATTTGCACTATTAAAAATCATGTGATAGAAGAATTTTTAGTGGTATGATGAAATTAAAGTGATATACATTGTAAATTTTAAAAGTGCCAATTCCACATCCAAAATAAAATACAATCTTTATTTTGGGAAACAAACCATGCACTGTACATGTGTTTATCTTTATGGGCAATTTTTTAATCTATAATTTTTTAAATTCGCTCAATATTTGAAGAGGAACATGTATTTTCACTATGTTTTCACATTCTTTGCAGGACACTGAAAACTCAGCGAGACCCTGACTGGAATATTAAAAAGAGGCCCTCCTCACTGTGTTTGACTCATTGCTACTGTTACTGGAAAGAGGCCCGAATTCAGACCCCAAAACAGGGCTCTTGGATCTCGTGCAAGAAAAAATTGGGGGTAAGTCCACAGAGTAAAGTAAAAGCAATTATTAAGAAAGTAAAGGAATAAAAGAATGTCTACTCCATAGGCAGAGCAGTGCCTTGAGCTGCTGGACTAAGGATATTTATGAAACAGTCAGGTGGGAGGGGCTCCCTAGAGAAACTCCAACCAGGTTGCCCACTGGTGGGCTCCGAGGTGGATGGAGCCTGGGGAAGTTCACAAGTTTGCAGCAGGGAGGAGCCTGGCTCCTCCTCTTCCTGTGTGAAACCTGGGATTCAAGCTGCAGGCGGGAAGGGCTCTAGCAGGGACTCTGGCTTTTTGGACGATCCCTGTTTTCCCCTTTTTTTCCTTTTTCACCCAATAAAACCCTGCTTCACTCACGCTTCAAACCATGTGCAAGCTTAAATTTTGGTAGCCATGGGATGCACAAGGACCCCATCTTTAGCTGAACTGAGGAAAAGTCCTGCAACACTTATAGTTATTTCTTGCTCATATGCCAAACAAGAAGTGGATTCTTCATAAATTTTCCAGGAAAGGGGTGGGCAATTTCTGGAACTGAGGGTTCCTCCCCTTTTTAGACCATATAGAGTAACTTCCTGATGTTGCCATGGCACCTGTAAACTGTCATGGCACTGCTGAGAGTGTCTTTTAGCATGCTAATGCATTGCAATTTGCATATAATGAGCTGTGAGGATGACCAGAGGTCACTGTCATTGCCGTCTTGGTTTTGGTGGGTTTTGGCCAGCTTCCTTACCACATCCTGTTTTATAAGCAAGGTCTTTGACCTGTATCTTGTGCTGACCTCTTATCTCATCCTGCGACTTAGAATGCCTAACCTCCTCATAATGCAGCCAAGTAAATCTCAGCCTTATTTTACCCAGCCCCGATGTAAGATGGAGTTGCTCTGGTTCAAATGCCTCTGACACTACGAATTCATCGTAATTTCTCCTGCAGATGCTTTCCAATACTGACAACTGTGCATGAATACTTCCTTTCATATTAGAAAAACAGATTACAAAGTCAATAGAATTTTCTGGGATTTTTTTGATTGTTTTTGTCTTATCCAGATGAATTGCTTTATTTTCATTTCACTCATATTGATTTGGTTTCAGTTAAAATAAAAATATTATTTCAAAGTTATTGGAGAGCAGTCCTTTTAGAAACAAACAAAAAAAGATTTATTCCACTTGCATGCATTGTTTTTTTTAGCTAGAGGTTTTTAATCTCATTCTGGCCAGGCATGGTGGCCCATGCCTGTAATCCCGGCACTTTAGGAGCCCAAGTCAGGAGGACTGCTTGAGGCCATGAGTTCAAGACCAGCCTGGGCAACCTAGTGAGACCCCATCTCTGCAAAATAACTTAAAAATATAGCCTGGAGTTGTGCACACCTGTAGTCTCAACTACTCAGGATGCTGAGTGGGAGGATCACTTGAGCCCAGGAGGTCAAAGCTTTGGTGATCCATGATCATACCACTGCACTCCTAACTGAGCAACAGAGCAAGACCCCATCTGTAATAATCATGATATAATTCTGTTATTGTTGTTTGCCTCTTATTACCCACTAGTTTTGTGATGTATTTTTACTTAATCTGCTTATTTATAAACATTTTACCTGTAGCACTAGAATAAATAGGTTCTGCCACATTAGTAAATTTCCAGATATAATTTTAAATAGGAATTTTAGTTTTAGAAGAAAAACAAAACCAAAATAATGCTAACCTGTCTTTTTTTCAGAACGGTGTATGTACACATTTTCAAGAATTAGTAAAAAGTCAGTTTGCCTCTCAAATACCACAAGTACACATCTAAATTTATCTTGAGAATCTCTACCACTATTTTTGTTTAAATTTAATTAAATCATAAAGAGCACTGTTTGCATGAATCTTTGTATGAAACTGCTCTACAATACCACCGAAGAGGCCGGGCGCGGTGGCTCACGCCTGTAATCCCAGCACTTTGGGAGGCCGAGGCGGGCGGATCACGAGGTCAGGAGATCGAGACCATCCCGGCTAAAACGGTGAAACCCCGTCTCTACTAAAAATACAAAAAATTAGCCGGGCGTAGTGGTGGGCGCCTGTAGTCCCAGCTACTTGGGAGGCTGAGGCAGGAGAATGGCGTGAACCCGGGAGGCGGAGCTTGCAGTGAGCCGAGATCCCGCCACTGCACTCCAGCCTGGGCGACAGAGCGAGACTCCGTCTCAAAAAAAATAAAAATAAAAATAAAATAAAAAATAAAAAATAAAATAAAAAATACCACCGAAGAGAAATTTTAAAGTAAGTACAACCCTGAAATCCAGAGGAAAAAATCATTTGGCTTTAAAGCAAAACACTTTTATTTAAGCTGACAAAACACACACATACACACACACACACACAAAATGTCAGTGATAACTGTGATTGAAGCCACTAATATTTTAGAAAACCAAATTCCTTCATCTTTCAAAACTATTGGTTTCAAAGAGATCCGCATACAGAGAGTTATACAACTGCGGGCTTTGAGTTTGGCTGTGAGCTCTTGAAACTGTTCATAGGGTTTCTAAAACTGTGACGATCTTCCTGTCTTCTCTTTTTCTTTTATATCCTGTTTCTAATTTGTTTGATGGATCTTTTTGACCAAACCTTCAAAATATATCCAGAGGCAGATACTACTTCTGAGAAAACACCACAGCTCCTCCTACTCAGAACCATCCTTTTTCTTCCCTGTGAATTTACGCAAACATCCTTGATCCTTACTCTTGGGCACACTTCCAACACTCTCCACCCATTCAGCAGAGGATAAGTCCTTTGCACAATGCTCTCCAATAGTCCCCCAACTCAGTCAGCATCAAAACTTTAAGATATCTGGCACCATCTCACATTGAGTCCTTACCTCAGATTTCCCTTGCTTCTCTGCCTTCCAGCCAGAAGTTACCTTGCTTTGCAGGAGGCTCCAGGTTCACTCTACTTTGAGGTATCCTCACTGGATGTTCCCCTTATGGAACCCTAAATTCAGGCTCATGCAGCTACAGCCAAGCACTGAGACATTGATGCTTGGAGATCAAACAAGATTTATTCAATTTGGTCAAAGCAAGAAGTTGGGAGAGCAAGATGTCTCAAATCCATCTTAACAAAAAGAGGAAGCAGTGAGTTTTTAGGTAGCTAAGGAGTAAAGGAGAGGCAGTTTCAGGGAAGTGAGGGGGAAAAGTCTGCGTTTCTTTATTCTCAGGTAACATCTTGAGCAACCAGATTCCTGGGTATCAGCAGCTGGTCGCAACGTCCTTCAAGGCATTCATTCCTTCTGCAAATTTTTTCATGACCCTCAAGTGACCTTCTCCTGCTTGACAAAGAAACAGTACATCAGCAATTTATCGTTGTATTGCAGGAACAAGGGATGATGGGCAAAAACTGAGTAGTTAACTTGTGCAAGCAAGCAAGAGCTGAAGCAGAATTGTCATGATTCCAGTCACTAAAAATGCTAGGTATAGAAATCCTAAGGGGACTGGTTTTATTTCCACTGCAGTGGAGAAGGCTTTTTTCTCAAGTCTCTCTCTCTGTTGCTCACTGTCTTATCTCTGTCAAGTCTTTGTTCATGTGCTGGCATCGCTGTGATACATTCCTTTGATACCTTTTGATCTTGGTTAAAATTGCATCACATAACCTCCACCCTCACCATCACCCGCCCCCCGCCCCCCCCCCCCGGAGCCAACCTGGTCTACACTAACCATTTTATAACATTTGTCATCTTATAAAATACTACTTAGTTCGTATGATATATTTGCCATTGTGTGTCTCTTCTACTAAAACATAAATCCCTCAAAGGTAGGGATCTCCCTTTGTTTTGTTCGATGCCAACATATTCTCAGTACCCTTCCTGGGATATTCATTGCTCATAAAATAAATACTGAATAAATCAACTAGTACATGCACAAATGCACAAAAATGTCTACAGCTTTTCTTAGTGAGATGGGAGAGTTCCCTGACCCCCTCACAGGACTTGCGACAGGATTGTGACTTGCTTACTCTGCCACTGCATATTCAAACCCTTTACAGGTGGGAGAGCATGCAGGTGAGCAGGTGCAGGAGCCAGGGTGAGTGCATCTGGGCTCTGGCTCCATGACGGTGCCTAGGGGTGTTACAGTGTTCCTTTAGCCCTGCTGCCTGGGGATGGCTTAAGTGTTAAACAGCTCAGTGAAAAGTTAGTGTGACAACCCTTTTGGGTTCCTGTACCCAGTTGGTCCTGAATTCTTGTCTGGTGTCCAGGAAGAATGAGGTTACTTGGATTTGAAGGATGGTGAATGTGGGGATTTTATTTGGTGATGGAAGTGACTCTCAGTGGGATGGGGAGCTGGAGAGGGGATGGAGTGGGAAAACGATCTTTCCCCTGGAGTTCGTCTGTACCATGGCCAATTTCCTCTCCAACTGCCTCCAGCCAAACTCCTGTCGATGTTCAGATGCTTCCTCTATTCTCTCCTTGTCTGCTGCGCCACTTTGTTACTCTTCCACTCTGCTGCTCTTCTGCCTATGGAGCCTGGGGCTTGGGGTTTATATGGATAAAGGATGGGGACATGGTGGGCCAGAGTGGTCTTGGAAGAGGCAACATTTGGGCGTGGAAATAAGAATATCTCTTTCCATTGAGGGCCACAGGTTTCCAGGCTTGAGGGTGAGGCCTTTGTGGGGGAATTTTCTCCTGCCCCCCATCTGTATCATTAGGAGAAATTTAACTCAACTTCACATAGTAACTATGTGGGATAACTGCAAAGTTTTTTTTTCTCCTACAACCTGATTACTAAAATAGCTACTGTCTCTCTGTTACTGAAATGCCAGGGGTTCAGTCTAGGTCCTCCTGCTTGCCACACAGAAAGGCAATCATTGAGACAATGAGTACTGCCATGGAAGAAGACTTAAATCAGGTGCTGCAGTCGAGGAAATGGAAGATGAGTCTGAAATCTATCTCCCTAACTGACTCAACTTAGGGGTCATAATAATAGCAGGGAAGAAATGTAACTGTGTGTGAGAAAACAGGAATTAGGGAGGGGTAAGGAAGAGGAGTATTCAACAGGAGGTAGGTGATTGGTTAAGAAATCGGGAATTAGGGAGTGGTAAGAAAGCAATCATGAAGAATGAGGGGTCTGGCATCTCATTGTCTGGATGTGGTAACCTGTTGAGGTTTTGTTCTTTGATAATTTTTGAGAGCCCTGAGGGTCATTTCCTGAGGAAGGAACTCAGATAAAACAAATGTAAGGTTCAAGTTGCTTTAAGACTAGAAGTGCCCATTTCTATATGTATCAAAAACAAAAACAAAAACAAACCCACACAAAAACCAAACAACAAAACAATTGTCTATGGGACTATTGGGTTGGTATCAATTGATTAAAACATTTTGCAGGATTTTGTAAATTTGTGAAAGTATTTTGGATAGTTGTGCATTAAAGCCCTTCAAGATGTTCCAGTTGATGAGGGAGAGAAGAAGGTATTTCATGGAGACAAAAGATTGGTACAAAGGCAGTAAGTAGCTGGGAGCTGGAGAAAAACACAAAAGCAGACATCAAAAGGCACTATATGCAAGTGCCCATTTGGAAGTAGATTAAAAAAATGAAGAAGAATCCTTATAAGTTAAGTTATTATGGAAGAAAAAAAATTCCTGTGTCAGGAAAGATGCAATTCATTTATCATTCATTCCTTATTCCTTCCTAAATTCATTTCTTAAATTTTTTTTGAGCACGTACTGCATGGGTCTGTGGAGTATTCTAGGTATAGGGAGTAAAGTAGACATGCAAGCTGTTTTGGTCTGCTCAAACTTCCTTGACATGAGACAAACAGCACATCGAGAGCTCAGTGACACTGCTGTGTCTCTGCCTGAAGGGTTTGCATTCTTCAACTTGATAACTGAGTACAAGATCCCTGCTATCTGCAGAGCACCCAGGCAGCCAACAAAAGTGAAAGGGGCTGGGTGTGGTGGCTCACGCCTGTAATCCCAGCATTTTGGGAGGGCAAGGTGGGTGGATCATCTGAGGTCAGGAGTTCGAGACCAGCCTGGCCAACATGGTGAAGCCCTGTTTCTACTAAAAATACAAAACTTAGCCAGGAGTGGTGGCACGTGCCTGTAATCTCAGCTACTCAGGAGGCTGAAAATGAGCAGAAAACGCTAACAGATATTTCTCAAAAGAATACATACAAATGGCCAACAGTGTACAAAAATATGCTCAACATCACTAGTCATCAGAGAAATGCAAATCAAAGCAACAATGCAATATTATCTCACCCCAGTTAAAATGGCATTTATCAAAGTGATAAGCAATAATGAATGCTGGTGAGGATAAAGAGAAAGGGGAACACTTTCACACTGTTGGTGGGAATGTAAATTAGTATAGCCTCTAGGGAAAATGTGTGCAAGTTCCTCAAAAAAACTTAAAATAAGCCAGGCATGGTGGTGTGTATCTGTAGTCCCAGCTACTTGGGAAACTGAAGCAAAAGGATTGCTTGAGCCCAGGAATTCAAGGCTGCAGTGAGCTGTGATCACACCACTGCACTCCAGTCTGGACAACAGAGCAAGACCTTGTCTCTTAAAGAAAAAAAAAAAAAATAGAACTTCCATACGATCCAGCAATTCTACCACTGGTTGTATATCCAAAATAAAGGAAATCATTATATCAAAGAGCTATCTGCACTCCCATGTTTATTGCAGCACTGTTCACAATAGTGAAAATATGGAGTCAACCTAAGTGCCTATCAACAGACGAACGGATACAGAAAATGTGGTACATATACACATGATGGAACATTCAGCCATAAAAATGAATGAAGTCCCCGTCATTTGCAGCAACATGGACAGAACTGAATATCATTATGTTAAATGAAATAAGCCAAGCACAGAAAGACAAACATGACATTATCACTCATATATGGGAGTTTTAAAAATGGATCTCGTGAAGACAGAGCACATTGGTGGTTCCCAGAGGCAGGAAAGGGACTGGGGGAGGGGAGGGTGGAGAGAAGAAAAAGAATATAAATAGGTTTACTGCCACTGAACTGTGCACAAAAAATGGGAAAGATGGCCAATCATATATCATATATGCATATTTTACCTCAATAAAAAGAAAATTTAATAAAAGGAGAAAGTGTAAATAACACAGCGTTCAGCCCTCATGATACTAAAATCAGTCTAATGGGCAAAGATTTGGAGGCAGGTAAAGATTTATTTGGCATTGTTTTTTCCCCTTGGTTATCTGACAGAGTGCTCTATTTCAGAACCCACAGGTAGGGATAAGGATCTGAATGCAGTGTATTTTGGGCATTTTTTGTCTTCAGTATTAGAGGAGTAACTAATCAGCAGCTAGGAAGGATATAGTGTAGTGCAAAGTGACCCTACAAACATGAGGTGGAATGTGCATGTAAGGAAAATTTGGAAATTGCTTCTAACATCTCTTTTGGAAGTTGTTTTTCACTAGTTGGTTTTCTACTTTAGCTATATGCTTAGATCACTGAGTAGGTGGCTGTCCATTCGTAAACAGCATAGTATGTTAAAGTAATTCCAGCCTGGGCAACAGGGCAAAACCCTGTCTCTATTAAAAATGCAGACAATTAGACAGATGTGGTGGCGCATGCCTGTAATCCCAGCTACTCTGGAAGCTGAGGTGGGAGGACTGCTTGAGCCTAAGAAGTCGAGGCTGCAGTGGGCTATGATTGTACCACTGCACTCCAGCCTGGATGGCAGAGCAAGACCCAGTCTGAAAAGACAAAAAAAGATAATTACACTGCAGACTAACTGCCTTACAAGAATGTCATATTGTGCTTTTCTCGTATGGACCTTAAGTGCTAATTTCCATCCAGTTTCTAGCATTTGTGTTCACTAAACAAAAATCATCTTTGTTATTGAGATAACAAAGAGAGTTCTGCATTTATAGTCTAGATGAAAAAATGTTAAATAAGTGGTAGAAAGCTCTAAATATTGACAGGAATAAGTATGAGATGTATATGATTGGCATAAGCATACTCAGAAAAATGAATAAGAAAGTGGGAACAAAATTGTAAGTGGAGAATATTTAAAGAAGAACAAAATAAAGGAAATGTTTATTTAGAAAATAACCCAACTACACTAGATAAAGGTGATACTTAAAACAAAGGTAACACTTGAAAATACTATTGTTGTTAGTTGATTTTAGAGATCTACTATTATTAGAATAAGTAATAAGTAATTAATTTTATATTTATTCTCTATTTTATGCTTTAATATGCCTGTATGTCATTATTAATACTGGAATTAAAAATGTACAACATAATGTTATAAAAAGACTTTGTAATAAAAAGCATTCAACTTTACCCTTAATTTCTTTAAAAAAAATGCAGATTCATGGCTCATTCTTTATCCAATTCTGAGTTCCAACAATCAAAAATCAAGTATATTTTGGTGCCAAAAAATGCAATTTAACTGTGTACTAGATACCGGGAATTATTATTTACTCACAAGAATACAACTAGAATTGCATAGGTGAGATTTAGACTTAGAATTAGACATTGTCTAGAAAGGATGTTGAAATTCTTAGGTGCATCAAAACATGTAGCCTTGGACGGCTCATACCTGTAATCTCAGCTCTTAGGGAAACCAAGGCGGGCGGATCACTTGAGGTCAGGAGTTTGAGACCAGCCTGGCCAACATGGTGAAACCTCGTCTCTACTAAAATCTACTACAAATACAAAAATTAGGCAGGCGTGGTGGCTCACACCTGTAGTCCTAGCTACTCGGGAGGCTGAGGCACGAGAATTGCTTGAACCTGGGAGGCAGAGGTTGCAGCGAGCTGAGATTGTGCCAGTGCACTCCAGCCTGGGTGACAGAGGAAGACTCTGTCTCAAAAACAAACAAACAAGTGAAAAACCACCACATAGCCTTTCATTTGATATCCTGTATCAGGATATATTCTGATATCCTATATATCAACTATATATAAAAACATTTCACATACAGTTGAAGCAAATACAGTATCACAAAATATTAAGAATTGTGCGGTCTAGGGCAGAGGATTTGGTGTTATTATCGTACTTGCTCTTTATTTCTGTACATTTGAATGTTCTCAAAATCAAATGACTGGGAAGGCAATATTGCAGTTCCTGGAAAGAAAGTAATGCACGTGCACTTAATACAGTGTGAACACATTTATTTATTCCTATTTTATTTTATTTGAAACGTATCTTCTTTAAAATTTGGAGTAATGGTGAAGGGCCCTTCAACAAATTAACAGATTTGTTTGTCTTCCTACAATACTGTCATTTACGTAGCCTTATGGCAGGGAAGAAGACGGGGCTAGTACTTTAACATTTGCTCCTTGAAAGCTAAGCCTATGATGTGAGTTTCAGGGATTGCGTTTCTCAGGAGAAGCAAAGATCGAAAGCTTGTACAGCAGTCAGTCTTGTGAATGCCCCTATTTAAAGCGTAAAGTGTACATGAAGGCTGACTTAGCGGAAGGCTTCATTCATTGGGACGCCAAGCCATGACTCCCCCACAAAAAGAAGCCTATTGTATAGTATAGATTCATCACTTTGTCCAAAGTCTGGTGTTAAATAAATTCCAAGAACATCATCAGGTAGACCCCAAATAAATGTGTGTGTGTCTGTCTTTTTTTTTTTTTTAAAGTTAACACTCTTTGGAGTTCCATATGCCTACGAATTGCTCAGAGAATAAGTGATCAATAATAGATCATATTGTGGCTTAAGGGGTAGAGGAGGAAACATCTTTTCTATTTGACATGGTGTCATAGCGTGTAACAAGGCTGACCTTCAAGGAAGCCTAAAGATGAGAAAGAGGCCTCTGATTTCTGATTGGGCTACAAATTATATTCAGTTTGGTGGTAAGTTTTTGTGAAAACAATCTAAAAGGTTCAAAGAATTCAATAATGAACTTAATAAAGTATAAGTAATTGTGATATATAGAATTTCATTTTGCAGATGTCCATGAGTAAAACCGATTTTATTCTATTTATTCTAAGCACAGTAATAATTTACGAGACTCTTAATTGCATCGTGATATGGAAGGTGCGGACTATAAGCAGAGGAACAAAAGAATTGTACTATTGAGAAACTGTGATCCTACCATAAAACTTTGCTCAGCAAAGTTTACTGTGAAGTTCAGAATTCTCTTAAGGGAGGTACTGTTTTTAGTGCTGAGAAACTGCAGGTGTCTGACATAAAACAGGTCTGATTTCCACAAACCCAGTTCATTTTGAAACACTGTCAGGAAGTGTTACTTTTGGAAATGTTGAACAAGCTGGGATCACTTTTGAAGTAGGTACACAAAATGCAGGCGTCCATTTCTTTGAACTTTTAAACATTTCTAGACATACTAGTCTGTAATGGCTGGGCGCGGTGGCTCACGCCTGTAATCCCAGCACTTTGGGAGGCCAAGGCGGGCGGATCACGAGGTCAGGAGATCGAGACCATCCTGACTACCGTGGTGAAACCCCGTCTCTACTAAAAATACAAAAAAATTAGCCAGGCGTGGTGGCTGGCGCCTATAGTCCCAGCTACTTGGGAGGCTGAGGCAGGAGAATGGTGTGAACCCAGGAGGCAGAGCTTGCAGTGAGCCGAGATCACACCACTGCACTCGAGCCTGGGTGACAGAGCAAGACTCCTCCATCTCACAGAAAAAAAAAAAAAAAAAAAAAAGACTGAGACTCCTAGAGAGAGCAGGTACCAGCCATGTAAAGAAAGTTTGTGTTCATGTATGTGTCTGTGTGTGTGTATGTGTGTAAGAGGGTGCTATGATCTGAATCTCGGTGTGCCCCCCAAATTTCTATGTTGAAATCCCAATCTCCAAGGTGACAGCATTAGGAGGTGGGGTCTTTGGGAGGTGATTAGGTCATGAAGGGGCACTGCTTGTGAATGGGATGAGTGCTTTTATAAAGGAGACCTCAGAGAGCTCCCTTGCCCCTTCCACTATGTGTGGACACAGCAAGAAGGCGCCATCTATGTACCAGGAAGGGGGTCTTTACCAGGCACAAAATCCACTGTGCCTTAAGCTTGTACTTCCCACCTCCAGAACTTTGAGAGATAAATGTCCATTGTCTACAAACCACCCAGTCTAAGATATTTTGTTATAACAATGCAAATGTACTAAGACAGAGGTGATGATCAGCACGGTGCCTGCTTCTGGAGGCTGTTCCACACACAGGGTTGAAACATGTGTGAACACCATGAAAAGGCAGAGGACTTGCTCAGCTGGAGGAGCTGACATAATGTGGTTCAGTGCATGAACAAAAGACTGAATCAATTTCAGGTGAGAGAGGGACAAGTAAGTTCTCACTGCACTGGTCCTTGGAGGCCATACATACTTTGAAGCTTGTTCTAACAATAATATAAAAATATTTGAATGTTTTACAGAGGAAAAGATTCTTAGATGTTGTGTGGATAACAGATTGTGGTGGGCTAAGGGTAGAGGCAGCAAGGATGTGCGAGAAGGTTCTGAGGTTGTCCAGGCAGATGGTGGCAGTCATGGTAGAAATGGAAGTTCAGTAAGGTTTGCTTTCAACATAGACACAATGGAATTTATTGAGGTATTTATTGTGATGTGGGACATCCTAAATCTAAATATAAATATTGATGACTTTTTAGATATAATGATTTTTTAGATGTTCAAACATCCGGCAGAAGGGAAGAGGGATGAGTGGGATTTAAAAGCTAATAGCAGTCATATAACAAGAAATGGAGTTAGTCTTATTATGGTATCCATGTCACCATCTTGGACAACTTAAGCACTGATGTGACATCATAGATGTCTATTGAAGATGATGCTTTCCTGGAGCATCAATACCAGGAAAGTGAACTCATCGGGGCTATGTAAGAAGTCTGACCATCACAGGGAATGGTGTAAGGATTTGGTGTAAGAAGGTGAGAGAACTCAGAAACCAGCAACCACCTCTTTAGGGTGGATGTTAGCAGTTCACTACAGCCACATGCTACCAGGAGTTCTTGTTTATTTTATTTACTGTTTGGGTCCAGAAACCCCTGAACACTGAGGGGTGGTGCATGTGACATCAGTGCTCATAACTTCACTAAGTGAGATTTTATGTGGAATAATGCCTTGTAGTTTGCAAACCTTCATACATCAAAAGACAGTCAATTTGTCATCATTCACAACACTGATGTTGTAGAAATTCACCATGGACAATGGATTAGCCAATGCTAAATAGTTTTTCCTGGGGAAATACAGAGTTGGGTTTCTGTGAGACTCTAGTTACATTTTCATCAGTGGAGCAACATATAACCTTGTTTTATGTGTATTTCTGTTTAAAGACACCTTATTTAATCTATAATATATTGCTGATTCATTTACATTGAACTCATGGCCAGCAGCACTATAACTCATGACTGAGCAAAGCTTACCTAACACACATATTATCTCTGCAAGGCACATCAGAGTATTTGAAACCAGAACTTCCTCCATAGAAGTGATGTTTACAGTCTTTTTGAATAAACACAGAAATTGACCCTCCCATTCTTAAGGCTTACAACTTACAATTCTCTTAACTGAGTTTCTCTCTCAGGAAACTCACCATCAGGCCTCCCTGATAGTATCACCAGATCACTGCATCCAGACAAAGAGAAGGCAGAACGCTGACTGCCTAACTGACCATCTGCTTCCTGTTGACAAACTCCTTTTCCTTACCTCTCCCTAATTCCTGTTTTCCACTTATGGCTGTATTCTTTGCCTGCTTTATGACCCCCCAATTTTAGTTAGCTGAGGAGATGGATTTGAGACTTATCTCCCATCTCCTTGGCTGATGTCACCCGAATGAAGCCTTCTTCCCTGGCAATACTCATTGTCTCAGTGACTGGCTTTCTGTGCAATGAGATACTGACCTACGCTGAACCCCTGATGTTTCAGTAACACTTTCTTGTGCTTAGGGACACACAAAGACACTGAAGCCTCCACTTCAGTGCCATTTTAAATAGTAACATCACCAACAAAAAGCACGAACATGCAAAAAAAATGAATGTGGCACTGAGTAGACTTTAAGAAGTACACTTGCTTACAGTACAAAGGCTGAAAGAAGACAACACATTGCCTTGTTTAACCTCAGATGGGCAACTTCGTATCAGGAGACTCAAATTTCTGACCGCTCTGTTCATGTCCATAACTGACTGCAAAAGCACCACCAGCATTGATGGGGGAGAAAAAAAAATAAATGTCGTCTGGCAGGCAAATTTGCAACTACAGAATTCATAAATGATGAGGATGGACCATACATCACTCCCTAACAAAATAAGGAGATGCAGAAATATGAATTTATAGAAATGCCCAGTGTTAAAAATGAAAAACTCCCACTAGCTCCCAATAGATCTCTCTTTTGTGTACCCCTCAAAGTGTTAAGCATTAGAGATAAAATATGACCCTGCTGGAGAACGTAGGCATTGACAACATACACAAAAATAACATAAAGTATTGCAATCAGATAACCACATGGGCACAATGCTGGTGGTTAGCTGATACATTTGAATGGAAGAAAATTTTAAAAGAGAGAAGCTAGATGATTTGACATTTAAAATTCAGTATCAGGGAATTCAAGAAGAAGAGGCATGAGGGTGTTAGATGGTAGATTCCAGAAGACAGGTCATAGAGTGGGAATTTATAAAATAGCTGCCCTTGTCTTCTTTTTCCTGGGGATCCTGAGGGCAATCTGTCAATTACTAAAACCTCTGCCTAATTTTTTTCTTCCGATGTGTGGATTAAATATCCACTCCCAGCCCAGTTTAGAAAATGACACTTGAGCCTCCTCAAATCCAGCTATCATTTCTTACAGGCTCATCCCTAAGGCTGGACCCGCTCTCTCTCTCTCCACTTGGTTCCCATTTGCAAAGCTGTGTCTCAGAGTGGCTCCCATTTGCAGAGAAAGAAGCAAGGAGGAAACACATGGCTAAGCTTTCTTTGTATTCAGCTCTGTCTCCCCCTCTTTCCCATCTGAGGTTGGACATTCAGCATTGTCTGTGATCTTTATTGGTTTTCTCTAATATTCTCGTTTCCAAATCTATAAGCAGCATATTCCTCAAACCCACAACTACAGCACAGTAAAATCTTAATATTCCTATTGATTCCAGCACGAACCTTAGTAGTCAAGGATTTTTTTTTTTTCTTCTCAAGCACTCACTATGCGCAGCAGTCAGTCTGCTCAATTAGAGTTTTATTGACATCAGTGATCCTGTTAGTAGCTACAAATCCATACGGGTCTGCAGCAACCTCAATTCTTGTCTCTTCAGAAGAAAGAATTTGACCAAGGGGCATGAGGCAGAGGGAGAGACTAAGTCAAGTTTTAGAGCAAGAGTGAAAGTTTATTAAAAATTTAGAGCAGGAACAACAGGAAGTAAAGTACACTTGGAAGAGGGCCAAGTGGAAGACTTGAGAGATCCAAGTGCACGGTTTGACCTTTGACTTGGTATTTTATACATGGACATACTTCTGGGGTGTCACATTCCTTCTGCCCTGATTCTTCCCTTGGGGTGGGCTGTCCACATGCACAGTCGGCTGCCAGTACTCGGCAGGGGCTGCACGCACAGTGTGTTTACTGGAGTTGTACGCATGCTCACTTGAGGCGTTTTTCCCTTACCAGTCGAGTGTTCCTAAAGGAAGGTCAAACACCAGTTCAACTCTGCCATTCTGCCTCTTAATGTGGATGCTTGAGCCCGCTCATCAAACCCCTGAGAACTTACTGGGAAGTTGCTGATCAATAGTTTCGGGGTTTGAAAAAAACCTATTGGTAGACTGTCTTTCCCTGGTGCCAGCTGTGACCAATTATTATTTTAGGCAGACAACTTAACAACTGCCTGCTATCACCTGATGGTTGCCTGACTTTCCTTGGTCGGGGCAGGGGCTCTCTTGCTCTGCTCATGTCTGCCTGACTACCTGCTCTAACATTCCAGTTATTAGCTTTGAATGCAGAAAAAGTTGGGGAGAGACAGACACCTCCAGCAGTCTTCTCCCAGCATGAGATGTCTGTGGATGAGTCATGGAACAAAATAGATCAGGATTCTCTGCTTCTTCAAAAACAAATCCTCAAGTGACCCCATAATATTGCTTTAAAGTAATTTTTGTGAACATTGAGACAGTCCATGACTTAATTCAAAAATGGAAATTAGTTGTAACATCTTGTGGGCTGTGTGCCCAGTGACACACTACATTAGACACACTATTATATCAGTTTAGCCTTGTAAACTAAAAATATAACCTTAAGCCCCCCAAATAACTGAATGGGCCCCGCTTTTGCCCAAGAGTCCCAAGAGAAACCTGAAAAGCTGAATTCCCAGCCATCACCAGAGCGAGGTGGAGGTGTTAAACTCGTTTTTGGAGTTTAGGCAAAACTGACCAACATTAACGTAAAACTAGAAACCATAAGACTGATAAAACAGATGCTTTGTGGAATAAGATACCAAATGCCAAGATATAGCATCATATGACAGACAGCAGACCCCAAAAGGAGAAAGTCAAAATATTTTACCACCAAAAATAATTTACTTGACGTATTTTGAAATGCCCTAGCAAAGCCATCTCTTGTGGCGGTGCGTGTGTGTGTGTGTGTGTGTGTGTGTGCAATTTGCATCTATAGACAATCTCCATGAATGCAACCAGGCCTTCCCTTTCTAGGTCTTTCCTGTATCTACGAGAGATTAAATGAGTGAGTCTGACACCTTTCAAGTCTGAAAAGAGACATTCACCATCTATTCTCTCCGAGGGCTGCTGTCTACGAGGTTTCGTCTACATAACAAGAATCTTGGTTTCCACAATTCCTCTTGTCTGAACTCAAACATTTATTTCTACTAACTTCAGGTATTTAGACCAGACTTAAATCTTTCAACCAATCGGTAATCAGAAAATCTATGAATCCACCTATGACTTGTAAGTTCTTGTCAGAGGCATTTGAACCAGAGCAACTCCGTCTTGTATAGAGAGAGGCTGGGTAAAATGAGGCTAAAATCTACTGGGCTGCATTCCCAGATGGTTAAGGCATTCTAAGTCACAGGATGAGATAGGAGGTCAGCACAAGATACAGGTCATAAAGACCTTGCAGATAAAACAGGTGGCAGTAAAGAAGCCAGCCAAATCCCACCAAAAACAAGATGGCCACGAGAGTAACCTCTGGTGTCCTCACTACTACACTCCCACCAGTGCTATGACAGTAAGTGAGCCACACCCGTCGCAAGTCCTGCAAAGAGGTCAAGGGAAATCTTCCATCTCAATAGTAGGCTAAAACAATAGCCAAGGAAGTTAGAATCACATGATGTTTGATTTCTTTAGAAAGACTAAAGATAATATCTTAGCATATATCCCTGAGATGTTTTTTTCAGATATCTGGACTGTCACCAAACAGATCTCCTGGCATGTAGACCTCAGGTAAGGGGAACTAAAGACTGAACTCTGACTGCCTGTTCTTTGTTCTATGTATTTTTTTGAGGGACCTAGAGGAGGTCATGCTCACGAGCCACAGCTAACATTCTTTTCTGTTAACCCCAAATTTTTATTTATTTATTTATTTATTTATTTATTTATTTATTTATTTATTTATTTTTGAGACAGGGTGTTCCTCTGTCACCTAGGCTGGAGTGCAGTGGCGTGATCTCCGCTCACTGCAACCTCTGCCTCCTGGGTTCATGTGATTCTCTTGCCTCAGCCTCCTGAGTAGCGAGTAGCTGGGACTACAGGCATGCAGCACCACACCCAGCTAATTTTTGTATTTTTTGGTGGAGACGGGGTTTCACTGTGTTGGCCATGCTGTTCTCTAACTCCTGGCTTCAAGTGATCTGCCCACCTTGGCCTCCCAAATTGCTGGGATTATAGGAGTGAACTACTGCACCCTGCCTGACCCCAAATTTTTAAACAAAACCTTCTCTCCTTAACCAATTTCAAATCAGAAAATGTTCTAATCTACTTATGACCTGTATGCCCTCACTTCAAAATATTCTTCCATGTTAGGCCAAGACCAATATGTAACTTTTTGGTATTGATTTACTATTTTGCCTGTAGTTTCTGCTTTCCTGAAGTTTAGCTCTACCTTTGAAAATCCCTACCTGCAAGCCATTGCAGAGGCTGGGTCTTAAGCATGAGCTGCCTGATTCTTCTTGCTTGGTGCCCTGCAAATAAACACCCTCCTTTCTCCTGCTACAAAGCCTCTGAATGGATATCTGGTCTTATTGTGCTGGGTGAGTGGACCCCAGTTGGGTTTCATAACAATGAGCAAGGAAGAAATTTGCATCAGAAGCAAGTACACCTTTTTACAAAGTACAGAACACCTTTGGGAGAATTAAATAAATAAAATTATCATCCCAACTATTAAGACCTTTAACAATAGTTTTTTAGTACCAGTTTCAGCTCAGACGCGGAACTTTAGATTACATTCCCAACATTCTTTCAAAGCTGTCCTCTTTCTCCAACTCCAGAAAATGAGTATCATGAAACTGCAAGACTATGATATTTTTTAGGGTGATAACCTTGTACTTGCTCTAATCATAGGGGAAAAAAAAGATGTTGGCCTGTTGAATCTTGTTAATTATTGAACAAAACACTCGCAAAATTGTTAGAAGTGCTCTCAGTGGTTAGATTTCCGGTGGCCTCAGAATGTACTACTGTGCACTAAGAATGACCTTCAATGGCCTTCACTCTTGGAGGGTGAGTGGAACGTGTGAATACAATGAGTGATTACTCCCATGATTTGGTTGTTTTATGGTACAAAATGGCGAATAGCCGAGTGATCCCAATTTAAGCAACAGGAGCCATAACAGCTGACCATTTTCTTGCCAGGGTTGCAGAAGGTGAGGTCAGAAGGACAGGAAGCATACAAAGTGTTTGCTTGCCTACTTATGGATTTGAGGATAGAAGGAACCAATGATTTCGAGTAAGAATTCTTGGGCAGCTAAGTGTGTGTGTTGCAGACGTGTAGCAGCTTGAATGCATAGCAATGTGCAGAAAAGATGATGGCAAATTTGTTGTCATTAAGACTTCATCTTTCTTCTCTGAATATTAATCCCAGGTTATATATGGTGTGTCATTTGTCCTGAAGTAGTAAAGACATTTTCTCATGTTCTGGATTAACTGTTTCATAAGGCAATTTATTATTCTCTGGTTTTTTTGTGTGTGTGTGTGTGCTTGCAGAGTGGCTAACAGTGGCATAAATCTCTCTTTTGATGAAGCCTTTCAAATCTAGGGAAATGGAAATAGAATAAGGTCCTCAACTTTCTTTTCTGGAAAAGTCAGTGCCTAGATCATAATGTTCACTTCTGTGGATGGAGCTGCATCTCCGTAAATGGAAGTTGTCTCAAAGAGGCATGCTGTTCCACATCTGTCAAAACTGGGTCAGTAATACTCAATTTCCTATGCCCAAAGCCTATGTCCTCTATAATCTATAATCTATTTTTTATGTATGTAATCTTTGTAACTTATGGATGGATTAAGAGGACAAAGACATGGGCATTTTGTGTGTTGGTATTAATACATATTTATTCATTTAGAAGCAAAATATGAGAGCCCCCATAAAAGCACTGAAATTGATTAAAGCTGAATGTGATGTGATGTAGATCATTTGAATGATCTCTGCATAGCATGCAGATTTGTTTTTCAACACATTTTTTAAGCTGTGCTTTGTGTATGTGTACACACCATCTGACAGCACAAATAATAAAGCTAGGAAATGCCTTCTATGCATCAAGACTCAGTTAATCTTTTACTATTAGGATTAGGTAACACACAAATTGGGCTTTTCATTCTAACTTTTAAATTTTAAAAGTTCTCAAGCTCATAATTGCATATATCTCAAATATTGGGATACTTAACTTACAGTCATCATGAAGTGTCCTCTGTCCCCCACAAACAAGGAAATTCTCTACTCTCTACCTTCAGCTCTGTGTTTGAATTGGCCATTGCTGACTCTTTTCCTTCTTTGTCTAGTTCATGGCATTTCGAGCAATGCAGAAAGACTAGACATGGCCATTGTAACAGTCATCAGTTGCTGTGTAACAAGTAATCCCCAAATACGGTGGCTCAAAGCAGTAAATATAAACTCACATGTCTTCTTTAGGTTGGGACTTGGTGAGCAGTTCAGGTGATTGATTCTGGTGCAGTCCAGTTGTCAGCTGGGGGTGCAGTCATTTGAGACTGAACTTGAGCTGGATGATCTTCTTCCAAAGGACAACTATGGTGATGCTTGGGAGGCTAAAATTCTTCTCCAGGTTGCTTTTTCCATAGGGCTGTCCATAGCATGGGTTTCTTAAAAGGGAATGATCAAACAGAGAGGGAGAGAGAATAAATGTCACATTTTATTTATTCAAATAAATAAACATCACATTTTATTTATTCAAATAAATAAACATCACATTTTATTTATTCAAATAAATAAACATCACATTTTATTTATTCAAATAAATAAACATCACATTTTATTTATTCAAATAAATAAACATCACATTTTATTTATTCAAATAAATAAACATCACATTTTATTTATTCAAATAAATAAACATCACATTTTATTTATTCAAATAAATAAACATCACATTTTATTTATTCAAATAAATAAACATCACATTTTATTTATTCAAATAAATAAACATCACATTTTATTTATTCAAATAAATAAACATCACATTTTATTTATTCAAATAAATAAACATCACATTTTATTTATTCAAATAAACATCACATTTTATTTATTCAAATAAACATCACATTTTATTTATTCAAATAAACATCACATTTTATTTATTCAAATAAACATCACATTTTATTTATTCAAATAAACATCACATTTTATTTATTCAAATAAATAAACGTCACATTTTATTTATTCAAATAAATTAACGTCACATTTTATTTATTCAAATAAATTAACTTCACATTTTATTTATTAAAATAAATTAACGTCATATTTTATTTATTAAAATAAATAAACGTCACATTTTATTAAAATAAATAAACGTCACATTTTATTAAAATAAATAAACGTCACATTTTATTTATTAAAATAAATAAACGTCACATTTTATTTATTAAAATAAATAAACGTCATATTTTATTTATTAAAATAAACGTCACATTTTATTAAAATAAATAAACGTCACATTTTATTTATTAAAATAAATAAACATCACTTTTTATTTATTAAAATAAATAAACGTCACATTTTATTAAAATAAATAAACATCACATTTTATTTATTAAAATAAACGTCACATTGTATTTATTAAAATAAACATCACATTTTAATTTATTAGTTTATGTAAGTTATATTGTGGCTTTATATATATATACATAAATGCATATCAATTTTGTAATTATGTCCATACATATCTAGAAATCTTATATACATATACAGAAATTACATACCTATGAATCATATACCTAAATATGATTAAAATGGCAAATTATACTATATATATGTACATATGCGTGTAGATATATACATGTAGGTGTGTGTGTATAATACAATTTGCCATTTAACCTTTTTAGATGTACAATTCAGTGGCATTCATTACATTTAAAATGTTGTGGAAGCATCACCACTGTTATGGATTGAATTGCTTCCCCCAAAAATTCACATGTTGAACGCCTAAATTCCTATGTGACTGCGTTTGGAGTTAGGGTCTTTACAGAGGTAATTAAGTTAGAATTAGGTCACTAAAGTGGATCTCAATCCAATAGGACTGGTGTCCTTATAAGAAGAGAAGATTAGGATACAGGCACTCACAGAGGGACAACTGTGTGAGGACACAGGGAGAAGATGGGTTCTACAAGCCAGGGAGAGAGGCCTCAGGAAGCACGAGCCTTGTCGACACCTTGATCTTGGGCTTCCAGCCTCCAGGACTATGAGAATATAAATTTCAGTTATTTAAGCTGCCCAGTGTGTGGTACTTTGTCATGACAATCTTAGCAAACTAGTACAACCAACTGCCTATTTCCAAGTCTTTTTCATCACTCTGGAACCATTATTCAATAACTCTCCCTTCCACATTTCCCCAAGCCCCTGGGGATGTATTAATACAATCACCAACATGAGTCCTAGATTACTGCATGCACAAAAATTGTGGCCAGGACTTTTTGATATCTGTAAACTGTCTTCGATGCTTCCTTTTTGCAGTTCCCCCTGGATTTCCATTCTATAGTTCCAACCTTGGTCGTTCATCAAAAAACCATTTGCAATCTCCTATCCAGTTAATTCCTTGATTTGGAGAAAATGTGGGTTCTGTTATCTCATGCAGTATTAGTCCATTCTCATTCTGCTAATAAAGACATACCTGAGACTGGGTAATTTATAAAGGAAAGAGGTTTAATTGACTCACAGTTCAGCCTGGCTGGGGAAGCCTCAGGAAACTTAAAATCATGGCAGAAGGGGAAGCAAACACATCCTTCTTCACATGGCAGCAGAAGAGAGAGAAGTGCAGGGAACTTGCCATTTATAAAACCATCAGATCTCATGAGACTTACTCACTATCACGATAACAGTATAGGAAAGACCCTCCCCCACGATTATAGGAGCTACAATTTAAGAAGAAATTTGGGTGAGGACACAGCCAAAGCACATCACATGCAGACTATGAGACTCATTCCTTCAGCAGGAATTTATCTGAGCACATATTGTGCAAGGACTAATGGAGTGCTTGTGTTCTACTGTTGTGTATGCCTTAGTGCCTTGGTTACATCTAATTTTCAGCAGACCTGTGTAACTCATACTAAAAATCCAATAGAAGAAAAAATAAAATAAAGCAACAACAACTGATGTGTAAACATTATAATTTCATGAGACCAAATTGCATACAATAACACAAGACCTTTTGGAATTTTGTGGGGTTTTTTCCACCTTTCAAATGCTTTCAAATTTCACATCCAAACTTAAAACATCCACAGTAACCTCTAATCTACTTTCAGTCTCAATAAATTTGCCTCTTCTAGATACTTCCCTTTTTGGACAGGTTCTCATTCAGTCACCCAGGCTGGAGTGCAGTTGTGAGATCATGGTTCACTGCAGCCTCAAATTCCTGGGCTCAAGTGATCCTTCTGCCTCAGCCTCTCGAGTAGCTGGGACTACAGGTGCATGCCACTCTGCCCGACTAGTTTTTAACTTTTTTTTTTTATAGATTTGGAGTCCTGTTATGTTGCCCAGGCTTGTCTTGAACTCCTGGTCTCAAACAATCCTTTTGTCTCTGCTTCCCAAAGTGTTGGGATTACAGGTGTAAGCCACCTCATCCAGCCTAGATATTTCTTATTGGTGGCAGCAAACAGTGTTCGTCCTTTTGTGTCCTCCTTATTTTACTTAGTTGAACAGTGCATTTTAGGACCTAATCTCAGAATTGACATACTATTACATCTTCCATTTGTCATTGGTCACACAGGCTGACTCAAATACAATATGGAAGGGGTATCCCACGAAGCAATAAATTCTAGGAGGTGAGAGATTATCAGGACTCATTTTGGAGGGTGTTTGTCACCATCATTTAGCTATTTCAACATGACTTTGACATTTGGTTTACCTGCCTGCCTACCTATGTACCTCCCTACCTACCAACCAATTTTCCATCTCATTCCACAGGGTTATGAGACCTTCATATAATCTGCTGGCTTCTGAATTATTGCTAGTACTTTCTAGATACCTACTGTCCCAGGAGAGCAGGTCTATGCACACCTACCCACAAAGGCCAAGGGAGCTGAGAGGCTGACGGAAGAAGCTGATAAATTCAGTTTCTAAGAATGAAACATTTAATAGGGACTTACTAACAGGAGCCATGTCTTGTCCATCTGTGAGAAGATGGATCTCCCCACTGTTAATCACAAACCCAGGGCTTATATACCATAGGGAAAGGATATACCTGCTTCAGAAGTGATGTGTAAGACAACTGAAGTTGACCCCTCAGTGAAAGGCTATATGGTCATAGCCTATAATCTGCATAAGGGCAGGATTTATGGTAAGTATGATCAAGGTTCTTTTGACCTATGGGCAGGATTTACAGTAAGTATATGCTAATAGTAGATAAAATAGAAATCTTAGAAGCACTCCCAGAATTGTGATTACTCAGAAGTCAACATGGCCGATTAGCATCCAAGATGGAGTGATTTTAGCCTCTGTAGCCACACACATATCTGGGTGTCACTACCCTTGTGTATGTAACTTTACCTGCCCAAATCTTTCTTTTCTTTGTGTGCATTCAGACCTGCTTGAATTTGTCAGAGAATCCTGCTGTAGGAAGTATTACGAACCCAATTGTGTTTTTACCTCTGAGATAAGAGTTAAACAGGGCTCAAGTGGTTTGCTTAAAATTGTAAACTTTAGGTAACAGAAACATAAATTACAGCCATGTCCTGTGCCCTCCATCCCATTGTTCTGCTACAATGCATAATCTTTTTCCACTGGCTGATTTGAAAAATTACTTTTAAATAAGTAATAAGGTTGTGTTGCTCATTGACCTGTGGATGTTTTCATTTTGGATGTGAAATCCAAAAGAAGCATTTGAAAGGTGGGAGAAAGAAAAGCAAAATTCTAATAGGTCTTGTGTTGTTGTATGCAATTTGGTCCTGTTAAATTAAAATGCTACACATCAGTTGTTGTTACCTTGTTTTATTTTATTTCATTGGATTTTGGGTATGAGTATACATGGATCTGCTGAAAATTAGATGTGACTGCAGCACCAAGGCAGACGCAACAAAGTAGAGAATGTATAGAATAAGGTGAAATATTATCTTATGGCTGAAACACATTTTCTGATGAGAATTAAACTTTCTAATTAGTGTATGCTAATAATTGCTAAGTTAAGCTCTCCCCTGAACCCTACACCCATAGAGCTAACTGCTTTCTTGATACAGCTCACAAATGCCATCTCAAACATAAAACAGTCAAAACATGACTTCTATAAATCTGCCATTTCTTCGTCTCAGAATACATCACCATTGCCCAAATGAGTGGACAGAGAAACGTGGTTCATCGGTGACTTCTTTTTTTCTCTGGTGCAGCATCCTAATTCTCTACAGTCTTTGGTATATAGCCTGTGTTCATTGAAGTGTCTGTTGAAGGTGTGAGTCTGATGGTTGAGTGAGATGGCAAAAGCCACAAGTGCTAAAATTTCAGGGATATGCAGATAGAAGACGATGAATGTTTCTTGATGAGCAGCCAAGGCTGTAATCACAGGATGGAAATCCACAGGAAAGGGAAGGGAAGGAAAGAGGAGGGGAGGGGAGGGGAGGGGAGGGGAGGGGAGGGGAGGGGGGGAAGAGGAGAGAAGGGGAAGGGAGGGCCATAAAGAACAGTTCATGGAAGTCAAAAGGTCCTCACTACAAGTTTTTTCTGCACACAGGGATCTTCAATCTATTTTGGCTATTTTGTATCATATATTTTGTGCTTTTACAGTCAATGCTCTAGTGTTTTTGTTGTTGCTTGTCTGTTTTTCTTAATGATAAATGGGGCCAGGTGTGGTGGATAGTGCCTATAATTCCATGGACTAGGGAGGCTAAGACTGGAGGATCAACTGCGGCCAGGACTTCAAGACCAGCCTGGGCAACATAGCAAAACCCCATCTCTACAAAATTTTAAAAAAGTTACCTGGGCTTGGTGATGTATACCTGCAGTCCCAGCTACTCAGGAGGCTAAGGTGGGGGTAATCACTTGAGCCCAGGAGTTCCAGACTACAGTGAGTTATGATCATGCCACTACATTCCAGCCTGGGCAACAGAAGGAGACCCTGTCTCTCTCCAAGAAAAAAAAAAAAAAAGGCATATCGGCATGTCGTCTTTCCAATAATTGAATAACTTAAAAATAGAAACAAAACAAATAATTCTCGTGTCAAAAGTCAAAACTTAAAAAAAATTTAGAAGCTCTTGAGAAAATTTTAAAAAGTCGAAATTCTAAAACTGAGGCATATATGACTCAATAAAAATTCTGTTTCCATTTGTTTTTTGAATGTCGTATCTCAGGATATGTAAGTTCCTGTAATGATATTTGATCTTATGTACAAGTCTATCAAGTAAAGAGCTCAGAGAGAATCATTGAGATTAATAATACTATTGTTCCTAGTTTTCCATAGTGGATAATTAGATTGCAACAGTCAATTAAGTAGCTCTTGGAGTGTCACGGATGAACATTATGGGGAACTGCAAGCCGGGAAGCATCGCCAGAACTTGAACTCAATCTTTCCGTCTTGAGTCACTCCACAGTGGAGGGTATAAAACATTGACTTATTCCAAATCATGTTTGCTCACAAGGAAAGTAGATAAAGGTGAAGTCATTTGTGAGCTTCTATTTTGATCACATTGAAAACTGTCTTTAATAACCTATTTTAAATGCTGTCAAGTATGAGGCAGTAAAGCTTGTTCTCTTAAAAATTCTGTGTCAGTGTCAAAACTATTTTCTTTTTTAATGTTGTTTTTTCTTCGTGTGATCCTAATTTCTCAAAAGAAGGTGTTTTCATCGTTAAGATTTTTCAATCCTATTCACGGCATATAAAAGCATCAACAATCCACACAAAAAAAAAGATAAACCAGCCCAAAAGAGCAGTGCTTTGCCAAGCATTAAAATATCCATTTTAGGACAGATGTGATAATGCCTTATGTAACATGATCAGAGTAACTCCCTTTAGTCCTAAATCCACAGCCCTCTAAAAATGAATTATAAAGTAAGCTGTCATTTTGAGGCCAAAGCCTTTGTTTCCTTTAGGATTTAATGGTCTTGAGAGTTCTCCGCTACCTGCCTCCTGGGAAAAGCCTATTCGTAAAGCACATGAGGATTTGACAGAACTCTGCCAAAAACATGTGTCAGACATTTGTTTTCTTGTGCTTATTTTCCCTTTTTAATAATAATTATACTAAATTTGCATTATTATATATATTTTATATAAATTATATTATAATAATGCAGTTAAATTTGCCTGGAATGACTTGTAATATGACTACATTCTTTTTGTTAAGTCCCTAGCTGTGATTTTAACTACAATAAATGTGGATGTCATAGCACTCCAGGCTGCATTTACTGGGCTGGTGAAGTGCATTGTAGGTGTGCAGTTAGCAACAATGTGTTGTACATTTCAAGGTAGATAGAGGAGAGGACTTGAAATGTTACCAACACATCAAAATGATAAATACTCAAGGTGAGGGATACCCCAAATATCCTGACTTGATCATTACACATTCTATGCATGGAACAAATACTCATATGTGTCCCATAGATATGTAAAACACTATGGGTTAATAAAAACTAATGCAATAGCGCTGCCATGCATTCATAGATGGCTATATTTATAGATGATGTGGTTGTAGATTAGCTGACTGCATTTACTGATTTTACCACAAACCTTTGATCTAGGTAGAGCTAGTAATGAAACATCTATCCCGTAGACCAAGAGCTTTGGGCTACAAGTAGTGCTTTAACTTGACTCCAAGGGGAGTCAGGAAAATTTGAACTCAAGTCTTCAGATTTCTAGTTAATAACAGGTTTTCACTCAGCCAGGCAGACTTCTTCCTCTATTTTTAAAAATAAACTTTTAAAATTGGAATAATTTTAGATATACAAAAAGTTGCAATGATAGTCCAGGAGCTTCCATATAAGAACTTCACTCAGCTCATCAAAATATTGTCTTGCATAATTATGTAACACAGTCAATACTGAAAAGCTAATATTGGAAAGATGCCATTAATGAGACTACAGGCATTATACGAAGTCATGTTACCTTATGAAATGTATAAATATGTGCCAGTCATGTATTATATGTCAAGGTAGTACTTTATGTATATTATATAAATAGATCCTCACAATGACAATTGGATTTGATGAAATTGAGGCCGATGGAGCTAAATACATTGTCTCAAGGTTGGGCAGTTTGCACTTGGCTGAACCAGTCCAAGATTGAAAATGAGCACCATGTAACTAAAGTATGTACATACCTAACTTCTCTACCATGTTGTCATTTTCAATTATGAGCAAAATACCTTTGCTGCTGAGTCAGTTCCTTTACTTTTTGATTTAAGACAATTCTATATTGCATTTAAATCCAAAAAGACTCGTGAAGCAGTCTCACCCACAAAAACTCTCCGGATTGCATAGGTTGGATTTTAACAGCAAGAAACTTGTATACGATGTTTATTTGTTTATTTAAAGCAGAAATACTTCCTAGATGAATTCAAAGAGACAATCGGGAATGACTAAAAGTAATGGAACAATTTTACATAGTCTCTTTCAAATCTAAGCACTTGAGTATGGAATAAACACCAGCTGAATAACTCCTAGCAGAGCGCTCAATATGTAAGGTAGATTTTGATGACTTAGTCTGGCAGTCTATTATAATGAACGAATTTTATAAATCCTAAACATGCCACAAAAATAGCATTCACAGATTACATATGGATGGGGAAACGTGTGTATTTTATAAAACTCTTTTCAAAAGTCGATGTTTCCCTTGAATAATAATTCCATGTTTGGAGGACAATACTGTTGACATTTATCTATAAATATTACTTTTCTTATAACCAACGTGAGTAGATGTTTATCAAAATACAGGAATGAGGCTTTCTAAATGGCAAAGATGATAAGTTCATACAAATCTATGGTGGAGGGTAAATGTGTAGACCACCTCCAAAAGCTGAGAATTATTGAACCAACAGATATGTTTTATTAAATCTCATTTACCAACTATTTGTTTAAACTTAAAACTTCATCATTTTCAGACTATCTATTTGATCTTTGTCTTCATGTCTATTCAATACCTAATCTCTTTTTAATATATTAGAGAATTTGTTCCTGCGGTATTTTTCCCATGGCATTGCCGTGTTGGTAAACATATTCTGGTGAAAAATATCAGATTCTCTCGAGATGAATGAAAGGATATGGAAAGCAAATATATATTAAGGATGTTACTTCTAACTTTGTCTCTCTTTATACAACCTGTGATGAAATATCTGTTGGTGAAGGAGAGCATCAGGAAAAATAGCTAATGGATGCTAGGCTTAATACTTAGGTGATGGGTTGATAGGTGCAGCAAACCACCATGGCACACGTTTACCTATGTAGCAAACCTGCACATCCTGCACAGGTACCCTGGAACTTTAAAATAAAGTAAAGTAAAATAAAATAAAATAAAATGAATATACGTGCTTGTGATTGCTTTATTCATTGGAAAAGTTTAAATTCATAGGAAGAGCCCCCAAACTTAAACTTGGTTGTCATATATACATCTCCTATTAGTCTTGTGCCTCTAGAGAACCTTGACTAATACAACTAAGAACTCATTGACTTTCTAGATGTTACCTAAGCCCGCCACTGAAAGCAAGGCTCCATTTCATTCTTCCTGTACATGATTTTCAGTCACAACCTGTGCTTTTTTGGTCTGTTCTCTTTATTTTCATATTTATTATGTCTTTTTCTTACATAATAATATCTAGAAGAATGTTAAGCAGTATCTAAAATAGACCAATTACCTGGCTGATGTGAGTTGAACAATGGTTTTTAGATAGTCCCTAGAAATGCTTGAAAACCACCACTATAAATTAGTCTTAGACATTCTTTCACTCCCAAGTAAAATCTGATTTGTTTTCCTTTTTGCACATTTTAGTGTGTTGCCAGTCTCTAGAAGAGATGGGTGATTGCTTTGCAACTCCTAGAGGGGGCCTAATGGCAAAATCCAGAGAGGAATGAGAACCTTTGCTAATAACATCACTCTCTACCCTGGCAATCTGGACCAGTTGATCTTCGCAGCAAAAAAAAAAAAAAAAAAATTCTTCCCCAAATGCAGCCACAGTTATTGATTCCTTGTTGTCAAAATGCACCTAAAATATCTCATGAAATGTCAGCCTGCCACTGCAAAGAAATGACATGTTTTGTCAACTACCTATTATATATATATATATATATATATATATATATATATATATATTTTAATTTACATTGCCTGTGACAAGTGCCCCTTAAGATACGATGTGTTTGGTTTCTTTCTTTTGGCCATTTCTCTTTTCCATAGAAGTTAATTTTCTGGTTCCGTTTGTGATGCCAGATTCTGAGTTGGCCTCTGTGGGAAGTTTTCAGTCACATGGAGAATGCCGCAAAGTGGGGAACAGGGAAGAGGGGATTCTATGCACTTTCATAAGGGAGTAACCAGACCGCAGGCGCAGAGAAATGGGGCAGATATGGGGCACCACAGAAACCGTATATTTTGACAACCAACATTCTTTAGACTTTGTGAAAAATGATTTCATCATAAACAAGCCAAGATAACCCTGGTTGCAAAAGACTAAAACAAATGTATTCCTGTCTATAGTTATTGTACATTTAAATGTTGCCATTATCACTAAGAGAAATCAGTCTAGTTATCCAAGCATTTTATTTAAAAGTAATACAACATATATTTCCCTCTTTACCCAACTCCCTCATTATTAATTTAAATAATTTGATGCACATTAGCAGATGGTTTTGAAGATCTGGCTACTTCGTTTATTGAACATAAATGTTCAGAGAGCTTTGTACACAATAGGCAGCATTGCAAAATCCAACTCGAATTCCAAGGACGATTTAGGAACATAAATCTCACTTTAAACGATAGTTTCATTTTAAAGTGGGACATATGTGCCAGGTGCAGGGGCTTATGCCTGTAATCCCAACACTTTAGGAATGTGAGGCGGGAAGATAGCTTGAGCCCAGAAGTTCCAGACCAGGCTGGGTAACATAGGGAGACCCTGTCTCTACAAAACATAAGAAAACAATAGCTGAGTGTGCTGATGCACCTGTAGTCCCAGTTACTTGGGGGGCTGAGGAGGGTGGATCACCTGAGCCCAGGAGTTGAAGGCTGGAGTGAGCTGTGATTGTGCAACTGCACTCCAGCCTGGGTGATAGAGCAAGACTCTGACTCAAAACTCCTTAAAAATAAAACAAAATAAAGTGGGACATATGAACATGAAATAATGCAAATGAGAAGAACATAAAATTATTATGAGTTTACATTAAATGACATTAGCAGGAAGGTTAAAGGTATCTCCTGCATGTTTTTCTTAGTAACTACGTTTCCTTTTTCACCGGTGATAATAAAAAATGCCTAATCTTTCCCGTCATCCTTCTTCTCTTTCTGTCCTCTCTCAAACCTGTCTCACATTTGGAGATGGATTTGTTGTTGTTGTTGTTGTTGTTGTTAGAACTTATAATGAGGAACAGACGCTTAATCATTGCTTTTATTGTTTTTTATTTAAAAGAATAAAAACAAAAGTATTACAAAAATCAAACATTTTGTTAAGTTTTCACCTGACCTAACATCGCAATTGTTCATCTTTCTTTGGTGTCCGTATCTAAGTGTAAGGGATCCGTTAATGACTCAGTGTAATTTATTGGGTGAAGACCAGAGAGGCAGACTGAAATCAAACAGTAGGAGATGGTTTGGGCCATTGTCCTTTGTTGTGAGGTCTGAACGTGGGGGTAAGGGAAGAAGTGGTAACATTTGTGAAGTAACTGATCAAAGGACATATGTTAAATTATAATTCTAAATCATTGTCTAGCATCAAAACAAATAAATTTTATTAGAACAAACAACCAAAAAAACAAGGGAGAGATAGTTTGATTAGGTTTATAAATAAAACCATCATATATGCATTCCTTATTAAGGAAGACCTGGTTAAGGCTGATGATTACAGTTGAGTCCTACAATAAATTGTCTAGAGCCCCCAAGGGATCACAGATGAATTCCATGGAGAGTCAAAACCGTTCTTCATAGAATTCAGCACTGCTCTCAGTACTAGCTTTTTGGTGACAAATCGTGGTGCCTGGACAAGGGCAAACTTGAGTGTCCTTCACGGAATTTTTAAGAAACCCAATCACTAACTCTTCTGTTTCCAATACGGGATCTGAACAAAATGAGAAAGTTGACATGGGCTAAGACAGATGGGAGCCAAAATCACCCTTATGGAAGATGAAAGCCAGGTTGTGGCAGTCTATCTGTGAGCAAATGGGCTTTCTAATCCTGAGTCCCATTATCAGATGGACATATACACCTAATGACATGCAGAGGGCGATATTGAGTGAAGATAGTCCTCCCCACATGAGATGCCTATGCAAATGAAAGAGGTCACTTAATGAAGGAGGACGGAGAATGCTAGGCTCCTGCTTATCTTTAGAGAAAGAGGGAGAAAAAGTGAGAGAAAGAGGAGGAGATGGAAAAGGAAGAAAAAAAGGAAGGAAGAAAGGGAAGCAGGAAGGAAGGGAAGGAGGGAGTGAGAAAGACAGGGAGGGAGGGAGGGAGAGAAGAAAGTAAGGAAGAAAGAGGGAGAGAGGAAGGAAGGAGAGGAAGAAAGGAAGTGAGAAAAATTGAGAAGGGAAGAAGGAGAGGAAGAAAGAAAGGGAGGAGGGAAGTGAGAGGAAAGAAGGAAGGGGAGGAAGAAAAGAAGTAAGAGAGGAATTGAGGTTAAGAAAGGAAGGAAATGAAGAAAGAAAGGGGAAGAGGAAGTGAGAGGAAGGAAGGAGAGGAAGAAAGGAAGGAGAGGAAGAAAGGAAGGAGAGGAAGAAATGAAGGGAAAGAAAAAAGAGGAAGGAAGGGAGAACGGAAAGGATAAAGAAAGGGAGAAAGAAAGGAAAAAAGAAAAATAAGAAGAGGAAATAGGGAATGAGGGAAAGGAGGAGGAAGAGGAGTGGAGAGGAGAGGAAAGGAGAGGAGTGGAGTGGAGTGAAGAGGAGATTAGTGCTGGATTATGTCCATAACATAAAGTCATTTCTCCTTACCTGGAAAACAGTGAAGACTAGAGCAAGATATGCATCATGAGAAATTGCTACACTACTGGTGTCCTTCCATATAGAGGTAGGATTAAGTATAGGGAATAGGCATTTTCCTAAAAATACATGCATAAAGAAAATATAAATACATATTTGGCATTAAGACTATAATATATATTCTGATTTTATGTACTAGTATGCATCTGTCCTTTCTAACTTTTGTCTTTTTATGCAGAATGCTACAGAGAGAGAGGACCTTGGCTTGAATTTCAGATGTGCCATATTTTATTTTATTTTATTTTATTTTATTTTATTTTATTTTATTTTATTGGTGAGAGAGGGGCAGTGGTCAGGGATTGGCTACCTCTAACACTGAGTGAGTATTTGCTAAATGACAGAGACTTTGCTAGGTACTTTAGACATATTACCTAATTTAATCCTCATTACCACTATATGATGTTATGTTGTGATGTTGTGTTATATTGTTACGTTTGCTATGTTATATTAGGTCATCTTGCATTGACACATTATGCTTCATTATGTTGTGTTGTTGAGTTATATTGATGTGCTATGTTGTATCATGTTACTATGTTGTGTTGTGTTATGTCTTCCTGCCATGCTATCTTATGTTTATGGACTGAATTTTGTCTCCCTAAAATTCATATACTGGAAGCCATAATCTCCAATGTGATTATGCTTGGAGATAGAGCTTTTAGAAAGGTAATTCAGATTAACTGAAGTCATTAGGGTGGGACCCTAATTCAATAGGGCTGGTGTCCTTATAAGAAAAGAGACACCAGAGATTCTTGTGTACAGAGAACAGGCCATGTTAGGAGCCAGCAAGAAGGCCACCCTCTGCAAGCTAAGGAGAAGAAACTAACGCTACTGGCACCTTGCTCTTGGACTTTCTGCCTTCAGAACTGCAAGAAAATACATATGTGTTGTTTAAGGCACACAGCCTGTGATATTTTGTAATGGCAGCCCTAGAAGACTAATGCAGTTGTGTTGTGATGTGATGTGATGTTCTGCTATGTTTTATGTTTACTATATTACAAAATGAGGAAGCTGAGCTTCCAAGAAATTAAGTGGTTCACCTATAGCCACACAGCTAATAAGAGTTAGTGCTAGAATTTAACCCTAAATTAGTCTCAAGACAGGTTGAGTTCTCTAAACACTCTCTTCTATCAGGTTTACTACCCTGAGCAAAATGCCTCACCTCCTAGAGCCACAATTGACTTATCAGCAAATGAGGACTGTGGTGTACATCAAACCTATAAGAACCATGGCAAATATTCATAATTAGCTTTGGTGATGAGAACAGTAATAATAATAATTATCATTTTATCATCTATGAATTAGAACAGTATTTAGTGTCCTATAAAGAGCTGTTCTCACACCAATGGAAGCCACTGAGTTGTGTTCCTTTGGGAAAACATCCGGTGAGGATTTACTGCATTAAAAGTTGAATTGCAGCTCTTCAGCTCCTTGGAGTTTGGGTGAATCATCTTTTTAAAAATTTGTATTATTTTTGCTTTTGAAGTAGAACACGGGGGGTTTTGTCTGTGATTCCCAACTCTTGTCTTCTTCTAGTTCTGAAATGAATACCACGGCGAGTGATATGGTTTGCCTGTGTCCCAACCCAAAATCTCATCTTTAATTGTAATCCCTATAATCCCCACATGTCAAGAGCAGGAGCAGTTGGAGGTAAATGAATCATGGGGGGCGGTTTCCCCCATGCTGTTCTTGTGATAGTGAGTGAGTCTCATGAGATCTGATGGTTTTATAAGTGTCTGGCATTTCCCCTGCTTGCGCTCACTCCATCCTGCTGCCCTATGCAAAAGGTGCCTGTTTCTCCTTTGCTTTCCACCGTGATTGTAAGTTTCCTGAGGCCCTCCTAGCCATGCAGAACTGTGAGTCAATTAAACCTCTTTCCTTTATAAATTACCCAGTCTTGGGTATTTCTTCATAGCAGTGTGAAAATGAACCAATACAATGAGTCCCAGTCTAGTTGTTTACATTCCATAACTATATAAACCAGGACAGAAGCCCAAGCATACTTGTTCAGACTGAATTTTAAAAATCCAGCAGCCAATCTAGACTGTGAACCTCTTGTCTCTCTCTTTCACTTTCCACCTAAATCCAACCTCTAGAAACCGAGAATGTCTAAGCCACTGACCACAAATAATAACTGATAAAGGAGCTTGAACCAAAATAACTCGAATGTCATGTCAAATGGAAGTGAGAGAGGTTGCTGAATGTTACCTGATGTGTAAATGAAAAGACAAGATGCTCTGGGAAAAGATGTGAAAAAGAAAAGGATATTGCTTTCATACAGAAATGTGATACAAGTGTAATGATTTCCATTTAGAAAGCAATTTTTAGTAAAAAAAATTTCCTCAGCTTTATGGAGGCATAATTGACAAAATTTTATATATTTAAGGTGTACCAGGGGGTATTCTGACATGTGTATATATTCTGAAATAATTATCAAAATTAAGCTAATTAACACACCCATAATCTCACATAGTTATCTTTTTCTAGTGTATCTGTGGTGAGGATACTTAAACTCCACTGTCTTTGCAAATTTCAACTATAGAATACAATTTTATTGCCTTCAGTTACCAAGCTGTACATTAGTCCTCCAAACCGTATTTGTTCTATAACTAAAAGTTTGTCCTCTTTGACTAACATCTCTACATTTCTCCCTCTCCTCAGCCTCTGGTAACCACCATTCTACGCTCTGCTTGTATGAATTTGACTGTTTTATATTTCTTTTATTTTCATTTCTCTCTTTCTTTTTTTTTCTTTTTCTTTTTTTTTTTTTTTTTTTTTTTGAGACTAGGTCTTGCTCTGTTGCCCAGGCTGGAGTGCACTGGTGCAATCACAGCTCACTACAACCTCTGCCTCCAGCTCTCAAGTGATCCCCCCACCTCAGCCTCCCAAATAGCTTGGGACTACAGGTGTGTGCCACCATGCCAGGCTAATTTTTGTATTTGTAGTAGAGATGAGGTTTTGCTATGTCGTCCAGGCTTGTCTCAAACTCCTGGACTCAAGCGATCCACCCACCTCAGCCTCCCAAAGTGCGTGGATTACAGGCATAAGACACCGTTCCCCGCTGAATTTAACTGTTTTGGATTCTGTGTTTAAGTGAGATCATGCAGTATTTGCCTGTCTGTACCTGGCTTATTTCACTTCACTTAATGTCCTCCAGCTTCATCCATGTTGTGGCAAATGGCAGAATTTCCTTCTTTTTATGGCTGGATCATATTCCATTGAATATGTACCCTACATTTCCCTTACCCTTTCATCTGTCCATGGACATTTGGGTTGTTTCTATATCTTGGCTACTGTGAGTAGCACTGTAATGAGCATGGAGATGCAGATATCTCCTCCAGATAGTGCTTTTATTTCCTTTGGAAATACACCCAGAACTGGTATTTCTGGAATATATAGTAATTCTATTTTTAATTTTTTGAGTAACTTACATATCTTTTTTTATAATGGCTATACTAACCTCCATTCCAACCAACTCTACCACCACCAACACCAATACCACCTCCACCACCACCAACAACAAACACAATTTTTAAATTACGTGAGATAAATGTAAATTGTAAACAGAGACCCTTTTAAGAAGGGAAAAGCTCCCTACCACTCCAGCTATTTCTAATTCAAAGCATTAATGACTTTTATTGCTGTTGACACATTTTATATGGACAACTTTTGTCATTAGCCAATACAAACGTGCTCAGGAGGTTGTGACTATTTTTTTCTTGATCTTTTTGACTATTCATATTTGGCTGATGCTTCTCCTTTTAAAGAGGCCACAACATAGCTAAACAGTGAGATGGTGGACCTTTTGCAGAGGTTCTCATCCCCAGGTGGAGTCTTACTCAGACTTCAATAATCTATTCAGATGCAATTTAGCTCCATGCTTCTTTTACTTTTGCACAAACCACATGGACGTTGAGATTTCATTGCAGGCAATGAAAATTATCCTGGCACATCTTAGGTCACAAATCTAACAACAACTGCTTTTCCAATGTCACTTCCTGAAAAGGGAGAGACAAGAAGTGTATGTAGGCCACCTACTTTACAAATAAGCCGGAGAAGGCCCCTGGATTAGTCATAAAAAGCAAAGCCCACAAGAAATCCACCTGAAAGCTGGGTTCAGAAAAAAAATGAAATGAAAAAATACTAGAATCTACAACTATGGGCTAAGGGTGTGTTTTGGATAGAGCTGGTTAATTTCAGAAACACTGGGAGAAACCTGGAAATACAGTCATGAATTGTTCTTGCTAAGAAAGAACAACGTAATGACACCTTTCTCTTCTATTCAACTCAAATCAGGTCAGTCAGAATGATCAATCAAGATTACTTCTTGATCAGGTGTGGTGGCTCACGCCTGCAATCCCAGAACTTTGGAAGGCCCAGGCAGGAGGATCACCTAGGGCCAGGAGTTTGAGACCAGTATGGGCAACGGGGTGAGACTCCATCTCTACAAAAAAATTTAAAACAAAATAATAAGCATACTTCTCCCTTGCCTTCATGAGAAGAATAACAATGTTTTTATGGGTTACAACTAGGAAACCTACTCCATTCCACAGCATCAAGATCTCTAAGTGGGATCATATGAGTTGGGGCATGAAGTGATGGACATTAGGCCAATCCCATAAGCATTATGAGGCCGCCATTGCATACTGACAGGTGTGCGGCAAATGCCACTTAACCGCATTCCAGGGCTCCATAGACATAAATATTTGTATTAAACATTGCATCTTACTGAGCTGGCATGTCTTCTCAAATAGTTTGGACTTGATTTTGCAGGTAATGCAACATGACAAGGTAACGATCTGCCAGAAACTATAAAATCAGATCGAAACTTGAAAGATAATGTCCTCTAAACCTGTTCAAAAAAAAATTGAAAAAAGGACATGCATCTCTTTAGATACTCATGGTACAGTGTATTAATGCTCTTGTGTTGTATTTAAAATAAAGCTAAATCTTATTTCTAAATTGCTTAGATTTATGAATATATGTATATATGCATACACACATAAAGAGAAAGAAAGAAAGAAAAAAGAAGAATTTCTAAATTGCACACAAACACACACATAGGTGTATGATACATGTATATATAGAGAAAGGAAGAATGAAAGAAAGGAAGGGAGGGAGAGAAGAAAGATGGAGGAAGGAGGGGAGAGAAAAAGGAAGCAAGGAGAGAGGGAAGGAAGGAAGAGAAGGAAGGGGGAAGGAAGGAAGGAAGGGAGGAAGGAAGGAAGGAAAGAAGGAACGAAGGAAAAGAGAAATAAGGAAACATTTCTAAACTGTACACATACACATATATAATATATACACACATATGTATGTATATGTGGATTGATACGTAGATAGGCTAGATTGGACACCTATATTATATATAACTAATGTTGGCTGTATTAGGTGTCCCAGTTGTACCCCCAAAGAGCATTCACTATTTCTAGCACAAAGAGGGGGTAGCAAAAGAAATATATATATATATATGTTTGGTACAAAAGCAATTGCACATTTGCCATTAAAAGTAATGGCAAAAACCATAATTGCTTTTGCACCAACCTGATACATACACATACACATGCACACATACAGCATACATATATATATATAATGTATATATGTATGTAATATGTAAATATATATTGTAATAAATGTATAGAACATTATTTAGGGATATATACATGTATGAGAAATGTATAACACAATATAATCTATAAAAACAGAATTGGGAGATGCGTTTTTCTCCATTTTTAGAAGAGTTTGAAATATATTAAATGTGATATAAGTAGTTGTTATTAAAACTGTAGAGCATATAACAAAAATATTGCTTATGGACACTAAAACCAGTATTTATTCAATAGAATCTTACTGACAAAAAAAAGCAAAATAAAACAAACACTATCTTTCAAGTACTTTTAAAATTCTACATAGAAAATTTTAATTCCAGTGTTTTGAAATAAATACTGCATATCTCAGGGATATCAAAACAGGAAACTGGCTTTATAGAGTGAATTACAAATGTTCCAATAAAAAGAATCACAGCTAACCCTGCTGCCATCAGAAAACTACACACTGAAATGGGAACCATCCTGGATTATGTAATAAAAAATAAGAATAATTCCCGGCTGCTCTAATGTTCAACTTTCCTGTCGCACAGCACCTCCGATCACTTCTACTCCATCTCAATTTATTCCAGGTAAAATGACACTAAAGCTATCAATGAGAAAGCAAGGAAATATATTTAGACCTACCCGTGTGAAGAGAAACAAATATCTAAACAGTTTTTTCATGGACACACCACAATTTGGAAATTTTAGATTTGTTGGTATTGCTGTCTTGGCTTTGCAAGACATTTAAGAGTCAGCATAAGGGGCTGAAATACACATAGCCTAGCAATTGCATTAAAGTGTGTTTGTTAGCCTTGTTGTCTGCATGAAATGAGAAGGCAGACAGGTAAGCAGCAAGACAAATGGACACAAGAAATAAGAAGGTATACACTGCATACCTTCAAATGCTAAGTCATCTAGGAATGGCTTATTTTCTAGAAGTTGCTAACAAACCAAACGTAGTTGGTAGAAATATGCCACCACTCAGTTTCTGGGGAAAGAAAAAAGCTAAATGTATTGCTTGCTAAGCCAGAAGGAGCTCCGATTATAGGTTGTGATGTCTCTGAAGCAGGCCAGCCACTGCTATTATCTTATATTTGGGTACTGTAAAGTTCGGTCAGTCCTGGTACACTTTCAAAACAGATTTTTTTTTTTTTTTTAAGAGACAGCTTCTTGCTATATTGCCCACACTGGCCTGAAACTCATGGGCTCAAATGATCCTCTAACCTCAGCTGGGACTACGGGGGCATGCCACCAAACCTGGAGAAAATGGAATTTTATGGGGCACTTTGTCCTAATGCAGAAACCCGGTTTCTGGTGTGAGCTGGCTGCTGATGGGTTTTCTTTGGGAAGCACCGAGCTTCATGGCTGAGTGGCTTTCGGAAGCATTGCTCCTGACCCAAGGTTGATTGAAAGATTGTGTCACTTTTGAATCTAGTTTTGGGGTTTCATACAACTACAGGTAGAACATAAACAGTCTTTTTATTCCCTTGAATTTGGAGCCTTCAGCGTTTTTATTCTCAGAAATTTCCAGGGTATGGCAGTATACACTCTCAATCATCTTCCTCCATTATTCCTGTCTCTTCTTGAGTTCATAAATCTGTAATCTCTTCAATTGCCTAGCTACCTTCCATTTGACCCCCACACCTCAGTCTAACCTGTACGGTTCTGCTTTCAGATCTTCTCAAACCAGAACTTCCCCTTAGTACCAAGAATTTCCAGTGGCCCCGTGGCCCCATGCAGCAAACTGAAAATTTAAAGGGCACAAAACCATCTTTATACAAAAAACACGGAAATCTAGTAACTGAAAAGTAGTGCAGTTGAGGCATCTGAAGCTCATAAATAACCTACTCCTAGAAAAAGTTTTGGTGAAAATTCAAAGATTATTTTTAGGTTAAGGTTTTTATGGTGGTGTTAGATGTGAACTTTAATGAGCATGTTCATGTCCAAAAAACAAACAAACCAACAAAATACACATTGTCCTTCATGGATACCTTTTCTGACCTCAATTCTTATGATAAAAGTGGATAAAATCAATATGTTGAGATACAACTACTATTAAGAGGTGAAGAAAATTACATTTTTTTTTTAAAGAAACACTTGGCCGGGCACGGTGGCTCATGCCTGTAATCCCAGCACTTTGGGACGCCAAGGCGTGCGGATCACCGGAAGTCAGGAGTTCGTGACCAGCCTAGCCAACATGGCAAAACCCTGCTGCTACTAAAAAATACAAAAATTAGCTGGGTGTGGTGGTGCACGCCTGTAATCCCAGCTACTCGGGAAGCTGAGGTGGGAGAATCACTTGAACTCGGAAGATGGAGGTTGCAGTGAGCCGAGATTGTACCACAGCAATCCAGCCTGGGTGACAGAGTGAGACTCCATCTCAAAAACAAAACAAAACAAAACAAAACAAAAACACTTATACATTGTTGGTGGGAGTGTAAATTATTTCAACATTGTGGAAGACAGTGTGGCAATTCCTCAAAGAACCAAAAAAAGAACTACCCTTCAACCCAGCAATCCCATTATTACTGGGCATATATATATATATATGTGTATGTACACATACATATATTCAAAGAAATATAAATTGTTCTCTCATAAAGACACCTGCACGTTTGTTCACTGAAGCACTATTCACAATAGCAAAAACATGGAATCAACCTATATGCTCATCAATGGTAGACTAGATAAAGAAAATGTGGAGACACCCTGGAATACTATGCAGCCATAAAAAAGAATAGGATCATGTTAACTGCAGAAACATGGATGGAGCGGGAGGCCATTATATTTAGCAAACTAACACGGGAACAGAAAACCAAATATTACATGTTCTCACTTATAAATGGGAGCTAAATGATGAGAACACATGGACACATAAAGGGAAACAGCAGACACTGAGCCTGTCATAGGGTGGAGGGTGGGAGGAGGGAGAGGATCAGGAAAAATAACTAATGGGTACTGGGCTTAATACCTGGGTGATGGGCCCGGTGCAGTGGCTCACACCTGTAATCCCAGCACTTTGGGAGGCCGAGGTGGGCGGATCACGAGGTCAGGAGATCGAGACCATCCTGGCTAACATGGTGAAACCCCGTCTCTACTAAAAATACAAAAAATTAGCCGGGCGTAGTGGTGGGCGCCTGCAGACCCAGCTACTCGGGAGGCTGAGGCAGGAGAATGGCGTGAACCCGGGAGGCGGAGCTTGCAGTGAGCCGAGATTGCGCCACTGCACTCCAGCCTGGGAGACAGAGCGAGACTCCGTCTCAAAAAAAAAAAAAAATAACCTGGGTGATGAAATAATCTGTACCACAAACCTTCATGACACAAGTTTACCTATATAACAAATCCACAATTGTACCTCTGAACTTAAAGTTAAATCAAAAAACACATATTTGTTCCTTAGAAGGAAAGATTAACAAATGTTTATGTTTATAATCTATGTGTATTTGAGATCATCTAAACCTATATGTATGTTTATAATCTATATATGTGTGTTCATGTTTATAATCTGTGGCATCTTGTGGTTTTCTATTTATAAATGACAAGAAATCAATCCCTCAGGTTTTCCCTGACGCCTGTGCCAATTTTCCTTTTTAGTTAATGTCCCATGGTCTTTGTTAGGCTGTAGCCAGGAGGAGAACAGACTATATTTTCCAGTCACTCTTGGCGTTGGGTGTGCCTCTGTGACCGCATCTGGCCAACTGAGGTAAGCGTGAGCTGTCTGAGAGATTTCCAGAAATCTTCCTTGGATCAGAGGTCTGCTCTTTTCACTGGCCCCTCCTTTCCTAATCGAAGCTTAAGGATCTATCCTAAACCAGGAAATGACTTTGGAGATGGAGCAAAGCAGAAAAGTCTTTGATTGAGGCAAGTACGTACCTCCAGGCAGTGTGAAGATGACAGATATACCCTGTCTTGTTCAAGCCACTTGATAATGTGCGTTTTTCTGTTTTCTCTTTTTTTCTACCAAGTCCACATTCTAGGCAATCCAAATCTACTTTAAAATATGGTTTACACCTTAAAATGGTACAGTGTATTCTCCCGTGTATTACTTTTACAAAGCAATTTACTATAGGCTCCGTTTCTATAGTTACAGTTTAATTAAAAATAGTTTGATAATAAGAATCGTATTTTTCAGTGTGTGTAAGACATCCACATTGCATGATATAATAAACATAATGCATGTGTGTTTCCAGACAAGCATCTCTAAATTTTCCTGGAATTGCAATGTTTCATTATGGGAGATACTTTGAAAGAATACTGCAGTCGATACATGTTCTATTTTCAAAGTCAAAATTCTAATTACGTGTATACTTTGTAACTTCTTCTTTCTGTAAATGATACTAGCTATGTCAACTCTTCAAATATTTGGGTAAGACAAGTAGGTAAATATTTGGAATTTCATACTAGTGTAGAATGAGGTAGGCACAATGAGTTTTTTTCTTTTTTAATAAAAATGTGCTATTGTTGCAATGCTAATCTACTGTACAGAAAAACATGGTTTTCTTACATATGCAAAATTGCCATTTTTTTGTCTGTGTGTTTAAACAATTTTAGTTATCAGTATAGATTGGCTTCATATAAATGACAAGTTAAAATAGTGGGATGTATTTAAGGTGTCTCAACAGTTTGAGGGAAGCTCAAAATGTTTATGGCTCTGTCTGAAGCCCATTGGTGGGCACAAAAATAATGACCAACTTTACAAAAGCCCTGTTCCTGCTGAGGATGCAATAGCCAGGGTGCAAGGGAACAAAGCAATGTATAGTATCTGCGTGGCTGAAGAGAGAAGGTGACGCTGAACCAGGTCTGGCAGAATGAGTCTGCATTTGCCTGGCATCGAACTTCTTCAGCCAACCCTTTCTCTTCAGCCTGCTTCTCCCCTAGTCCAAATCTTCCTACCCTTGGGCTTTAATTCTTCCTGCTCTTCCTTCTCCAGTGATTCTCCTTCAATCTTTCATGTTCATCTTTGTGAGATAACTTTTTATAAGAAAGCAAATACCTAGGGACACTCTCCTAGTCAGTAATCTATACAATTTCTCTCTCTCGTTTTCTCTCTCTTCATATATATATATATATATATATACACACACACACACACATACACACACACATAATACATATACATCATACTTGCATATGTATACATGTATATAAGATATATATGTATATGTTTACATATATGTATACACATATACACACATGATTTAAAAGTTTAATATACTTTAATATACATATATGTGCATACATACACATACATACACATGTGTGTATATACACATACACACATATATACCTATACACACACATATACAATTATACATATACACGCATATATACATAGTGAGGAAAGTATCTCCAGGCAGTGTGGATATGCATACATATATGCATATGTATGTGCATATATGCGTATATTCATATATCAGAAGATTTTGGCAGTATAATTATGTTTCTACAGAGAAATTAGGGATGACAGAAAGCTAAAAAAAATTGTAAACCTTAAATGATGCAATTTTTACTCTGGAGGAAAAAAAAGTATGAAAAAAGGAAACACATTTAGTCCAGGATATGATCTTTGTAATAGTGTGTGTATACTGTGTAGATATAGATATAGCTGCAGAGCATATAATAAACTCATTGGCAGGTTATTTGAATTCCGACACGTCCAAACATCTTTCCAGATTCAAACATCCTTCCAGCTTGCTCCTCCACTGCCATTTTTCCTCACTGACTCCACTCAATCATTCTTATTTCCACCTCTGCTTTTTGTTCACTAAGGATGAGGGGTGGACATCCCCGGAAAAGGGAAGGGAATGAAGGTATGTAGGTATCACAAAGTGGATGGTTAGTGCATATTCATGGAGTGAAGTCATGTGCTAATTGATTCATTATGCAAGTAATTGCTGGCAAATACACCATTGTAGCTCATGTCCACACCACCTTGAAGTATAACAAAGAGACGCAACATAATGAGTGTGTTTCGTGTATCCAGCTCAACATAGAGAATTGAAAACACTGTTCTTTCCCATAAACTCACTAAAAGGACAAAATAAAAGTCTAAATAAGAGGCAATAATTCAAAGGAATTAAATAAGAGAGCAGACAACAACATACTTCAATGAAACATTGCAAGCTAGAAAGCAGATGGGCGAATCTCAATTTATCCTCATCAGAGAAACTTGGAAGTACTCAGGGTCAAGGGAGTAAACTAGGAAGTAGGCCAGCCCTTGGCCCACACAAAGGCCTCTGAAAGCGAGGTCTCAGATATGGTTAAAAGCAAGCCTTTCTCTGTCTCCCTTTTTACCTTTTTTAAAATTTGTGCAAGTGTATAAGGTACATGAGAAAATTTGTTACATGTATATAATATGCAGTATTGCAGGTGTCTGTCACCCAAGTACAATACATGTTTAAGTAAAGTCATCTTACTCTGCTACAAAACACTGAATTTATTGGTTTTATTTTACTGTGTGTGTTTGCACTTTTTAACTCACTCCTCTTCATCCTCCCTGCCCCATCCCCTAAAGCAGGACTTCTCTGGAAGATTGAATATCTCCGTCCCACATAGCTAAATAATTGCTCCTGACTTGACCTGAGAGTTGATCTGCAGAGATGAATTATCTCTCGAGGGCAGAGGGGGCATTCTTCCAGACGTTAGTGACAGCTCGAGGGCAGGGGTAGAGTTAAGCAGAATATGGAAAGTAAGTAAAAGTCTACACACAGAATGTTGAGAAACTCATGCAACTTCCCACAGTAGATTCTAAAAATGCCAACAGCAGGGAGGAAAACAGTTCTCTCTAGGAAAACTGAGAAGTCAAGAAAAAAGAGTCAGATACTGATATTTACATGTCTCCATTTAAATCATAGGTTGCCAATTTAAGTGTGAGTCCCATAAGTTGACAAAACCTATCTAATTGCAGATTTAGTGCCTCTGTTTCAAATATCAGGAGCAATTGAGGTTCACCCAAAATGCTAGCAGGTCCTACATCTAACAAAGAATAGAGAGACAAGAAAGGAGACCTTTAGATCAGCATTTCTTTAAGTCTGGTCTGGAAACATTTGGAAGTCCATGAAATAAGAACTACATTCATAATAATAACAGGTCTTAATTAACTATTTCCTTTGTTTTTGAGAGTTTACAATTATGTTTTGCTCAAGTTACACAGCTTGAGATCTCACAACAAACTCAGTCCAGAAGTAGATATGCGACCTAAGCTCTGTTTCAGTAAGCTAGGCATTAAAGACATCTACTAGAATGTAAAATAATGCCACTGTTTTTCCTTTTCGGGTGGAAAACATAGCTACTTACAAAAATTATGCCATTTTTGTAACAGATACTGGGTTTTTGCAGAGGCTAGGAGGCCTTCTAAGACACGTTTTGCAACCTGTAATGTGCCATTCTCAGTACAGGTCAATAGGTTAATACTATGGGTGGATGCAAGTTATAGGGTATCCTAGACTCAAGCAGAGGGGGAGGAAACTACAACAAAATTAGAAAAGCAACAAACAGTTCAGGCCCAACTTTAATCCACTACATGTTATGAAGTATGATTCTGTATCAGTCTGTTCTCACACTGCTAATAAAGACATAGCTGAGACTGGGTAATTTATAAAGGAAAGAGGTTTAATGTACTCACAGTTCCACATGGCTGGGGAGGCCTTACAATCATGGCAGAAGGCGAGTGAGAAGCAAAGTCACATCTTACTTGGTGGCAGGCAAGAGGGTATGTGCAGGGGAACTCCCCTTTATAAAACCATCAGATCTCGTGATACTTATTCACTATCACGAGAACAGCAAGGGGAAAACCCACCTCCATGATTCAATTACCTCCCACCAGGTCCCTCCAATGACATGTGGGGATTATTACAATTCAAGGTGAGATTTGGGTGGGGGACACAGACCCAAACCATATCACATTCAGTGGTTGGAAAAAGCAAATGCATTCACCTGTGGAAAATTTGGCAAGGTGTATTAAAATGCAGATAATTTTTATCCTCTGTCCCACTTATATAAAATATACATCACTGTGTGTGTGTATGCAAGTGTGCATACATATATGTATTTGAATGCACAAACGGGAAAAAAACGCACAAAATTTTCATAGTAGTTATGTCTGGGTAGGGGGAGGTGGGCATGGGGTCACTTGCCATTTCACTGTATTTATCTTCTATCATACTTGAAACTTGAATTTGTAATTCAAAGTGAATGGATTAAATGATGACTTGTCTAATGCTTTAGTAAAAATGTGCCATGTACTCCCAAATAGCTTATAGATAATGCCAAATACTAGACATTAGTTTCCAATGCTGCCACCATCGGATGTAAAACGTTGTCGGTTGAGCTGAAAAGAAGGAAGCCGCTCACTTACCTCCTTCTGCAGTCTGGTGGGAGCAGAGGAACTGGCACCCAAATCCATATCGGTTGGACATGGTTCAATCGTATGCCACAGAAACAGAACTAAATCTAGGGAGGGTAGTGGGTGAGGAACAGCATCTAAAAAAGGGATTCATTTCCCACACATGAAAGGAATGTTGAACAAATCCATCTTGTGATGCTCACCAAGGTGTTAGCCAAACCTAGAGGAGACAGAACTTCCACTCGTATTGCCAAATGTCTGTTTGTTGGGAAAATGCTTCTCATCTGTTATAAGTGTTAAACCATTCTGAAGATATCTGGGAAACCAAATCAGTAATTTAAAAATTCCTTGTAAACTTGGAATGAAAATAAAGGGAGAGGTACCTACTGCCTCATCTATTTGTCTCATGGATGCTTTCACTGGATCCATGACAGAGGAAGCTTTTTTACTACTGGAGTCCCCATCTCCAAGGACAACAATGCCTTCTTTGGGAATAACCCTGGAAGGACCTGCCTGAGGCTATTTTACACTTAATTTTTTTAATAAGTAAAGGAGTACACTCTAAAATAGCAACAAAAAGTGTAGCACTGCAAATATTAGATGATAGAAATTTTTCAGCTCCAAGATTGTCTTATGGGACTATCATTATAAATCTGGTCCATTGTTGACTGAAATGTCATCCTTATGCAGTACATGACTGTATATGTAGATATAGATATAACTACATATAGATATAAATGTAGATAATTTTTATCCTATATCCCACTTATATAAAATATACATGAATATGCATATATGCATCTGTGCATGCATGTATGTATTTGAGCGCCAAAATGGGAAAAACACACAAAATTGTAATAGTGGTTATCTCTCGGGATGGGGAGGTGGCTATACAGTCACCATTCCATGCTATTTTCTATCTGTATATCTATATTATATCTATATATACTAAATATATATATACAGACACATTGAATGTGTATCTATATCTATGTCTACTACATGTGTATACTATATATACTTTTGTGTACTATATATACTACATGTGTGTACTATATATACTTATATACACATAAGTATGTGTATCTATATCTACATGTAGATAAAGATATAGTATATACATGTTTATATATACTTATGTGTATTTATATTCATATCTATCATCTTTCTACCTACCATCTGTCTATCATGCTATTTGTCATTTATCATCTATCTACCATCTCTCTGCCCATCTATGTACCCATCCATCAATCTACCTATCATATATCTATATATCTGTCTCAAATATCTATTCATCTATCTATCCTTATATCTTTTCATCTAGTTGTCTGTCTCATCCATCTATCTATCTCATTTATCTACCTATTATCTATCTATCTATCTATCTATCTATCTATCTATCTATCTATCTGTCTGTCTATCATGAGTATAATTCCTCTCATATCTGTTTTCTCCTCAAAAACTTCTAGACAATTTTGTACAAATGGATTTATTATAATGATAACACACTGTGTCCTGCTGCTTTTAAAATTTTCTTCAAAATATCTCATGTATTACCTCATTTGATATATTTGCTAACTTCTCCATAGAAGGCCATTGGCCACTGTTGAGCCTCATCTCTGAAATGTGGAGAAACAATGCTGGCAGCATAAATTAGACCAGTGTTATCAAGTCTGAAGGCAGCATGTTGGGGTGATGTGTTAATTGATTCAGAAGAAATTAATGTTAGCTCTTAATGTTGGAAAGCATTTCCACCCTGTAATAACGCATCAAGACCTTTGTTTTCATGGAATCTTTTCGAATGTTTTGTGATATTTCAAACCAAATCATTTTAGTTACACAATGAGTTACCACCTTTTTAAAATTTTATTCTTCTCCCCAGCTCCCCAAAGATAAATTCAGATCAGGAAGTAAATACATTTTCTAGTTAGAAAGCACAATGCAATTTGAAATGTCTAAAGGAACAGATTCCAAGACTAAGAAATTAATGCCCACACCCAAAGGCACAAAGTAATTATTTTCCAAAGAGTGTGTCTGCTAATCCATATCAGCCAGATGCACAGAGCTTTAATAAGACATGCAACCTAGGAGGAATATTAAACAATGCTTCTTGGATCCTATTAAATCCTGCTCTTGTTGTATGCTGCAAAATGCAAAGTTCTAGAAAAACATATTTTTATAAAGCAAAGCCAGTTGTACATGAATGGATTCTAATTCAAGCATGTATTGCTTCACCTACCTGCTAAGGTCTTGCCTGTCCATATTCAGGTTGGTGGCAAAGTTGGGAATCAGGAAGTGAGAAGCTTCATCAACTTGAGAGGAATCGATAGTCAAATAACATACATGAGCAGGGATAACTGCATCCTCTTGTCATTCTTTCTATGGCTGGGTTCCAAATGTCATGTGTGGCTCGTATATCTAGGTTCACAACTGCTATGGTAGGGTCCAGCCTCTTCGCTAACTGTTTTCTTATGGCAAATAGGCACAAACAGATTATCTCTATGGTGGTGCACCCTATCCAGCCACTGCTATGGGCTTGGCTTCTAATTATTCTCCCCTGCTTTCTTCTCCAGGGGATTTCTGGAGGCTCAAATATGTTTAGAAGATTATGTCTTCCCTTTGGGAGAGGGACATGTTCAAGGACTACCTGATGTAATTTAATAAGAAGTTAGACCCCTTGCCACAAGCAAAACGAACTCCTTGTCACTATTCACATTCTTGAGCTCCCTGTGGGATCAGGCTGAGACTCCTTGGTATCTTCTTTTCCCTTGTTTTGCCTGATAACCCCATCTGAGTTTCTCCTGAGAGCACCTCCTCAGTGTATCACCTGTATAACAAGCTCTGTGTTACATTCTGTTTCCAGAAGACCTAGTATTTTGATACTCAGATGATTTTCTCCTGCTCCTCAAAGCAGTTCTCAGAGTTACCTTGGAGAGTGTGCCTTTCCCTGCAGTCTCCCTCCAGCTTTGTGATACCAGCGGAGGAAACCACAAAGCCCGGGAGAGATGCTTGGTTTTGCTCCTGCTGCTACATGTTGTATGGCACCATCACCTTCTTGGAACGCATGACAGCAAGGCGTTTTCCACTGAGTAGGCTCTGTGTCAGGAAAGCCAATGGTGAAGCTGGAATGATTCGTGCCTACCCTTGCTCTTTCTTCTCTTTCTCTACATCCTCCAAGCAAAAAGGGAAGGACACTTTCCCCAGGCTCTGTCTCCCAGTCTGGTGTACTGGTTTCAAAATATTCTTGCTATTGTTAAAAACCGCTGTTTCCACCATCTTCTGTGCTTGGGAGATAGTCAACAGGCCTGTTGGGACCAATGGCTGTTGGGACACATCCCATATCCTCTCTTCTATCTGGACAATGGGAATGCTTGGGTGTATATATCTCAAGAGCTTTTTGCTTCCTGATGCAGAGTAATTCCAACTGGATCTCTACTTTAGCTAGAGATTTCTAAAGATAGTCTTTCTAGCTAACTTAATTATAATAGAGCTTCCTACAGAAACCAGGGAGCATTAAGTACCATCTCCAGGAGAACACAAGAGTGAAGAACAATATGGTACAAGTGTTCTTTGGCAAGTGGCTGCCATTGTTGTTCTCAGTTGTAGATGTGGGGTTGAAATTATATGGTTTAGGCATGGCCCCAACCATTCTTTAACTAACATGAGAATGTTAGTCAAAGTGAACCATGGTTCTGCACTTGAAGGACAAATAGAAGACATATGCACACACAAACCCATGTGCACACTCTTCTTCAAGAAGTTGTTTTATTGGGCATTCATAAATAGAGATAAGAAAAAAATAGTGTACTATATAAACTCTTTGATAAAGGAATATATATCTTAGGAATGTGCAATAGAACAAAAAGGGGAAACATTAGGGAAGACAGAATGTCTGCTCAAAAGTCATAAGCAATGCATGATATCATGTTATAAGTGTTGCTAAACTGGGGTTACATGTCTGTCTCACTCGTATGTCTCCACAAAAGTTCGAAGATAAAAACCAACCCTTGACACAAAATAAGCATGAATATTCCTGATATTGAGTGGAAAAAAAACATATTATCAGTGGAAAGCCCTGGGAATTCGAAGAAGAATAATTTAAACAGCAAGCTACCATGAACAAACTGGCTTCTTGAAGGCTGTTTCTCATAAGGTGCCACAAATAATCTGCTGTCACAATTACAAAACATGATTAATGAGTGAGATGGTTCAGAAGCCAAACTCATATGCAATGTACTCCTCTACAGATAAGTCTAAATTATGTTTTAGAATAGTCGGACTCCAGCAAGCATCTAAATATGCAAATCCACACACACAACAGAAAATACAGATTTGTGCTTCTGGGGAAATATAGATGAACATCCCTGATTAAGACTCAATTATTTTGAAAACTAAATACGTTGTGCACCTTCAGAACTAACTCTGAGTTATTGTTGTTGCTATTGCTGTTTTGTCTTTTTTTAAAATTTGAGGGATGTTCTCACTCTGTCATCCAGGCTGGAGTGCAGTGGCGTGATCACGGCTTACTGCAGCCTCGACCTCTCAGGCTCAGGCAATCCTCCCATCTCAACCTCCTGAGTAGCTGGGACCAAAGACACAGGCCACCATGCCTTGCTAATATTTTATTTTATCTTTTTGGTAGAGATGAGGCTTTACTATGTTGTTCAGGCTGGTCTCAAGCTCCTGGGCTCAAGTGATTCTCCCACCTCAGCCTCTCAAAGTGCTGGCATTATAGGAGTGAGCCACCACACACGACCCCTAACTGAATTTTTGATAAACAACACATAACAATGTGCATGAGGTCTCAGTCCTTGGCAAAACTTAAAACACAAGTGGTTTATGTTGTAACCATTCTCATGGTTTAAAACACCAGTCTTAGGGTCTAAGACATACGTGGTTTATTTTGTAACTCCCCTCTTTCTAGGAGAAATTAAGATTTTCTTCCATTGATGAATGTTGATCATTTATTATAAGATAAATGAGGTTTATAATATTTACCTAAATGATGATTCTGTTTAATGCATAGGACTATATCTATAAGCTAGGTAAATGATGCAGTGGCTTTGTATTTCTATTTCTCACATTAGCAGTAGGGTGTCTCTATTAAAAGATTTTTTTAGCTTGGCTGGGCACCATGGCTCACGCCTGTAACCCCAACACTTTGGGAGGCCAGGGCAGGAGGACTGCTTGAGCCTAGGAGTTTGAGACCTGCCTGGGCAACATAACGAGACTCCCTTCTCTACAAAAACAAAGAAACAAACAAAAAACCATTTTTAAGCCTGACACAAGACTCAAGGATCATCAACAAAAAGGTTTCATATGTTTGACAACATAGAAACATGTTTCTGGGATTCAGTATAGCATATGATGAAAGATGCCAGAAATATAACAAATAAATAATATGAATAATTGAAAGCTACTATAAATATAATATGTACATAAAACATATTAAAATAGTTTCGGTGTGGCAGGTAGTTTTAATTAACTTAGAAAATAAATTTAGTCATTTTAAGACCAAACGATAAATGCATTCCCTTTTCCCCACTTAGTTACCAAAATTTTATATTTTAACCATTTCATTTTACCAACATGATAAGCTAAAAAATGTTCCCATGTCTACATTTACTTCCTTTTTGTTTGATTGCTAGTATAATTAATCATTTATCATATGTTCTTTGGCCATTTCTATTTTCATATAGATACTTTATTTCGTATTTTAAAATTATTTTATTGGCCTGATTATCTTAAATAGTATTAATATATCTTTAATATGATTAAGATAAAATATTATAATAAAATTTTTATTTTTAAGATTTTTTCAAATACTGAAACTGATCCATTGCTCATTGTATGTGTCCAATAATCAAGGAAATAAGAAAACTATTTCATATTTTTGTTTATTTATAATTTCTAGACTTCCATGTGGTCAATCAATATAGTCCCTGATATCGTGGGTTCTGATATCTGATATCATGGTACCATGAATTTTCCGGGTATTGTGTAAAGCTTTGGAAGGACATTTCACTTCCAACTCTTTGAAAACATCATCTATTTTCTTCTAATAATTTGTTATTGTTTTACATTTTGTAAGGCATTTTAGATCTTATTTGTGAGGGGAGAGAATCTCTCTTCATCACGCCAACTCCATAGATCACCAAATATCCAAACCCCATTAATGGAATTTTCTCACTGACTTCAGATAATCTTCTCATGTGTGATCAATGCCTCATATTTGTGGATCTGCCTGTAGCTTTTGAATATTGTTCTGTAAAGCTATGTTTTGCTCTCTGTGTTTCATGTATCCATCGTCTCTATGGCAGTAGCAAAGGGGTACATATTTGTATCTGGGAGAACAGGATTTCATTCATATACTTCTTTCTCATATATTTTTTCTTAGTTATTCTTGCAGATTTGTTAATCTCAAAAATATTAGACTCAATTTGGTAGCTTATGCCAAAATTCTCATCCATCTGATGGCCTATATTTAATTTATAGATTTAAGATGGACATGTATCTTAAGCTTAACATTTCAAAGATATAAGACAAAAAAAGAGTAGCAGTTAGAAATAATAAATAGCTCAAAGTATTTTGTAATAGTGCACCATTTACACCTGTCATTTAAGATTCTCTGGACTGTGCTGTTTTCCTGAATTTTGTATAAGCCGTAGAAACTATAGAATATTCTAATAATACATAGCTTCCTGAGGGAAGCAGCATTTTGTGTGGGCCAGTTTCTATCAAACCTAAACCTCTAAGATTTAGTAACCGATCTTGCAAGGAAAGAACATTATGCATTAATTGACTTCTGAAGCCTTGTCATCTTGGTTGTCTCAGTTGAGAACAGCTGGTGTAGCAGGTGGCTTACTAGGATGAGTACGAACTGAAGAAAATACTAACTCAAATTTTCCTAAAGAGAAAAAATTATAGGAGATGCAACAGATCCTAGCCACCACCCTGCATGGAGATGATTTACAGTTATGAAAAAGACTTACTGTAATTTAATTCCTCAATTCTATAAAGCTGACTTTGTTTTGCTCTTAGTATCAGTATCAGATTCAAAATGAATCAGTATCACTTTCTCTTCAACATACCTACATTAAAGAAAACTAAACTAATGGATATGTCTATGTGGAAACATGGGAATGATTTTATTTTATTTTATTTTATTTTATTTTATTTTATTTTATTTTATTTTATTATTTTCTGAGACAGAGTCTTCCTCTGTTTTCCAGCCTGGAGTGCAATGGTGCGATCTTTTCTCGCTGCAACCTCTGCCTCCTGGGTTCAAGCGAATCTCCAGCCTCAGCCTCCTGAGTAGCTGTGATTACAGGCACATGCCACCTGGCCTGGCTAACTTTTGTATTTTTAGTAGGGATGGGTATTGGCCATGCTGCCCAGGCTGGTGTCGAACTCCTGACCTCAGGTGATCTGCCCTCCTTGGCCTCATAAAGTGATAGAATTACAGGCATTGAGCCACGGTGCCCAGCTAACTTTTGTATTTTTGGTAGGGACGGGTTTTCACCCTGTTGCCCAGGCTGTTCTTGAACTCCTGACCTCAGGTGATCCACCCACTTCAGCCTCCCAAACTGCTGGGATTACAGGCATGAGCCACCACGCCCAGGCGGGAATTATTTTAAATGTACACGGTAGAGAACCAGTTCCCTGTGTGTGCTTTCTGATGTGCTGCACTTATATTTTCATTTGAAACAAATAAGCAATGGGTAAACAATTAAATAAAATGAACTCACTGAGGCAATAGTTTGGTGTTTATCATTCTGCAGAACACTGTTTTGATTAGGTAAGATTTGAGAGGTAATCATCTCTGGTTCTCACAGAAAACATATCTCTCTAAAGTCAACACACATGCATGCACATTTGAGAGACAAAAAGCTCACAATTATATGGGCAGTCTTCCAAAATGAATATTTTACATTCAGGTATTTATAATATTGTCAATTGTTAAGACTCATTTTGATAAAGTGATTGTTAATGAGGACTTAATGTTTGCTCTATTTGCCAAAGCCTACATTGCTAGATATAAAATTAAAGAATGTCATAAAGCAAGAAACTCAATTTACGGATAATTTTACAACATACTGTGGAAATATTTAAACCAAATATATTTTCCAGTAAACTCTAAAGACCCCATGATAATGGAGGAGCATGTATTTTTGTATTAAAATTGCAGAGGTTGGAATGATTCAAAAGACTGCATAGCCACTGTGTCTTCTAGAATATCCTATAATCTCCAAGGAAATTCCCCATCATGCAATAATACTACCAAGTTACTCATATAATTTTCATCTACATATTTACCTCCTGAACCAATTAGTCAAAAGTGCACCTTTTCACTCTTCCCAATTGCAAAGATGATCAACCTGAGTGTCCACCAAGTGATGACTGGATAAAGAAAATGTCATTGTCAACGTAACTATGATGTGACAGCCTTCCTTTTCCACAGCATCCTTGCAAATCTATCTGTTTCCCTCACCATTAACCTCATTCCCACTTTGGCTTCTGAACATTGTTTCTGGATGCTGGAGTTTTCCAGCCCTTCTAGCTTGTTTCTTTGGAATCAAATCTCTGTCTTATTTTCCCCCTTTCTGTGTCAGTGAAGAGGAATGTTTTGTGAAGATGAATTTTTAAAGATAATAGACATAAGTTTCTGAGGATAATAAAATACACTTATAAACATTATAAAGAAAGATGAATTTGTTGTGAAACAATATACTGAGTGTGGAAATAGAAAGCTCCTATAATACCTATATCGATGCGTTGAAAACCAAGAAATATGAAACCAATTCATTCATTTGGAAAAAGTCATTAATATCTCATTGAAAATGTTCAGAGTTTGTTTACTTCATTTGCATGCCTACATGTATTTCACAAGCAAAGATGTTCTTTAAACCAAGATTGTATCTTTAGCTTTTGTATTTGTTTTCTTTGGTTTGGTTTTTTTGGGGTGTGTGTGTGAAATCTCAGACCAAAAACTCTATAAATGAGGCATAAGGGCCTCATTTTATACAATTTTATTTGAAGTTCTTATAATCTCTACAGTAAAATTAATATTTTACTACATATAAACTTTATATTCTAGTAACTATCAATCACATTGACAACGTCCAATGTAAATGCAAGAATTTATTTATGTAATCTTTTCCTGTAATTTTTCTTCTATTTATACAGTTTCCTGTGGCTTTGATTTGGATCCAATCCAGAGAATTATTTTTCAAGGCTCTTATTCTATCTTAATCTTTTCATTGTTCTTGTTGTTGTTATTTTTGCAACTGTAGCTTTGTTCTTAAGCTAGAACATACTCCTGTAAATTGCTTTAGAATGAAGACAATTAGTAACACTCTGTCTGGGACATTAAGGCTTTGTGAATTTTTATCTAGACATAATTGTCATAATGCTGAACTCTAATACAACTGGCAATATGTGTTAAAAATTGTTCATCAATGAGAAATACAATGTGATTTCTTATGGATTAGGTTAAAACAATATTTTAAATAAATCTATTTTACACTCCCTATCGGGTCAAGAAGAATGGTTATTCTACATACCTGGCCCCTCTCATGACTTTCTTGCTTCTATTATTCTGCAAAAGAGTCTTGATGCCAGTTACCAAGTGTAAATATTTCTGTTTCCTGTCATTAGCATCCAATTCTAACCTTCCTCTCTCTCTTCTTCCTCTACCTTTTGTGTCAAGGTCACTGAAAGGTATTAGGAGTATACTGAACCCTGTGAAGGTACACAAAAACATTAAACACTTTTAGGACAAATGTCATATATGTATGTTGCATACAAACTAGAAAGTAAAGATAAGCAAAACAGTAAATGCTACAAAAAGAATCTCTAATCTCATGAGTCAGGGCAGTCACTCAGCAAACTGTTGACTCTTCTTACATTCTTTATGCCTTTAAATATGTACACAGACTTTTATTTGTGAAAATGGGATTTAAAATGCCACTTTGAATACCTTTTTCTTCCCCCTCAGTCTTTTGGGCTGGACCTATTTTCGTTTTCATATATGCACTTGCATGATCATTTTCGAAAAAAAAATTTTAAGAGACATGGTCTTGCTCTGTCACTGAGGCTGGAGTGCAGTGGTGCAATCATAGCTCACTGTAACCTCGACCTCCTAGGCTCAAGAGATCCTCCCTTGAGGGACGATCTGGAGTAGTTTGGACTATAGACATGCACCATCGTGCCCAGCTATTCCTTTTTAAAATTTTTCTAGAGGTAAGGCTCTCTATGTTGCCCAGGCTGGTCTCGAACTCTTGCCTCCAATGATCCTCCTGCCTCAGCCTCCCAAAATGCTGGGATCACAGGTGTGAGCCACCATACCTGGCCGACATCATCATTTTTAATGGCCAAAGAATGTACTTGCTTATTGGTGCCCTTATGTCTGGATATCCAGGACGCTTCCATTACATCCTGATGACCATACTCAACAATGAGATATCAAGATGGTAAAACTGAGCACACCAACCAGCCACTCTTTGTTAGTTCACACAGCTTGAAATCAAAGGAAATCACTGCCTTGGGATGCTCAGAGGAGCCAATGATTTAAGAAATTCCCAGTAGAGAAAGCAGAAGGAATCTCATTAAAGAAGTCAGAGGCATGACCTTAATGCTGCTGCAAAATGTCAGAACAATTCCAGGTCTTTCTGAATAACTACATTTCTAGAAGATTTAATCTCTGAATATCTATCTATCACCTATGCATCCATCACAGGTATCTCTCTATCTATTCATCCAGCATATATCTATCTATCTATCTATCTATCTATCTATCTATCTATATCTATCTATCTATCTATCAACCATCTATCCATCCACCATATCTAGCTCTCTCTAATATATATAAGATATATATATATAAGATATACATGTATAAGATATATATATCTTCTATCTACCCATCATATTTATCTCTGTGTGTGTATTCACAGATTTGTGTATATAAAAATATATATATTCACATAGATGTATATATATACATGTGTGGATATATCTATGTATATTTCTATGTGTATATTTTATTTATTGTTACCCCAACCCTAAAAGGAATAGTGATTGACAACAGGGGAGAGTAGCTCCTCAATAGTCAGGTGGCTAGTAATTAATATTTATTACCAGTTTATAATGTTCAGGTATTTTTCATATATTTAGCAATTTAATATTTTTGAAAAGTCAATGAGATACCATTATATCCCCATTTCACAGTTTAAAGTCAATGAATTGGAGGTTGGGAGAAAAATCCACATTGTGGCAGGTTGGGGCCGTGGGAGTTGTTGAGGCAGCTCTTGGGCAGTGTGATGTCCAGGTCGCTGCTCTTAGCCACAATCTGCCAAAGAAAGAAGCTCTGGGAAATTGGAGATAGCATGGAAGCTTCCACACAACTCAACTTGCAGCTGCACATATTCTCATTTAATGCACTGATGACTGATTTCTAATAATGATCCACAATGGAAACACATTATGCAGCCCAATTCTTTATGATATATCAATATTGAATATGAGTAGCATCATCTGATGAAGCAGCTTCCATTTAAATGACATGCACTTTGCATTCCACTGTAACTGTAAGAAGTCATAGTTTGGGATGGTAACATTTATTTTACTCTCTAGGAATTTTTTTAAAATTTTTTTTCTGCAAACTTGACCTAAATTTAAGTCCAAATCAGGAGATTTGAAGAAATTGGGTTGACATGCTTTCGATATGCTTTCTATAAATCTTGTAGTAATTGAATGATACAGAAGGGATAATCACTTCACTAATTGCACAGGTGATGATATCCAAACACATCTGAAATTAATTCGGATGGAAAGATCTCTAAGAGGAGGAAGTGGCCTCCTTTCTCCAGATCCAGTTCAGAAAGCAGTCTAAATCGAGCTCTGAGTGAGCATCTGCAATGAAGCCTCCACTGCAGCCTCGGCCACCCCCTCCCCTTCTCTCTCTGGACTCATGCCCACCCTGGACTGCCAGGTCCCCTGCATGAGCTAGGACACCTGCAACACAGAAAGAAAGCTCATCTTCATCAAAACAGGCTTTGAAGCTCTTCTGCGGATAAACACTCTTCATTTATTAGCGATTTAATCCTTTAACAAAAGCTCACTTTGTTAAGTGGCTCAGCTTTCAAAAACAGCCCATGCAGATATTTGCATGAGTCCATTAAAGATGATGAGACAACATGAAATGGCTAAAAATATTGTCCCAGGATCCTGGGTAAGCCTAGGCGACCTATCTCTATCAGGGCTAGGGAAAAGATTACAGAGCTCTTTGTGTTGAATTAGGTTTCCCGAAATAGAATTCTTCCTTTTTGGATCCATCCGAACTTGGTCTGTGGTATTGTATTAGTCATTCTTTATTAACTCAACAGCAGTTGTGGTTTCCTTTCCTTTTCAGTTGAGCATAGTCTTCTAGTGAGAATGTATAACTGGAGTAGTCAGTAACATTCTCAAATATAAATTAAATTAGGTCATTAAAATATTGTCTTCCTGGATATGGTGGCTCGGTGTATTCTGTTTTAGAAAGGCCATTAATTTAAAGCACAGCATGGACAGGGTGTGAAAATCTTATTGGCACCACATTTACAGTGCCTCTGGGTCTTTTAAACTTAAGTGATGAAACTAATAGCATCGATATTTTAGTATACTATACTTATTATGTCAAATGGGAAGCATGTTGCTAATGGAATATCTGGAGACAGAGAGAGAGAAAGAGAGAGAGAGTTATGAAATGCCAAAGCGATTTTCAAGTTAAAAGATAATTCAACTTTTATGACCTAGGTCTTCCTTTGCTTTGAGAAATCCCAAGAGACAAAGAATAAAATATAAGCTAAAATGCAATGAGATAGGAAGCAAAAGAGGAAAACAAAAACGAGCAGACTTCATAAAACCACTCGGGGAAGCAGAGAGGTGAAAGGTGAAAATACCAATGTCAGTAAGTCTGACAGAGAAACAATAAGTGAATTGAGAGCAATTGCATTCAAATCACCAAAAGGTGCATATTTTAAAAACTTTAGTACAAATTGATGTAGAAAAAGTGGGACTTAATGGAGAACTACCACATTTTAAATTAAAAATCAGGAAATGACTGCATCAGTTGTTGGCCAAAACTGTCTAAAAGGGACCTATTACACCATCCTTCTTAAAACAGCCAAAAATAAAGAAAATGACAGCTTTTAAGAAAATGGACAACAAGAAATTAAGAGTAGTGATCCTGGTGAGACGAAAACAAGTGGAGATATACTATTGCCCCAGCTTATTGGCTTGGAAGTGTTTCCCAGGCCTGACTTAAAAAGGGAGAAGTCAGGCTGAGCTCAAAAGATTTTGATTCTTGGGAAAACAAGGCTGCAAGGGCTCTCAGGACAGAGTACCAGGAGAGAGGTAGCTTCACCCAGAGGAGAATGGAGATCTGCAGAGGGAACTGCTGAAGTTTTCCTCCAAGTGTCTATCACTGCATATGTATGAAGAAAATACACAAGGATGGGGAAATAACCACCCGTATTAGTTCATTCTCACACTGCTAATAAAGAGTTGCCTGAGACTGGGTAATTTATAAAGGAAAGAGGTTTCATGAACTCACAGTTCCACATGGCTGGGGAGGCCTCACAGTCATGGAGGAAAGCAAAGGAGAGCAAAGGCATGTCTTACATGGCAGCAGGCAAAAAGAGTGTATGCAGGAGAGCTCCCCTTTATAAAACCATCAGATCTCATGAGACTTATTCATATCACAAGAACAGCACAGGAAAGACCCACCCCCGTGATCAATTACCTCCCACCTGGTCCCTCCCACAACATGTGGGAATTGTGGGAGCTACAATTCAAGACGAGATTTGGGTGGGAACGCAGCCAAACCATATCACCAGCTGACAAGTTTAGCACCAATCTATAGAAAATGGCAACAGGTCAGCAATAAAGCACCTTAGAAGATGAAAATGAACATTTCTCAAAGATAACTCAGGGCCAAAACCACTTCTGTTCCAACCAGCTTGACTAGAGAATCTCATGAAACACGGGGCATTAGGGTAAAGTGCACAGAATGATGTTGCCTTGGGAAGGAATAATTAATTAGCCCTTTTCTGAGAATGGTTCCAGTCCAATCTAGTAAGTCTTAAAAGTGAGATAGAAGTTAAGATTTTTTTGGCGGGGGGGATGGAGTCTCGCTCTCTCGCCCAGACTGGAGTGCAGTCTGGCTTACTACAACCTCCGCCTCCAGGGTTTAAGCAATTCTCCTGTCTCAGCCTCCCGAGTAGCTGGGATTACAGGTGCCCACCATTACCCCTGGCTAATTTTTGTATTTTTGGTAGAGACGGGGCTTCACCATGTTGGCCAGGCTGGTCTTGAACTCCTGACCTCAGGTGATCCGCCTGCCTTGGCTTCCCAAACTGCTGGGATTACAGGCATGAGCCACTGTGCCCAGCCAACATTTAAATAAGATCTTAAAACTGAGACTCAAACTGTACTCAAGTAATTTAAATGTGTCTCAGAACAAATGCCGAGGACGGTTACGGGAATACTAACGTATCAAGAACCCAAAAAGGTAAAATTCACGATGAATTAATAATTCATTAAAATGAATGAATAGTAGATTAGTAAATTATTAATAATGAATTAATACTATCCAATAAAAAAGATTGCATAAGACATAATCAATATACTGAAATCAACTGTGTTTCTTTATACTAGCTGTAGCAATCAGAACTAAAATAAAAATTAGATACCTTTTTACCACAATACCAAATGCACAGGATACTTACAGGGTGAATCTAACAAAAGTTTTTAAAGACCTGTGCATACTAAACCCAAACACATTGCCAAGAAATATACAATATTAAAAGTCAGAACATTCGAAATTGTTAATATGTCAATTATCCCCAAATGTGCCCGGGCATTTCATAAAATCACAGTCAAATTCACAGCAAGCTCTCTGGGGGAAAGATGACAAGCTGAATTGGAAATGCATATGGAAATGCCAAGGACCTTGACTGGTCAAAATAACTTTGAAAAAGAAGAATAAAGTTGGAGAACATACTTTACCTGATTTCAAGATTTTATTGTAAAGGTAATATAATCAAGACAGTATGCTATTGTCAACCAACACAGACAAGTAAGTCAAGGGAATAGAATACCATATCCTGAAGTAGACACACACACACACACACACACACACACACACACACACACATATATATATAGAAAATCGATTTCTGAAAAATGTTTCAAAGGCAATTCCGTGGAAAATGTTTATTTTAAACACGTGGTGCTGGAATAATCAGATATCCATATGCAAACAAAAAAGAATAGCAATATATACCTTGCACCATATAAAAAATTAACTCAAAATGAACCATTGGCCTAAATTTAAATTTAGATTTAAAACCTAAATCTTTAATACTTCTAGAATAAACATAGGAAAAATAAATGTGACCTAGGCCTAACAAAAGATTTCTTGGATCTAACACCAAACTCATACTCCATAAAACAAATAAATAGAACATAAAAATTAAAATATCTGCTTTACAAAAGATATTTGAAAGATATTCTGTTAACAGAATGAAAAGATAAGCCAGATTGAGAGAACTTGCATTTCTGATCAAGAAATTGTAATCAGAAGACAGAGAACTCTCAAAAATGATTAATAGCAAATAATGCAATTTTTTAGAATAGCGAAGATTTGAACAGACACTGTACCAAGGACTTAAGATATATGAACAGCAAATAAGAAGATGAAAATATACTCAATTTATTAGTCATTAGGAGAATGCAGTTAAGACCAAAATGTGATTCCACTACACACCTATTAGGATGGATACAATTTTAAAATCCTCATCACGGCATCTTTGGTGAGGATATAGAAAACAGATACTTTCATTTCTTGCTGGTATGTTAAACAGTCTAACCAATTTGGAAAAGTTTGGCAGTTTCTTAGAAAGTGAAGCATACTATGTTGAATAGGAGTAGTGAGAGAGGACATCCTTGTCTTATGCCGGTTTTCAAAGGGAATGCTTCCAGTTTTTGCCTATTCAGTATGATATTGGCTGTGGGTTTGTCATAAATAGCTCTTATTATTTTGAGATACGTTCCATCAATACCTAGTTTATTGAGAGTTTTTAGCATGAAGGGGTATTGAATTTTGTCAAAGGCCTTTTCTGCATCTATTGAGATAATCATGTAGTTTTTGTCATTGGTTCTGTTATAGATGGATTATGTTTATTGATTTGCTTATGTTTAACCAGCCTTGTATCCCAGATATGAAGCCGACTTGATCGTGGTGGATAAGCTTTCTGATGTGCTGCTGGATTTGGTTTCCCAGTATTTTATTGAGGATTTTTGCATCGATGTTATGTTCATCAGGGATATTGGCCTGAAATTTTCTTTTTTTGTTGTGTCTCTGCCAGGTTTTGGTATCAGGATGATGCTGGCCTCATAAAATGAGTTAGAGAGGATTCCTTCTTTTTCTATTGTTTGGAATAGTTTCAGAAGGACTGGTACCAGCTCCTTTTTGTACCTCTGGTAGAATTCGGCTGTGAATCTGTCTGGTCCTGGACTATTAATTACTGCCTCAATTTCAGAACTTATTATTGGTCTATTCTGGGATTCGACTTCTTCCTGGTTTAGTCTTGAGAGAGTGTATGTGTCCAGGAATTTATCCTTTCTTCTAGATTTTCTAGTTTATTTGTGTAAGAGGTGTTTTATTTCTTGTCTTCTGGTAGCTTTTGAAGTTGTTTGCTCTTGCTTCTCTAGTTCTTTTAATTTTGATGTTAGGGTGTCAATTTTAGATTTTTCCTGCTTTCTCTTGTGGGCATTTAGTGCTGTAAATTTCCCTGTAAACACTGCTTTAAATGTGTCCCAGAGATTCTGGTACATTGTGTCTTTGTTCTCACTGGTTTCAAAGAACATCTTTATTTCTGCCTTAATTTGGTTTTATATCCAGTAGTCATTCAGGGGCAGGTTGTTCAGTTTCCATGTAGTTGTGTGGTTTTGAGCGAGTTTTTTAATCCTGCATTCTAATTTGATTGCACTGTGGTCTGAGAGACTGTTTGTTATGATTTCCGTTCTTTCACATTTGCTGAGGAGTGTTTTGCTTCCAATTATATGGTCAATTTTAGAATAAATGTGAGGTGCTGAGAAGAATGCATATTCTGTTGATTTGGGATGGAGAGTTCTGTAGATGTCTATTAGGTCCACTTGGTCTGAAGCTGAGTTCAAGCCCTGAATATCCTTGTTAATTTTCTGTCTCGTTGATCGTTCTAATATTGACAGGGGGGTGTTAAAGTCTCCCACCGTTATTCTGTGGGAGTCTAAGTCTCTATGTAGGTCACTAAGAACTTGCTTTATAAATCTGGGTGCTCCTGTATTGGGTGCATATATATTTAGGATAGTTAGCTCTTCTTGTTGCATCGATCCCTTTACAATTATGTAATGCCCTTCTTTGCCTCTTTTGGTCTTTGTTGGTTTAAAGTCTGTTTTATCAGAGAATAGGATTGCAACTCCTGTTTGCTTTTTTTTTTTTTCTTTTCATTTGCTTGGTAAAGATTCCTCCATTCCTTTATTTTGAGCCTATGTGTGTCTTTGCATATAGAATTGGAAGTTCTGGCCAGGGCAAACAGGCAAGAGAAAGAAATAAAGGGTATTCCAACAGGAAAAGAGGAAGTCAAATTGTCTCTCTTTGCAGATGACATGACTGTATATTTAGAAAACCCCACCGTCTCAGTCCAAAATCTCCTTAAGCTGATAAGCAACTTCAGCAAAGTCTCAGGATACAAAATCAATGTGCAAAAATCACAAGCATTCCTATACACCAATAACAGACAGAGAGCAAAATCATGAGTGAACTCCCATTCATAATTGCTACAAAGAGAATAAAATACCTAGGAATATAACCTAGGAATATAACAAGGAATTTGAAGGACCTCTTCAAGTAGAACCACAAACCACTGCTTGAGGAAATAAGAGAGGACACAAATGGAAAAACATTCCATGCTCATGGATAGGAAGAATCAATATTGTGAAAAGTAATTTATAGATTCAATGCTATCCCCATCAAGCTACCATTGACTTTCTTCATAGAATTGGAAAAAACTACTTTAAAGTTCATATGGAGCCAAAAAAGAGCCTGCATAGCCAAGACAATCCTAAGCAAAAAGAACATAGCTGGAGGCATCATGCTACCTGACTTCAAACTATACTACAAGGCTACAGTAAGCAAAGCAGCATGGTACTGGTACCAAAGCAGATATATAGACCAACAGAACAGAACAGAGGCCTCAAAAATAACACCACATATCTACAACTGTCTGATCCTTGACAAACCTGACAAAAACAAGCAATGGGGGAAGGATTCCCTATTTAATAAATGGTGTTGGGAAAACTGGCTAGGCATATGCAGAAAACTGAAACTGGACCCCTTCCTTACTCCTTATACAAAAATTAACTCAAGATAGATTAAAGACTTAAATGTAAGACCTAAAGCCATAAAAACCCTAGAAGAAAACCTAGGCAATACCATTCAGGACATAGGCATGGGCAAAGACTTCATGACTAAAACACCAAAAGCAATGGCAACAAAAGCCAAAATTGACAAATGGGATCTAATTAAACTAAAGAGCTTCTGCACAGCAAAAGAAACTATCATCAGGTGAACAGGCAACCTACAGAATGGGAGAAAATTTTTGCAATCTATCCAACTGACAAAGGGCTAATATCCTGAATCTACAAAGAACTTAAACAAATTTACAAGAAAAACAAACAACCCCATTCAAAAGTGGGTGAAGGATATGAACAGACACTTCTCAAAAGAAGACATTTATGCAGTCAACAAACATATGAAAAAAAGCTCATCATCACTGGTCATTAGAGAGATGCAAATCAAAAACACAGTGAGATACCATCTCAATCCATTTAGAATGGCAATCATTAAAAAGTGAGGAAACAACAGATACGGGAGAGGATGTGGAGAAATAGAAACACTTTTACACTGTTGGTGGGAGTGTAAATTAGTTCAACCATTATGGAAGACAGTGTGGCGATTCCTCAGGGATCTAGAACCAGAAATACCATTTGACCCAGCAATCCCATTACTGGGTATATCAAAAGATTATAAATCATTCAGCTATAAAGACACATGCACGCGTATTTTTATTGTGGCACTATTCTCAATAGAAAAGACTTGGAACGAAGCCAAATGTCCAACAATGATAGACTGGATTAAGAAAATGTGGCACATATACACCATGGAATACTATGCAGCCATAAAAAGGATGACTTCATGTCCTTTGCAGGGACATGGATGAAGCTGGAAACCATCATTCTCAGCAGACTAACACAGGAACAGAAAACCAAACAGCGCACGTTTTCACTTGTAAGTGGGAGTTGAACAATGAGAACTCATGGATACAGGGAGGGGAACATCACACACCAGGGCCTGTCAGAGGGTGTGGGGCTAGGGGAGGGATAGCATTAGGAGAAATACCTAATGTAGATGATGGGTTGATGGGTGCAGTAAACCACCATGGCATGTGTATATCTATGTAACAAAACTGCACGTTCTGCATATGTACCCCAGAACTTAAAGTATAATAATAAAAAAAAGTGAAGCATACATCTACCCTATGAAGCAATCTTTTACTTTCAGCATTTACCCCCAAGAAATGAAAGTACTCATGCCTACAAATAGTGGGATGCAAATGATCATAGATATTTTTTATGGTAACCTCTAACTGAAAACAACACAAATATCCATCAGGAAGCAAATGAATAAATGCATGATTATGTCATCATACAATTGAATACTACTTCACAATAAGAAGAAACAAAGTATTGATACAAGCAAACACTTAAGTGGATCTTAAAATAATTATGCTGAGTTAAAAAATGACAGATTGCAAAGAGAGAGAGAGAGAGCAAGTACTATATGATTCCATTTATACAAAATTATAGGAAATGCATACCAATTTACAGAGACAGAAAACAGATAATTGTTTGCCTAAGGAAAGGGATTGGAGTCTGCTAGATGTAGCAGGCAAAAACCCAAGAAAACATTTGGAGGTGATGGCTATGTTTATAATCTTTATCATCACGATGTTGTCACACACACACACACACGTATGGGTATATCTACAAATTAATCATTTTGAAGGCCTTGAATATGTGTCCTATATCAATTATATCTCAATAGGCCTTTCAATATGTTAAACTATTGAGTCACATTAATTGATTTGTGAATGCTGAACACACTTTACATTACAGAATACAATCTGTTGTGTTAAAAATCTATACAATCTTTTTACTCTTTATGTTCAAATGTTTCTCAAATTAGTAAGAATATATATAAAATATGTAAATATCTATATTTTTAGAAAAAGAGGGGTCTGAAATAACTATGGGTTCATGCATTCACATCTGTTAAGTATGAATGGGTTTCAGGGTTTTAGATATTAAAATATTTCCTAATTCAATTAAAAATGGAAAGTAAAATATGGAATAAATAAGAGGTTGGAAGTAAAACACTAGAAACAAGTAAGTTATAAAATTATCTTATATACAGCCCTTTGAAATTCTGTTGGGAAAAATACTCAGATATCAAGACTAACATATCCAGTAAATGAGCAATATCGTTCAGCAAGTAAACAATCATTAAGACTTAAGGAAAAATAAATATCCTTGCTAATAGTAAACATATTCAGGGTTTAAACCATGTTCCCCTATGTCTTCCATTAATTTCATGCGGATTGCATTATCCCTGCCTGGCATGAGTGCTGGGCAACTCTTCCTGCCATATTCATGAACTAGTAAAGTAGCACAGATTTGGCAAAAACAGTTTGTCAATTTGAATAAGCCAAGAAACTATTCACACCCTTTAATCTGGCAATTGAATTACTGAGTAAGTAGACTAAGTATTCCTTCTGAAATACTGAAAAATTTGTAGCAAAAATGTGTTGGTGGTAGCATTTTTTATTATGCCAAAATACTGCAAATAGTTTAATTCTTGCCTCCTCTTATAAACAATACATGGGCTAGCAAAGGAAATAAGTAAGAGGAATGCACATTTATAAATGTGGGAAATGTCATATATTGAGAGAAAATATAGTATAGAAAAGTGAAGCATATTTAAGTTGCACAACTTAAAACCCGAAAAAGATAGATGATAGACATATAGATAAAAATATTTGTAAAGTAAGTTTATTTTTAAATTTTCTATTATGAGATTATATTCTTGTTATAACTAAAATAAACAAACACATCCAAGAAAAGGCTATCAAAACCATGGGATTTGGAAATGAACCAAATTCAACTAAATTTCTGAATGTATGCAATTAAGAAGAAATGGAGCTAAGGAAACACCACATAACAATGAAATATTGATTTTGTAAAAACTAGTCGTGCTAATGAGAGTTGCAATGCTTTTCTTGATGTATTTGACAAATTAGCTTTAGAAACTGTACTTATTCTAGCAGGAAATAGCCAGGCATAACAAGTTCTTCCCAAGGCTTATTTTATCCAAGTACGTGTGCCTGAGGTAGCTGTTAATTTCTATCTCACACTTGAAAGAGAAAATGACACATATTTTTTAAAAAATCATCTGACACCAGTCAGAATGGCTATTATTAAAAAATTGAAAAACAACAGATGTTGGTGAGGATGTAGAGAAAAGGGAACACTTATACACTACTGGTGGGAAGGTAAAATAGTTCAGCCACTATGGAAAGCAGTTTGGAGATTTCTCAAAAAACTTAAAACAGAACTACCATTTGACTCTGTAATCCCATTACTGGATATATACCACCCCCCCTCCCCCAAAAAATTGTTCTATCAAAAAGACACATGCACTTGCATGGTCATCACAGCAATACTCACAATAGCAAAGACATGGAATCAACTTAGGTACCCATCAACGGTAGACTGGATAAAGAAAATGTGGTACATGGGCTCCATGGAATACTATGCAGCCATAAAAAAGAATTGAATTGTGTCCTCTGCAGCAAAATAAATGCAGCTGGAGGCCATTATGCTAAGAGAATTAATGCAGGAACAGAAAAGCAAATACCACATGTCACTTGTAAGTGAGAGCTAAACATGAGTATTCATGGACGTAAATGTGGGAACAATAAACACTGGGGACTACTCGAGGGGGGAAGAGGGAGGAGGGCAAGGACTGAGAAACTACCTTTTGGGTACTATGCTCAATATGTGAGTGGTGGGATCATTTGGACCCCAAACCTCAACACCACACATAAAATCATGTCACACACTTGCACATGGAACACTTGAACCTAAAATAAAAATTGAAATAAAAAAATCATTTTTGCCTTAATTGTTTGAGTCTCTGTGTTTTCAAACTTTGAATTGCATGAGTTATGGAAACATGACTCATAAATGGATAGATTGGTACTGAGGTCATTTTGGCTTCCAAAATGCAGGAACATACAGAGATTTTTGAATGAGACCAGAGTGCATCTGGAAGCAACAGAGTATCTGTTGTTTATTTTTGTCCTTAAGTGTGTGTAAGAGTGAGCGGGTTGGTGGGTCTGTGGCTGGTGATAAGGGAAGATGATGGTGCAGATTCTAGGTCTTAGTTGAAAATAATATCCACAAATTTCATATAAGAGAAAGAAGCCACCTCATATGTTGCTCTCCTACTAGCTCTTTCTTTTCCTTCTGCCTTGTGAAACCAACATTCTTCACAAGAGGATATAAGATCCATATGTTTTAGGGATTTCCTTCCCAGTCCATGAAAAGTCATCAAAGCTAATAAATGAATTAGGAATTCACTGCATTGCTAGGCCTTTCCCTGCATGGCGGTCAGCATCTGGGAATCAGGCTATAATTTTCACTTGTGATACAGATGTCCTGGTGGTTATGTCAACAAATCACAAATCTATCATCTCTCTTTTATATCCGCTCATGCTTATTTACTGTGATTTTAGCTTTAGGCTGGTTGCAGTCTGCAAGACGTTTACCAAAAGCAGCTTGTACTGTGAGCTGACCATTCACCCACTGCTAGCTCAGGTTGGGGCCATTCTGTGATGCCAAGTGTTAAATTTCTGTCCTAGTCAGAACAGAGCCCCTGTATTAGTCCGTTCTCATGCTACTAATAAAGACATATCTGAGACTGAGTAATTTATAAAGGAAAGAGGTTTAATTGACTCACAGTAACAGTGAGTTTGGCTCACTCATGGCTGGGGGTGGCATCACAATCGCAGCAGAAGGTGAATAAGGAGCAAAGTCACGTCTTACATGGCAGCAGGCAAGACAGAATTTGTGTAGGGAAACTCCCCTTTATAAAACCATCAGATCTCGTGAGACTTACTCACTATCATGAGAATAGCATGGGAGAAACCAGCCCCCATGATTCAATTACCTCCCACTGGGTCCCTCCCACCACACATGGGAATTATGGGAGCTACAGTTCAAGGTGATATTTGGGTGGGGACAGAGCCAAACCATATCAGCCCCATTTCTGCAGCATTGAAAATCCCATACTTTCTGTTGTCCTGAGTCTCCCATCACCTCCACCAACAACTTGGGTCTCCTCAAAATGTTCCATCAGCACCATCTATCCCAGGGTGTTACATGCTTCACTATCTTCTCATCAAGGATATTCCCATGCCCCAGTCACTTCAGGCTTATGGTCATTTTAATTAAATGCTTCCATTCCAGGAATGACAGTCCTTACTCCAATGCTCTCCAAATATTTTATTCTCCTAAAATATCTTTAGTCGGTTGGCTCTCACATACTGTCATGCAATAGTTGGGCATGACGAGCTTTTTCTTGAATCCAGTGGTTTGGCGTAATCATTATCTAAGCCCAGGTTTTTTCTGAAAAGGGAGAAAGAGAGTTGATGCTATGAGATTGAAGCAAACATCATTTACCCTACAAGATTTCTCTTAAGAGTCTAACGACACTTTCTTTCTTTCTTTATTATTATTATTATACTTTAAGTTCTAGGGTACATGTGCACATCGTGCAGGTTTGTTACCTATGTATATAAGTGCCATGTTGGTGTGCTGCCCCATTAACTCATCATTTACATTAGGTATTTCTCCTAACGCTATCCCTCCCCCCTTCCCCCACGCCACGACAGGCCCACTTTCTTAAAGAGCAGTCAATAAACAGTAGAGGTGGGAATAATCATTAAAGATTCCCACCATCTTAATCTAAGGGTTCTCTAAAATGGGAATCTCTCAACATCAGAAACACCTCTGTAACAGCCAATCTCAGTGCACTGGAACTTAAACTTTTCCTTCCAAATATTCAGAATGGCTCCATTGCTTTTAAAGCCAGTATCCTGTGAAGGAGATGTAGGTATCCTACCTTCTCTAGGCAGGTTTCCATTTGAAATATTATCTTCTTGTTGGCCCCAGAAAGGGATTCATACATTTCAGATTCATTGACTCTTTTTTTGTTTTGTTTTGTTTTGTTTTTAACCATCATCTTTAAATCTGATGAACAATGTTTTTGTCAAGTTCAACTAATTTCTTCCAATGTGGCTCCATAAGACCATTTGGTACCATGGATTATAGACCCTTTAATCTGTTTAACAAGTCTATACAGCTGTTGGAATTGTCTGAGAAATTTGCCATATTGATAGAAATGAAACCTATATGTAGACAGTATCACGTGGGAAGAAACACTGTATCTTAATAAATGCATGATGATGTTTTGTGAATATTTGCTACTTATGTATGTCAAAAGATTGTTCTGCACACATTTCGAAGAAGCTATGCGGTAAAAGATTACTGCATTTAAGTTGGGTTATCATCAAGATTAAACCCAAAGCAATTAAAAAGCCTTCATATATACCATGTCTGCCCTCATTCACACATCATCAGAATGTTTCATAAGTAGCTAACCACTTCCATGCATTTCCAGGTGGGGAAAAGTTTATAATAAACTTGTAAATTTCTTGTGTACATTAAAGCTGCATCCCTTCTCATGACCACAAAATTGAAGTATTATGTTTATAACAGATGCCACCTTAAGTAATTAATTTAGAGAAGTAAGCATATTGACATAATTGGAATGTTGAGCTGAACTATTATTTGCATGACCTGCTGTATTCACTAAAAACTAAAGATTCTGAACACGCTAATTTTCACATGCACAGAGTCATAAGTCAGCCATCAGACTTAAGATGCAAACTGTCAATTTGAGTGACAGGCATTTAAACTTTGAGATGAGGGAAATAAAGGCGATCCTATTGACATATATTCAGATATCTTTCATTGTACTGAAATCAAGGTACCAGTTTTTGGGACTTCTGTAAAACATCATTCTCTTGGACATTTATTTTACTTTGATAATTCAGATCTTTAAAAATATTCCTTATAAGGAGGCCCAAGAGTTACTTACTGCATACATTTTCTGATTTCAATGTAGCTTTCTTTAATAAAAATTGCAAATGTCAGAATTCACAGAGGAAAACAAAGAGCATTGTTTGGAGTGAAAACTAGCAAATAAATGGTCTCCAAACATCAAAGTTGAATTAAAAAATATATTTTTAATCACTGGTCATGCAATTGGCTTCAAAGATAAGAGCCCAGGAAACAGCTGATATGGTAAAGAGCCAAGTAAAATACAATGAAAGAAAAGTTAACTGGTGGCTGATTCACACTCAATAGCTCAGTCAAAATCTGGTCCTTAAACTTTGCATGGAGATAGTGGATTTCAAATTTTAGTTTCACAAAATTCCCCTGGTAAGACTCTTTAACATACACACCATCATTTTTAACAATCACCACTGGGAATATTGGCAATCCACATGTATTATGGACAATATTTTTGAAGACTATTTACATGAAAGAGAGAGGGAGACAAAAAGAAAGAGAAAGAGAGAGGGAGAGGGAGAGAAAGAGGGATTAATAGACAACCATATTTTAACATTTCAATAATACACTGCGGTTAGGCCAGGCATGGTGGCTCATGCCGGTAAACCCAGCACTTTGGGAGGCCAAGGTGGGTGGATCTCTTGAGCTCAGGAGTTCGAGACCAGCCTGGGAAACATGGCAAAACTCCGTCTTTACTAAAAATGCAAAAAAATTAGCCGAGTGTGGTGGCACACACCTGTGGTCCCAGCTACTCAGGAGGCTGAGATGGGAGGATTGCTTGAGCCTGGGAGGCAGAGATTGCAGTGAGCTGTGATCATGCCACCGCACCCCAGCCTGAGTGACAGAGAGAGGCCCTGTCTCAAAAAACAAACAAACAAAACAAAAGCACTACAATTAGACTTGAGACAAGTGCTTTTAAAAATGTATTTAACTGAAACTACGATGGAGAGAAATGATGAACAGATGTTAATGGTGAGTTTTCTAATACACAAAAGGCATGATGAATTACATATAATATAGCATGTAAAAGGCATATTATGTATGCAAGAATGTTTACCAAATAGAATGTGAAATAGAAAAGAGATGAGAATTTTTTAAAAGTAGTTTACTAAAATTGTGAGACCATAAATATTTCAATAAGTTAACACAGTTCACAATAAATATTTTGTTAGCATTTCTTTAAAATATTGTCTTCATTTTGTTGGAGTATATTATGATAATTGATCATATTCGGAGGAAGAAGACATTCTTCCTACAATCAACTCATGATTTAACAGACAGGCACTTCTCAGGGAAACAGCCACATGCTTCATCTAAATAATTTTTTTTTTTTAGACAGGGTCTCACTCTGTCATCCAGGTTGTAGTGCAGTGGTGTGATCAAGCTCACCACAGCCTTGATCTCCCGGGCTCAAGTGTTTCTTCTACCTCATCCTCCTAAGTAGCTGGGACTACATGCTACAAGCCACCATGCCCAGCTAATTTTTTTTATTTTTGGTAGAGATACGGTCTTGCTATGTTGCCCAGGCTCATCTCAAACTCCTGGGCTCAAGGGATCCTCCAGCCTCATCCTCTCAAAATACTGGGATTACACAGGTGAGCCACTTCATTACTTTATTTCCTAACATTGCGCCTCCTTCCTTATTTTCAAGATAGATCTTGCGTAACAGAAAGATAGTTAAAATTTTCCTAAAAGGTACCACTTGATGAATAAGAGATGAGTAGGTATCTAGGAAACTGAAAGAATGAGGGTGAGTAGAGAAAATACATTTCATTTTACCTCATTCTGAAGTGATGTTGACACTTCTTCAGGGACCTACCCCTGAGTCTCTACCAATAGCCTCCTATCCTAAGGCACTTTGTTGATTTTTAGATGACTAGCACTTATTCAAAATGCATGAGAAATGGCCATTGAGAACTGAAAGATATGGTCACTTTTTTCTATGAAATCTGATACTTTCTCTTGAACATCAAGTCCATAAAACACACAAATTAAGTTAGTTCAGGAATACAAAGTTAGACCCTGGAAACCAATATCCTGCCGTTTTGCTGCCCCAGCACCCTGGCTTATAACAGTTTAATAAATGCCTTCAAGGGCTCACTTAATAACACTTTATTGAGTTTTAGAAAAAAAGCCATCATTTTTTCCACTTTGCATTAAACTGAAGAATACAGAAATAATAAAACATACAGTATTATGATGCCACCACATTTAACTTATCTTGCATGGAAAGGTCATCTTCTAAGCACATTTGCTTGATTGAAATGAAGTCTCTAGATATATATATGGTTGATATTTCAAAAGTGACTATTAAAAAAATACAATGAGTATCAGTTCTCAGATAAAGAAATTCTTGATCTTGATTCAACTGTGCTCTCCTATATTTTATAAATTGTAGTAATTCCTTAAACATCACTAGAAAACCGTCGGAAAATGCTTTTGAAAATATTTTTACTTTCAGAATTATGTCACCATATTGAAAAACATCAATATACTATTCCTTTCAGAAACAGAATTTGCTCTTTCTTCTCCCATCTTGAAGAACAGAGTTTTCCGATAGAACTTTCTGCAATGATGAAAATATTGTATATCTGAGCTTTGTAATAGAGTAACCACAAGCCACACTTGGCTGTTGACAACTGATATGCAGCTGTTGAAAGTAAGGGACTGGATTTTTAATTTACCTTAAATTTATTAAATTTAATTAACCACACGTGGCTAGTGGCTACCATATTGGACACTGTAGATCTGCAGATCGAATCCTTGCAGCTACATCAGCTCAACCTCAGAGTTCATTAGAAATGCAGATTCCGTGCACCTCACCCCTGAACAATCCAGGCAGGACTTGTATTTTAACAAAATCCCTAGATGATTCATATGCATGTTAAATTTTGAGAAGCACTCACCTAGAAATTGTAGGAAAAACAAATTGTCAGTGTCAGCATTTACGTCAGAGAAGAGCTAGTCAAAAGGCAAGTTCCATGCGTACAATTCATACAACAACATGCAAATAAAATACTGTCAACATTCTTCAAAAACATGTCTATGGATTTCAATGATTGTTGCAAGAATTATATGTATGTATTGGGTTTTTGCCAGAGTATACATGTATATATTGAACATTTTCTTTTGATCTCTTCGGTCATAACTTTGAAAGTCACTTGTAGTCCTCTCAGGCACAAAACTTTTGGACAAAATGCGCTCTTTTATTATAAAATATTTGAAGAAATAATTTAAAGCTGCAATGAGACAATATAATTTTTCTTTGATGTGAGATACTAAATGACAACGTCATGAGGGATTAAAGCATGCGTTACTACAGTTGTTCTAATTATTATGGTTATTGTGCTTTTTTTAACCTATTAATCTATGTTGAGTCTCAAATGATATGTTTAAAGCAAACTTAAGTTTTAATTGATGAAGTTACTGGCTCCAGCAGACACACTTATGAGTACTATTACAGTGAGCATGGACAAAAATATTTACCCTTTAATCTCTGTGCTGGATGGGAAGGACTTAATGAGTTCAATAACCACTGAGCTCACATAACCTCCTTTAAACAAAAATGAAAATGCATAGAAAAAGCTAGTTTCCAGTCTCAATGTGCAAAATAACTACTGTATGTTCTTCAGTACATACACTTCAATATATACACACTGTTTGAATGCAGGTAGAAAAAGCATTTCTTAAGCTCTCTGAGTGAGAGGAAAATCATGGTCATAATTTGCATAACATCATGATAAAATATAGAAATTTGTTTTGCAAATCCGAGGAGCTAGGACAGGAAAGTGAGACATCACATTGCTAACAAGGACAGGAAAATGGGTTTTGAGTATTGCTTTACTAGTATAATGTATTTTCTGAGGTTTGGTCCTGTGGCTTATGCCCGTAATCCCAGCACTTTGGGAGGCTGAGGCAAGTGGATCACTTCAGGTCAGGAGTTTGAGACCAGCCTGGCCAACATGGTGAAACTCTGTCTCTACTAAAAAAACAAAAATTATCCAGGTATGGTGGTGTGCACCTGTAATCCCAGCTACTCAGGAGGCTGAGGCAAGGAGAATCGCTTGAACCCAGGAGGCGGAGGTTGCAGTGAGCCAAGATCATGCCACTGCACTCTAGCCTGGGCCACAGAGCAAGACTCTGTCTCAAAAAAAAAAAAAAAAGAAAGAAAGAAAGAAAGAAAGAAAGAAAGAAAAAAGAACATATTATACCTATGGAATCCACTCAACTCCCTGCAGGAAGGAAAGGTGTAGATTCATGTCCTCTCTAGCACATGGGCTATGCAGGGAGAAAACCAGAGGGTTCTTCATGTCCTTCTCCCTCTTCCCAATTGACTCTGTGTCTTGCCAGTTAGGGAGGAAGCAGGGAAAAGAAATCACAAGTGGAAAAAAGAAAAGTAGCCAGAGAGATAATGAATCAGAAAATGGAAATCGATGACAAAGATTCAACCATGGGACATAGAAATATGGGGAAAGACAAACAAATAATGACTGAATTAGATTCCTGCGACTGTGGATAGCTGGGAACAACAGACATGTATTCACTCACAGATCTGGAATCCAGAAGCTTGAATTCCAGGTGTTGGCAGGGACTCTTCCTGAGAATATGGGTAGAATCTGTTCCATGCCCTGTTCCTAGTTTTTGGGGTTTCCTGCAGTCTTTGGTGTTCCTTGGCTTACAGTTGCTTCTCTCCAATCTCCTCCTCTGTCTTCTTACGATGTTCTCTCTGTGTGTCTGTCTTTTCACATGACAGTCTCTTTTTTGTGTGTCTGTCTTTGTGTCTCTGTGTCTCCGTGTCTCCTTGTAACTGCCCAATGGGCTCACCTTGCCCGCTGCCTAGACAGAAGCGATTTCTCAAGACAGGGGAATTGCAATAAAGAGCAATTCATGCAGAGCCGGCTGTGTGGGAGACAGTAGTTTTATTATTACTCAAATCAGTCTCCCTGAGCATTCAGGGATCAGGATTTTTAAGAATAATTTGGTGGGTGGGGGAAGGCCAGTGTGTCAAGAGTGCTGACTGGTTGGGTCGGAGATAAAATCATAGGGAATTGAAACTGTCCTTTTGCACTGAGTCAGTTCCTGGGGGGGGACGACAAGATCAGATGAGACAGTTTATCCATCTGGGTGGTGCCAGCTGATTCATCAAGTGCAGAGTCTGCAAAATAATACTAAGCGCTGATCTTAGGAGCAGTTTAGGGAGGGTCAGAATCCTGTAGCCTCCAGCTGCATGACTCCTACACCATAATTTCCAATCTTGTGGCTAATTTGTTAGTCCTACAAAGGCAGTCTAGTCCCCAGGCAAGAAGGAGCTCTGTTTTGGCAAAGGGCTGTTATCATCTTTGTTTTAAACTATAAACTATATAAACTAAATTCCTCCCCAAAGTTAGTTCAGCCTAAGCCCAGGAGTCAACAAGGACAGTCTGGAGGTTAGAAGCAAGATGGAGTTGGTCAGGTCAGATGCCTGTCACCATCTCAGTTACAACTTTGCAGTGTCGGTTTCATCTTCTCTTGTTATAAAGACGCCTGTCATGCTGGATTAAGGCTGCACTTCACTCCAGCATGACCTCCTCTTAACTTGCATCTTAATTACCTCTTTAAAGAGAGACCCTATTTCCAAATAAAGTCAAAGCCACAGTTGTCAGGATGGAGGATGTCAACATAACTTTTGGGGTGACACAATTCAATTCACTACATGGACAATAATTTTTAACAGCTGTAGCAATAGCAAGAAAGAGAGAAACATGAAGACACTAAGACTTGAGATTTTTGCACATAGCAAAAATGTAGAAAGTTATACCCTCATTGGAAGGACGGCAGAAGAACTCAGAAATCTAATGCAAACAACATCAAAGAAGCAAAATGAACACCATCCTCTCTTTTGATGGTAAAATGTCTTTGTGAAGTTATCTTTTAAATTTTTCTCCTAGAATATTTAAAATTACATTGGTTTCTCTTCATTATGCTTCTTTTTCTTTTTTGTTTCTCCCTTGTTATACAGAGTTAATTTGAAATCTAGAATTCTCCAAACAGAGCACAGGCACCTACTATGTCATTTGTGTTAGCCTCTTAAGCCCAAAACTGTAATTTTGTGCATTTGATATTGAATAGACAGAGACAAGTTTCTGCAGTGATCTAAATAGCTTATCAATTTAGCCCAAGAATAATATTTACACCTTTTGAGAAGTTAAAAGGGTTATGTTCAATACAGTAGAAATTTTAATTTTACCCTTCAGCACTTATGAGAATGGCATGTTTAGAATTCAGCCCTGTAGAAAATACACAACCATTTAGCACTCAACTAAGATTAGGGTACACGTTTGTTCAATTAAAGAATGTGAAAAGCTGTAAAGGAAGAAAGAGGTTAGAGACCTGAATTTTTCTTTCAAGATTTCAGAAAATATGCAAAAGGCACATACCCATAAATCTTGATCAGAAACAAGGCCAGACAGCACAAACATAAAGCAAATCTGAAGAGAGCTCATGACGTTGAGAAGGTTTCTCTCTGCTTCTGAAAAATTCAAATTCAAGAAGCTAAATGTTTTTCTTCATGCATTGGAGGAATGTTTTTGTTTGCTTGTTCGTTTTTAGTAGCACAATTTTCATAATGAAAATTTGACCATTGCAACAACAGAGTCATCAAGCATCCCCTCACCGTCCTACCCCGTGATACAATGCCTGCTCTCAGGACAGTCTACTATTCTTCCGTATTTAACGTTTTTAAGCGTTCTGATTCAGTAACCCCTCCAGCACCAACACAACCGATAGTCACTGAAAGGTGAGCCAGTTGTGATAAAATAAAAACACATGCCCTATTCTTAAACCCTTATCTGTATCTCCATGATGACTTCTGAATTTGTGGACTTTTTCAGTAAAATACATTCTGTGTACAGTTCTCGGATAAACACAAGATGCAGCAGAGAGAGAAGGAAAATGCTGTACAAATGATAAAGTAAGTCTTCTGTAGAAATTGAAGTTGGATTTGATATGAAATAAAGGAAGCAACATTTAGGACACTGATCCCAAGTGAATCCAATGATGAAACCATGAATATTTCTACTTTTAATGTCTACTGGTGTTTGTAATAATCACTTTCTAAAAATCAGAGCTATGTCATTTTCTGTTGTGAATATCTTGGGGCAGGAAATGAGAGGTTGGAAGTAAACACTGAAGTTGAGTCAGTGATAGAAAAGTTATCAATGCCAGAGGAGAAAAATCAAGGTAGTTTTACTGAAATCAGTATCTTAATAGGGAAAAGTGGTCTAGAATCTGAAAGTAGATTTACCAGATTTGCTTTATCCTAACCAATTCAGAAGGGTCTTTGAAAGAATTCAGAGGTTTTTAAAAACAAGCTAAATGGGAACAAAATACCAAACTGAAATTTTCATTTTAATATTTCCTCTCTGTCCTATTCTAAATTTTAAAGGAAAAATATATTTCATAATAGATTGCCTATTTTAACAAAACACATCAATACAGTGGGAGATATTTGACTGTGTGTAAATATCATTGTATAAGCATCCTCCACACCAAAAGCATCCACTCTAACATTCAGATACAAAAGCATCAAACAAAGAAGAGAAGCCAGACAGAAATTACGTTCACCTCTTTTGAAAATCAGTATGTTTTCCTCTTGGCTTCGGTTTTCATAAGATATTAAGTCTTTGCATTTGTGGGCTATAAAACACAAAAGGTAACCTCAAAGAACAAGTACATGCAAATTCCAAAGGTGATGGATGTGTCATGCCTACAAAAGAAATAAAAAAGGATTTTTTGTTCCGGCCAAGGAAATAAAAAAATAAATGAAATGAAAAGGTCACTTCTCTATAAATGACTGGTGAGTAGTTTTATAGCTTGGAAAGTTTAATTTTACACTATCAGAATGTTATGTTATAAGCTGCTATTCTATATATTATGAGCCTTAAAGATAAGGAGAAACTACCAGATATTCACACAAATAGTGGATAGAAGGCAATAATTATTTTAATTTAATAGAGAAATAAATATTTTTCTCTAAGTTGGTCTCTGGATTAGAAAGAGACACATCTTCACATCTCTTCCACAGAAATACCAGTGTAATAGGCCATTCTTGCACTGCTATAAAGAAATATTTGACACTGGTCAATTTATAAGAAAAGAGGTTTAATTGTCTCAGGGCTCTACAGGTTGCACAGGAAGCACAGCAGCCTCTGCTTCTGGGGAGGCCTCAGGAAGCTTCTAATCATGGCAGAAGGCAGAAGGGGAGCAGACACATCACATCACAAGAACAGAGCAAGAAAGAGATCAAGGGTGAGGTGCCATAAACTTCTAAATGACCAGATATCATGAGAACACAAGAACTATTGCAAAGATAGCACCAAGCCATGAAAGCTCCACCTCCATGACGCAAAAACCTCCCACCAGGCCCCACTTCCAACATTGGGGATTACGATTCAACATGAGATTTGGCAGGGACAAATATCCAAACTATATCATTCTACCCCTGATCCCTCACAAATCTCATGTCCTTCTCACATTGCAAAATACAATGAGGCCTTCCCAACAGTCCCCCAAACTCTTGATTCATTCCAGCATTAACTCAAATGCCCAAGGTGTAAAGTCTCATCTGAGACAAGGCATGTCCCTTCCATTGCCTTGCTTTGCTTTATTGGACCATAACTTAGTAAATGTCCCAAGTTCCAGACATGCTCCTCCCTGCCCCCATTATAATGCATCATCTCTAACACTTAAGGATAAGCTTCTGTCAATATAATATCTCATTTATTTGCTTCTGGCCCACTGCCATGAACAGCCTAAGGTGATCATGTGGTAAGTGCACATTCAGGTTGAGAGCAAACCTTGGATGTATCCTGATGCCTGGGAACCAGGACTGCCATGTTGCAGACTGGCCAGTTGCACATAAGGGAGCCCCAAATTCTGCAAAAGCATAGCTGGGAATGGTGACAAAAAGGGACACACCTATTATCACACAATTGTTCCTGGATATGTGTGTACTACTAGATATTGGGGACAGAGCATCATATATAGGTAGTTGGTTAGCTGCATAAAATGCATCTTGAAAGTCGGTGTCCCATCCCTGCAGGATTTTATCCCAGAGCAAACATCTTAACTGATACCATAATGGATACATTTTATTTTCATGATGATGCCAGCTGCTTCTGAGAGATGTGGGACATTGTAAGAAAATTGAATCTTGCCCACCATGTATGGGCAGTTATCCTAAGGGATGGTGACTGTCTTCAACTTCCCAAGTATTTTCAAAGACCACATGAGCTCACATGGCATGGAAGAACTTGGGCCAGAATGCAGAAAGATGCATGGTGCTTGCCTAGAGTAGAATGTTTTACTCTACTGGATCTACATGGATTAAAGATGAGTCAGAGACCACTTGGAGTTGTCCACTTTGGTTGCTGCCAAAATCAGAGGTGGACTGAGGAAATAAGGAGTGGAAAGATATCCCTGCTGCTGAGAAGACATTGAATATCGAAGAATTAATAACCATCTATATAACTACAGTCTTAAATACAACCCAAGAAGCAAATGGAAACGATCTTAAAATGAATACACTATGGAAAGATATATAAGGCAAATGTTTTTGTTGTAAGCATGAATTTAATTTTAATGCTTTGATATTTTGGGGCTTTGTTGACCTTGAGGGAGCTGTAACTCCTAGAATTAGCCACTTCCTAGAGATACTAAAGAATCAGTAGAAGCGTGCCTTTCACATGCAAATCAACCAGTCCAGAGGCCACACCCTAACCACCTCCTTTACTGGTCTCTCACACTCCACATTTCTATTTCATTGTCCTCATCATCCCAGGACCAGGTATGAGACAACTAGGGGAAGCCCCTACACGCGGGATTCTGCTGAAATTATTAAAACCAGCCAATCCTAAACCTACTTACCTTGCCTCACCCATTTATTCATGTGAAAACCACAAAAAACTCTTGCCATGCCATGCCTTTTTCATCACACCCACACTGCCTCCTGATCAATGCTGGTGCTCTCCCATGTGGCCCTCCACGGTGTGGCATGCTCTCAACTCTTAGGAACTGTGAGCAACAAACTGTTTATAGCAGTTATCTCCTGATCTCTTGGCCTTGCCATATCTCAGTAATAATCAAACCTACATTTTAAAACAGTCTTTGACCACACAAAGCCTCAGTATTGATAGCATATTGAAGAACTCCCACAAAATCAACTCAGTCATGGAACATATTAAAAATACAAAGCAAAGGCCAGGTGTGGTGGCTTATGCTGGAACTCCAGCATTTCGGGAGGCTGAGGCAGGAGGATCATTTGAGGCCAGGAGATCGAGACCAGCCTGGGCAGCATAGTGAGACTCCATCTGTACAAAAAATAAAAATAAAAATTATCCAGGCATGGTGGCACATGCCTGTAGTCCCAGCAATTCAGGATGCTGAGGCGGGAGGATCGCTTGGGGCCCTGCAGTCACGGCTGCAATGAGCCATGATTGTGCCACTGCACTCCAGCCTGGGTGACAGAGTAAGACCCTGCCTCAAAAAAAAAATTACAAAGCAATATTATTGCCAACATCTAAAATCTTATCTTAGGTTTGAATGATGTCAATCAATATTAGACGTTGTAACAACTTAAAAGATCTGATGGCAAGAGAAACATGAACATGTGAATGCTGTTTTACGTATTCCAGGAATTAATTTATAGATTCGAGTCTCATCTGTGCATGATCCGCCAGTAATGATGCAGAGGATAATGAGGTTGAAAAGGTTAATTAAAGTAGGTGTTAAAAAGTAAAATGTGGGCCAGGCGCAGTGGCCCACACCTGTAATCCCAGCACTTTGGGAGGCTGAGGAGGGTGGATTGCCTGAGGTCAGGAGTTCGAGACCAGTCTGGCCAACATGATGAAACCCTGTCTCTACTAAAAATACAAAAAAAGTAGCCAGATGTGTTGGTGTTCACCTGTCATCCCAGCTAATCAGGAGGCTGAGGCAGGGGAATTGCTTGAACCAGGGAGGTGGAGGTTGCAATAAGCTGAGATCGCACCACTGCACTCCAGCCTGGGTGACAGAGCGAGACTGTTTTGTTGTGGCTTGTGCCCGTAACAAGCCTTTTTCAGTGACTTCCCTTAAATATAATTATCTCCAGGCTATAAGAAATCTATAATACATGCATTATGAAATGCAACATAGAATAAACATATATTCTTAAATATAACATCTCATAGAACCTGAATTGCTCTCTTATGTGGATAATTTTTCTCTGCTGAGATTCAAGTGCAGCTTTTAAACATGTAACTGAAATATCTGAAACAGGATATTCATATAAATCAAGTCTGCCAATAACAGAATTCAATAGCAATCAGAAAATTACTCAAAAATCAGTTGAGCCCTTGAATATCCTAACATTGTACACGTTTAACACTGCTTCAATAAGATAAAAAATTGTCACTAGTTACTAGCCAAAATTCATCAAGGATGACAAAATAGCACATTTTAAAAATGAAATAAATAATACAGGATGGAGGATAAATGTACAACTTTCATGGTCTGATATGCCATAATACTGAAGAGTAACTCATATGGTTTATGTAATGTGACTGTTGCTATCTGGTTAATAAAGAATTGATGAGTAGAAAAATGCAGTAACTGGAGATATTGAGACTACGAGTTAATCATTTCAGCCATAGTAGTTAGAATGATTGAAACACCCAATGGGGATTCCACTGTGTAAATGGAATGACAGCAACCATCCCTCAGTACTTGCATTTATGGGACAAGGAGGAATCAATACTAATTAATTATCTCATCTTTTCTTATCATTTTGAAGCACAGGGACATGATGAAACATTATGTTTTCCCTTTAAGATATTCTTTCAGGTCCTGCATATCAATCAAACTACTGCCTCAGCTGGTCTGAAGGATCCCACGAGGATCTGACTCTCCAAAGAATACGGTTTCTACATGCTGATGACTTCATCCTCATTACCCCAACCAATCACTGATCCCAATGTTCCAGTCCCTTGTGCTCCATGATCTCCTTAAAAGCTCTAGCCTAGAACTCCTTGGGAAGATGGATTTGAGGATCTTCTCCCATCTCCTTTCTCAGTGCACTGCAATCACAAACTCTTTCTCTGCTGCAAACCCTTCTGTCTCAGTGTAATTGGTTACCCAAACACATTATGGTGCAGACACATTTACCTGTTGGTCTTATAACACCTGTTGCTTAAGCCCTGACTCTTACCAAGTTATTTGCGTTTCCTCCTACAATGATGTGATAGGATAGTCTTTGTAATTAACACGATTTGTGTCTTCTCACTCGTAAAAGCCAGTTTCTCATGGCAACTGTCCTGTGACTCATATATTCATCATAATCCCTAGCAAGAAAACAAACTCAAAACTGAAAGCCTTGTTTTAAATTTCCATTTTCACAGATTATTTTAATGACTGTTTTAAAAAATGTAATGAGTAACTTACTCATAAAATTAACTGGAAACATTAGATGACTCACACCATTCTCATTTTTTAATTAAATACATGTTTCATGGAATTTAAAGCTCAAATGACAATTTGTATACATTTTCTATGCATTCAGTAGAGACAAAAACAGACTGTTTCTGTCTCTCTCTCTGTCTCTTTGTCTCTGTCCTTCTCTGTCTCTCTCTCTCTCTCTCACACACACACACACACACACACACACACACGCAGAGAGAGAGAGAGAGAGAGAGAGAAAGAGAAAGACTGAGACAAAATATATGAAATTCACTTTTCCTCATTTGGTTCTACAAGAAGCTACTCATTATTACCTTCACCTACACATGTATGAACAAAAGTGTGTCCCAACATTCCAATAAGGAGCTTTCTTACTGTAAAGTGTATTCACAGACACCCCCCCACCAACGATTATCTGAATTTATAATAATGTTGATTAGTTTCTTGCTCCAATAACTCATCTTCCATGAAGAAGTTAAAAAACAAAATTTCACGGATGACTAATAGTTGCCATTTAATAAGAGCAGGGTTTTTTTTTAATTTGAGCATAAAGTTCAGATTAGTAAATTTAATTTTCAATTGAGATTGGAGAGAAGTGAAAGGTACTAAAGAAGGGTAAATTGAAATATGTTAAAGCAGTCTTTATGTCACACCAAGGCTAAATTCTCATTCATGGCAATGTGGATAGAAAGGATCATAGTTACACAGAAGTATTAGGCAAAGCTTTCCACCCAGCTGTTTTCTAACTAGTTAATTTGGCATTGTGTAAGTTTTTATTTACTTTTAAACTGTTATAGCAATTTCTCAATATAAGAAAATATATTATCAATAATAGAAGAAAATGTTCACTCAGTCGTTTGAATCTGCTTCATGTATTTTGATGCATCCATTTGTTTGTGGTTGATGATTGAGTAAAGTAAAAAAGGTAGAAAAGGAAAGGGAGAGATTCTCAAATTCAGTCAGTATACTAAATACTAGATATGGTCAGTATACTAAATACTAGATCTGTTTCTTTTTATTCCCTAGATTTGTCATTTTGTTTTAAAACTTCTTTAATAGTATTTCCCTCAACATGTGTCTGTATTGTCTTAGAGCCAAATATTTTTTCTAGGTAGGTATGTACTTTATTCAATAAGGAATATTTTGGTGGTTTTGGTCCAATTATTCCCAAGACCACATTATTTTTCTAATTTGACTATTCAAATCATTTGTAAAAATTAAGACTTTTAAAAAGAATTTTACTGAAAAGTGAAACAACAAATTTTTTCAAGAAAGAACAAAGGATGGAAAGAGATTAACTTCATGTATTGTTTTAACCCACTGCCTCTATAAATAACAAAAATAAATATACAGAAAGCTTTTAAAATATTTAAAAATGTATTATTCTATAAATTTAAGTACATTATGTAATTTTGAAAAGTTAGGAAAGGTGCATAATTTCTAATCACAATTTAGTATGCTAGAAATTAATGAGAAAAATAGAAAATGGCAATCAATAAAGAAAAATAGAAAATGGCAATCAATAAAGAAAAAAAGCTGCAAGATGGAAACTAACAATTTCTCTTCATTCTTGCATCTCAGAGATTGAAGTCTATTTGTCAGGTGATCTAAAACATGACTCCAGTGATAGCCCTTCCAATGAGACCTTATGGCACACCAAAAGTGACCAGAAAAGAGCACACTGAAAAGAAAATGACTACCTGTTTGCACTACTGAACAGCAATGCAGGAATCTTCAAATAAAATAAAATCATACAAAATTCAGTAGCTCCCTATGAGTATAATTCGACATCCCCAAACATTCCCAGTTAGGGGCTGTCAGTCAGGATGAGATTTATCTTTCCATGATAACAAGTATCCTCAAAATCTGGTAACTGAAAATAAAAAGATTCATCCCTCTTTCCTGTTGTATGTGTTCATTGCAATGGGCTGAAGGCCTGAATCTTCAGCGACTGGTAAGCCATCCTCACAGCAGGAAGAAAGTATAGCTCTTAGAGATTTGCATTTTAAAATGATTACTCCAAAGTTGTAATGTCCAAACCATTCTTATGCTACCATTTTGTTGAGGAGATTTGTGGCTCAATTCAAGAGCCATATTGGTCTATAATTTTATATTTTCTTTCTTGCTTTCTTCTTTCTTTCTTTCTTTCTTTCTTTCTCTTTCTTTCTTTCTTTCTTTCTTTCTTTCTTTCTTTCTTTCTTTCTCTTTCTTTCTTTCTTTCCTTTCTTTCTTTCTTTCTTTCTTTCTTTCTTTCTTTCTTTCTTTCTTTCTTTCTTTCTTTCTTTCTTTCTTCTCTCTCTCTCTGTATTTTTTTTTTTACAGGGTCTCCCTCTGTCACCCAGGCTGGAGTGCAGTGGTGCAATCTTGGCTCACAGCAACCTCTGCCTCCTAGGCCCCAACCATCCTCCCAACTCAGTCTCTGGAGTAGCTGGGACTACAGGCATGTGCCACTGCACTCCAGCTAATTTTTGTATTTTTGGTAGAGATGGGGTTTCACCATGTTGCCTAGGCTGGTCTCAAACACTTGGCCTCAAGCAATCCTCCTGCCTCGACTTCCCAAAGTGCTAGGATTACAGGTGTGAGCCACCGTGCCTGGCTACAATTTTGTATTTTATTTCTTTTGCATTGTCTTTGATATGGGTATTAAGATAATAAATATAGCCCTCATAAAAAGATTTTGGGCCGGGCACGGTGGCTCATGCCTGTAATCCTAGCACTTTGGGAGGCTGAGGCAAGAGGATCACTTGAGGCCAGTAGTTTAACACCAGCCTGGGCAAAATGGTGAAACACTGTCTCTACCAAAAGTACAAAAATTAGCCAGGCTGTGGTGGCACTCACCTGTAGTCCCAGCTACTCAGGAGTCTGAGTTGGGAGGATGGTTGGAGCCCGGAGGTGGAGGTTGCAGTTAGCCAAGATCACTCCAGCCTGGGCGACAGAGCGAGAGACTATCTCAAAAAAAAAAAAAAAAAAAAAAAAGATTTTGAAGTGTCTTCTTTTCTTCTACTTTCTGAAAGACACTGTGTAAAATTGATGTTAATTTTCCTTTTAATGTTTGGCAGAATTCACCCGGAAAATCACTAGAACCTGGGTTTTTTTCTCCTTAATCATATTTCCGAAGAGGCTACTTCAAATTTTATATACAGAATTATACATGCAAATATGATTGAGTGACCTATTTTAAAATGTCATTGTCAGTACACTGGGGAATTATTAGAATTATTCTGCAACTTTTCTGATATTTGATATAGTAATAATGGCTAGTGCTTATCTATATGTCCTATGTTTGTGGTGCTTTAAACGTTACTTTTAAAAATATGTTTATTTATTTTTTATTTTTTAAAATGTATTCATTTATTTTTAAAATTTCGGTAGCTTTATAGGTACATGTGGTTCTTGGTTACATGGATGAATTGTATAGTAGTCCCTGTAGTGAACTCTATACAGTCCCTGTAGTCTGGGCTTTTCCATCACTGGAGTTGTGTATGTTGTCTCCAAAAGGTGATTTTTTAAATATCACTTTTTATGTAGTAATGCATTCAATCCTCATAGCAGCCCTGTGAAGTAGGTCCTAATGCTCTCCAAATTTTATAGATATGGGAGTCTGAGGAGGCACAGGGAAATTGAGTAATTTATCCACAATCAGATAGCCCCATAAAGGTGAAGCAGGGATTTCAGCCCAAGCTGTCCAACTCACTCATCACCCACATTTAGTGTTTGTTTTGTATTAATTTGTAATTTGTTATCTACAAAAGGCAGGTGAAGGCCTCAAGTCTAGTTAGAGAAACAGCTGCATTAACCCTAGTAAAGAAGTCTCTCAAGTGAACAGTGTCCAACTCTGTCCTTATAAGAAGGACCAAGAGGTCATTTTCAGGGTTCCACACAGTAACCAGCCCAATGTGTACTCTTCATAGAAAAGGGCACACAGTAAAGATGTTCCTCCACCCTGCTTCCAGGGGATCTCAGCATGTGTTTCCACAATGAATCACACAAACATCTTACTCTCATCAAATGGAGAAACTCCAGGACCCTTCTTAGAAGGGTGGCACTTAAAAAATAAAGAAAATAGGGGAAAAGGGAGGTTGCAGTATCATTGTCTCCAGTTTTTCATTTCTCACCAGCCGTGCTGCCTCCAACCCATTTCAATTCCATTCCCATGGCCAGCGATCCACAGAAACTGCCCTTGTCAAGGTTGCCAGCTACTTCCATCTTGACCATAATATGAATACGATTTATATTTCATCTACTTTTAAATTTAAGCATGTATTCATTTGCTAGGGCTGCCATAACAAAATGCCACAAACTGGGTGGCTTAACAAATAGACATTTACTCTCTCACAGCCCTGCAGGCTGGAAGTCCAAATCAAGGTGTGGTCAGGGCTAGTTCCTCCTGAGGCCTCTCTCCGTGGCTTGTAGATGCCATCTTCTCCCTGCGTCTTTACAGGGTCGTCCCTCTGTGTGTGTCTGTGTTCTCTTCTCATCTTCTTATGAGATGTCTTAGTCCATTTCAGGCTGCTATCACAGAATACCATAGACTAGGTGGCTTAGAAACAGCAGACATTCACTCTCCCACATTCCTGGAGGCTGGAAGTCTGAGATCAAGGTGTGGGCAGAGCTGGTTCCTCCTCAGGCCTCTCTCTTTGGCTTTTTCATGTCATCTTTTCCCTGTGTCCTCAGAAGGTTATCCCTCTGTGGGTGTCTGTGTCCTAATATCTTCTTCTTATAAGGACACCAGTCCTATTGGATCAGGGCCCACTCTAGTGATCTCATTTTACCTTAATCATTTTTTTGAAAGACACTACCTACAAATAAAGTCACATTCTGAGAAACTGGCGCTAAAGCTTCACTATATGAATTTTGGGAGAGGCAAAATTCAACCCATAGTGAAGCATAAACACATTTAATATCTTCACTGGTGACAGAACAGGAGCACCATCATCTTGGACAAACACTGCCACTTTAAGTTCCAGCTCCCTTTCTAGCCTCAAGCATTTCAAGGAAATCACTTCTCTTCTAACTACAAGCAGCCAGAAAGAGCAGACAGTAAAACACAGAAAAGACAGCTCAGGCACAGAGGGAGTTGGAGGGAAAGTCTCTTGGGTAACCGCCAAACTTCACCCTCATACGCTGGGCCCCAGTAAAACAGTGGGCCTTAGTAAGCACATTCCTTTCTCTTCAGGTGCACTAAGATAGGGAAGCTAAAAGCAGACTCAGGGGGTATGCCTGCAGCTGCAGGAAGATGTATGGGAACAGACACAAAACTCTCCCTCCTGGATAAGCACAACAAAGAGACACAGAAGTAGTCCAAGCCTCTGATAAACGCTCCCACCTTGAATCCTTAAAAACTCTTAGTCTGTAAGAGAGTGGGCTCTGACCTAACTCGGCCAGAAGCTCTTCTCAGGTTTGTTGTCTCTAAAATAAACCTATCTTTGACTGGCAAGCCACCTTTCATGTTTCTTTCCTCTTCCTTTAATTCTTACAACTGGAGCATTGACTAGTACAGGATGTCACTCATTTGCTGAGTTCCTGTTAAATGAAAGATCTTGTGGGAAGGCACCAGACCAGAAACAGATATAAGTGGAACACGTCCTGTCTCTCAGCAGCCCTGCAGTCCAGTTAGAAAAACAGCTGCATAAACCATAGCAAAGTTCACCCAAGTGAACAGTGTCCACCTCTGTCCAACTCACATCACTGTGTCTTGTAGACTTTTCAAGGAGAATACGGCTTATCATGAACATGAAATTTAGAAACAATTATTATCTAATAATGAAAATGATCACTCTTAAAATCCAAATGCCTGGAAATATTTATTCAGCCTTAAAAAGGAAAGAGGTTCTGATGCAGATGACAACAGGGATGAATGAACCTTGAGAACGTTTTGCTCAGTGATATAAACCAGTCACAAAAGAACAAATCTTGCATGGTTTTGAAGTGGCATTGTTGTCTGGGCCAAATACCTGAGGTTCGTTGTCTCACTCCAAGGGAATTGAGGATGCAGAGAAAACAAGGAGTGAGTTTGAGAGCAGAGGTTTAATAGTTAAAAGAAAAGGGAAAGAGAATAGCTGTCTCTCCTAGAAAGATAGAGGGACACCCAGTGGGTCTTCCGGTTTTGTGGTGAAATCCACAGGTTTTGTAGACACCTCCTGGAGGAGATGGTGTCCGATTTACATAGGGCCCAAGAAATTGGTCGGACCAGGTGTGACATCTGGATAGCACGCAAAGAAGCTGGCCATTCCACCCTAATCTTTTATTATGCAGATGGGGTCTTCCCTGGCCAGCGCCATGTTGTCTGTTCCTTACTATACATGTGGTTAATAAGGAAAAGGGAAGATGGAGCCTCCATGCTGAATGCGTCTGGCCCCCAGGTAGCCTTTTCCTATTGGCACAGCTGCTGGTATTCACCCATGCAAGCTTCCAGCTTGCTTATCTATGTTTATAACATGATTTTACAGGCTGCTCTTTGTTACAAAAGAAATGATTTGCAGGCTTATTTTTATGGAAAGGGAAGCCTTACCAAGGACTTCCTTACCCTGACTATCTACCTAAATAATTTCTTTTTAACTCCTTTGTCATTTTCACTTATATGAGGTACCTAGAGGAGTCAAGTTCATAGAGACAGAAAGTAGAATGGAGCAAGGCAGGGACTCAGGGAGGGGGATGGGGAGTTGTTGTTTAATGGGGACAGGGTTTCTGTTTGGGAAGGTGAAAACGTTCTGAAGATGAATGGTGGTAATAGCTGCACAAGCATGTGAATGTATTTAATGACACAAAGAGAGTTAAAATGTTAAATTTTGTGTTATGTATGTCTTACTCCCAATAAAACAACAATAACAAAAGAAAAAAAATCAGAGTTTCCAATATGTACAACAAGAACAAAAACAACAACAACAAAAGAAAAAAAATCAGAGTTTCCAATATGTACAACAAGAACAAAAATTTCAAATGTCCAGCTGATGTTTTTGATCTGATGAAATCACATTAAGCCTCACAAGTCAATGAGTCCATTTAATGTCATGAAATATCAGCTCTAAGATGCTGGTAAACCAAAAACAATAACCTGTGCTTTATCACAAAATCAATGCTTGCAAATAAATGTACAATGTTTATAAATCAATACTTATAACCATAAGTCAATGGATATAGCTTCAGCACAAGATTAGGGTGGAAAAAGAAGTGAACTGACATCAGACCCAGGGAGAAAGGCAGATATTAGGGAAATCAAGAAAAAAAGAAGTCATGCACTGTTGATTCTTTCTATCTGACAAGGATACGGTGAGGACATGTCATATAAAGCCCTGTTCTGACATTGCCCTTGATTACATGCATGAGAAGCCATATCTCTTGCCCTCAAATGTAAAAATAAATCATCCATGGCGACAAAATGTAATCGTGGGGCCTTGAATGATATCATACTGAATACTCCCCAACAGAAGATCAATTTCCTATAACTTTCCACTTGTGTAAGCCTTCATGTAGGAGGTCCACCTGCCTGCGCCCACTGTGTCACTGAGTTCTATGAATACAAGACTGTAATACGTCAATCCTGGGGTCATGATAGTTGGATAATTGTCCAAGTTCTATTGTATTGTAGCTCATGTTATAGAATACGCTTTTCACACAAAAGTCCATTTTCAGTTTTCCGTTTAAGCCAGAGGCCAAAATAATAGAGGCAATGCATTCACTTCTCATTAAGGAAAAAAATGATAATCTGAGGTTTTTCAGTAGTAGAATTTATTCCAGGCAGAAGCAGACTTCTCTTTGTAGTAAAAGAAAAAACTATTTTCTTTGAGCTTTTAAGTGAAGCATAAAATAACTGTAGTAATGCCACCTTTCATCTTTAGAATGCTGCCAAATTTACATAGTGCTTCCCCATGGATTTTCTCTTTTGATTCTTGCAGTGAAAAAAAAAAAAAGTTGAGAGGAGAATAAGCTTTATTAGTTCAATTTTATAGAGACAGGAATGTAGCTCTAGATCAGGATGTGACTAGTCCAATATTTCCCAGCCAGAAAGCAGTCAATTAAACTGGAGCCTGAGTTTTTAAAAACAGTTATTTTTCCCATTAACCTTTGGCTCCAATAACAAGACAAACCCTAGGGTGCGCCCCCTATTTTGTACTGACTTTGTAAACAGAAGATCTGGATTTGAACTCCTGGTCTGTCACTTACTGCATGATGTTGAGGGAAGATTTCCACTGGCAAGAATTTAAAATTTTGGTATGGCTGTCCTGGAGCTTTTGAAATGCTACGTGTGGAGAATTAAGTCCTGATGTATAAGAACAGGGTATGCTTCCCAGTATTAGCGCTGGAGAGAGTAAGTTGTCCTGGTTCGTGGCATTTTCCTCTCTCCCAAAACATAGATATCTCTAGGATCTCCTAAGACCTACACATGTATGGATTGAAAATAACTGTCATATGGAGAGGATGAGAAAGTCACAACTAGCAAAATGGATTCAGAAAAGTCTTGGGTTGTGAAGATGTGAGGTTATTTTTGCAGGACTTTTCAAAGTACAGGAATAATGGGTGCAAGTTTCTAATCAGGATAGACACCTGTGAGAACTCAAGAAACTATAACTAGCATTGCCCAAGTTTTACACCATGGGGTATACCCATCAAGAGTTTTTTCTTGGAGGTTAATATCTCCTTTAAAATAATGGATGAGTTTCATAATTGGCTGAGAAGGTTTCTCAAGCCCCCTTTTCTTTTCTGATGGTGAATAAGGAAGGCAGAATACAAGAAGTTACATGTTGAAGGAGAGAGTTGCGTACTTTTAAGAAAATATCCTACTTTGGGAGGCTGAGGCAGGAGGATTGCATGCTTGAGCCCAGGAGTTCGAGACCCACCTGTGCAACATGGCAAAACCCTGTCTCTACAAAAAAATATAAAAATTTAGCCAGGCCAATGGTGTGTGCCTGTAGTCTCAGCTACTTGGGAGGCTGAGGTGGGAGGATTGGGCCTAGGAGGTCGAGGCTGCAGGAAGCTGTGATCGCACCACTGTGCTCCAGCCTGGGTGACAGAATGAAACCCTGTCATGATGAAGAAGGAGAGGAAGAAGAAGAAGAGGATGAGGAAGAAGAAGAAGAAGAGGAGGAAGGAGGAAGAGGAGGAGAAGGAGGAGAAGGAGGGGAAGGAGGGGAAGGAGAGGAAGGAGAGGAAGAAGAAGAAGAAAAGGAAGGAAGGAAAGAAAGAGAAAGAAAGAAAGAAAGAAAGAAAGAAAGAAAGAAAGAAAGAAAGAAAGGGAATACCCAAATGACCTGTTCTTTTCCCCCTTTTCCACGGCATTTAAGAACCACTAATTTGTGCCAATGGATTTAATTCAATTGATACTCTTGACTGATCCGATTCGACGGACCTATTATTTTTGCTTAAATGTTCAATTTGTTAGTGACTTCATTCTAGTCCTTCTAACAAATATAAGGAAAAATGTTCATGTTTTCTGTAATCCACTGCTTTGATGAAGGTGAACTTTGCACACCACCTGTGAAGAATCTGTGGAATATTTTCATGGCTGCATCGATTTTTGCCCAAGGCATATGCAGTCTTTGGGGAATGGTGTGCATGGTAGGCCATGTTAGCTTAGTTAATGGATTAAATAGCTGTGACCATCCATTAAACCTGAATGAAGGAGATGACACATACATGATTTTCTCATTGGAATTAAAGTTCTTAAAGACTGGGATATCCCAGCAAAATGGGAAGAAGATACAGAGGTAAGAGACCTTCAATCTGTTGTCCCACTCCACAGCCAGCTGACTATAATCAGTTTGATCAATTAACCTCTCTGTGCTTTTTTCTCCAGGTGTGTAAGAAGGAGTAGAAACCACCAGATTTGTGACCTATTTCACATCAACCATTTATTACTCTATTATTTCTTAGCCCTTCTCTGAACCAGTAATACAATGAGAAGCAACTTGAATTAGTCACTTTCCACTGGAAAGATTTAACACCATGGATTGATACCCCTAAGAGTTTTTTCTTGGATATGAATATCTCCTATAAACTAATGGATGAGTTTCATAATCAACTGAGAAGTTTTCTCAACCCCCCTTTCCTCTTCTGAGGGTGAATCAGAAAGGCAGAATAAAATAAATTACATGTTGATTGAAGGAGACAGTTGTGTACTCAAGGGAGGGTATTTATTGCACAGATATAGACTGTGTCACAGACTCCAAATTGGTCAAGATGTGACTATACCTGGGACTCAGATAGGACTGGAAGCAGGACTGGGATGATACAGGGATATGAGCATGTGTCCACCCGTAGATCTCTTGTCACTGACTCTACCTAGTCCTTCTCTTCTCCTTAGTTCACTGTCCTCAGTAAACAGCTTTTCCTGGTCTTCTGTTCACAAGGGATAGCCCTCACTCTGGGAGACTACTCCTCTCCTGGAAATTCCATATCCCTATGGAAGCTTCTGAATTTGGCAGCGGACACCCACTCCCTCTCCCGGCCCTTCTGATTGTGACCTGCTCTGGCTTAATGAAGCAGTTCAGCACTTCAGTGGGGTAGAGGTTTGTGGAAAAAACAGTCCAGATGTTATCAAATACCTTTACATGTCTACTTAGTAATAATTTGATTCAATACGTTAAGCATTCACTGTCTACTTCAATCTGGGTTAGATACATGAAATAACAGAAATACTCATCACAATCCACTTACGCACATGCTATAAGTCATGCGTTTTGTTTTGTTTTTAAAGTGGAGAAACTTGAGTGTGAGAGATTCTAAATAGCTTGCTTAGATCACACAGGGAGTAAATGGACGAGGGAGGCTTTGAACACAGCCCCTTAGATTGAGTATCTAATTCATCAGCTCACACTATTAAAAAAGAGAGTATCCGAATAGAGTGGTCTCATGAAGACGTCAGACCGTAAGAGGCACCTTCAGAATTCGCAAGATTGGAACATCGGGCAAGGAAAGTCCCTTCTAAATGGGAAAGAACACTCACAGCAAAGAGGTGGGGTAAAGAAAGGGCATCTTATAAAGAATAGTTGGAGGATGTGAGCCAGATTTAACAGAATTTCTGCAGAACTGTTTGAGCTGTTCCAGTGGTGTAATGGAAATGATTTTTTTGGAATCAATAGCTCCGATAAGGACGCTTTGAATGGAGCTTGCAGAAGAGGCCTGTGGAAGTTATTAAAAGCTGAAAGAGCTGCTGGAATGTGGATTCGGTCACATGAACCCAAGGCAACAAAAATCTACTCTGAAAGATGACACTAGAAACAAGTAAAGAGGAATATTTGACCATATTTTATGAAACGCACTTGGACTTCAGCTGGCTGTGGAATATAAGGAATGTTTACATAGGGATTGGTTACAAGAAATGAAAGGTAGGTATTTCTAACACTTTTTAAAAATTTTAAATGGCTCAAATTATGTCAGTGCCATTAATAGAAACAGCATTTCTTCATTAATGAGAAAACATTTAGAAAAGGGGGAGGGGGCCGCATGATTTTCAGATAAGAATAGAGCCCTCAAATAAAATGGTCCTGTTGGGAAGCGGAGGTAGGAGGACTGCTTGAGGCCAGGAGTTTGAGACTAGCTTAGGTAACATAGTGAGACCCCATCTCTACAAAAAATACAAAATTAGCTGGGGATGATGGTATATGGCCGTAGTCCCAGCTACTCAAAAGGCTGAGGTGGGAGGATTGCTTGAGCTCAGGAGATTGAGGCTTCAGTGAGCTGTGACTGCACTGCTGAATTCCAGCCAGGGCAACAGAGCAAGTCCCTGTCTCCAAATACAAATACATGTATTTTAAATTGATTCCAAGATAATTATATATATATATATATATATATATATATATATATATATATATACACACACACACACATATATTATAAAATACATATATTTGATTACATATATATTATATTTTAAATTGATTCCAGGACAAATATTGTGTGTGTGTATATATATATATATATATGTGTGTGTGTGTGTGTGCGTGTGTGTGTGTGTGTGTGTGTAGTCTCTGTCTCCCTCTCTTTTATTAACCAGCAAGATCTATACAAGTTGCTTTGAAATTTGTTTGAAGGAATAATATAGGAATAGTTTTCTTAAAAGCAAAGGCAATAAAAGAATGATAATAACAGGGCATATATATATATATATATATATATATATATATATATATATATATATTCCTGGATATATTCCTGGAATCAATTTAAAGTATTGTAGAGAAAGTAGGAATAAACTGATAGGTAGTTTAGGGACCTATAACAGAAGCATGACTAACAGCCTTGAGAACTGATAACTATGTCCAATAAAGGGACATTAAGTGGCTAGGGAGATATGAGGTAGGAGAAACGGAAGCCTATTTAAAAGGGCTTACAAAAACCATGAAGAAAAAGCAGGAGTCACCAACGCAACCCAAGCCAAGGAAGCCATGATATTTCAAAGAAGATGATCAATCTTATCAAAAGTCAAAGAGAAAGAGACAAGAGAAAGATCACACGATTGGAGCAAAGAAAGAAGTCATTGTTAGATTCTATGAAGGCATTTGGGGGAAATGGTGGAGGCTACACTGTTCAAAAACAGGAAATGAATAATGAAGACAGGAAATCATCCAAGGTAGAAAAGGATTTGGGCCTGTTGTTTGGGGATGTGAAATAGTATCTTCCCAGGGAGCATCGTGGTAATATCTGAATGCCAAATGAAGAAAAGGAGGGAAAACGTGGTTGTGGATTCTTTCTGGAGGCTCCACTGGGTAGGAGAGGACCCAAAGAACATGGTGTGTTGACTTTAGAAGGGAGAACTTTTCTTACCGCTTTTCTTTCTTTTCCATGTGTTGTTATGAATTGCTCCTGATTTAGTGTCATTTCTTTCTTTGTATGAATCTCGTGAATTGGTAATAAATGAATACTCCTTGACAACAAAAAAGGCACTCTCTTGTCCAGGATTGCAAATTATGATACTGAAAGTATTACTCAATCAGTCTCTCTCTCCCTCCCTTCCTCTCTATCTCACTCTCTCTATTTCTCTCTCTTCCTCCTGCCCTCTCTCTGCCTTTTCTCTCTCCCTCCCTTCCCCTCTCTCTGGCTCTCTGTTTCTCTCTCTTCTTTCTGCTCCCTCTCTCTCTCCTTCCTTTGCTCTCTCTCCCACCTGCCCTCTTACTCTCTCTGGTCTGTCTCTCCTTCTCTCCATCTCTCATTCTCTCTCTTTGTCTCTATTTCTGTCTCTGTCTCCCTCTCTCTTATTAACCAGCAAGATTTATGCAAGCTGTTTTAAAGTTTGTTTGAAAGGATAATATAGTAATAGTTTTCTTAAAAACAAAGACAATAAAAGAATGATAATAACAGGGTATCATTCCCCAATGGTTTAAAAATCCAGTCACGTTCCAACCAGCTATTCTTTTTCTAATATTCTTTTTTTTTGCTTTGACAGTTTCTTGGCCATTTTTCTACTTATTAGTACTTCCATCAGAAATAAGGAAAAAAAGATGAAACTATAACGTGTCAATTTGAGACATAGGAACTTCTATTATGCCCATCGCTACCTTCAAGTGTCTAGATAATTCCTACACCACTGGAAGTGTTAGCTGCCAGCCATACAAAATTTGTGTCCCTACAAAACAGCAGAAGATACTAACACACACATCCCATCCTTCTGACTTAACTGTCTGATTATTGCATTCTTCCCTTCCCTCCAATCAAAGCTATAATGCAATGATCCCAGGTGTGTTAGAAATAAAAGTATTAGAGACAATTACTTGGCAAAGTGAAAATTGCCTTAAGAAAATGATGAGCAGTCAGATTTACCTCTAATGACTTTGAATTTGAAAATAAACCATTTCATGGTAATTTTTCTTGCTTTGGGGCTTATATCATTCGAAAGTTCTAAAAGAAACAATTCATGTAAATCAGGAAAAAATGTTCCTCCCTTTGGATAACTTGTGTTTATTTTACAGCCATTTCATTTCCTTGTTGAGTTAAATTATTAAAGAACCTCATACATGTAGTTTACATAAAATTATCACAATATAAACGAATGTGCATATCTAATATGCCTGTCTTACATTTGTGACCCAAGGTTTAAAGTCTTAGAGTCGTTAATAAAAGAATGAAGATAAACCTTAAGAAGCCTTGCTGTGAATAAGAGATAAAGCAGAAGTTTACTTTTAATCTGTTAGTTTTACAAGTTCTTTTTTTTGTTAAATAACAAAGAAAAATTGGACTAAAATTCCAAAAATCACATAATTTCTTAAGGCAGCACTTTCATCGCCAGCAATAGCTCTGTTCAGAGTGTCCTAATGCATGTTTATTGAAAATGGTTTGGCTTTGAGACATTTCTCGTTCAGGCTAATACAGGCAATTACATTTTTTTCAGTACAAAGTATAAGGACGGACACTGTGAAATAGTTGAAGGTCACTATCATAGTAGAACACCATCATATAAGTGGTAAAATTGAACACTGGGCTTGACAGCAAAAAAAAGCTGGAAAAATATTCTTAGCAGCACCAAGAAAGTTGGTTGGCTCTATGGGGGGATTGGGTTCATGAAATGAATCCTATTTCAGATTCAACAGCAAAAACCATATTGGAAATATCCGGGAGTTCTTATAATTGTGCATACAATGGGAAATCCATGCCTAAGTCAAATATAGACTATTCGAATCTAGTAGAAGCAAAAAGAAAAGGAAACTTCTGAGAACTAGGGATAAAAAACTGGGGCATTGCTCAACACAGAACAGAACTTTTTTTTTTTTTTTTTGAGATGGAGTCTCGCTCTTTTGCCCAGGCTGGAGTGCAGTGGCGCTATCTCGGCTCACTGCAAGCTGTGCCTCCTGGAGAACAGAACTTTTTTTATTAAATAGAGTTCTGTTGGCAGGACAACTTTAAACTCTTCATAATGTGTTCAACTAAATATTCCTGCCTCCCTTGAGTTTTTGGACAACGATACTGGGTTTACATTCCAAGAGTGTATATAAATTGCGCTCTTACGTCTGCTGGCCGAAATCCATGCTATTTCCTCACTCTCATTTTGAATATACTTGCAGTATGCCCTATGCGTAAGTGGGCATGAAATTTTAAATAGTAACATTTCAGACTGTTGCAGCCAAGAGTATTGGGACCATAAAGAAACACGCAGAGTAATTTGCTTAGTTATTTTGTGCCAGAAACTACACCGTGCTGCTATTCCTTCCAGAGGGTGGAGTGCTGGGGAGGGGCTCTGAGGAAGGAATCTAACCATAAGTTGTATTTTCTCAAGAAAAAAACAAAGTACAACAACAACAGCAAAACTACATGAGCACAGCAGGAATTAGAAAGGGATTAATAAAGATTAAAAACCAAAAAGGAGATAAATGAGAATGAAATTCCTAGCATTAGTTCCTTGGTAAGCAAAAAAACATGACAGAAAAACTGTTTAATATGATAATCATCAAATAAAAGGGGAGGATACCAAAATGCATGAAACAAATGATCAGAGGAAATCCTTGCTATGGAAAGAGATTAAAGAATTAAAACCAACTCCTTTGATCCATCCCATACAAATGCATTTGAAAACTTAGATGAAATGGATAATTTTCCAGACCTACACATAACATGTATTTTTTTCCAGAAGAAATAGAAACTCAAAACAGACTAATTATATCATCACAGAGCGACCAAACCTCATTCTCTGCCTCAAACACTCTCCCCCTCAAAGACATCAGTTCCAAATGCTTTCACAGTTTTTTCTTTGAAAACAAGATTAATTCCCTGATATCTAAATTGATTTAGAAAAGGAAAATAGTTCTAAAATTTTATTATAAAGCTTGCAAAGCATCAATATAAAATTTAAAAACATAGCACAAGAAGCAAATACTTGATAGGAATATTTTTTAACAACTAGCTGATAGACTACAGCTGACGTTCGAAGAAAAATTCATTGTGATGGCTTGAGATTTATTTCAACACATGCAAATCTCAATATTAGGAAATTTATTAAAGTTATTAATATAATCATAGAAAACATAGGTTATCACTGTAAGTGATGAAATTCATTTAATGGAAGTTTATTCTTATTCTTTATTTCAAGAAAAAATAGAAGTAGAGGTATCTTTTCTTCATGTGTATAATGTTTATATATACATGATGTTAAGATATCATGTATATATATGTTATGTAACTATATATGTATGTATAATATAAATTACTTATATAATACACAAATATAAACAATGTTACTATATATAAAAATATATAGAAATATCAATCAAAAGGCATCTATCATAGTGGTAAATAAATAAGAACATTCTACTCTAGTAGCTTTTTTCTGTAGGTACTGGCTAACACAACTAAACAGGTAAGAAAATTAAAGGCATACACATTGGAAGGAAGAAGGTTGTTTTTATTATTATTTGCAGATTTTTTATTACGCAAATAGAAAATCCAAGGATGGCAACAAAAAAATAACAGCAAATAACAAGGCAAGTAAGTTAAAAGAAAGGCATATAATAGAATTTTTTATATATTAAAAAAACTGTAAGAATATATAATAGAAAAATGGAAGAATTTATAGTAGTGATAAATTTGACCAGAACTATCAAGACTACTGAATCTACCCCAAAATGTTCTTGGGATCAGCATAAGCTTAATACTGAAACCTGACAAAAAACAAAAAGAAATGAAGGCCAGGTGTGATGGCTCATGCCTGTAGTCCCAGCAATTTGGGAGGCCAAGGCGGGTGGATCACCTGAGGTCAGGAGTTTGAGAACAGCCTGGGCAACATGATGAAACCCCGTCTCTATGAAAAATACAAAAATTACCCTGGCATGGTGGTGCACACCTGTAGTCCCAGTTATTCAGGAGGCCGAGGCAGGAGACTCGCTTGAACCAGAGAGGTAGAGATTGCAGTGAGCTGAGATTGCACCACTGGGCTCCAGCCTGGGTGACAGAGCAAGACTCTGTCTCAAAAACAGAAACAAAAACAAAATGAAATTAGAGTTAAAATTTTTAACAGTCTTTCTTAGTAATGCCAAATATCTAAAATTATATATGTAGTGACAAAAAATGCCATATATTCCAGTGATTAACAAAAGGGAAACAATTTTACATATTGTGCCATAATTCAAGTGGGATTTATTTCAGGAATACAGGGTAGAAGGATAGTTTAGAGTTGTCAATCATTTTTTAATTAAAATTTCTTAAAAATAGAGATGGGGTCTTGCTGTGTTGGCCAGGGTGGTCTTGAACTCCTGGCCTCAGGCCATCCTCCCGCCTAGGCCTCCCAGAGTGCTAGGATTAGAGGTATGAGCCACTGCACCTGGCCAGGAGTTGTAAATCATTTGAGGTAAATTATTGTATTAAAAGAAAAAAGAATATAAACATGTGGCATCGCAATAAATGCAAAAAATACATTTTCAAGGGATGATAAATTTTAATTAATAAAGTATACTAACTATCTGGAATAAAATTAAACTTCCTTAAACACAGGAATGATTTCTACCTGAAAAAGATCAACAACAAAAGAAACCAAACCAACAAACAAAATACAGCATGGAGCATATGAAATGGTGAAAATTTCCTGGACATCAATAATGAGGCAAAGATATCTGTTGTGGACAGGTCTCTACACGACATACTGGGAAGTACTTGTAATTAGTTCTTGTAATTGTAGTAACATAATTAGGAAAGTCAAAGCTGAAAGTAAAAGTTGAAAGTAAAATGATTGAAAAGGAAGGATTAAGCCAGTCTTAAAACATGAATGTGTAAATTTAAAAATTAGAAAAAATCTATAACCGAGCTAGGAGATTTAGTGAATTTAGCAGTTAATAAAAGCAAGAACACCAAAAATATCCATTCTATTTTTATATGCTAGTAAAAATAATTAAAATTACTTTTATGATAATGTTTCCAATAATAGGAACCAGTCTAATAAAAAATGCTGAACTTCTACATAGCCATCTAAAGAACATATTGAGCAATGGTGAGGTATACCAAGTTCATGGATTGGAATCTGTAAAGATATCATTTCTTCCAAAATGGGACTATAGATTCAATGTAGTGTGTGTGTGTGTGTGTGTGTGTGTGTGTGTGTAAGGGGGGACCAGTGTGTGTGTGTGTGTGTGTGTGTGTCTTAATTATCAATATATTTTCTTAAAATTCCTGGTTAACATTGGTTATTTAAATCATCCATACTCAAACATCAGTATCATCCAGTGATGTTTGAAGAAGCCTAGATATACCATTCAATGTTCTACTAAGGAGGTTTGCCATTCTAAGAAAAGAGTACACCTCAGGAAATGTGCCTTCTACATGGTCTATTCTTACTTAGAATCTTAGAAATATTGGCTAACAAATTGTGATGTGCAATACAGGGAATATCATTCAGACTTAAAAAGGAAAGACATGCTGCAACATGGATGAACCTTGAGGACAATATAATAAATGAAATAAACTAGTTACAAAAGAACAAATAGTCTAGGATTTCATTCATCTGTGCTACCCAGAGTAGACAAAATCACAGAGAGAGAAAGTAGAATGGTGATTGTTGGGGGCCTGAGAGTAGGTAATGGGAAGTTGTTCAGTGGGTACAGAGTTTCAGTTTTGCAAGACAGAATTCTGGGGATAGATGATGGTGATGGTTGTACAACAGTGTGAATGTTCTTTATATCATTGAATATATACTTACAATGGTTTAAATGGTAAATCATATATAATGTATATTTTACCACTATTAAAATAAATAAATGTGACACACATATGTAAACACACATACATAATTACTTTGTGTCGTGGGTTTTAATTAGTTCTCCTTTGAAAAGCTGATGAAAGCTATATACCTTTTCCTAGAAAAAAATATATAGAGAGAAAATTATATTTAGAGAAAAAATGCATATATACACTTGTATGTAAGATGTTTCCTGAAATTGTAGGGTATTCGTTGACCCTCTAAGGTCTTGTATTTGATGGAATAACTCTTCACTACATTAAATAATTTGGTGGTATTGATGCCTCTACATTCAGAAACTTGGAAAGAAAATAATTAGTACGTGGAAATAGTACATTTGAGGAATGAATTGAATAAAAAATAAGTAAAGCAATAATCATCTGACAAGAACAGGAGAGACCAGAATCTATACACAGATACAAACAGGCACATGTGCTCCAGGGAGCCACATAAGTAGGGAATAAGAAAGGAGGGAAAGAAAGAAGGAAGGAAGGAAGAAAGGAAGGAAGGAAGGAAGGAAGGAAGGAAGGAAGGAAGGAAGGAAGGAAGGAAAGAAGGAAGGAAGGAAGGAAGGAAGGAAGGAGGCAGGGAGGGAGGCAGGGAGGGAGGCAGGGAGGGAGGGAGGATTGATTCCTATCTAAAACAATGGAAACGAAAGTAAGTATGTGGATATTTACAGAACTGGTATCCATTGCCTGAAAATACTTAAATGTAACTGCTTTTTAAAAAATTATTTTTAAAAAATAATTAATGCCAGAAATAAGAAGTGATCTATTTTTGCAGTTGTGATATTATTCAGATAAGAAACTCAATAAATAAGCAAAAAAACCTAACTACTTTGTCTAGTAATCCTCCCAAAGTTCACGACCACAGGATCATCTGAATTATTTACTCTGTGCTGGCACTTCCTAAGCTATCCATCCTCCCAATTGCTTAAAGTTATTGAAACGTTTATCAAGATAGTGATGATGTGAATTACAGAAGCCAAAAGGAGCAATCACTTCTATGGAACAACTTCCTCTCCACTCATCCTAGGTAATAAACGAAATTCTATATGAAGCCAGAATTAGCCTCGCAGGAAAAGGCATTTATATTTAAAGAGATAAAGAAAATATGCCCTGCAAGGAAGGGTACAAAGATTAAGCTTGGGAAATTCTGGACCCAGAGTTAAGAATCCTGTATTCTGAAATGAGCTGGAAGATGTTAAATAAGGCTTCATTGTATTTCTCAATAAGCCAGTGGTATTAGTACCTGCTCTCCGTAAATTAAAACATTACTATAAAGAACAAAAGGGGTAATGATGGATATTTAACTATTAACTTTGAAAACCAGAAGCACTTTAATAAATGGAAGCCCTAATACTGATTTCCCAAAGGAGTTATATACTCATGACACACGTTCAACTTAAGACAGCGGTTGTTTTGCTGCATTGCGTTGTGTTGGGCTGTGTTTTCTTTGAGATTCTAGTTCCAGGAACTAATTTTAAGACTTGCTTCTTTTTTTCTCCTTTTCTCCCTCCTTTCTTCTTCCTTTCTCTTCCCTTCCTTCCTCATTATTTCCTCCTTCCTTCCCTCCTTCCTCCTTTCTTTCTTCTTAGTTTCTTTTCTTTCTTCCTTCCATCCTTTCTTCCTCCCACACTTCACCAACTTCTTCGTCTGTGTATTTTACCATCAGTTTTCTTTAAAAAAAAAAAATGTGTTCCCTTTTGCTACTTTAAAAAAATGCACTTTTAGCACCCGTGTTTGTGTGTGTAACTGGCAAAGTCATTTTTCCTAATTTGAGGGAAATGACTATTTCATCCGGTACTTTCGGAGCCCTGCGTATCAGTCAGAATTAAAGGGTTGGGAAAAGTGGGAGATGGATACCACAATTTTGACATGCCTGTTCAAACACTTTCAGGTATGTCTCTAATATGCATAAACAATTCATCTGTCATTCTAGTTGTCATCCTTTCCCCTTGCATAAAACCTTGCAGATTTACTAGAGAGAACACACTCCAAGGGTCATGTATGATATTATCTGCAGTTCATTTCCTTTGGTAATTTCTGATTTTTAAATTAAAAAAAAAATTTTCAGACACAGGGACTCATTCTGTCACCCAGGCTGTAGTGCAGTGGTACAATCATAGCTTACTGCACCTTCAAATTCCTGGGCTCAAGCAATCCTCTTGCCTCAGCCTCCCAAGTAGCTGGGACCACAAGACACATACCAACATGCCCAGCTCTTCTTTTATATGTAGTTTTTATAGAGATGAGGTCTTGCTGCGTTGCCCAGGCTACTTCTGATTTTAATTTCCAGTGAACAGTCACTATGGAACAAAGTGAATTTCAAGATGAGCATCTACAAGCTTTGGGCAATGGTGTCTCTGGGTGGTTTTTTAAAAAATATTTTTAAACATTGGATGATGCCAACATAACTTTCTTACCATTGAGTACAGGACATAGATGACAAAAACGTGTGTTGTAAAGAATACAAGCACAAACAAAAACAAAAGCAAAAACAAAACAAAAAAACACAGGACTCATTTCATTAATATAATAAAAATACTTCATCAAAGAATGACCACCCAATCTGTCCAGATTTCCATTTACTTTTCTTTACAGATTCAAGTCACCAAGGATTCTGTTACATCTCTCAAAATTCTTGAGTAGCCATGGGAACCAGAAAGCGCCACAGCTAAGTGAACAATACATGGGGCATGCACAAAAACAATAACTAATGTTTATTGAGGGCTCACACTGTGCAAGGTGCCTTTGGAATCTTCAGACATCAAGAATGGATGCACGCGGAATGCTCCTATCACAGCCTGCCATTCCTGCTGGAATAATCAGACCTCCCTTCCCAGAAAAACATGCACTTTTGGAAAGTGGCCAAATCAACTGAGATGTGTATAATGTACTTGGAGATATAAATTGTCTTACTCGAACTTCCCAAGAGCCCTGTGGTGTGAGATGTAGATCACTGTTTTCAATGGGGATCTGGAGATGGATGTACAAGTTGACATACAAAATTTAACCATAACTAGGAACTAGCTAGACATAGGATATGATCTCAAGTCTTTTTGTATTTATTTATTTTGCTTTATAGTGGATCTTTTTTATTGGTTCATCTTTTTAAAAACTGTATCTACGTAAGGTAGACATCATAATGTTTCGGTATACATATACATAGTGACATGATTACTACAGCCAAGCTAATTAGCACATCCATCATCTCACATAGTTCATTCATTGGTTTATCCTATATACGCTTTTTTGATAACTTTTCTCATAAATTTAATTGGACAATAATGGCATATAAGACCTCACAGGACCTCCTTTATTTTTGCAACAACATCTCTTGACACTTTCAATTTTCTCTTTACTCTCTAAACTTTTCATCAAAATTGTAATTCTAAAAGTCCAGATCAGGCCGGGCATGCCTGATCTGGCTCATGCCTGTAATCCCAGCACTTTGGGAGGCTGCTTGAGCCCAGGAGTTCAAGACCAGCCTGGGCAACATGACAAGACATCATCTCTACAAATAATAAATTAGCTGGGTGTGGTGGCACATCCCTGTGGTCCTAGCTACATGGGAGGCTGAGGCAGGAAGATCACTTGAATCGGGGAGGTAGAAGATGCAGTGAGCCAAGATCGTGTTACTGCACTCCAGCCTGGGTTACAAAGGGAGACTCTGTCTCAATAATAATAATAATAAAAGTTCAGATCCTTGTGGATACTTTCCACATTATATTCATATAGAAAAATATCACCTTGTACCCAGAAGTGTATATAATTACGGCTTTTCAATTAAAAATGATATTAATTAAAAATAAATAAATATAATAAAATAAAAGTTTACTAATATTCCCAAGTTTTCTAACACCAAAACCGAAACCACATTCCTCATGTGGAGGTAATAAAAATAGACATTAATCAAAAAAATCAAAGCCATAATCAGCAGTGGGCTATGACCAACTTTGCAAAATTATTACATAAGAAATTTTCTACACTAGTCGTATTTACTAACCTTTCAAAACTCTCATTTTTTTCATGACTTCTGTTATGGGTTGAATTCTGTCTTCTGCTGCCAAATCCATATGTTAAAATCCTAATTCTAAGTGACTCAGAATGTGACTTTATTTGGAAATATGGCTATTGCAGGGATAATTCATTAATATGAGGTTGTATTAGAGTAGAGTGGGCCCCAAGTCCAAAATGACTAGAGTCCTTATAAAAGGAGGAGATTTAGACACAAACGTGCACAGAGAGAGAAGAGCATATGTGAATAAAGGCAAAAATCCAGGCGATGTGTCTAAAAGACAAGCAATGCCAGAGATCGTCAGCAAAATGCCTGACACTAAAAAAGAGACTTGGAAGGGATTCTCCCTCGGAGCCCTCAGAAAGAACCAATCCTGAAGACATTTGGATCTTTGACTTCTGGCCAGAACTCCAGAAGTTCTCCAGAACTTTGAGATAATACATTTCTATTTTTTAATCTTGGTCAGTGTGTGGTACTTTGTTATGACAGCCCTAGCAAACGAATACATTTCCTTTAATAGCAAAAAGTTTAACCCCTCCTCACCAATCTAAGCCACATTTTTAAAAAGGGAAATGTGTCTATGGTACATTTCTTTTTTATACCCTCAACCTCACTCCATTGAAGAGCAGGTGTCAGAAGAACTAATAAGTAGAGAATATCTACGTGATGTTACCATGCTCCAGAATCTCTAGATCATCATCCCTTCCCAAAACCACCGAAAAGAGTGGAAGGAGAACAATCAGGCTGGGATGAATGTGGCTAATTGTGCATGCCACCTGCTCACCTCTGTGCAATAACCTTAAAAATTAATTAATTAATCAATGAACTTTCTTAAAACCAATGTCAACGTCAATATGCCCTAAAACTTTCCACAGTTGAATGTAAATTATTATAGCCATTATGGAGAAGAGTATGGAGTTCAATCCCATCACTGTGTATTTGTCCAAAAGAAAGGAAATTAGTATATAGAAAGGATATCTGCACTCTCATGTTTATTGCAACACTGTTTGCAATAGCCAAGATTTGGAATCAATCTGAGTATCCATCAATGAATGAAAACATAAAGAAAATGTGGCATACATACACAGCAGAATATTATTCAGCCATAAAAAATGAAATCCTGTCATTCACATCAACAAGGATGGAGCTGGAAGTCATCGTGTTAAGTGAAAAGAGTTACACCAGAAAGATAAATTTTACATGTTCTCACTCATATGTAGGAGCTAAAACTGTTTAAAAAATTAAACTCATGGACATATAGAGTAAAATAATAGTTACCAGAGGCTGGGAAGGGTAGAGAACAATGTGGTGTAACATGGGGATGGTTAATGGGTACAAAAAATACATTTAGGTAGAATGAATAGTATCTGGTATTGGGTAGCACAATAGAGTGACTATAGTTAATAATATTTTATTGTCTGTTTCACAATAACTAACGAGTGGATGTGATGGTTAATACTGAGCGTCAACTTGATTGGATTGAAGAATACTAAGTATTGATCCTGGGCGTTTCTGTGAGGGTGTTGCCAAAGGAAGTTAACATTGAGTCAGTGGGCTGGGAAAGGCACTGGTAATCAGCTGCCAGAGCATCTAGAATATAAGCAGGAAGAAAAACATGAAAGGAGAGACTGGCCTAGCCTCCCAGCCTTCATCTTTCTCCTGTGCTGGATGCTTCCTGCCCTTGGACAGCAGACCCCAAGTTCCTCAGTTTTGGAAGTCAGACTGGCTCTCCTTGCTCCTCAGCCTGCAGATGGCCTATTGTGGGACCTTGTGATCACATGAGTTAATACTTAATAAACTCCCATATATATGGGAATTCATATATATATATTCTAGTAGTTCTGTTCCTCTGGAGAACCCTGACAGGGTTCTTTGTGTTAGGAATGTTTGTGTTAGGAATGTTGAAATATTCCTAACACAAAGAAATAATAAATGGTTGAGGTGAGGGATACCATAATTATCCTGATTTGATCATTACACATTGTATGTTTGTGCCAAAAAAAATCCTATGTACTCCATATATATATATATGCCTACTATGTACCCATAATAATTAAAAATGAAAAATGAAAAAATAAAAATTTCCACCTGTGTGTTATAAACATTAGTGAAAGAAAATGCACATCTTTCCAAATATATGAGGACATTTCCCTTCTTTTTAATTTTTAAATTTTTTTATTATACTTTAAGTTCTGGGATACAGGTGCAGAACGTGCAGGTTTGTTACATAGGTATACACATGCCATGGTGGTTTGCTCCACCCATCAACCCGTCACCTACATTAGGCATTTCTCCTAATGCTATCCCTCCCCTAGCCCCACACCACCCAACAGGCCCCAGTGTGTGATGTTCCCCTCCCTGTGTCCATGTGTTCTCATTGTTCAACTCCCACTTACAAGTGAAAACATGCACCGTTTGGTTTTCTGTTCCTGTGTTAGTCTGCTGAGAATGATGGTTTCCAGCTTCATCCATGTCCCTGCAAAGGAAATGAACTCATCCTTTTTTATGGCTGCATAGTATTCCATGGTGTATATGTGCCACATTTTCTTTATCCAGTCTATCATTGATGGGTATTTGGGTTGGTTCCAATTCTTTGCTATTGTGAACAGTGCTGCAATAAACAAACACATGCATGTGTCTTTATAGCTGAATGATTTATAATCCTTTGAGTATCTATCCAGTAATGGTATATACCCAGTAATACACCCAGTAATTGCTGGGTCAAACGGTATTTCTGGTTCTAGACCTTTGAGGGATCTCCACACTGTCTCCCACAATGATTGAACTAGTTTATACTCTGACCAACAGTGTAAAAACATTCCTATTTCTCCACATCCTCTCCAGCATCTGTTGTTTCCTGACTTTTTAACGATCACCATTCTAACTGGCGTGAGATGGTATCTCATTGTGGTTTTGATTTGCATTTCTCTAAAGACCAGTGATGATGAGCTTTTTTTCATGTTTGTTGGCCACATAAATGTCTTCTTTTGACAAGTGTCTGTTCATATCCTTTGCCCACTTTTTGATGGGATTGTTTGTTTTAAAAGTGGACATTTCCCTTCTTTAAGTCTTCTAAGAATCTTCCAGATTCTGATGTTACACATTGGATCTCATTTTTTTCTTCAGTCCTCACTACTGAGTTCATTGTGAAAATGTATACTTTTTTGCCTGTTATGGGTAGGCTTTGTGTCCCCACCCAAATTTTATCTTGAATCATAATCCCCATCATCCCCACGTGTCCAGGGAGAGACCAGGTGGGAGGTGATTGGATCATGGGGGTGGTGTTCCCCATGCTGTTCTCATGATAGTGAGTGAGTTCTCATGAAATCTAATGGTTTTATAAGTGTCTGACAGTTCCTCCTCTCACCCATGCTCTCCCTCGCCTGCCACCATGTAAGATGTGTTTATTCCCCTTCCGCTATGGTTGTGAGTTTCCTGAGGCCTCCCCAGCCATGTGGAACTGTGAATCCGTTTAATACTTCTTTTCTTTAGAAATTACCCAGTCTCGGTCATTGCAAAGAAATGAGCAAGAAACCATGGCAGGCATGTGCCCAATGGTACAGGCAAAACCAATATGGCAGGCAAAAAAGTAGAGACACAGGAAAGAAAGTTGCACAACGTACTCTAGTTATTGATGCTACGATGGAAGGATGCATATGACTTAGCCCCTCGGGGTGGAACACAGGCTCGGGGTGCATTTTCTCCCTTATCATTCTGAGCTCCATTGTCCTTGGTGAATAATAACAGAAGACATTCCAGTGACAGCCGCTTTAAGGCTCAATCCACACAATGCCCTGAGAGAGGCCATCTATATAAGTGAATAAAATGAAAGTTGTATTTGAAGCTTTTATTATTAAAGTTTCTGTAACTACCATACCACACTGGTACATCTAATATCCTATAGTTCTGAAATTAGATCCACACTTATTCCCCCATAGGGCTGTTTATTATTCTGACACAGTTAATATAAACAAGTCTATATTAAATCTGTCATCATGTTTAACTTCTTAATGCTTCCTGATGTGCTCTGTATTCAGGCACTTAGCTTTCCACATACTGAAATTATTTACAAGGTTGAGAGTTTTGTGTGTGTTACTTGTATAATTGTGTATATGTGTGTTTGTGTTACGTGAGACTAGTTTTCTTGCATGTTCTATACTTTGATTTAGAAAACAGAGTGAAACTTACCTTCAGGGGAACCAAATGTTGTCAAATTGATATTTGCGTAAGTTCCTAGCTTTAATTTAAAGTGTATGTAGTAGTGATAAAGAAAATAATAAACCGACTGAACATTAACATAGATTTCTTTAATTTTTAATCACTTAATTTTTATGTGTACATAAGAGGTGTATATATTGATGGGGTACATATGACTTTTTGATACAGGCATACAACGTGTAATAAACAGACCAGGGTAATTGCGGTATCCCTCACCTCAAGCATTTATCATTTCTTTGTTTTAGAAACATTCCAGTTTCACTCTTTTAGTTATTTTTAAATATATAATGAATAGGTGCAAAAATGGAGTTAAAATAAATTAATAAGATCTATTATTTGATCACACAATAGGGTGACTACAGTTAACACAGCTTTTTCTGTGATTGGGTGGATGAATAGCATATCATCTGTATTTATAGTAATATGTATAATTATGTAATATATAAAATGATGGAATTCTAAAAAACACATTATTTCCACTATATGTCCTACATTTGGAAAATGTGTCCCTGTTGTCTCCAATGCCTCTTGCTGCAGGGCAATAAAGAGGTACTTTTTCTTTTCCCCATCTGGGGTTTATCACAGAAGTCAAGGGAGTTCGTTTTGTTACACATTCTTAAAAGCATCCGGGAAAAAGTGGATTAATACACACCATAGGGAAGTGCTCTTGTCTGTTCCGCACAAAGGAAAATATCCTGAAAATGTGCATCATACAGGCAAAAGAGTTCCCAATTCAGCTGGAACTTCAGTGACATAAAACAATAATAGACAAATTAAAAAGCAAATTCAAGTTTTTCTGACGGAGCCCGTGGTGCTAATACCATTTATTCTGACCCTGTATGAATTTTCTGCCATTGGAGTGAAATTACCAGAATTCAATTTGCAAGCGAACAAAAGAAAAGGAAAAAAATTTAATTTACTTTATGTAGCAGCAAAATGATTGCATCATAGGCAATGTTCAAGATTTGTCTTCAAAAAGATGGGAAAATAATCTTGTAATATATCTCCCTATATGGATTAGAAAGATTCAAGTGAGCACCTAATAAAAAAGCATCTTATTAATGCTTACGTTTGCAACGCTTCACTAGCAGCTTTAAAGACAAATCCAGTACATTCTCTTCTCCAGTAATGGTTACACATATTACATTCTTTCTTTAAATGGAACTTCTTTAATATCATACATAACTTTAAGGCATCCCTCTTTTTCACATGTGGAAGCACCTGAATTATCTTTATTAATTGCCTGATAAAGCCTTGCTTTATCAATTGACTTAAAATGATTGTATAGTATGTATCAACTTAATGTCTAAATGTCATGAGGACACTATTTGAAATAAATTCACTTAATCAGATATATACATATATAGAGTGTGACTTTTAAATGTCAGCACAACAGAAATATGAATATAAACTCTTATGAGCAAGTAATAGATACAATTCACTTATTGCCATATATATTTATTATATAAAATATGATGTGTTCTTAATTCAAAAAATGGCAAATGCACATAAAACAATCTTGGAAACTAAATTTTGCAACTGGTTCAAATCGATTTAGGTTACTGTTACAAAATTCCATGCAAGAGAGATTAAGGGATTTTTCTTGTAAAGTATAAAAGGAGAAATGAAAGTCTGAACGATTTCAGGGAAAAAGAATTAAACCTTCATACAAAGAAATGATTCTGAACAGAACATAAATGGAATACACCAGTTTAGATCTTTTCAAGTAGCATAAATATCCCAAGAAGAGCTCAACCTTTTACTGAGAATTAATAAGACCCTAGAAGGGAAAAGTCTCTGCATGGTTTTCATAAACTCCATCCTATCACTCACCTGCCATAGATAGTTTCACTAAAGTAATTGAAAACAAAACAGGAAAGAGGAGCCGGGGGAACCTTCTTTCTTTATACCTATGCATTTAAGGTGAAGATTTCCAATTTAAACGCACGGACAGGCAAAGTCTTGTCAGTTCAGATAATTGCTGATTTTTGCCCCAAGTTTTAGGGAAAAAAAAGTTAGAAACAGAAGCCACAGTTATATTATTAATGGGATGTATGTGTTTGGATTTATATTTTTGAGACGAACAGAAGGCATCTCCAGAGCTCATTCCTAGAGGAATAAAGCAGAAAAATAAGCTACGCTCTTTCTCCTTCACATTTCCCTTTTCGGTTTAACACTTATTTTGTCTTCACAGAAATGGTACAATGGGATTAACAAAAAGCAATAGATATGGCTGCTGATGCTCAGATGGATTTTTTGTTCAAAGAAAAAAATCATAAAACTTATGATGAAAAATAGAACAGGGTTCATTTTGAACCTTTCTTTTTCCCTAGATATCTTATTATTGAGTAGATCCACCCTTCCACGTCTTTTGAATATTTGGGAATTTTGAATATAGTTGTATTATTGAACTTATTTAATGAGCTTGTGGAGTCACAGAACTTTTTGAGTGTTGTTCTCTGAGATCTACTGGACTTCCTTTCTGTAAAATTAAGTTTCTGAAATGATAGTGCTATAAAATTCTGATTTTGGAAAACGGCAATGTGAAGTCAAGAAGGTATGAGATTAAAAGATTCTATAAATTTAGTAACAGAGGTTCCTGGACCTAATCCTAATAAACTATTTCAAATAAATATGGGCAGAACCCATACAAGCGTAGCCTTAATACCTTGATAAACCTCCGGAAAAAAATATGCACCAACAGTTACCTAAGTCCACATGTTTCTCTAGAGCATAAATTCTAGAAACATTTATACTTTAAGCATTACAAATGCAACTGTCAGATCACTGACAGTATTTTTAGGTAATAGCCCTTACCCTCAGGCCACTTAACCTAATGAAGTATTTTTATTTTTTTATTTATTTTATTAATTTTGTTTTATTCCAGTCAGACAACAAAATCCTATAATCTGCCTCTAGAGAAAACCCTTTTAGCCCTGTAATTATCTTTATTCCAAGCACCATTCCATTCATTAAGTAGTGTATAGGGTGATTAATAAGTGAATTATTCACAGAATTAAGACAGAAGCTTTGAGTATTTCAGGATATTAATAGTATAGTCAATGAACTAAACTAAAATTTGACTAGAGGTGTGATCACCATGAATGCCATGTTGGTATCTTGTTAGATTTGGCAACCTGAAGTTGACAAATTTATTAATAAAATAAATGTTCCTTGATGATTAATTTACATTTAGTAGACATGCTCTTTCTTCTTCCTTCCCTTTCTTTTTTTATTTTTTGTTTATTTTTATTTTTATTTTTTATTTTTATTTTTATTATTGTTATACTTTAAGTTTTAAGGTACATGTGCACAATGTGCAGGTTAGTTACATATGTATACATGTGCCATGCTGGTGTGCTGCACCCATTAACTCGTCATTTAGCATTAGGTATATCTCCTAATGCTATCCCTCCCCCCTCCCCCTACCCCACAACAGTCCCCAGAGTGTGATGTTCCCCTTCCTGTGTCCATGTGTTCTCATTGTTCAATTCCCACCTATGAGTGAGAACATGCGGTGTTTGGTTTTTTGTCCTTGCGATAGTTTACTGAGAATGATGATTTCCAATTTCATCCACGTCCCTACAAAGGACATGAACTCATCATTTTTTATGGCTGCATAGTATTCCATGGTGTATATGTGCCACATTTTCTTAATCCAGTCTATCATTGTTGGACATATGGGTTGGTTCCAAGTCTTTGCTATTGTGAATAGTGCCGCAATAAACATACGTGTGCATGTGTCTTTATAGCAGCATGATTTATAGTCCTTTGGGTATGTACCCAGTAATGGGATGGCTGGGTCAAATGGTATTTCTAGTTCTAGATCCCTGAGGAATCGCCACACTGACTTCCACAATGGTTGAACTAGTTTACAGTCCCACCAACAGTGTGAAAGCGTTCCTATTTCTCCACATCCTCTCCAGCACCTGTTGTTTCCTGACTTTTTAACGATTGCCATTCTAACTGGTGTGAGATGGTATCTCATTGTGGTTTTGATTTGCATTTCTCTGATGGCCAGTGATGATGAGCATTTTTTTATGTGTCTTTTGGCTGCATAAACGTCTTCTTTTGAGAAGTGTCTGTTCATATCCTTTGCCCACTTTTTGATGGGGTTGTTTTTTTCTTGTAAATTTGTTTGAGTTCATTGTAGATTCTGGATATTAGCCCTTTGTCAGATGAGTAGGTTGCGAAAATGTTCTCCCATTTTGTAGGTTGCCTGTTCACTCTGATGGTAGTTTCTTTTGCTGTGCAGAAGCTCTTTAGTTTAATTAGATCCCATTTGTCAATTTTGGCTTTTGTTGCCATTGCTTTTGGTGTTTTAGACATGAAGTCCTTGCCCATGCCTATGTCCTGAATGGTAATGCCTAGGTTTTCTTCTAGGGTTTTTATGGTTTTAGGTCTAACGTTTAAGTCTTTAATCCATCTTGAATTCATTTTTGTATAAGGTGTAAGGAAGGGATCCAGTTTCAGCTTTCTACATATGGCTAGCCAGTTTTCCCAGCACCATTTATTAAATAGGGAATCCTTTCCCCATTGCTTGTTTTTCTCAGGTTTGTCAAAGATCAGATAGTTGTAGATATGCGGCGTTATTTCTGAGGGCTCTGTTCTGTTCCATTGATCTATATCTCTGTTTTGGTACCAGTACCATGCTGTTTTGGTTACTGTAGCCTTGTGGTATAGTTTGAAGTCAGGTAGCTTGATGCCTCCAACTTTGTTCTTTTTGCTTAGGATTGACTTGGCGATGCAGGCTCTTTTTTGGTTCCATATGAACTTTAAAGTAGTTTTTTCCAATTCTGTGAAGAAAGTCATTGGTAGCTTGATGGGGATGGCATTGAATCTATAAATTACCTTGGGCAGTATGGCCATTTTCACGATATTGATTCTTCCTACCCATGAGCATGGAATGTTCTTCCATTTGTTTGTATCCTCTTTTATTTCATCGAGCAGTGGTTTGTAGTTCTCCTTGAAGAGGTCCTTCACGTCCCTTGTAAGTTGGATTCCTAAGTATTTTATTCATTTTGAAGCAATTGTGAATGGGAGTTCACTCACGATTTGGCTCTCTGTTTGTCTGTTATTGGTGTATAAGAATGCTTGTGATTTTTGTACATTGATTTTGTCTCCTGAGACTTTGCTGAAGTTGCTTATCAGCTTAAGGAGATTTTGGGCTGAGACAATGGGGTTTTCTAGATATACAATCATGTCATCTGCAAACAGGGACAATTTGACTTCCTCTTTTCCTAATTGAATACCCTTTATTTCCTTCTCCTGCCTAATTGCCCTGGCCAGAACTTCCAACACTATGTTGAATAGGAGTGGTGAGAGAGGGCATCCCTGTCTTGTGCCGGTTTTCAAAGGGAATGCTTCCAGTTTTTGCCCATTCAGTATGATATTGGCTGTGAGTTTGTCATAGATAGCTCTTATTATTTTGAGATACGTACCACCAATACCTAATTTATTGAGTTTTTAGCATGAAGGGTTGTTGAATTTTGTCAAAGGCCTTTTCTGCATCTATTGACATAATCATGTGGTTTTTGTCTTTGGTTCTGTTTATATGCTGGATTACATTTATTGATTTGTGTATATTGAAGCAGCCTTGCATCCCAGGGATGAAGCCCACTTCATCATGGTGGATAAGCTTTTTGATGTGCTGCTGGATTTGGTTAGCCAGTATTTTATTGAGGATTTTTGCATCAATGTTCATCAAGGATATTGGTCTGAATTACAGAACTCTCCACCCCAAATCAACAGAATGTACATTTTTTTCAGCACCACACCACACCTATTCCAAAATTGACCACACAGTTGGAAGTAAAGCTCTCCTCAGCAAATGTAAGAGAACAGAAATTATAACAAACTGTCTCTCAGACCACAGTGCAATCAAACTAGAACTCGGGATTAAGAAACTCACTCAAAACCGCTCAACTACATGGAAACTGAACAACCTGCTCCTGAATGACTACTGGGTACATAACGAAATAAAGGCAGAAATAAAGATGTTCTTTGAAATCAATGAGAACAAAGACACAACATACCAGAATCTCTGGGACACATTCAAAGCAGTTTGTAGAGGGAAATTTATAGCACTAAATGCCCACAAGAGAAAGCAGGAAAGATCCAAAATTGACACCCTAACATCACAATTAAAAGAACTAGAAAAGCAAGAGCAAACACATTCAAAAGCTAGCAGAAGGCAAGAAATAACTAAAATCAGAGCACAACTGAAGGAAATAGAGACACGAAAAAACCCTTCAAAAAATTAATGAATCCAGGAGCTGGTTTTTTGAAAGGATCAACAAAATTGATAGACCGCTAGCAAGACTAATAAAGAAAAAAAGAGAGAAGAATCAAATAGACTCAATAAAAAATGACAAAGGGGATATCACCACCGATCCCACAGAAATACAAACTACCATCAGAGAATACTACAAACACCTCTACGCAAATAAACTAGAAAATCTAGAAGAAATGGATAAATTCCTCGACACATAAACTCTCTCAAGACTAAACCAGGAAGAAGTTGAATCTCTGAATAGACCAATAACAGGATCTGAAATTGTGGCAATAATCAATAGCTTACCAACCAAAAGGAGTCCAGGACCAGATGGATTCACAGCCGAATTCTACCAGAGGTACAAGGAGGAACTGGTACCATTCCTTCTGAAACTATTCCAATCAATAGAAAAAGAGGGAATCCTCCCTATCTCATTTTATGAGGCCAGCATCATCCTGATACCAAAGCCAGGCAGAGACACAACTAATGAAGTATTTTTAAAAAGGAGTCAAGGTTTTCTTGGATGTTCCACGTATTGGCAGCTTTCCCACTAGAAAGACGCACTTTCCCCACTCCTCCCCAGCACATAAAAAATCTACAAAATAGTATATTCTAACTCTGTCATGTTTGATTTCTGGACCACTGGGTTGTCTGCTTCTCAGATGAGGCCCTCACTAACCCTTTTTCCTTGGTCAGGCTAGCGAAGTGTTCACTCTTGTTTTTTTGTTTTGGTTTGTTTTCAATCATCCAACATCTTCAATGTTTCTCTGTATTGTTTTACAACTCTCTATTTTTTCTTTCTCCACTCTATTCTTCAGAATTTCTTTCTGAAGAATATTTTTTACTAGGCATATCATTCTAGGTAGACAAGCATTTTCTTTTCCTTTAGAGATATAATTTCATTTCTACAATAATTAGGATGAAATGGTCAAGATTTTATGTGACATATTGGAGGATGCAAAGCTCTGAGGAAACAACGCTAATGAAGACATAGTACTTAAGATGTGCAGAAAGGAAGAGTTTTCCAAAACTTGTCTTAAGTGTCATTTCCATGAACATGACATCCCAGAACATGTCACCATGAGACAGGGAAAAGGAAGATTACCTAAAAGAAACTTAGCAGGTTTTAGACAATAGCAGAAGAAACTCATTATAGATAAGGCAAAAACACCATCTGCTTCCTTGGCTGCAAATGATTTAGAGAAGGTAACCAATCCCTTAATCAGTTGTAAAAAGGAGGGGATTTTTTAAATAAAAAATGTAATGTCTAGTCTATCATTTAGATTTCTGTGTGTGTGTAAAGCTGCGCTCAAATTGGCTGTATAATAATATCAGTGTTCTTTAAACATCTTTAATAAGTTATAATTAGCAAACCTTATGATTCACCCATTTTAAGTATATATTTCCCGAAGTTTTAGGAAATTTACAGAACTGTAAGTTTACTAGAGTACTACTCCTTTTTGTAGCTATGATAAAGTACTTAGGAAAATATGTATCTTCCAGATTTTTCATTAGTAGGTCTCTATAGAGGGCAGATTTCCTGCACTGTTATAGAAATGATGTTGATATTCAAGATGGATAAGCCAATTAACCAGCATCAGAATAATAACTCTGTGTGTGTGTGTATACATATGTGTCTCCAAGGAGCAGACCAAAACATAAAATGGATAAATTATAAAATAAAGCAGGACAGCAGACACTTCTTTGGGCTCACAGCTTTTCCCTCGTGTAATCCTCAAAGCCATTCCTTGAGGTAGGAATTGTATCTCATCCTCTCTATGTTCCACTGATAACAAGTATGGAAAGTCAGCTTCCGTGATTCCTAAGCTCATGAACAAAAGGTTTAATAAAATGAGTGCCTGACCAGTTTTGGTTTGTATAATTACATAAGTGTGTAGTGAAGCAACAACAGCAACAACAAAACCTTTTCCCTAATTATGTTTGCATCCAGTTACTATAAATCAAGGGCAATGTCAGATTAGCATTCACTTGAGACTGATGTTTCCCTTCTGTTCTCTCTAAACACATGAGTTCAAAACATTTTATCTTGTCTGAATCAGAGTTGCTATGTGTTCATAAAAAATGCTGTATTATTAATATTTTTAAGATCCATTGAAAATAATGTTTGCATGAGTATTCATGATATTTCAAAATTTCATGATGCTTTAAAATTCAGATGCTTTCTTAAAATTAATGTTCAAATAATGTATCATGGAAGAATTACAGAATGCAACAAACATCTATGAATTAAACAACGTTTCTCCTACTTGCAAGTTTTGCTTTCAAAATAGGTCAGGTGTGAGATTTGAAATTTTGAGAAACTATTGATGTAAGGATGACTCTCTGTTGAATTAAAACATGCTGTGCTATGGCACTCATGCAGGCTGCATGGAAAATATGCAAATGGAATAAATGAGGGAATGGGAGAAAGCAATAATGAGACAATATTGCTTTTCTGCTTTATTGAACTGGGAAAAACGTTAGTAATACAAGGAGTATGGCACTTCATATGCACCAATAATGAATATGTGAAATGTTTCCAGTGGTTGTCTTCCCTGCAACTACAAGAATCAGGGATATTGATATTTATGAATTGATAGATTAAGACGCTAAACATGTTCACCTCCAAAAGTGCATAAAAATGTCCCTCTATTGTGTGCATGTTATGCCGTTATTGGGAAAAGTCGCTAGGGACACAAGTGGGGAGAGGTATCACATGGGTTGGACAGTTTAGCCAAAGGATTCAGCCAAATTGTCTTAAGGTGTCTTGCTAACTTCTTTACTGCAAGCTGAAGCTATTGATGGTCTCCTTTCAATAGACTGGGTTAGTCCTACTCTACTAAAGACAAGTGTAATAATGGACCTGGTTGGTTTCCTTGGTAACAAAGAATCATGCAAAAGGGGTTAGGGTTGACAGATCATCATGACATTTTCATGAAGCTAAGGTCAATACCTGCATGGATTTATGGAACCAGAAGATTCCCATTTTAAGTGTAGCTCTGGTCAAAAAGAGAAATGCCACGGCCAGCCAGTGACCTCCTTGGAAACTCATAGCATCATTTACTAGAAACATTTGAGCATCCCAAGAAAGAAGCCTTGCCTTAATATGCAATAGATAAAGAAATGAAGGACCATGTACAGGTACTTCTGTGATAGTTGAACCCCTTTCAGTTCCCCCTTGCTCTGTGCATATAGAATATAAAATTCTTTATGAATGCAACTCTTGATAGAATCCAGGGCTGGGGATCAGCTTGGAAAATGAAGTTGCAGAATTGTTTAGCATTACTCAACCTCAAGTTTGTTTAAATTGAACAAACTATGTTTAAACTCAGCCTAATCTAAATCTATTAAATCTAGAGGAAAGGGTTAGTAGATTTCTGCTCAAAAATCACCTACATTTTTGAATTTACCTAAACGCATGAATATTCCTGCTTCCTCTAGTTCCAGGGAAGACATCACTTGAAATATTTTAAGTATTCATTATTGGTGCATGCCACTTAAAATGAATTCATTATCCACCTACAATATCAGAATTAATTGTCATGATTATCCTTAATTCTTAGTAACACATTATATAGATATATTAGTATTGAAGATTTAATGGTATAGTAAAACTCCATGACATGATTTTAAAACTACATCCTAATGAAATCTCATTTTAATAAATACTTGATTTTAAAAATCATATTCATATTCAGTATAAATATTGATATCAAAAATTCAAAGGTATTGAAATACCTTTTGAGCAGCCAAAGGATCATTTTAACTAATTTTTTAAAGATTTTTTTCCCCACAGAATGTTTAAAAGCACCTAGTCCTAACTACAGTTCTACTTTTAACACATTAAAAAGCACATGATGACCTTCAAAGAAGCTATTTGTGGTAGTATCAAAAGTGTGATATGGAGTACAAAATTAAAATGTGAGATGTGAAAATATTGAGTAATTTATCTCCCATGATCCATCACTCGGAGGCATTAGGCTTCTTAATCACAGTTTTAAATTAGTATCTTTATGTAAGCAAGTCTGCCCATGAGGAAGGGGAAAATTAGGAACATATAAGAAATTCATTACCTCTCTCAGATAGCTCAAAACCATTTATTAATTACCTCTCATTTGGTGCATTCATTAGCTTCATCGTAGAGTGGGAAAGTTAATGAAAGTAAAAATCATGAAAAATCACTACCGTGACCCCTACAGGGAGTGCCCACTCTATCCCAAATTGAGGTGTTTAGCTAAGAAGGTCAGAGCCAGGTTTATGTACAAAAGCCAAAGAAGATGAAAATCAACTTTGGCTCTAAATATTTCATTCCCACGAGCTACTTCCACCGAGGACAAAAGACAAGTGAGATTCATTTTCCTACTCCCCAAATTTGGCACAGTAAACCTCAGTTGAGTTCAATAAGCCCTTACTGAGAATCTAATAGCTACTAAGGCAGTATGTCTCAAACTGTAAGGTATATATGAATCCCCTAAGTATCTTGATTCAAAACAAGGGCGGCTTCAAAAGATCTTTTACGATGGGGAATAACAGGGAAATACATTCATATCCATTACTACCCTCTACTTAGGGCATAGATTATCTCAGATGTCTTTTGGGGAACGAAAAAAAAAAAAAACCACAAATCTTTGTACTGAGTCATCCTAGATGAGCTATTTCCAGTTCACAAACATCTGTTTTTTGATACTTTGCTTAGGTTTTGTGTTTTACCCTAGTGTATCCACAGAGACATCCTAAGCCTTGGGTGCCTTTTGGATTGATTACCTATAGGTTTAATATAAATCTGAGCAAACTATTTTCTATTCAAGTTATTCTATGCAATTACAGAGACTGAGTTTATTATGTGCATGGCTAAATTTAACCACCCTTCAAAATATGACATTTTGCAGTTTTGTGTGTCTTCTTAAGATGGTTCTACAAACCCGAACTTAAAACAAACTGTTTAACAAACGCCATTTTTTTTTTATAAAATCAGTGAAACATGGATGGAAGCAGTGTTAGATGATGTTATTAAGGAACTAAGGTGAATTTTATTAAATGTTGTGTCAGTTTTTTAGGGAATGTCGTACAAATTTCCACAAAGTGGGGAGCTTAAAGCCACAGAAATTTATGCTCTCATAGTTCTGGAGGCCAGGGTGTGAAATCAAGGTGTGAGCAAGGTTGATTCCTTGTGGAGGCACAGAGGGAGACTTGGTCTCCTGCCTCTCTGGGAGGTACTGGTGGCTGGGTGTTTTTTTTCTTGTGGCCACATCACTCTAATCTCTGCCTTCGCCTCCATGTGGCCTTCTCTTCTGTGCCTGTATCTTCTCCTCTGTGTCTTATAAGGATACATATCATTAGATTTGGGACCCTTCTAGATAATCCAGCATGATCTCATCTTCAGATCCTTAACTTCCATCTTTGAAGGTCTTTTCCTAAATAGTCGTAGATTCCAAGTGAACATATCTTTGGTGGACACTATCGAACTCACTACAGGTGTGATAGTAGCATTGAGTTTATTTGTAAAATTCATATCTGTAAGAGATGAGTGTTGAAAGGATTACAGATGAGAAGGTATAGTCTCTGGAACTGGCTGTAAAAGACACAAATAAAACAGAAACAGAGGTATAAAGGGGAAAAAAGTTTGGGAAGTCTTTATTATGAGACCCCCATAACAGGTCTATGGAGTTTCCCTCCTTCTTTTTTCTTTTTGTATGTGCTTGGGTGTATTTATAAGAAAACAGTCTATATAAAAATATTTTAAAAAGCAATGATCTTCTATTGTGTATATATACAACATTTCCTTTATCTACTCATTCGTTGATGAATGCAGGTTGATTCCATATCTTTACCATTGTGAATAATGCTATTATTCAGCCTTAAAGAAGGAATCCTGTCATTGGCAACAACATGGATAAACCTGGAGGACATTCTGTTAAGTGAAATAAGCCAGACAAAGAAAGACAAATACTGCATGAACTTACTTATATGTGGGGGCTAAAAAAGTTGAATGCATAGAAGTAGAGAGTAGAATGGTCGTTGCCAGGGGCTGGGAGAGGGAGTGGACTGGGAGAGGAGGACATGTTGCTCAAAGGATACAAAGTTTAAGTTACACAGGAGGAATAACTTTTGGTGATCTACTGCACAGTATGGTGACTATGGTTAATAATAATGCATTGTATATTTCAGAATTGCTAAAAGAGATTATAAACATTCTTACCACCAAGAAATAAGTATATAAAGTGACAGAAATGCTAATTGTCTTGATTCAATCATTCCAAAGTGTGTGCATATATCAACATATATCATAACATCACATTGCACCCCATAAATATATAGAATTTGTTTTTACCAATTAAAAATAAAGCAAAATAATATAAGATTTTAAAAACACATACAACTACATTAATTGTTACCAGGGTCGGCCATTTGAAAATAAAACAAGATCTAAGTGGAATGATTTTTTTTATTCCTATGTGACAATATAATATTACACACACACACACACACACACACACACACACACCCCCAAGACAGTGTCTGGATGGAGGGGTAATAAGGAGTGACTGCTTAATAGGAATGGTGTTGCTTTGGGGATAATGAAAAATTTTTCAGATCTGTATGGACATGAGGGTTACAAGATATTGTTCATGTACTAAAGGCCACTGAACTGTACACTAGAAAACAGCTAATAATTAATTTTCGTGTTATGTGAAGTTTACCTTACTAAGAAAAAAATCTGTACATTCTCGTACATAAAATAGAATCATGTATTTAATTTTCCTAATAGTCTACCCTGAACTTGTCTGCATTTATTTCATTTCTATTGCAGGAGTCTCTTTAACGGCATTTTCAGAAGGTCTCACACATACTTGCTTTGTCAACTGAGATACATTAAAAGGATAGCATGATCAGTATTTCATGAAACCTGCAATCTATGCAGTTCTTTCCCACCTCCTCCTAGTGACCAGCCACTGACATTGCCAAGGTCCGGGCCCACCTGCAACTTAAAAAAATTTTTTTTAAAATTATAATTGTTGTGGGTACATAGTAGGTGTATATATTTATGGGGTGCACAAGATGTTTTCATACAGGCATGCAATGTGAAATAAGCACATCATGAAGACTGAGGTATCCATCCACTCAAGCATTAACCCACTGAGTTGCAACAGTCCAATTACACACTTTTTTAAAAAGTTATTTTTAAATGTACAATTATTATTGACTATAGTCACCCTGTTCTCTGTTGTGCTATCAAATAGTAAGTCTTATTCATTCTTTCTAACTATTTCTGTACCCATTAACCATCCCACCTCCACACTCCACAGCCCCCCACTACCTTTCCCAGCCTCTGGTAATCATTTTTCTACTGTCTACATCCATGAGTTCAATTGTTTTGATTTGTAGATTCCACAAAAAAGTGAGAACATGGCAATGCTTGTCTTTGTGTGTCTGGCTTATTTCACTTAGCATAATGATCTCCAGTTCCACCCATGTTGTTGCAAATGACAAGATCTCATTCTTTTTATGGCTGAATAGCACTCCATTTTGTATATGTACCACATTTTCTTTATCCATTCATCTGCTGGCAGGCACTTATGTTGCTTCCAAATGTTAGCTTCCTCAGAACATTTTTAGTTTTTTGAGGAACTTCTAATGTGCTCATGTAGTAACTTACATTCCCACCAACAGGATACAAGGGTTCCCTTTTCTCCACATCCTTGCCAGCATTTGTTATTGCTTGTCTTTTAGATATAAGCCATTTTAACTGGGTTGGGACACCTGCAACTTTTGATTAGGCAAACAATGTGATGGAAGTCATTAGAGAAAGCTTCTTTAAAATCAGGTGTTCTTTCTCCTGCAGGGCCGTACCCAGGATTGTATAACCATAGGCAAGTTAGTTCACACCTCATTGACAAGAGGATGAAAATGGAACCTTCTTAGAAAATAATAAAAAGCTAAATACTATTGGGTTTTGCTCACACCAACCAGTTAGCCTGCTGGCAGATGGGTAGAAGAACAGAAACCCAGGATAAAAAAAGGCAGATATAATTGTCACTTGGGTCATGTGACCAGCTTCAGAGCTGCAGTCTGTACCTGTCTTAGTTTGTTCAAGCTATTATTGAAAAAACACAAAAAAACATAGACTGGGTAGATTATAAACAGCAGACGTTTATTGCTCAGAGCTCTGAAGGCTGGAAGTCTAAGATCAAGTAATAGAAGATTCAGTGTCTGGTGAGAACCGGCTTCCTGGTTCATAGACAGTGCTTTCTCGCTGTGTCCTCACATGGTGGAAGGGGCCAGGGAGCTCTCTGGGGTCCCTTTGATAAGGACACTAATCCCATTCATGAGACTCCACCCTCATGATGTCATTGCCTTCCATGGGGCCATGACTTCAAGGCCCTACCTCCTAAGACCATCACCATGGGGGCGGCCATTTTAACATGTGCGTTTTGGTGGACACAGACATTCTGTCTAGAGAGAGAGGCAGGAGGATCAGAGACAGAGATGTGAGGACTGAAGGAGATGTGATGTGATTCGAAGACGAAGGAAAGACCCTCAAGCCTAGGAATGCGGGTACCTTCTAGATGCTAAAAAGGTCAAGAGATAGATTATCCTCTAAAGACTCCAGAATGAACCAGTAGAGATGAGAAACTGATTTCAGCCTCCTGAGACCTATCTCTGATTTTTGACCTCCAGAACTGTAAGCTAATGCAAGTCTGGGTCACTGGTTACAGCAGCCACAGGGAACCAAAACACTCTGTCAATACCTCCTTTAAGCTATCTTAATTTGAGTGTCACCTCTTCTGAGATGGCACTCTGAGTGTCCATTAAGTATCTGACAAAAATAGATGAGATAAAGAGTGATTCATTTTCTTCTACTTATAGAATAGAACAACCATATTGCATTGTCAGAAAATTGTAAAGAATCACCCCATCTAATATTTGCTTTCTCTCTCAAAAAATTCATAAATGTGTCAATGAACGCATTTCTGACGGCATGCATGAAATACCGATTGTTGCATGTTGAAGGCTGACAAAGCAATGCTGAGATGGAGGCTGGTGTAGGGTGTGCTTGAGCGAAGTTAGAGGAAGTAGGTGGAGAAGATAAAAGGACTTGCAGAGCTGGTGCAACAAAACCTCAAACAACCCCAAGTGAACCCTGGAGGGTAGAAGACCTCCAGAGGGGCCTTGGAGGAGTGGGGCTTGGGTGGCCAAGTTTTCAGGCTCCCAACATACAAGGGGTATACCCTTTGAGGTTACTCCCCACAACTGAGACAACCAGGAAGTTGCTGACAGTGGTTGCTGGTTGATAGCAGTGTAACAAATTACTTCCCTAATCCACTTTCCTAAAAAGGGCACTCAGTGTTAACCACAGCCTCATAGAAGGGAAAACGCTCCTTCAGCAAGAAACTATAATAATAACATATTAATGGTGATGATCAAAGCAGCAAATATTCAGATAGCTTTAAATATATGTTAGACAATTGTTCCAAGCTAATGAGGAGATTTGACCATGATCCCTAATTTTTACAAATGGGGAAACAGAGGCCAATCAAATTAAACATCAAATCCAAGATTACAGAGCTGGTGAAAAACCCAGAGAGTCTGGATCCCAAGTCCAGGTATGTGACAAATATGTTGTATTACTATCTCCAGGAATGAATTCACCCTTGATCCTCCCACAAACTGTATTACCCCATATTCATGCTGCTGATAAAGACATACCGAAGACTGGGAAATTTACAAAGGAAAGAGGTTTAATAGAGAACTCACAGTTCCACGTGGCTGGGGAAGACTCACAATCATGGCGGAAGGCAAGGAGGAGCAAGTCACATTTCATGTGGATGGCAGCAGGCAAACAGAGAGCTTGTGCAGGAAAACTCCAATTTTTAAAGCCATCAGATGTCATCAGACTTATTCATTATCACGAGAACAGTACAGAAAAGACCCGCCCCCATGATTCAATTATCTCCTACTGGGTCCCTCCCACAATATATGGGAATTGTGGGAGCTACAAGATGAGATTTGGGTGGGGACACAGCCAAACCATATCAAAAACCCAAACTGATATGTATTTATTGCATCCTAATGATTTTATCGCTTCCATATATTGTTCCAAACAAGCAGTGTTTTTCACTAACTCTAGAAAATTTATTCTAAGATTCTGACCTGGTCCTGCCTTTTTGTCTTCTCTTTCTAAATGCTCTCCTGATATAATTACTCTTTTCTATGACTTCAAATGAGCAGACTAAAAAATGAGTCTCTAAACAGATCCAATCCTGAAATTTCCAGATGTATATTCCATGTTTCTTCAAGTGGCACAGGAACCTGGGAATGTAAATATTGGAAAACAGCATTTCCATGACCTCTCCAAAGTTGCTCCTCTTCTTGGATGTCCTCCTTAGTGGGCTGGTGAGTCACTCACTGATATCGTTTGGCTCTGTCTCCCCACCCAAATTTCACCTTGAATTGTAAGAATCCCCACATTATTACAATAATCCCCACATTATTACAATTACAAGAGTGGGGCCAAGTAGAGATAATTGAATCATGGAGGTGGTTTCTCCCATACTGTTCTCATGGTAGCGAATAAGTCTCATGAGATCTGATGGTTTTATAAAGGGGAGTTTCCCTGCACACACTCTCTTGCCTGCTGCCATGCAAGATGTGCCTTTGCATCTCCTTTGCCTTCTGCCATGATTGTGAGGCCTCCCCAGCCATGTGGAACTGTGAGTCCATTTAAACCTCTTTGCTTTATAAATTACCCAGTCTCAGGTATGTCTTTATTAGCAGTGTGAGAACAGACTAATACACTCACCATGCATGCTTGCTCACCGCCACTACAGGTCATTGTTCACTTTTCCTTCTCGGTTCTCCAAATTCAGTTGCCCATCAAGAGTCACGGAGGCAACCTTTCACCCCCAACATGAGCACACGCACGCACACACACACACACACACACAACTATATTTCGAATCTCTTGGCTTCTGTCTCAGTTGCCTCAAAGCAGCCCCTGTTACTCTGCCCTGCAACCTTGGATAATCTTGCTGATGTAGGTCCCCTTGTCTAGTTTAACCCCATCATGTTTTCCCCATGGCAGCAACACACACATTCTCGAAAGGCAACTGTGATCATGATATCCACATGATGCAAAGTCCCCCAGTGCTGTTCTCCCATCTGCCAAATAAAAAACAACTGTCTCTAGCCACATGCTCTGTGACTTTCCAGATTTATCCTCTCCTTCCCTCTTAATCTTGCTCTCTAACTAACATCCTCTCTTGAACCTCCACTCCCATGTCACTAGCACAAGCATATGAGCTATTTTCATATCTTAAAACTGGTCCCAGCTAGGCACAGTGGGTCATGCCTCTAATTCCAGTACTTTGGGAGGTCAAGCCATGGGGATTGCTTGAACCCAGGAGAGCAAGACCAGCCTGGACCCTGTCTCTACAAATAAAGAAACCAGCTGAGTGTGGTAGTACATGCCTGTGGTCCCAGCTACTTGGGAGGCTGAGGCAGGAAGATGACTTGAGCCCTGGCAGTTGAGGCTGCAATGAGCTGAGATGGTGCCACTGCATTCCAGCCTGGGCAACAGAGTGAAACCCTGTCTCAAACTAACAAACAAACAAAAAAACAACTGGTCCTATTCTCTCTTGCCTTTAGAGAAGTGTTCCACAAACGTTCCTATGCCTAGGAATCTCCTGGGGAACTTGATAACATGCAGATTCTGACTCTGTCAGTCTGGGATGGAGTTGGAGCTTCTGCAATTCTAACAGTCTTGGAGGCTATGCTGATGCCACCTGTCCTGGGTTAAATTGTGATCAAATATTTTGAAAGCTATGTTGAAGTCCTAACCTCACATATCTGTGAGTATGGCCTTATTTGGAAAGAGGGTCTTTGCAGATATCATCAAGTAAGGATGAGGTCATAATGGATTAGGATGAGCCCTACAGCCAATGACTACTGTCCTTTTAAGAAGGGGAGAGTTGGATACAGACACACACAGAGGGAAGACCATTGGAAGATGGAGATAGATGTGGCCACCAGCCCAGGGATGCCTGGAGCCACGAGGAGCTGGAAGAGGCAGGAAGGATTCTCCCCTAGAGGTTCCTGGGGAAGTGATTTCAGACTTCTGGCCTTGATTTCAAACTTCTGGTCTCCAGAACTGAGAGAGGATAAAGATCGATTGTTTTCAGCCACATAGTTGATGAACCTTTGTTACAGCAGCTCTTGAAAACTGATACACAATTGGTACCTTGGCCATATTTTGAGTAGCAAGGATCTTAGTCTCTCACTTAAGAAGCTAGGATACCTTTCTTCACTGAATCCTCCACAGCTGTACCTTGGTTCTAAGTCTACACCTGGGTGTTGGTTCCAAGAAACTAACAGACTCTAGGAAATGTTCCCAACAGAGCAGCTCACGTTAACTGCTTCCATGACACTGGCAACACAGTGTAGCCATTGTCCGATTCCTTCTGGGCATACCCTGTATGTGCTGAGCATCTTAAGGTCAGTGTTACAGCTTTTTCCATCTTTTGATACATTATTCTTCACATAGATAGTTGATAGTTATTAGGTGCCCACTAAACATTTATGAATAAATAAATGTGTCCAGAAGTTCAATCATAAGCACATTTAACGTCTACTGCTATCTTAGAAATGATGCAACTACTTTCTCATTTTGCAATGAAACAGTTCAAGGCTCAGGAACAGATGTATTAATATGCTTATAAAATTGTTGGAGGTCATGGTGTTTTTAACCTTAGAATGATGCGCTATTAATCCCATTCTAAACCTCTTCTTCATGCAATAATGTTAAAACAGTCCTTCCAGTATGATAGATACTGCTTTGTTATTTTTTAAATCCATAAGGCAGTTAGGAAAATATTTATAAATATATTGCACTGTGGGACCCTTATTACACACAAGAAGTAGGGGGTCATCAATTTTCCATGCCTGGACAGCTGAATGATCATCTGCAAAGGCAATCACCCTTGGAATATTGCTTCTAATAATCCTGCCCATCATTCAAATATTATTTTCTTAATTCATCCATACACCATTTTAAATGCAAATAAAGATCACCTTCCCAATATCTATGAAAATTAAATCCCATTGTGTATGAAAATTTACAACCCTAGCTTATATTAGTTCATAGAACTATATCCCCACAATAGTTCAATCTCCCCGACAAAGTTAACTGAGAAGTCTAATTTGGTGTTTTAATTCAGCCTTGCAGTATTTACTGCTCTTATTCACTGTGTAATTGTTGAATTTTTGGTCCCATTTTGCTGTGCAAGCCTGTATTAAATTGAGAGCCTCCAAGTACCCAGCGTGGCTGCTTATATGTTCTCAGATTAGAACTCTGATAGGCAAATTAACAACCTCCCCCAACCCCCACCGCCAAGAGATGCTCAAGTCCTAGTCCTCAGGGCCTGTGAGTTAAGTTACATTGCATGGCCAAAAGGAGTTTGCAGATGGGATGAAACTATGGATCCTAAAATGGGAAATGATCCTTCATTATCCAGGTGAGCTCAAAGTCATCACACATTTCCTTATAAGAGGGAGGCAGGAAGTCAGAGTCAAATATGGAGAATTGATGACAGAAAAAGAGCTCGGAGTTGTCTTGCAGCAATCCAAGAAATGCGGGTGGCTTCTAGGATCTTGACGAGGCAAGGGGTTTTTTGTTTTGTTTTGTTTTGTTTTGTGTTTTTTCCTAGAGCTTCCACAGGGAGTGCAGTCCTCCTGATACCTTGATTTCAGCCAGGTGAGATCCATGTCAGATTTCTGACCTCCAGAACTGAAACATGATAAATTGACATTATTGGAAGCCACTGAGTTTGTGGCAGTTTTTACAGAAGCCCTAGCTGACTCACACAGACTTAACTCTAGAATATCTTCGTTGAGATCAGTTTTGTCTATGGTGCATCCTTTAAGGATGACAAGAGATGACTTCTGCATGCCTTGGTACCTATGAGTGTTATGACTCCTGAAATAATACAAAGAAAAGAACACACACACACACCAAAAAATGTAACTGTCTTTAAGCCACGTAGTCATGTCTAGCCATATAGTCATGTCATGCATGACTAGCCATATAGTTATGTGACTCTATTTGGCTAGGACAATGTAGAACTGAATTACTAGGCAAGGAAAAAATAAATGGCAAAGTGTAAGAAAATGGAAGGGTCCTTGCAGGATTCACTGTGGGTTGGAAGCTTTGTACAAGGAGATACTCTCTCCTCTCCTGAAGAGAATGAATGGCCAGGCATCTTCAGGAAGGGGAGATGGAGACTGACTCGTTCTGGCCTCTTCAGTCATGCGTCTACAGCAAGCAGCATGAAGGTGGATTCTCACGCATTTTAACCCAAGCAGCATAATCATAGCTTGCAGACCAGTCTCCCCATCTCATCCCCCACCTAATGCCTCTGTCCACCCCAAGGCAACACAGCCCTTGGGCCGCCTGCTTGGCTCTAATTACAACCTTGATGAAGATAAAGGATGTTTGGATCAGTGCTATTGGGCAAGTTATCATTATTCCATCACCAAGGTATCACTCTCTCGGGAACCAACGTTCAGTCTATCTTATGAATGATGTATCTCTATCCCATTTGCTGCGGGCGCTCCACAAATATTAACTATCCATGAACTTTCTCTGCTCTAATGTATGCTTTCCAATTGCAGAGTGATTGAGTGTCTTTGAGATGTATGTGCAGGGTACAAAAAGTGCAAAGGCTGATTTTCTGTGCATGAAACAATTCAGGATGCTGGAGTATATCACTCAGAAATGACTTGGCTTCAAAATATAATTTGCTTTTAAAAATCACCAATAATAGTGTCTTATACTTAGAACGTCATCTGTAGCCTCCTTCATACATGGCTGTCCTTTGAAGGAAAACACCACACTCAAGTTACGTAGCTTAACAACAAACCAGGGTCTTAAATTGTACGACCAAATGTTCAGTAAGAAGCATTGTGTGAGTGCTTTCCCCTAAAACAGTAATGCACATAAAAATGAGGTAGTTTTAAAAATATGAAGCATGAAAAATAAAGCTTATAAAATAAAGTATCTTTGTTGGTGATGTTATTCGAAAGGACAGGATTGGAAGAAGAAAATCTGATTTTTGTTACAGATTCTCTGTGATTTTCTAGTGTTCTCTATAAATAATAGTATTAAAATTAAAATTAAAAAGTGCTGTTTATGCCAAATTCAATAGGACACCCACACTGTGCTCAGAAATATATATAATATACGTCATATATGTTTATAAAAATTTTCATATGTAATACATATTTATTTACATATTTGCAATATATGCTTTCATATTTATATATAACATGAGTACTATGTTAATGTTAATTACACCCTATATTTATATCATAAAGTCGATATAATTTTATATTGTATATAGATGGATATGTATGTAAGTTTTCAAATTTCATATAATCTTGGTATCAATGCAAGGTGTTAGTATTAATATTTTTCTCATTTTACAGATGAGGAAACTGAGGCCCAGGGGTTATGGTTAACTTTCCCAGGAGCTGTAATGAAGTGTCAGGATGGGGATATAAGCATGAAATGGCTCTAGAATCGTATCCTGTTGGACTGGCTTCTTTGGGACCACCCCCGTGCTCACGTAGATGCAGGTGTTGGGACCATCTCAGACCTACAGAATGAGAATCACCATGCAGGTTCAGAATCTGCAATTTTTTTTATACTTAAAGTTCTAGGGTACATGTGCACAACGTGCAGGTTTGATACATAGGTTTACATGTGCCATGTTGGTTTGCTGCAGCCATCAACTCATCATTTACATTAGGTATTTCTCCTAATGCTATCCCTCCCCCAGCCCCCTATCCCCCGACAGGCCTTGGTGTGCGAAGTTCCCCGCCCCGTGTCCATGTGTTCTCATTGTTCAATTCCCACCTATGAGTGAGAACATGCGGTGTTTGGTTTTCTGTCCTTGTGATAGTTTGCTTTTAAATGCATTGTACAAGTGATTCTTAAGCAACCTATAATTTGAGAATTGCTGCTTTCCCAATTAAATTGGTTCCAATGCCACTTTCAGTTTTACATTCTAAGGGGACTTTGGAGATTCAGTGACGATTTTGCGATATTATTCCCAGATCTCTTGGCTAATTGCTTGCTATGTTTTCATAGAGGGACTCACGAAACATGAATTTGAATGCTCACAACACCCCCACAGGAAAGATCAGTTATTAGAAATGCATCACTGATTTGCCTGAATATATTTCTAAAGGGAACACAAAGGCAGGAAAAGAAACAATTTAAATCCTATACCAATTTGTACATGCTGAACAACTTATATTTCTTAATCAGACTCAAAGCCACTCATTATTATATAGGTCCAGCGTTCTATCAAGAACTGTCTTCATTTCCCAGGGCTGCAATAACAATGTAACACAAACTGAGTGGGATTAAAAACTGAAATTAAAAAAAAAAGATGCTCAAAACATTCTGAAGACCAAAAGTCAGAAATCAAGGTGTCTCAGGGCTGCACTCAACATTGGAGGCCATGGGGGAGGATCCTTCCTGCCTCTCCCAGCTCCTGGGAGCTTCAGGTGTCCTGGGCTTATGGTCGCATTCCTCCAGTCTCTGGCTCCATCTCCACATGGCCTTCTCCTCTGTGTCTATGTCTCCTCTTCTGTCTCTTAGAAGTACCCTGGTCATTGGATTTAGGGCCACCTTAATCCAGGATGATAGCATATTAATTTGATTATGTCTGCAAAAATTCTATTTCCAAATGTGGCCACTTTTATAGGTCCAGAGTGGGTATATATGTATGTATGTATGTATGTATATGTACATATATATTTGTGGAGGGGACCATTTGACCCAGTAGAATGACCTTCAGTGTAAAAATATAACCAAACATTTGCATAATTTTAGACAAGTTTGAAAATAATGAATGAGTACTTATTTTACAGAGGTAAACATTTTAGGAAAAACATATTCTTATAGGCTGACAGTGTAGCTTTATGACAAAATTAGTCAGGAGCTTGTGCCTATGTGCACTTGTGAATGTGGTCTTTGCACATTGGATCGGGGTATTGGTGGATAGCCATGGTTCGTTTCCTTTTGCCAGGAGGATACATTTCCTAGCACTCTACAAAGCTGCTCTGAGTGTACCATTGACCTTTCCATAAATCTGTTATTCTTCTCACATTCCTCTCCACAGACTCTTTTTTCCCTCCAATGGTATTTGTAGAAGGAAGACACAGAAATCTATTACATCTTCTTTACTTTAACCTTTTAGTTATGTAGTTTTTGTCCTCCTCTGTAGTGAGATACCATTCCTACTCTAAGTGCAGATCACGGAAGACCTTCATGGCCAAATCATTTACTTGAATTTTATTATTACACAACCAGTTCAGTTGACCTTTTGTAATTCTGCTAATCAACATAGATGCTTGAGGTGAAACTTAAGAATACAGTGAAATCTTCCTGTTTATGGAATATTTTATTTGCATATGTTGGATCCCTCTATCTAACTGAATATATTCAGTTTAACTTGTTTAACCACAGTAGCTATTTTGTTGTTCTGTAAGCTAGATGCACACTGCCCTTGTGTTCCACCTCATACATTGACTTTCTTAGTGTGAAATTAGAATTTAACATACAGAGTAAATGTTAAACAATGGCTTTCTGTACCTTCTTGAGGGAGGCTATAATTCCCACTGCCACTAAATCCCACTTCTTCAGTTATATTAGGAATAAAATTATGAGAGCATAAATAGCTAACTTCTAGACATGGCATATAACACCACTCTACATTGTCCAGGAGAAAATTAATTGTAAACACGGCCAAGTGAGTCTCTCTGTCTTGTGTTAAAATGCTGTCCGATTTTTTGGCCAGTATTATGCTAGAAAATGTAGTCCTTTTCTCCCTCATAATGGGAAAAAGTGACCATAGTTAAGTCCATATGAAAGATTGACAGGCCCATGAAAAGGTGAGAGGAAAAGAGAACTATATCAGACATCCCAAAACTCTATATAGTCCTATGTGCTCAGTCCTGAGCTCATATCTGCAAGGTTGAGTAGCCTGAACTTGAGAACAGGGCCAAAGAGGACATGTTTTTCAGCTCTATGCACACCATTTTTGCTCCAGAGACGTAGCTCGATGAGCTGCTTTGTAAATGAATGTTCTTGCTCATAAAGGGAATTGTGCAAAAGCAAATGAGTAGCTTAATGCCTGAAAGCCCATTACCACCATCATGAAATGTTTTGTGTCAATGTCTGCAGATCTTGGTAAGAACTCTCTGTGGTGTACACATTCATTCATATGGAGAAAATGTGGCATCAAGGAAAGACCATGGGCTTCCAAAGGCAATTACATTCAGGTGCAGGCACGGCTTCCTGGCTTGGAGACAGGCTATAGAATGATTTTGACTTCCTGCATCTGCATCTTATACATGCATATCTATATCAAAGGTAATACATCCCTATCACATGCACTATCTTATGTACAGCCCTGAGCATTATGTTTGGGTCTAAATATAGGAATTTAAAAGCAAAGAAACTGGAGTAGCATAAACTGGGTTTACCTCTCTGCTCAGCCATTTACTACCCATGTGAACGGACACCCTACTTAATTTTGCTGCCTCGGTTTCCTCAGCTATAAAATAGGGAAAATAATGGAATTTTTTCTCATCGTGTGGCCAAAAAATGACATAATAATACATGACAAATGCTTACAATCATGCCTGGCCCATTTTAAGTGCACATATATCTTATTATTTGTACAGAGGACATTCTAATAGGGATAGCTTCTATACTTGTCAGTTTTAGCAGGAATAAGGACATGTGGGATTGAGACCATATTTCTGCAGTATACCTTTGAGCCCCTTAAATGCAAAAAAGAGAAAGAATATCAGACATACGAAATAACACATCTTATCCGTGGTTGTATTGTGGGCATACAATTTAAATTCCTGTTATCATTAAAAAATGGAATACATTTTGTCATTATATTATTTTTTTAGGAGGATAGTTCCCTCAAGGGAAAAAATCATTAGACAAGAAAAGTTTACTTAATTATAAATATAAAAATATAAATAAATGTCCGGGCGCAGTGGCTCACGCCTGTAATCCCACCACTTTGAGAGACCAAGGCGGGCGGATCGTCTGAGGTTAGGAGTTCGAGACCAGCCTGGCCAACATGGCGAAACCCCGTCTCTACTAAAAAAAATATACAGCCGGGCGCGGTGGCTCACACCTGTAATCCTAGCACTTTGGGTGGCCGAGGCGGGCGGATCACGAGGTCAGGAGATCAAGACCATCCTGGCTAGCACGGTGAAACCCCATCTCTACTAAAAATACAAAAAATTAGCCGGGCGCGGTGGCGGGTGCCTGTAGTCCCAGCTACTCGGGAGGCTGAGGCAGGAGAAAGGCGTGAACCCAGGAGGCGGAGCTTGCAGTGAGCCGAGATTGCGCCACTGCACTCCAGCCTGGGTGACAGAGCGAAACTCTGTCTTAAAAAAAAAAAATACAAAAATTAGCTGGGCATGGTGGCGCATACCTGTAATCCCAGCTACTCGGGAGGCTGAGGCAGGAGAATCGCTTGAACCCAGGAGGCGGAGGTTGCAGTGAGCCGAGATCGTGCCCCTACGCTCTAGACTGGGTGACAGAGCGAGATTCCATCTCAAAAAAAAAAAAATTATATATATATATATATGCACACACACACATGATATGGCAATAGGCTTACAGGAAAAGCGAAATATTATTTTATAAAATAGTCACTCTCTAAATAATGATTATATACATGATATGGCAATAAGCTTACAAGAAAAGCGAAAATTATTATTTTATTAAAAAATCAGTCTCTGAATAATGATCATTTCCAAAATATGTTTTTATAAGCAATTGTCCTTTTCAGAGAGTGATTAAATCGAATCATGTTCAATACCTTGTAAAGCAAATAGAATTTCCCTGAAGGGCACTTGTAGGGCCAAATCGTTCATAGTTTGCCTCCAAAACATGTTTGCAAGTGAAAGGTGTAGTCCTATTTAATTTCCTATTCAAATTATTTTTGAATTTCTCACGCAAATCACATCACACTGTTTTATTATACTGGTATTCAGATTTTCATACATACACACACAAACACTAGACATTAATTTTTAAACTATATTTGCCTTTAATTTTAAATATCTTTTTTACTATTGGCTTTGAAGTTCCTTAAATGACCCCATTCCCTTTAGTCACTGAATCATGCACTTAAAATATTAAACATTTAGCAAGAAGAAAAGGGACCGGGCATCACATTGTTAAATTGCATAATAATTAATATTAGTTATTTTTAGACTGTTACGATAATGCTGATTTTTTTCTTTGTGCACTTTTATCAATTTCAAGTGTTCTACATTTGAATTACATTCTATTATAAAATAAAAGATTCATCTTTGCCCCTCACCATCACTTCTTTGCCTTTTTCTGGTAGATACATGATTTCTATCATTATTAGGGTCATTTGCAATTGACATATTTTTTCCATAGCTTCCCTACAACTCTAACTTGAAATTTCACAAAACATCCAGGGCAATTTTTGGGTTAACTACAGGATATCTGTATCAATCAATACACTTTCATTTTATATATATCCTAACCATCTCTGTACTTTTTTACATAAACTCTTCCATGTTATTGTTGTGGGACTCTTCCTTAGTTCAGCCAAAGACAAGGTCCTTGTCACAAGGCCATGAAATTTAGGCTCGCAGACCATTTGAAGAGTGAATAAAGCAGGATTTTATTGGGTGAAAAAGAAAAGAAAAGGGAAACAGGGACTCTCCACAAAGCCAGAGGTCCTCTAGTGTGCTTCCTGCCTTGCAGCTTGAAATCCAGGTACCACCCAGGAAAGGGAGGGGCCTAGCTCCTCCCCACTGCAACCCCTGCAAACTTCTGTATCTCTACCCCACTGTGAGCTCTTCCCAGTGTGCAGGTTGGTCGGAGGCTCTGCCAGAGAGCCCTTCCCACCTGGCTGTTTCATTATAGGCACCATTAAATTTGGCAAAATGCTTTTTTGGCAAAAAGCATTTCCTGCTTTTTCTAGTATATGTCTGGGAATATGTATCATAGAGAAGAAACCCTCTTACCCTGAAACTACAAGTTTCAATTTAGAAAGAAATGTTTCTAACACATATACCATATGTTGAAGATACGGGTCTCAGTATAAGCCTAACAAAGCCTTCATGTTTTCCAATTTTATAATGTGAAGGCAAGAGAAAGCAAGGTGTCAATAACATTTAAATATGTGATGGAGGTGTTAATTCCAGCATCAGGAAGAATCTGAAGAATGAAGCAAATTATTTTCCAGACCAAGAAAACAATGAAAGGGAGACAGAAACATAATAACCTACACAGGTTTTTGATCATAGCCAACCCCACCTTCATTTGATGACATAGAACAAAGATGAACACAATTTACCATAAGGGACAGAGAGTCAATATTTTCAGCTTTGTGAGTCAGGCGGTCCACTCTGACATTGTAAAGCAAAAGCATCCACAGACAACAGGCAAATGCATGTGCCTGACTGTGCACTAATAAAACTTTATTTAAAAAAACAGGCCAGAGGGCTGGATGGCAGAATGTAGTGTATCAACACTCCACCTTACAATTCCCCCTAAGGAGAGCAAATATATTCTTCTCACCATTTATGCAGTGCCAATTCCTAAGTTAAACACAAATATCAACAAACAAACTCCCAAATAAATAAAATGTACAGAAATTTTCCAACTCTCCAGAGCATAACACTGGTCTGTCCTCAGCCCAAAGCATCTCTCACCTGTTTCTGCACACCTAGTTCTGTTTTTCTACACCCAGGGAGAAGGTGCAGGTTCCAGGATCAGTTGCTAAGCTTCCAGCAGTGCTGAGTATCGTGAGAGATAATTTGACCCTAACTATAACGCTGTAGGTGGGGGCTAAGCAAATGAGCCCTGGTAGGCATGCATGCTCTGCATCTGAGAGTAACTTGTTTTTAAATTTATTTCAGATCTGCTCAGAAAAGTAGGGAAACAGACTGACGGAGTAGGAGGAAGCTAAGACAGCTAAAAACTATGAGGCAACGGCTGCTTGGAACAGAGGGCCCAAAGCTGTCATGGCAAGCTGCCCTGCAGCCCAGGTTGGAGTGGCTGTCAAGCAGTGAGGCTTTGGGAACCTCCCTCCACCAGCCTGGTGACAAGTATCACCTTGTTCAAGATGAGGAAGACAAACTTATTTTTTTTTTAATGAAGAAAAAAAGAATGGAGACTTTATCCAGGGTATGCAAACAGCTCGAAAATAGACTACTATGTCAGAAGAAAAAAAAACTGCATTAGAAACAGGATTTTATACCTCTAAATTATATCAGAAATGTAAAGAATAAAGTAGGACATTTGTTGCTTTATTCAATAGCTCCTTTGTAGCATATATGGTGCTATTTTGTAACAAGGCTGTTCCTGAGTGAGAGGGCAGGCATTATTGCAAAAAAGATGTCCACCAGCCCTCAGGGAACTTACAGTCTAGAGGGAGAAGGAAAAAGGTTAAGAAGTGATGATTGGCCAGGTACAGTGGCTCACACCTGTAATCCCAGCAATTTGGGAGGCCAGCGCAGAAGGATTGTTTGAGACCAGGAGATTAAGACCAGCCTGGGCAACACAATGGGACCTCATCTCTTAAAAAAAAAACAAAAACAATAGCCAGTCATGGTGATGTGTGTGTGCCTGTGATCCCAGCTACTTGGGAGGCTGAGGTGAGAGGATCCCTTGAGATCAGGTGGTGAAGATCAGCCTGGGCAACATATCAGGATCCTTTGAGGTTGAGGCTGCAGTGGGCTATGATCACATCCCCGCACTCCAACCTGAGCAACAAACGGAGACCCTGTCTGTAAAACGAAAGAAAGAAAGAAAGAAAGAAAGAAAGAAAGAAAGAAAGAAAGAAAGAAAGAAAGAGAGAGAGAGAGAGAGAGAGAAAGAAAGAAAGAAAGAAAGAAAGAAAGAAAGAAAGAAAGAAAGAAAGAGAGAGAGAGAGAGAGAAAGAAAGAAAGAGAAAGAAAGAAAGAAAGAGAAAGAGAAAGGAAGGAAGGAAGGAAGGAAGGAAGAAAAAGAAAGAAAGAAAGAAAGAAAGAAAGAAAGAAAGAAAGAAAGAAAGAAAGAGAAAGAGGAAGGAAGGAAGGAAGAAAGAAAGAAAGGAAGGAAGGAAGAAAGAAAGAAAGGAAGGAAGGAAGGAAGGAAGGAAGGAAGGAAGGAAGAAAGAGAGAGAGAGAGAGAAAGAAAGAGAGAAAGAAAGAGTGAGCCGGGTGTGATGGCTCACACCTGTAATCCTAGCACTTTGGCAGGCTGAGGCAGGGAAGTCGTTTGAGGTTAGGAGCTCCAGACCAGACTGCCCAACATGGTGAAACCTGTCTCTACTAAAAATCCAAAAAGATCAGCTGGAGTGGTGGGGGGCTCCTGTAGTCCCAGCTAAGTGGAGGCCAAGGCAGAAGAATTGCTTGAACCTAGGAGGTAGAGGTTGCAATGAGCCAAAATTGCGCCACTGCACTCCAGCCTGGGTGACAGAGCGAGACTCCATCTCAAAAAAAAAAAAAAAAAAAGTGATGGTCTGGGTTTCTAAGCCAGTATAGAGAGATGCAGGAAGATTTTGTTTGCTTTGTTTGTGGAGGAGAAGAAATGTCTATACAGAGACCTAATGAATGACATCAGATAAAGATATTAATAGTAAAGAATGTACGTAAGATAGCTGATTCCAGGGTACCACTAGGCATAAGAGTACAGAAAGCTACCTTATTTGAGGACCAAAAGCTGTTTGGAATATTTGGATCGTCAGTTCGGTGAATGGAGCACACACAGAAAATAAGTACATATTTTAAAAGAAAGTCAGGAAGCATTGTTGAAGGCTGCAGTAGATTGAATGGTGTCTCCCCAAAAGATATGTCCCTATCACAATCTCGGGAGCCTGTGAATATGAGCTTATTTGAGAAAAACATCTTTGAAGATGCAATTATGGTGAGGATCTGAAGATGAGATTAACTTGGATTTTCTAGGTGGGCCCTAAATCCAATGACAGGTGTCCTTTTAAGAGACAAAAGAGAAAAGGCTAAGTGGAGATGGAAGCAGAGATAGGGGAGACTTGGCCACAAGCCAAGGGACACCTGAAGCCACCAGGACCTGGAAGAGGAAGGAAGGATCGTTCCCTGGAGCCTCCAGAGGGGGCACAGCCCTGCTCACACCTTGATTTTGGACCTCTGGCCTCCAAAGCTGTGAGATAATAAATTTCTGTTGTTATAAGTCACCAAATATGTGGCATTTTAAAAATAGCAGCCATGAGAATCTAATACAAGGAATATACAAATAAATGTGAAAAAGATAAAGTGTTAAACCATTTTCATGAAGAGGAAGAGACAATTTTGCTAAGATATGAGTTGTTTCTCCAATTTAATCTAAAAATGTATTTCTTACATCTGATAGGCTAGTACAGAATATCTTATTCATTCGAAAATAGATTAAAAATGGGAAAGAAGACATCACAGAAGAGCAAGATAGATTTACCACAGCACATATCAAATTATGTCATTATCCTTTTAAACCAATTCAAATATTTGTTCTTGGCACAGAGTTGAGAAATGGTTATCCCCTGCAAGCCTGTACTTCACTCATTACCACTGTTTCTGCCCCAAGTTAAAAATGCAACAGATGGCCAGGTGCAATGGCTCATGCCTGTAATCCCAGCAGTTTGGGAAGCTGAGGCAGGGGAATCGCTTTAAGTTAGGAGTTCAAGACCAGCCTGGGCAACATAGTGAGACCCTCTTTTCTACCAAAAAAAAAAATTAGCCAGGTTCTGTGGTATGCATCTGTGGTCTTAGTGACTCAGGAGGCTAACGTGGGAGAATCACTTGAGCTCAGGAGTTTGAGGCTGCAGTGAGCTATGATTGCGCAATCCAGCCTGGGTGACAGAATGAGACTGTGTCTCTAAAGAAATTTTTAAAATAAAATAAAATTAATACATAAATAAAGTGCAACAGATTTGGAGAGAAGATGATGAGGTGGAGCCCTTGGTTTGGTAAGGAGAACTATGACTTTTCCTTCCGCACCAAAAAGGGTGCCATCCTTCCCTTCCCAAGCCAAGTAAGACAGGCAGAAGATAATTAATCAGAGAATTTGGAGAACTCCACATCAAGGGAAGGAGAATGCTATCTCATTTCCTGTGCGGTACCTGCCTATGTATGCATCAGCATATCTTACGCTTTTGCCTTGCAGGGCACTGTGATGGTAAATTTTATGTCAACTTGACCGGGCCACACGGTGCTTATGATTGTGGGTGTGTCTGCGAGAGTGTTTCTGGATGAGATTGGCATTTGTGTCTATGGAACTGATAATGTAGATGGCCTTTTCCAATGTGGGTGGGAAATAGCCAATCTGTTGAGGGTCTCAGTAAAACAAAAAGGCAGAGGAAGTAGTTTTCTCTTTTTGCTTCCTGACTGCCTGCCTGAGCTGGGACATGAGGCTGCTGCTGTCCTTGAGCTAGGGTTTTCCCTTGGTTCTCATGGCTTTTCTGGTCTTTAGTCTTGGTTCAGATTATATCAGAGACTTTTCCTGAGTTTCTAGCTTGCAGAAGGCAGATCATGGGACTTCTCAGCTCATAATTGTGTGGCCCAATTTCTCTTAATAAATCTATTAATACATACATAGATAGATAGTTACGTAGGTATATAGAGATATCATCTACTTGTATATCAAATACAGTTGGACCTTGGCTGGGTGCAGTGGCTCACACCTATAATCCCAACACTTTGGGAGGCCAAGGCAGGAGGATCACTTAAGACCAGGAGTTCGAGACCAGCCTGGCCACCATGGTGAAACCTCATCTCTACTAAAAATAAAAAAAAAATCAGCCGGACATGGTGGCACATGTCTGTAATCTCAGCTACTCGGGAGGCTGAGGCACGAGAATCACATGAACCTGGGGGATGGAGGTTGCAGTGAGCTGAGATTGTGCCACTGCACTTCAGCCTGAGCAACAGACTGGGACTCTGTCTCAAAAAACAAAACAAAACAAGTACAGTAGGACCTCTTTATCTGTGGGTTCCACATCCATGGGTTCAACCAACCATGTTTTAAAACCATTTTAAAAAATAAATAATAGCAGTACAACAATTAGAACAATAATAAATTTTAAAAATGAAGTATAATGCTCGCTTGAGTAGCATTTACATTGTATTAGGAATCATAAGTAATATAAAAATGATTTAAAGTATCTGGAGAATGTGTGTAGGTTACATGCAAATATGACACCATTTTATAGGAAGGATTTGTGTAGTCATTGATTTTGGTATCCTTGAAGGATCCTGAAACCAATCCCGCACAGATAACAGGGTACAACTCTCTTTATATATGTCTAAATCTGTATTATGGAACCAATAAGATATATAAAAGCATATATATGAAGAGATTTTTACATATGTGTACATGTGATACAGTTGTATCTATTGTCTATGTCTCTCTCTATATATATGGTCCAGTGACTATTCACCAACAGAAATTCAGACACTATATATATATATATATATACACACACTCATATATATGCACTCCCATACCCATATATGTACATATAACTGTATATATATGTATGATATATATCCCATACATATTATATATATATACACCCAAATATGTACACATTCATATATACCCCCATATATATTCATATGAATATAAACTCATATATATGCTCATATATATAAACCCATATACATACATAAACTCATATATGTATGCCCATATACCTAAACCCATATATGTGTGTGTGTGTGTGTGTGTGTGTGTGTGTGTGTATGCATATATTTTATTGGCTCTATGTCTGTATATCTCTGGAGTACTCCTACTAATACAACCAGGAGATATGGAACTAGGGAGAGTTTCCAGGTGAAGAAAGGGTGAAACCATGTAGCAATAGAGCAAGCCGCACTCTGGCTATTTCAAGTGACAAGAAAGTCTGGGTATCCTATTTGTCATGATCACCAAAGAGAGTGAGTGGTTTTGGCCTTCCCCAAAACTCCTCAACATGTCCCATGCAAGAGCTGCCATACTGAGTGCCTAAATAGCCTCTGTTAGCCAAGGGGAGGTGACAGCATTGTGGATCAGTGAGAGATTCCACGTATTTATCTCCCCGTTTTAATCTCCTCACCCCAACACAGCAATTGAGTCAGCTCAGAATTAGGAAGGGAAATGAGGGGGTATTAAATTGGATATGAGGCTGAACTTTTTTTTTACTTTTGTGTAATTTCTTTTTTTTATTATTATTATTATTGTTATACTTTAAGTTTTAGGGTACATGTGCACAACGTGCAGGTTTGTTACATATGTATACATGTGCCATGTTGGTGTGCTGCAGCCATTAACTCGTCATTTAACACTAGGTATATCTCCTAATGCTATCCCTCCCCCCTCCCCACTCCCCCCACCCAAGGCTGAACTTTTTAAACTAGGCAAACAGGACTGGACATTATTATTGTTGTGACCAGAATGCTGAGGACTTGGCCTCATGTGATTATTCAGAGACCAGACAGAGAACTTCAAGAGAGCATATTTGAAGGCAAGGAAACAGACACATTCCACTGTTTATAGTTTTCCATGTTCAGTCTTCACAACAAAAAACTTTCCTATATGACAGCCTCCTGCTGCAAGTACCTACAAAGAAACATCACCACATTCTATTGACTATCTGTTTTTGCAGCTTTCTTCCCACTAGGTTGTCAATTTTTCTCCCATTTATTTTTTCCTTTTCTTTTTTTTAAAGAATAAGAAATGCATATTTATCTTCTCTCTCAAAAGCATGTAGAAAGTAACGAAAGAGGAGGTCTTTATAAACATTTGCCGAATTGAACTGAGATTCTATGAGACATTCACATATTCGTGTTACCCCATAGATTTCATAATCCAGGACTCCTGGTGATTTGAGGAATCTTCTTGGAATTTCATTTGTGTATGGCAGGACTATTATTTAAACTTGTATTACTTTTCTGAGGATCCTCACCTTACTAAAACAAATCTCCCACTCAACTAATGAATGAATGAGCTGATCTCCGACACAAATAAAAACATGGCAGCCAACAAGCATCATGTTTCCCCACAGCCTCTCTTACCTCTTTCCTTCAGCCTTCAGTCCTCTTCCCCAGCCACTGAACCTCAGAATAAAAGTTGTCTCACCCTTGCTTCAATTGCTTGGAAAGAGAAATACATCAACCATTGCCAGAAAAAGTAGAGGTCACCCAATTAAATTTGAATTTCAGATAAAGAACAAACATATTCTTAGCAAGAATAAGTCCCAAGTATTATTTAGAACATACTATACTATTCATTGTTTAGTGAAATTCAAATCTAACTGGGTGTCCCATTTTTGCATTTGCTAAAATCCCTGTTGTATTTCTTGTCCCATTGTATTTTTCAGAGTTTCCCTCTTTAAGCTGTGCCTTCACTTTATCCTATTTCCCTCTCTGCATAGTTTTATACGTCCATGACTCTGTTTTTGCTGATGGTATACGGTGCCCTCCTTGCTTCCACAAACACATTTTTGCATTATGTCATTTCTATTCATTCCCTAAGCATCCTAAACTCCTCCAAAATTCAAACCCAGTTGGGGGCTACAAGAAGTCAGGAAATCTGATTATAATTTTTGGAAGGCGTTAATTATTGATTTAGTTTATCGAATAGGTGTAGCCTATTAAGTATTCTTCCTTGAGTGAGTTTTGGTTGATTATGTCTTTTAAAGGAATAGATCTATTTCATCTAGATCAGCGGTCCCCAGCCTTTTTGGCACCAAGGGCTGGTTTTGTGGAAGACAATTTTCCCATGGGCCAGGGGAGGGTTACAGATGGTTTGGGGGTAATTCAAGCACATTACATTTATTGTGCACTTTATTTCTATTATTGTTACATTATAATATATAATGAAATAATTATACAACTCATCATAATGTAGAACCAGTGGGAGCCCTGAGCTTGTTTTCCTGCAACTAGACAACCCCATCCGGGGGTGATGGAGGACAGTGACAGATCATCAGGCATTAGATTCTCATAAGGAGCATGCAACCTAGATCCCTTGCATCCACAGTTCACAATAGGATTCGTGCTTCTACGAGAATCTAGTGCTGCTGATGATCTGACAGGAGATGGAGCTCAGGCAGTAATAATGCCAGTGATGGAAAGTGGTTGTAAATACAGATGAAGCTTCCATCACTTGCCCACCACTTACCTCCTGCTGTGCAGCCTAGTTTCTAGCAGGCCACAGACCTGTACCAGTCCATGGCCCCAGGATTGGAGACTCCTGATCGAAATCATGAGCATAGAGTTGTTCATAATATAATCTTTTCTTATTATCCTTTTAATGTCCGTGAGATCAGTAGGGATGGCCCCTCTTTCCTTTCTTCCTCTTTCCTTCCTATTAATAGTGTGTGTTTTCTCTCTATTTTTCTTGGTTTGTCTCACTAGTCTAGGCTTATCAATTTTATTGATCTTTTCAAACAACTCATTGATCATTGATTATGACATTTTGGAGGACATGAATTAGATGTTTCTGTCTTCTGTCCTCATACTACTACCTTTGCCAGGGTAGAGCTGGGTCTGCTTCCAAGCGTAGTTAGCCACAATCTTTGCCCAGAGGCAGACAGATGCTCTGAGGCGCTCAATCAAGCTGATTTTGGCCCTAATCCTGCCCTAGGAGACAGGGGCAGAATTAATCTAATTTTCAACAGTTAAATGATGAAGAAACTTATTTTGTCCCTTTCATGGAAATTACAGATGAGTTGGAAAGGCAGACAATAAACAATTTATTTAAAGAACTATGAGTAATTTGCAGACAAAATATAGAAAAATATAAATAATATAATAGCTGAACGAGTTTACATTCCCACCAGCAGCCACTGTGGAAAGCAGTTTGGAGATTTCTCAAAGGACTTAAAATAGAACTATTGTTTGACCCAGCAATCTCATTAGTGGGTACATAGCCGAAGAAGTATAAATCATTTTACCAAAAAGACATATGCATGAATATATTCATTGCAGCACAATTCACCCTAGCAAGGACATGGAATCAACCTAAATGCCCATCAATGGTAGACTGGATAAAGAAAATGTGGTACATATGCATCACGGAATACTATGCAACCATAAAAAAGAATGAAATCATGTTCTTTGCAGCAACATGGATGCAGGTGGAGGTCGTTATCCTAAGCAAACTAACAGAGAAACAGAAAACCAGATGCCACATTTTTAATTATAAGTGGGAGCTAAACACTGAGTACACATGGAAACAAAAAAGGGAACAGCAGGTTCTGAGGCTTACTTGAGGGTGGGAGGTGGGAGGAGGGAGATGATTGAAAAACCACCCATTGAATACTATGCTAATTACCTGCCTTGAGAAATAATTCATACACCAAACTCCTCTGACACTCAATTTACCCATCTAACAAACCTGCACACGTAACCCTTAACCTAAAATAAAAGTTGGAAGAAAATAAATAGATAAAAAGAAAAAAAAAGAAAAATATCACTTCTCCCCCCAAAAAAAGAACAAAATGGAAAGTCTATTGAAGATTGTGGAGTCAGTTAAGTGATTCTTGTGGATATCAATTAAATATCACTATCCCTTTTCCTCAACATGATGAATTACTGCTGTGCTTGGGAGATGAGAGAGTTTAGAGGTTCAAATGAAGGTGTGTGTGACACGGATACAGTTGCCAGACTGAATTGACAAAATGAAGACCATAACTAAAAAAAGAAGAGGGTGAGGGATAAAAAACTATATATCGGGTACAATGTACACTATTTAGGTGACATGTGCACTAAAATCTCAGACTTCACCACTATACAATTCATCCATGTAACCGAAAACCATGTGTACCCCAAAGGCTGTTGAAATAAGAAAATAAATAATAATAAAATAAAATAAAAATAAAATAAATTTTAAAAATACAGCAACCACAGCCTGACAAAAAAATGGAGCAAAATTCATGTCATCAGGAAACGAAGTTCATGAAAGAGAGCATCATCTGTTGCTGAAAACCAGGGTTAATGCTGCAGCATCTTCAACAACTAGTCCAGGTAAGATCTTTACCTTCCAGGTAAGCTAGTTCAGCGTTCACCAGAACTGAGGAGCATAATCATAAAAAAATAGAAATGTAAGTGGAGTCTGGTACCTAAACTCATTTATATGCATTGGGAAAATGCTCCTGGGATATACATTACACACGTTTTCAAATGTTTTACGTGTCAGGTAATTGTGTAAGTTGCAATTCTTGCCACATGTGAATCACTTCCTTTACATTTTGCTTTTTGATAGAAAGGACTCTACTTCCTAATTATCCAGCCAGTTGCTCCTTTTCTGCAAAATCCAGCCCAAGGTGTGTTATTCTAAGATAGCATGCGACTAAGCAAGTCAGATAAAAGAAATCATAAAACAGGTCAGGTTTTAAAAATTAATCTTTATTCTATGGTTTAAGGGAAGCTAAACCAGCAGAAAATGAAATCCTAACAAAGAAGAATTGGAAAATGAAGTTTTAGCCTCAGGGGAAATATCAGAAAATGACTAATATGTTAAAAAAAATAGAGCTCAGATTGAGAGTGTGAAAAAAAGAAAAGAATGGAAATCACTAATCAAAAATGCATGACATTGTCCTGAATAATAAATGATGTGTAAACACTGAACTAATATGAGCTGTGTACATTGTGATTTTTTTAAAAAAATTTAGAAAATGAAAAGAAAAAGCATGAAGGATAAGAGAAAATATCTGGTATTGAAGAGGCGAATAAATGCATTTGTGAAGTGACTGGATGATATTTTGGATACATAATTGGAACAAGAGAAGGTTCCTTTTATATTAATGGAAGGGACAAGTGCTCCCATAGGGGTTCTGTGGGAAGGTTCCTGTTACTGTGGTTTAAGATGCCCTTTTACCTAAAGCTACTGGTCTCAACCATTTAGAACCACCTTGGTTTGCTGCCTTAGAACTATGAGTTATTTTGGAGGCTGGGTATCTAGAAAAAGATTCTGGCAAGATGAACATGAGTTCAACCAAGTTATACATACCTTTGGTCAAAGACTACTAGAGTTCCTTACGTCTTGGTGATTTTCCTAGTGAATTTGTAGGGTGTTTTGTATTCTTCAGAAAACCAGCTGGAAAACATTTCAGAAAACTCTCTCAGTAGCCAACAATAATCCCTTAAACATTGTTGAGAAATCATGGGAGGGTCTATGGGGTTTAACCAAGTGGATTTGGTAGCTTAAGTCAGTATTAACGGCAATCAAGCAAGACCTCTGTCTTCATATCCTGGTGGGGAGTGGCCAGACCCTAGGTTGGACAACTGTAAGGGAAGGTTGCTTGCTGGCTAAGTGGCATCTCACTGTCCATTCTGAAGTTTTCTATAACTATGGACAAAATTATATACCATGGGCTGTCTGTGAATAAATATGGAGTAGTTTTGTTTCTCTTTGCTTCATTCTCCTGAAATGAATATTTTTCACTATGGAAGAATGGAAGCAAGATATATATATTTCACTTCATTCCTCTTTCGGCCTAAACAATTTATGATAGACATTGACGCTAAAATAAACACATTCCTGCTACAAAATATATGTTCTTTATCAATGTGCTAGCTGATAGTACAGCCATTGTGGAAAACATCGTGGAGTTTTCTCAGAAAACTAAAAATAGAACTACCATATAATCCAGCAAATCCACTACTGGGTATTTATTCAAAGAAAAAGAAGTCAGCATATCAAAGGGATACCTGCACTTGCATGTTTATTGCAGCACTATTCACAATAATAAAGATATCGAATCAACATAAGAGTCCACCAACAGATAGATGGATAAGGAAAATGTGGTACATATACTCAACAGAATGCTACTCAGCTTTTAAAAAGAAAGAAATGTTGTCATGTGCAGAAAGATGGGTGGAACTGGAGGTCATTATGTTAAAGAAAATAAGCCAGGCACAGAAAGACAAATATTGCATATTCTCATTCATATGTGGGAGCTGAGGAAAGTTGACCTCATGGAAGTAGAGAGTAGAATGAAGATTACCAGAGGCTGGGAATGGTGAGGGATGAAGAGAGACTGGTGAATGGGCACAAACGCAGAGTTAGATAGAAGGAATATATGCTAGTGTTCTACAGCACAGTAGGGTGACTATAGTTAGCAACAATTCTAGTCCATATTTCAAATAACTAGAAGAGATTTGAAATATTCCCAACGCAAAGAAATAATAAACGTTTAAGGTTATGGATACCCCATATACCCTGATTTGATCATTACACATTCTATGCATGGAACAAAATACCACTTGTGCCCCATAAATATGTACAAATAGTATATGCCAATAAGAAAACTATGTAGCCAAGTAGGGGCACATTCGTTCAAAATAGCATAGCAACATGTGAAACTATTAAAGTCACCCTTAGTGAGTCTAATATGTCTTTAATGAACTAGTTAGGAAATAAATGGTGCACGCTAAAAAGTAATCTCTGCCCTCACAGGAATTGCTACTTTTGAGAGAAAAATATGCTTTCTATGCTACTTTCCTGAGAGAAAACAGGAAAAGGTGAATGAAAGTATCAGTATGAGAAAGAAGTTCTCATTATATAGTAGGATAATAACTACCAAAACAGTAGAAAAAAACATTATGTCTTTTTGTTCAGAGGAGAGAAAAAGCATTATGCCAGTGCCTATAACGTCTCAATGGGGAAACATGTTAAGTTGAGCATTGAAATAAATTTAATATTTGCAGAATTCAATAGAAGAGCAGAGAAATGAGAAAAAGGGAAGTATACCAGTTGAGAACAATGTTTCTCCTTTCTATAGTCCTCAAAAACGAGCCTTATTCCATCAGTGCCTTTTATGCTTAGGTTTTCCGTGTTACAGGAGAAAACATTATTGTATTAGTCCGTTCTCGTGCTGCTATAAGGACATACCTGAGACTGGGTAATTTATAAAGAAAAACAGGTTTAATGGACTCACAGTTCCACATGGCAGAAGGTGAAGGAGGAGCAAAGGTGTGTCTTACATGGTGGCAGGCAAGAGAGCATGTCCAGGGGAACTGCCCTTTATAAAACCATCAGATCTCGTGAGATTTATTCACTATCATGAGAACAGCATGGGAAAAACCCGCCCCCATGATTCAATTAGCTCTCACTGGGTCCCTCTCATGACACATGGGAATTATGGGAGCTACAATTCAAGTTGAGATTTGGGTGGGTATACAGCCAAACCATATCAATTACTATTTTCTTTAAACATTGAACACACATGACTTTTTGAACTGTAAAATCCTTGGTTCTGGCAGAATCATGGGCAGGAGACTAATATGTAAAAAGACTATAGAAAAAAATGATTTAGTTGAGGGAAGGGTTAGGGATGCCAACGCTGTCTTCACACGGGTTAATTTTCTCAACATTTGCCACCTGAGAAACTTGTACCTACTATCCAGGGCTTTGGGAAGCACCTCTTGAAAACCACTGTGTCTGACTGCCCATTATCAACAGAGGGAAGAAAGGGTGAATTAACAGCTCTGCAATTCATTCTTCCCCTTTATGGGGAAGACAGAAGCCCCTGGTAAAGGAAGAAGGAAGGTAAACTGGTCAAATCCCCTTGAAAACATGCTAGGGAGAAACCTCCTGGACACTTATTATTATTTGCCAGAGGGAGGGTCCTTATATGTGGAATGCTCTTGGAAGGATGTACGTAGCCTGGCTAGAATCACTTCTGGTAAGCAGACCTGGACTTCATGAAATTATAGGACATGGCCACATGGAAAATTTTATGTAGGCCCTGTAATTAGATGAGTAGATGTTGGAGAAATTTTACAAACAAAATTGCCCCCTTCCATATTAATGATGTGAGTTTATGCAACAAAGACAGAAATCAAATATATCCAGCCAGACCATATGCTGATGTGTTGAGAAATTGCTTTGGGACCAGTGATGGCGTCCCATACCATCTCCAACTTTAGCTGTACTTCATAATTATCTGTATACTTTAAATTACTAATAAAACTGGGTAAGTTCTAGAATTCATGTTACTTTGATTTGATGATCTAGATATTTCTATTATCCTTAGTAGTAACATCAATATTATAGTATACTTAAATTTACAAAAATATCTTCATGAAATGTTTAATGTTACCAAAATGTTTGCATAAGACTAGCTTATATGCACTCACACTGTACTGCTTTTTTTTTTTTTTTTGCACTCACACTGTACTTCTAAGATGAGCATGATTCCACTGTTATGGTTGAGTACAATGAGGTTTAAAGAGATTAAAGCCTTAATAAGGTCAAAATCTCCCTCTATGACACAATCTGACACCCTCACTAGCACACACAGGTAAAAAGTACTTCTAAAATCAAAGCTAATAAATTATTACTGGGAATCATGTTCTGGATAAATGAATGATAAATACCAAATTGGTGACTGTTTAAACCATAAAACAAGATTGCCTGTTTAAACTGAGTTGCAAAAAGTGGAGAGCCTCACACCCAAATGCAATGGAAATGGAAATTAAAAACAACTGAAGAGTGAGGAAATTTGAAACAGATGGAGAAAATCCCTGTGGAAAATTGTCTTGTACAAGTGATAAAGAATGGGCTGAATCCAAGAGTCTCTGATAACAAATGCCATTCTCTGCCTACTAAAGATTGCAAGATGTTCTTTTTTTTTTTTTCTGGGCATTTTCCTTTTAAAAAGATCATTTCGTTTTTCTGTAGTTCTTTTATTTATTCATCTCAGTATTCTAGTTCACTAATCCTGTTGGTCTAATTTATTAATTAAACCATACATTGTTTATTAAATTTATTTAAGTTTCAAAAAAAGTTATGAAGAAGGCAAAGCTTATGTGGTGGGCACACCCTGACGGGACCCCAAAAGGGTCACTTCTTTGTATAATTCCCTCCGCCTGAGTGCAGGAAGAACCTGTGTCAAACTCCTCACCAACAGAATATCTCAAAGGGTGTGAGCTAATCTGGAAATCAGTTTAGGTTTAGTTCATTTAATGGCTGTTATTCTACTAATATCCATTTAGTAGATAAATGGAATCAGATTTAATCAGGTAAAATCTCTTAAAAGAAGAATCCATCCTGAGGAATGGCTGTCAATTGCTGACTTTAAACAAGAAGGAACCCATGAATTCCATAGCTGCAAGGAAATATAATACATTCTTTCAATAAATGAACTTGGAAGAGGACTCCCTAGCCTCAAGGAGACCATAGCCTTGGTCGACTTCTTGATTTCTGCCTTGTTTGACTATGAGCAGAGGATAAAAGTGAGTGTGGTCAGATAACTGAGCCACGGAAATTGTGAGATGATGAATGTGTGCTGTTGTAATCTGTTAAGTTTGTGATAAATCATTACACAGATGTAGAAAACTAATACAGGTTAATTTTTTAGAAAATGCATTAGCAATGGTAGAATTGGGAAAAACGATCTGTTGAAGGCACTGTTTGTGACATACAATCTCAGTTACTGCTTATATGGTCCAGATAAACCACTTGTTATCCCTATACTTACAGCCATACTTTAAATCTGTTTTTCATAAATGTTGAAAGACTTTTCAAGTAAAATGTGGCCAACTGAATTTTGTCTGAATTATTAATGGGACTGCTTTCACTTTGTGCTTTTTTTTTAAATAAAAAATACTGTGAGATTTCTCATTTTCTGAATTCTGAGAATCTGACAAGCATAGACTTCACTATGTAAATGATATATATTTTTCCCCCTGGAAAATCAAAACAAATGTAACACATTAAATGTACAGCTTCCTTGAAATACACTTTCTGAATCCCAGATAATTAACATGTGGAGAAAAAATGAGCTCCTTAGAGTCACGAATATTTGGTAATTAAGAGGTATTCTCAAGTCAGACCACAACTTTAAATGTGAAGTTGTAAACAGAGGTCACATTACCATCTTGGAGATTCTAAGTTTTTAAAGGCAGAAAGAAAGAAAGAGAGAAGGAAAGAAAGAAAGAAAGAAAGAAAGAAAGAAAGAAAGAAAGAAAGAAAGAAAGAAAGAAAGAAAGAAAGAAAGGAAGGAAGGAAGGAAGGAAGGAAGGAAGGAGGAAGGAAGGAAGGAAGGAAGGAAGGAAGGAAAGAAAGAAAGAGAAAGAAAGAGAAAGAGAGAGAGAGAAAGAAAGAAAGAAAAGAAAGAGAGAGAGAAGGAAGTAAGGAAGGAAGGAAAGGAAGAAAGAAAGGGAAAAGGAAGGAAGAAAAGAGAGATATAACCCAAAATATGGATAAAACCATGCAAAATGCATTCTGCAAAGGGTGCATTAAGAAACAACTCTCAGATGACTGGGCAGGGTGGTTCACGCCAGTGATCCCAACACTTTAGGAGGCCCAGGCAGGTGGATCGCTTGAAGCCAGGAGTTCAAGACCAGCCTGGGCAACATGGTGAAACCCTGTCTCTACTAAAAATGCAAAAATTAGCTGGGTGTAGTGGTGGGCACCAGTAATCCCTGAGGCAGGAGACTCACTTGAACCCGGGAGGCAGAGGTTGCAGTAAGCCGAAATCACACCACTGCACTCTAGCCTGGGTGACAGAGCCAGACTCTTCCTCACAAAACAAACAAACAAAAGAAACAACTTTCCTCCATCAGTATGCATTTCTCATGTCTTGAATGTTTTAACCAATTCTTGATTTTTAAGCAAAATGCTTCAGGTTACTTTAAAAAAATCTCTTTGATATATTCTATTCTCTTTCATCTTTTTCTCTTTATTTATTCATGCCAGAGTTAGCAGTGCCTTTTTTTCCTTTTTTTTTTTTTTAAATTTTTGTACAGGGCTAGTGGTTAGGATTAATAGGAACCTCTTTAAGCACTGCTGAGTAATTGTATCATTTATGATGGTTAATTTTGTGTATTACCTTGATGGGTTCATGGGATGGCCTGATATCTGATGAAACATGTCTGAGTATGTCTCGGAGGGAGTTTCAAGAAGAGTTTCAAGTATTCAAGAAATGGTTTCAAGAAGAGCGTTTGGATTCAGGTAAGGCAGATTGCCCTACCCAAGGTGAGTGGGCATCATGCAATCCACTGGGGGCCTGAATAAAACAAAAACCACAGAGGAAGATTAGGTTTGTTCTCCCTCTGCCTGGGAGCTTGAGCCGGGACACAGATCTTCTCCTGGCCTTCGTGCTCCTGGTTCACAGATCATCAGACTCAGACTGGAATCTACATGATTCTCTCTGACTCTGAGGCTTCAAACTATGCTTCTGGCTTTCCTGAGTCTCCAGCTGGCAGACAGCAGCAGTAGATCATGGGATTTCTCATCCCCCATAATTGCATGAGACAGTGCTTTATAGGAAATCTTCTTATTTATCCTATTGCTTCTGTTTCTCTGGAGAACTCTGATGCATACATTATTTTACCAGGCTATGTCTTAGGTGGAAGACCTATGTCATCTGTTAGCTTCATGGAAAATGTCTTTATGGCAAAAAGCATGGTGAGATGCAGCGGCTTAAAGACAAGTCACACAACTCATTTGTAAGGCATCAACAGCACATACTGTTTGGTTACAGAAGGAGGTGTGTTCTTATATAATGCTTACATGTAAACTTAAAAAAATTAAATCTACTGGGATGTAAACCTTTTACTGTTTTGTATGATTAAAATAGACCATTTTCCATTGACACCACCTGCACTATCATGGCTTGTACACGCATACTTCTCTATAATGGCAGACGTTGAATATTAAACAACTGATGAGGTCTCTATCACCGTATAACAAACTACTCCAGAACTGCATAGCACAGAACAGTAACCATTTTATTATGCTAACCATTGCCAGGCTTTTATAATTCAGTCAAGGTACAGGTATAGCTCGTCTGTTCCATGGAGTCTGGAGGCTTCAGGTGGTAAGTCTCAAAGAACTTTGCGTAATTCAGATGGCTGGGAGACAGAATTTTGGGGAGGCTTCTTTATTTACATGTCATGTGCCTGGACTGAAATACATTGAACACTAGGCTCAAGTGAACTGTTAATGGAAGTACCTACATGTAGACAGCCTTCACATGTAGCTTGGGCTTCCTCATGAAATGGCAGCTTCAGAATCACCCTAACACCATTGCTGCCAAGAATCTTTTTTCGTGTGCTTTAAGTTACCTGAAAAACTTTGGTGAAGTTTTTGAGTGAAGCGTTTTGGTGGCTTGCATTTAAAAAAATATTTTGACAAATTTTAGGGGGATTGTTTCCCTATTACTGAGTTTTGTTGTTTTTACATAAGGTATATATTTTAGTAGGTTTTATGAAAAATTGAGTTTGTTTTGCCAGTGTTTCAATTATGTATGTCCCCAAATTACTTATTTTACCACTATTGAAAGACAGCTGAAGCAAGCATACACTTACAGGTTGAAAGTTTCTATTTAAAACACCTTACAATATGAGTCCATTTTATATGGGTTCTATTGCTGCTGATAAGAAACTGGCTGTCAGTCTTATTGCCATTCCTTTATGATTAGTTTTTTTTTTTCTCTTCAGTAGCTGGTTTTACTTTCCTTTATTTTAGCTCTTTTTATTTATTCTGTTGACTTTTGAATATTTGAGTCTGATTGTTTGGGGTACATTTTTGCACAGAGAACTCATATTTCCCTTTAACACTTCTTATGTTACTACTCTGTCTTTGCAAACTCACCCATAACGTCTTTATTAATATGTCTCTAACCTGCTTGAGAGTTTGCCTATTTATTTTTGATCCTCCATTTTTTTGTGTGAATTCCTTTATAATGCATTTTCTCTTTTTTTAACCATTTCATTCCAATTTATTAATTCTTCCTTTGACTTTTCAAAACTATATTTAATTCTGATTAACAAGGTAAATAATTTTTAAAAATAAAATCTGTGGTTTTTATTTATAAGATACGTAATTCATTTCTAGATTTATCGTCTCTTATTTAACTTTATTTTTTCTTGATACATCTTTTTTCTTTTTTCCAAAACTAATTATTCTAGTGATTAGTCATTGTAATTATAGTGCTTATTACCATTCTCTATTACAAAATAAGGCTACTTTATTATGTCAATGAAGATATTTTAAGAACTAGGCTCAATTTTCTAGCCAGAGTTCTTCCTCTATTCTGTACCTCAAATGCTGATAATTCTGCTTCTGCACCTCCTCAAATATGAAACATAATTGCATGTTGTGTATATGAGTTTTTAATTTTGGTGTTTTATGTCTTGCCTTATGCTATTGTTTTAGATTGGAATCTCTTTCCCACATTTTGGGCCTATTAAAATTTTCATTAGCCTTTAACTTTGAAACAAAATGCCTCATCCCTAAAAATGTGTAACCACATCCTCTAAGGTTTAATGAATCACTACTTTTCCTTTACCGTCTCTGGCATAGAAGGACAATTTTTGCAATGAATTTTAATTAATCATTTGTATATGCTGCCTTCACTATAAATAGACTCATGAAGGACAGAAACTACGTAGGCTTCTTCTCCACATATCTCATAACACAACACTTTGAACATAATTACTCAAACATTAGCTGAATTAAATTGTAAACAATATAAATTCTTTTCAAAAATGCTTCTGTGTAAGTTTAATCACAGATGATTTCAACATTTTGGGCTGGATTAGAAAATAAAACAAAAAGAAGACCATTAGTTTGGAGGCAAATCTGAATACTACCCTGCATGAATACATAATTAAAATACATGATTTAATTATATATTTTGAAATATTTATGTGTCAGAGATGGAGTTAGTCTTTCCGCAAACATTACATCCAAAAAATGTGGGGAAGAGACATTATAACTGAAATACTTATTTCATGAAACAGAATAAATTCATTTTAAGAAACAAACTAACAAAAAAACACAATTTTATTGAGTTTTTTTGACACTTTACTCCCTTTTTTCATTATCTGACCTGATTGCCAGCAATGTGGGTTTAAAACAAGGGCACTTTTATTTAGAGATAAATATCCCACTGTGGCAGAAGAAGAAATGTACCCTCTGAGAAGGGAAAAGGAGGCTGTGAAGTGGATATTATTCAAGGTCAACAAAAGACAATTTCTAAAATGTAAAAAAAAAAATACCATAAGGGACTAAATAAAAGGCAGACCCGATTCTGGGCATGCAAATATCCCACTTACTCTACACATCAAGTGTGAGAGGAAAGAATCATTCCCCTCCACTTACTGATGCACAAATGGAGACAAAGGTGTCCAGAAATCACCCTGTCACACAGCTAGCAAAGGCAAGATCTTGTGAGAAAATCCAGATTTTCCCCATATACTGCACGCCTTGAAGTCATTCCAAGTTACTATCCAATACTTGTGCGTTGCATTACTCAAGAATGATGATAGGGTGTATAAGTCCATTCTCACGCTGCTAATACAGACATACCTGAGACTGGGTAATTTATGAAGGAAAGAGGTTTAATTGACTCACAGCTCCCCATGGCTGGAGAGGTCTCAGGAAACTTACAATCATGGCAGAAGGAGAAGCAAACACATCCTTCTTCACGTGGTGGCAAGAAGGAGAAATGCTGAGCAAAAGGGGGGAAAGCCCCTTATAAAACCATCAGATCTCATGAGAACTCACTCACTATCAAGAGAACAGCAGCATGGTGGCAACCACCCCCCTGATTAAATTACCTCCCACCGAGTCCTTCCCATGACACATGGGGATTATGAGAACTACAATTAAAGATGAGATTTGGGTGGGGACACAGCCAAACCATATATCACAGGGTATAACAAGATATGATAGAAATTTGTTTCTGGACTTCTACTGCTCATGTTTTCTTTCCTCATCCCTCCCTCCCTCTCCTGCTGCTTCCTCCTTCCTTTTTTCCTTTTTTTTATCTCTTCCCCTTTCCTCCCCCACCTCTTCCTTTCTTCCTCTCTCCCTCCCTCTCTCCCTCCGTCCCTCTCTCCCTTCATTCCTTCCTTCTTTCCTTCCTTCCATCCTTTTTCCTTCCTTCCTTCCCTCCTTCCTTTTTTCTTTCCCTTCCTCCTTCCTTCCTTCCCTCCTCCCTTCTTTCCTTCCTTCCCTTCTTCCTTCTCTCCCTTCCCTCCTCCCGTCTTTCTTTCCTTCCATCCTTCCTTTTTTGCTTCCAACTTACATAGTCATCTTTGATTCAGGGGTCCCAGTTCCTGATTACTAAAAGAAGAATAATCCTAATAGCACTGAATGTACTGACCTAATGGGTCTGTTATCACTATTAAATATCTGAGAAATCACCAGGTATCTAGTGATGGAGGATTTGTGGTTATTTTTATAATGATTATCATTCAAGTAATTATCTCTTCTCACCTATATTTTTATCTTACAGAGAGCTTGCTTTGTCAAGGATCTCTGTGACACTCCACTTTTTAAATTAGTAGAAAATGTTTCCTTTTAAAATAAAGTATTATCTAAAACATTTCTTAACAAAATAACAGTGTGTTATTTTTGGGAAGAAACAAAATGATACTTCCGATATGCAATTCTTCATATTGCTTAGGTTTTTTTTGTTTTTATTTTCCTTTTTGAGATGGCGTTTCACTCTTGTTGCCCAGGCTGGAGTGCAATGGCGTGATCTCGGCTCACTGCAACCTCCACCTCCTGGGTTCTAGCAATCCTTCTGCCTGAGCCTCCCAAGTAGCTGGGATTACAGGCGCTCGCCACCACGCCTGGCTAATTTTTTGTATTTTTTGTAGAGATGGGGTTTCACCATCTTGGTCAGGCTGGTCTCAAACTCCTGACCTCAGGTGATGCCCCAACCTTGCCCTCCCAAAGTGCTGGGATTACAGGCCTGAGCCACAGCACCCAGCCTTGAATTACTTTCCATGGCCATTTGTATTGCTGAAAGTAATCATACAACTACTAAATATGTTTTTTTCTTTGTGCTTGTCATATATCATCTGCTATTCTTTTCTGAACATAATTTAGTCTCTGAAAGACAAAGAAAGCAAGTTAAAAAATTGGCTTTAACTGGTATAAAAGGTTAAAGATGGAATTAGAAAGTACCCAGGCAAGCAAAGAAATAGTTTTTGAGACAATCTGGCTTTCTGAAGTCTTTAGACAACAATAATATTGATGACTTCTGAAAGAACCAAATACTCTAGCGTGCTTGGGAGGACAAAATAAAAGTAAATATCTATGATGAACTTCAAATAGGGCCTCTCCTATACATAAATGTGCTTTAGGGTAAAGGTTTTAATTTTTTTTTTTAATTTTTTTTATTCTTTGTGAGAAATCCATAAATTACAAGGGCTGCAAATTGCCTTTGAATACATCAGGCAGGAATAGTTATGGCAAAGATGATTAGTTGTTTTTTGGTTTTTGTTCTTTAATCTATAATATTTAGGACAAAAATCATTTAAATGTAGGTTTGGGGCTTTTAAGGTCTTCTTATATTTAGTGTATATAGTTGAGGGATAGTCAACAATTCTACTAAATACCCATCGGAAGGTCATTATCTGCCTAATAAAAACCTTTGTTGAGAAGGCAATTTTAAAAACCAATCTAAAACTGATAAATACGGTGCAGTGAAGGGAGATTTATAATATTTCACAAACGTTATATTTAAGCCTCTATCTGAGGGTACAGATAGAATCAGATACTTTTGCATTCTTTGAAGAATATAAATTGTTTTCATTGCTGGCTGTTCTCTGGGACTTTGTTAGTCTCTGTTCACGGATCAGAGATAAGGGCTGGGTTATGAAGCTGATATGAGAGGAATGTACGGGACTGATAAAAATCAAAGAGTGCCTTCCCGATACTAATGGCACTCTCAAACAGCTCACTGATACAAATAACTTAGCAGGCTTTTGGGAATTAAACCACTTCACTTTCTTACAGGGAAGTAATTATCCTGTCTGACAGTCCTGCTGAGATAGGGCCAAGCTTCCGGATATTATGCAGCTGGCTCTTCTAGGCTCCTAGGAGCCTCCCTTCAATACGTCCTCCAAAACCTTTACAGACTTCTACAACTCTGTTTCAGAACTCTGCAATTATTTGCCGCTCATATCAAGAAAACGAAAATCTCTCATGCACTTTTTCGGCTCTAGCATTTGCAGATAAACCCAGGTTTGAGAAGACAATTAATGGATGTGGATTATTTCTAAATTGTTTGTGCTCACCTGTCATGTGTTCACATGTGATTAAGAGTAAGATGTTCTATCAAGAGAACATTTTTCCATGTGGCCCATTCTGACTTACAGTGTCCTTGACTAATTTACTCGGAGTATTTTGGAAAATGTTGGCAAGGCTTTCCTAAAGGGCTATTTAGTGAGTTTTCTTAGCATTTGCCCTAGTTTCCATAAATCCTATGAAAACATTTACTTTTGTTCTATATTTACTTTCCTGACCCAGCCAATATTATCCTTCCTCTGCTTAAAATTGATGTGCTACTCTTTCTCTGGAGAATTTTGTAGCAACTTGAGAATAGATACACATTCAGATACAGTCAACTGTTCAACAACACAGGTTTGAACTACGCAGGTGCACTTAAACATGGCTTTTCTTCCACCTCTGCCTCCTCTGAGACAGCAAGACCAACCCCCTCCTCTCTCACCTCCTCCTCCTCAGCCTACTCAACATGAAGATGGCAGAGATGAAGACATTTATGATGACCTATTTCCACTTAAGAATAGTAAATACATTTTGTCTTCATTATTATTTTCTTATTAATATTTCCTTTTCTCTAGCTTACTTTAATGTAAGAATACAGTATGTAATAGATAGAACATAAAAAATATTTCTTAATTAGTTGTTCATGTTATGGGTAAGGCTTCAGGTCAACTGTAGGCTATTAGTAGTTAAGTTTTGGGCAAGTCAAAAGTTATACACAGATTTTTGACTGTGTGGAGGTTGGTACCGCTAATCCTTGCATTGTTCCAGGGTCAACTGTATACATATACACACATTAGACTACACATATACACAGACGGAGTTCAAGACTAACCTCCCAATATAAACTTTACAAACATTGACCCATGTCTCTCCATCAAGAGTCTCAATCTTCTATTCTTCCTTCAGTGCCATCTTCATAAAGATGTGTACACATCACATACCAAGCATCCACTCATTGTTTGCTCAGCATCACTAAAGCAAGCCTCCTTCCTTTTCATGCTCTTTGACATCCATGTGTCAACATGGGGCTGAGGGAGGAACATAAATACAACTGGGATTTCTGTAGTTAATCTTGTAGTTAATCCCATTAGTGTAGAAGAGAGAAAATTAGAATAAGGCAGGTTAAGCAATGTTTCCAAAGTATCAGAGCACGTCTTGCGAATAAAAGGGTACAAGTATTGAAGACTGTATTAGTCTGTTCTCACCCTGCTAATAAAGACATACCCAAGTCTGGGTAATTTATAAAGGAAAGAGGTTTAATTGACTCACAGTTCCACATGGCTGGGGAGGCCTCACAATCATGGTGGAAGGCGAATGAGGAGCAAAGTCATGTGTTACATGGTGGCAGGCAAGAAAGCTTGTGCAGGGGAACTCCCATTTATAAAACCATCAGATCTCATGAGACTTATTCACTACCATGAGAACAGTATGAAGGAAACTTCCCCTATGATTCAATTATCTCCACCTGACCCTGCCCTTGACATGTGGGGATTATTACAATTCAAGGTGAGATTTGGATGGGGATGCAGCAAAACCATATCAAAGTCAAACTGACATGGCCTCCCAATTTTTCTCTCTTTCTGTGTGTATGCAAGACATACCTAGTGTCTAATGTATGCTAGGTCCTTACTGAGATCCAAGGATGAAGATATGATTAAAATAAAAGAGGTTTCTGCCCTAATTATATGCAGGGAGAAAGAAAGCAAAGATGAGATTAAAAGGAGGCCTATGTTCTGTGGCAGGGGAAACCCTGGCTTTGAAATCTGTTACCTACTCTTGTCCTGCCTTAGTGGATAGCAGGGAAAATGATAATATATGCTAGCCTTTGCCATCATATAGTGAGACTAACATTGGATAATGTATGTCCTGTATGCTATTTGATATATAACTGTTAACTCAATAAAGGTAATTTCTCTTCTTCTCTTTTCTAGTGACTTAACTAAGTCAGTAAACCACTTAATTTAATCCAAGCCCAGTGCTCTGGTATGGCAGAAATATTACACTGGAGAGAAAACAGAATTTGCTCAAAAAAGGCATTAGCAGTGCCTTGAGGATAGTTGTTTCCATAAGTTGTTGTTATTCTTGTTTTGTTTTTTCTTTTTTTTTTTTTACTGCTGTTCCATTGATGGAATTTTATATTATACTGGCAACATTTTTATTATACAAGCTATAAATTCCTGAACAGAAAATTCCAGAATGCCCAACGCATAGGTGTTGGTTTGTTTCTAGATGATCAATCATATCCTATTGAGACCCAGTTTCCATGCTTGCTTATGTAACCCATGGATGATCAGTTCACCCAGCATCTTAAACAGACTAGGTATACCCTAGAAGGGTTCAATACTGTAACACAATACAAAATAACATGCTAAAAATAATTGAAGAAAGACCCAGTTTCAGTGATGACAACACCCCAAATTGAAAGATAAAAAAATAAAATAAACAAAAACAGAATAACGAAGAACTGTGGGATAATTACAAAAGTTGTGACTTATTTATTTATAATTGAAATATCAGAGGAGAAGAAAAAGAGAATGGAACAGAAAAAAGTGTTTGAGGTAAGAATAGCTGAGAATTTTCTAGAATTAATGGCTGACATTGATCATTGTCTAGAAACCTCTGAGAACACCAAGCAAGATGAATACCAACAGCTACACCTAAGCATTTTGCTTTCAAACTGCAGAAAACCAGAAACAAAGAAACTCTTGAAAAAAGCTGGGAAGGGGGTTGAAGAGCACCTTCCCTATAGATAAATGAGGACAAGAATTAACAGTGGACTTCTCATCATTATGCAAAAAAGATACTTCCACATGCATGTTTATAGCAGCACAATTCGCAATTGCAAAACTATGGAACTGGCCCAAATGTCCATCAATCAATGAATGGATGAAGAATTATCCACAATTAAATGTGATATATATATGTGATACACACAAACACACACACACACACCATGGAATACTATTCAGTCATAAAAAGGAATGAAATAATGGCATTCACAGCAACCTGGATAGAATTGGAGACCATCATTCTAAGTGAAGTAACTCAGGAATGGAAAACTAAACATCGTATGTTCTCACTCGTAAGTGGGAGCTAAGCTATGAGGTCAGAAAGGCATAAGAATGACAAAATGGACTTTGGGGACTTGGGGGAAAGGGTGGGAGAGGGATAAAAGACCACACATTGAGGGATAAAAGACTATACATTGGGTACAGTGTATATTGCTTGGGTGATGGGTGCATCAAAATCTCACAAATCAACACTAAAGAACTTACTCATGTAACCAAACACCACCTGTTCCCCAATATCCTATGAAAATAAAAACATAAATACATTTTAAAAAGAATTGGCCAGGCACAGTGGCTCACGCCTGTAAACTCAGCATTTTGGGAGGCCAAGGAGGGCAGATCACTTTAGGTAAAGAGTTCGAGACCAGCGTGGTCAATATAGTGAAACCTCATTTCTATTAAAAATACAAAATTAGTCGGGGGAGGTGGCAGGCGCCTGTAATCCCAGCTACTTGGGAGGCTGAGGCAGGAGAATCACTTGAACCTGGGAGGCAGAAGTTGCAGTGAGCTGAGTATTAAAAAAACAAGCAAAACGGTGAACTTCTCACCAAAAACCATGCAAGCAAGAAGAGAATGGAGTAAAATATTTAAAGTGTTGAAAGAAAACAACCCTTCATGCTAAAAACTCTCAATAAATTAGGTATTGATGGGACATATCTCAAAATAATAAGAGCTATCTATGACAAACCCACAGCCAATATCATACTGAATGGGCAAAAACTGGAAGCATTCCCTTTGAAAACCGGCACAAGACAGGGATGCCCTCTCTCACCACTCCTATTCAACATCGTGTTAGAAGTTCTGGCTGGGGCAATTAGGCAGGAGAAGGAAATAAAGGGTATTCAATTAGGAAAAGAGGAAGTCAAATTGTCCCTGTTTGCAGATGACATGATTGTATATCTAGAAAACCCCATTGTCTCAGCCCAAAATCTCCTTAAGCTGATAAGCAACTTCAGCAAAGTCTCAGGAGACAAAATCAATGTACAAAAATCACAAGCATTCTTATACACCAATAACAGACAAACAGAGAGCCAAATCATGAGTGAACTCCCATTCACAATTGCTTCAAAGAGAATAAAATACCTAGGAATCCAACTTACAAGGGACGTGAAGGACCTCTTCAAGGAGAACTACAAACCACTGCTCGATGAAATAAAAGAGGATACAAACAAATGGAAGAACATTCCATGCTCATGGGTAGGAAGAATCAATATCGTGAAAATGGCCATACTGCCCAAGGAAATTTATAGATTCAATGCCATCACCATCAAGCTACCAATGACTTTCTTCACAGAATTGGAAAAAACTACTTTAAAGTTCATATGGAACCAAAAAAGAGCCCTCATCACCAAGTCAATCCTAAGCCAAAAGAACAAAGCTGGAGGCATCACGCTACCTGACTTCAAACTATACTACAAGGCTACAGTAACCAAAACAGCATGGTACTGGTACCAAAACAGAGATATAGATCAATGAAACAGAACAGAGCCCTCAGAAATAATGCCACATATCTACAACTATCTGATCTTTGACAAACCTGAGAAAAACAAGCAATGGGGAAAGGTTTCCCTATTTAATAAATGGTGCTGGGAAAACTGGCTAGCCATATGTAGAAAGCTGAAACTGGATCCCTTCCTTACACCTTATACAAAAATTAATTCATGATGGATTAAAGACTTAAACGTTAGACCTAAAACCATAAAAACCCTAGAAGAAAACCTAGGCATTACCATTCAGGACATAGGCATGGGCAAGGACTTCATGTCTAAAACACCAAAACCAATGGCAACAAAAGCCAAAATTGACAAATCGGACCTAATTAAACTAAAGAGCTTCTGCACAGCAAAAGAAACTACCATCAGAGTGAACAGGCAACCTACAAAATGGGAGAACATTTTCACAACCTACTCATCTGACAAAGGGCTAATATCCAGAATCTACAATGAACACAAACAAATTTACAAGAAAAAAACAAACAACCCCATCAAAAAGTGGGCAAAGGACATGAACAGACACTTCTCAAAAGAAGACATTTATGCAGCCAAAAAACACATGAAAAAATGCTCACCATCACTGGCCATCAGAGAAATGCAAATCAAAACCACAATGAGATACCATCTCACACCAGTTAGAATGGCAATCATTAAAAAGTCAGGAAACAACAGGTGCTGGAGAGGATGTGGAGAAATAGGAACATTTTTACACTGTTGGTGGGACTGTAAACTAGTTCAACCATTGTGGAAGTCAGTGTGGCGATTCCTCAGGGATCTAGAACTAGAAATACCATTTGACCCAGCCATCCCATTACTGGGTATATACCCAAAGGACTATAAATCATGCTGCTATAAAGACACATGCACACGTATGTTTATTGCGGCACTATTCACAATAGCAAAGACTTGGAACCAACCCAAATGTCCAACAATGATAGACTGGATTAAGAAAATGTGGCACATATACACCATGGAATACTATGCAGCCATAAAAAATGATGAGTTCATGTCCTTTGTAGGGACATGGATGAAATTGGAAATCATCATTCTCAGTAAACTATCGCAAGGACAAAAAACCAAACACCGCATGTTCTCACTCATAGGTGGGAATTGAACAATGAGAACACATGGACACAGGAAGGGGAACATCACACTCTGGGGACTGTTGTGGGGTAGGGGGAGGGGGGAGGGATAGCATTAGGAGATATACCTAATGCTAAATGACGAGTTAATGGGTGCAGCACACCAGCATGGCACATGTATACATATGTAACTAACCTGCACATTGTGCACATGCACTGTAAAACTTAAAGTATAATAATAATAAAATAAAAAATAAAAAAAAAGAAAACAACTAAACAACCATCAACCTAGAATTCTGTATCTAATAACATTATCCTCAAAAAGTGAAGAAGAAATAGACTTTCTCATAAAAATAAAAACTCAAATAATTCATCTCCACAGACAGGCCCACTAGAAATGTTTGAAGAGGTTCTTCAGGTTGAAGAAAAATGCTGTAGTTCAGAAACTTGGATCTAGTAAGGGAAAAGGGAACTTCAAAGAAGGAATAAAAAATGTAGAATGAAATATTTTTATTTTTCTATACTTAATTGATATAATAGATAACTATTTCTTTATAGTAATTATCATAATATATTGAGTGATTGTAGCATACAGATCAATGAAATGAATTAAGGCAATGTTATAGTGAACAAGACAGAGAAATTGGGAACACTTTATTATAAATTACTCAAACTATACAGGAAGTGATTCAGCGATATTTGAGGTGGGAAGTAATTTAATTTAAAAGGTATATTAATAATCCTAGGTAAAAGAATACATTTGTTAAAAGAAGTAGAATTAATGTGTGAAAACTAAAGGGAAATTGCAGTCATACAAAATGCTTCATTAAAACGAAAGACTGAAAAAGGAGGGGAAAAGAAATAAAGTAATTATACTGCACAACCAGTCGGCATTTATTTGTAGTATGCAAAATAGTTTCAACATTTTAAAATTAATGAATGTAATATACCATATCAGTGGTCCAAAGAAGGCAAAAGAAATCATCTGAACTTATAATTAGATGCAGATAAAGCTTTTGACAAAAATTCAATACTTATTATAAAAATTCTTAGCAAACTAGAATCAGGAGATGATTCCTTAACTTGATTTTAAAATATCCAAGAAAACACATTTATAATGTTATTCTTAACATCCAGTGAGAAGCTGGATTATCTCCCTCTCATAATATTAGCAAAATCATGAGGATGACTTTTCTCAACAGTCCTGTATAACATAGTATTGAATCCCCAGTCCTAGCTAGCTAGAAAAAAAGTTAAGGCCAGGCGCAGTGGCTCACGCCTGTAATCCCAGCACTTTGGGAGGCCGTGGCGGACGGATCATGAGGTCAGGAGATCGAGACCATCCTGGCTAACACGGTGAAACCCCGTCTCTACTAAAAATACAAAAAATTAGCCAGGTGTGGTGGCTGGCGCCTGTAGTCCCAGCTACTCGGGAGGCTGAGGCAGGAGAATGGCGTGAATCCGGGAGGCGGAGCTTGTCGTGAGCCGAGATCACACCACTGCACTCCAGCCTGGGCGACAGAGCGAGCCTCCATCTCAAAATAATAATAATAATAGTAATAAATTTGCAGATTGGGAAGGGAAAAAAATCAAATCATCTGTATTTGCAGATGAGTTTTTTTGTCTTTTGCAGAGAATACCAAAGATGTAACAACAAAAATACCTCTGAGAATTAATAAGTGTCTATACAAAGGTTACAGGACACGAGGTTAATATACAAAAATTTGTTGATTACCTATTGACAGGCCTGAGAAACTAGACATTAAAGAAACAATTAAAGGGGTCTTTGAGAAATGGCTGATTCTAGAGTTGGGGCAGGAAAAACACAAAATAAGCCCAGATCCTATTAACAATATCACCAAAAGACAAATATTTTAGGAATAAATCTAATAATATCTGTACAGGATCTGTATGTGGAAAAGTTGAAAACTCTGATGAAAGTAATGGAAGAAGATCTGAGGAAATGGAGAGAAATTTTATGTTCATGTTTTTGAAAACTCAATACAATTAAGATAGCCATTCTTTCTAATGTTATGTATCAGTTAAATGTACTCTCAATCACAATACCAGCAAGCTATTTTGTAGACGGGACAAAATGTTTCTGAAGTTTAAATGGAATGGCAAAAGACCCAGAATAGCCAACACAAAGCTGAAGAAGATGAACAAAGTTGGAGATGTCAAATGATCCAGTTTCAAGCAGTGAAAGGCTACAACCATGGAGAGACCATAGTATTATTAAAAGAATGCACACATGTGCAATGAAACAGAACAGAGAGCCAAGACATAGATTCATGTGAATACGACCAACGAATCTTTGTCAAAGGTGCGAAGACAGTCAATGGAGGGATACGTGGCCGTTTCAACAAATGATGCTGAAAAAAATGGAATGTACCTTTGCTGGAAGACAAAAACCTTACACCTTTTACAAAAATTAACAAAATATGGATCAGGAACTTCAATGTAACATGAAAAGCTGTAAAACATCTAGAAAAAAATAGGAAAAAAATCTCCATGTCTTTGGCTTGCTCATGAGGTACTTTTGTTGAGTACACCCCTGTATTTATTGAGATATAATTTATGAATAAAATTGTGTGCAATGTGATTCTTATATAAGCATCACACTACACACCTTAAATTTATACACACACAACTATGAGTATTTTCTGACCCCAGCCCTAGATTCAGCCATTTCTCAAAGACCCCTTTAATTGTTTCTTTAATGTCTACTGGCTTATGCCTGTCTACAGGCAATCAGCTGAGTTTTGTATATTAACCTTGTGTCCTGTCATCTTTGTATAGACACTTATTAATTCCCAGAGGCATTTTTGTTGTTACATCTTGGGGATTCTCTGCAAAAATAAAATCATCTCATTTGCAAATACACACACACAAACCCGTATAATACACATACATACATGCACTCACACATATGTATATGCATACATATCTAAATATAATGTAAAATGATTGCCACAATCAAGTTAATTAAATCTAAAAGCACAATCTATGAAAGACAGAAAATGTTGGACTTTATTCAAGTTAAAAACTTCTACAGTATGAAATACACTGTTAAAACTTGAAAGGAAACTCAGGTTGTAGAATAAAATATACCCAAAATATATGTCCGGTAAAAGATCTGTAGCCAGCATACACCAAAAGCTCTTACCAAAGCGCTCTTAAAATAAGAGAACAAACTATTCTAATTAAAAAACTGAACAAAGTATTTAAACAGACAACAGCTAAGGTATACAGATGGCAAATGAGCATATGAAAAGATGTTCAACAACAGTTTTCATTAGGGAATTGCAAATTAAATCAACAATGTGATAGCCCTACACACCTACTAGAATGACTAAAATCCCAAATTTCTATAATACCAAATGCTGACAAGAATACAGAGAAACACAAATTCTCACTCTTTACTGGTGAGTAAAGTCATTTAGGAAGAAAGTTTGGTCATTTATTACAAAGCTAATTGTAATCATACCATATAATCCAGCAGCCATGCTCCTGTTATTAACCCAACTGAATTGAAAACTTATGTGCACAAAAAAACCTGCACACAAATGTTTATACTGCCTATATCCTGACTTACCTGTTATATTCATTTGACTTGGCGTAAAATCCAACGGAGAAAAAATATTGCTGGTACATTCACATTTTCGATCCAGTGCAGTACACAATATTGAAGGGAGAAATATCAAACATCCGTGTGTACCCCAGGGTTTCCTTATCTGTTTAGAATTTTTCCATCGATGCTATGTCTGTAATATAGCAATATCGAACTCAAATTGTGAGAGTATGTTTAATCTTTGGTTACCGCATTCAAATATTTATTATCTGTTAACCATGATATATTTATTTTACTTCATGAAGAAATTAAAGGCATTTCTTTAACTAAATGACCCAAGGGAAGCCATGCAGAAGGATTTAACCAACAAGCAGAACTACCAGGAATGGTCCTAGGTATTACCTGCTGGGGGTGTGCTCTCAGTAATTCTCAAAGAGAGACTTACCAATCTCCCCACAAGGAGCTTCAGGGTCATTCATAAATATTGGAGACAGGCTCTGAGAGAGCCAAAATGTCTCCTGGGGGCAGGAAGCTCTTTCTATTTGTTTGAGAGTATATTTTATAAAGTCTCTGTCTTGGAACCCCAAAGTAAAGTGAAAGGTGTCGCTGAATTGTTTTATGTTCTAAAGTATAAACTCCTTCTGGAGGGCAGGACAGAAGACAGTATAACTTTTCTTTCTTGGTGATGTATTTATTCAGCCTGACTCTAATAGCAATATTTTAAACATTTTTTTTATTTCCTTTATCTAAGGGATGTGATGTTAGCAAAAATACGAAGTTCAGGGGAGTGATGGCTTTGAGATGTGTTTTTTTCCTTGCTAGATAAAAATATACTTTCTCCTTGTTCATAGATTGTTAGATTCCTGTTTCCCCCATCCTACTCCTCTGCCTAGCTCTGGAAACACAAATGGCACACGGTTCTCTTGGGACCCTGTATAAATGTGTATGCTGCTATTCACAATAGCAAAGACATAGAATGAACATAAGCGTACATCACCTGTGGATTGGATAAAGAAAATGTGGTGCAGCTATACCATGGAATACTATGCAGCCATAAAAAAGAACAAAATTATATCCTCTGCAGCAACATGGATGCAACTGGAGGCCATCATCCTAAGTCAAGTAATGCAGAAACAGCAAATCAAGGACCACATGTTCTCTCTTACATGCTGGAGCTAAACATTGGGTACGCAGGGACATGAAGATGGGAACAATATGAACTGCCGTCTACTAGGGGTCAGGGAGGGAGGGGGACAAGGGTTGAAAAACTACCTATTGGGTACTATGCCCAGTACTTGGGTGACAGATTCAATCATGCCACAAACCTCAGCATCACACAACATACCCAGGTAACAAACCCTCACATGTATTCTTGAATACAAAATAAAAATGGAAATTAAAAAAAAATGTGTGTGCTGGGCATCCAGATGGATTTCAAGGATACTCAAATTGTTGGCTAATGGCACTGGTCTGTGGACCTTAGTTTATTTAGAGACAAAATATATGCATGCATTGCTCAAGGTGCCAGCTGTCTCCCATCAGGCAGGTTTTGGATCCTGCATTCAAGATTCCATAGCACTTAAACATCCCTTTAGAAGAGTTGTCTGCTTGGAATACAATCCACGATCCACCGCGGCTCCAGAGTGCAAAAACATGAGCATGAACATGAACTCTATTAAAGCAAAATAAAGAACAAAATTGATATTTTCCTTGCAAAGAAGTTAACGTTTATTATCAAAAATGCTCTCCTGTAAGCGGGCTTAAGTTGAATATGGAAAATGTGAAGTTTATCCCAGGCTTCTCGAAAAGTGTTTTGACATTCCTTTACATTCTTTCCCTTACCATCATCACAATCAAATAATTATCAAAGGGTCATAATTATTATGTTTTCATTATGAGCAAAAAAAAGGACTTTTGCTCATTCTGAATAATTTTGCATAGCAGCTAAAAATCATACGAAACTATGCTGAGTGAACAAAAATCCTTTTTTTTTCAAGCAGATTGAGAGGAAGGAGAGAAGGAATGAAAAAAAAGGATGAGAGGGAAGGGAAGACAGGAAAGAAGAACCTCTGGAAATAGAATGAAAAACAAAACAAAACATAGGGACTTGCACTTTTCTTTGCAGCTGTCAGATGATTTGTTTGTCTTTGGCTTTTTTTTTTCTTTCCTTTTTTTTTTTTTTTTTTTGATGGAGTTTCGCTCACTGCAGCCTCCCCCTCCCAGGTTCAAGCCATTCTCCTGCCTCAGCCTCCCGAGTAGCTGGGATTACAGGCATGTGCCACCACACCTGGCTAATTTTGTATTTTTAGTAGAGATGGGATTTCTCCATGTTGGTCAGGCTGGTCTTGAACTCCCGACCTCAGGTGATCCACCTGCCTCGGCCTCCCAAAGTGCTGGGATTATAGGCGTGAGCCACCACGCCCGGCCTGCCTTTGGCTTTTAAGTGAGTTTTTGGGATGCGTTGAACTGATGCCATGATATTTTCTGGTCAGGCTTCCATGCCCTGTCTATATTCCTGATTCTATCTGCCCACCTAGTGAGAAACGATTTCCTCAGTGTCTGTCCATCTGAAAAACCACAAAAGATGTTCTGGAAAAAGACCTCACATCTTTTTGCTTAATGAAAGACAAGTTTTAAATGTACAACAGGTTATATAATTCTTGGGATATCTGTTAAATATATTACCTCTCTGATCTTTTACGCATATTCTAATAATTATAACATAAAATAATATATATGTAATTATAACATGATATTTAAGTATTTATATATTAAGTAATAATAAATATGTAATTATACTATATAATTATACATAGAAGCTACATATATATTAGCTATGTAGAATTACATACATATTAACTACATATATAATAGTTATACATAATTGTATACATATTAACTATATATAATTACATATATTAGCTATATATAGTTACATATATTAGCTTTATATATTTTTATATATTAGCTACATAAAATTACATATATTTAGCTACGTACATATTAGCTGTATATAATTGCAAACAAATTAGTTATATATACATATATTAGCTATATATAGTTACATATGTATTAGCTATATATAAAATTACATATATTAGGTATATATAATTATATATACATTAGCTATATATAATTACATATATAACCTATATATAATTACATATATTAGCTCTATATATTTACATATATATTAGCTATATATAAAATCGCATATATAAGCTATGTATAATTACATATATTAGCTAGGTATAATTATGTATATATTAGCTATATGTAATTACTTATATATTAGCTACATATATTAGTTATATGTAATTACATATATATTAGCTATTTTTAAAATAAATTTCCTATATAAAATTATACATACTTAGCTACGTATGTACTAGCTATACCTATATCAGCTATACACGGAAAATTTATTTTCAAAATAATTATCTAATTCCTTGGCATATGAGTGGTATAGAAAAATTTCTACCAAAGTTAGAGAGGGCTTGAGAGAGTCTCACCTAACTATAGGGAACCAGAAGTCGTCTGGAGGGTTCTGAGGTCACCTCCAACTGAGAGGCTCTCAGTGGTCTTTGAAATTGAGGTGGACATGCAGAGAGTAACCCAGCTTCTGCATGCAGAGAAATGTGCTCCTCTTCAGGCACTCTGGAAAGAGAAAATGAGCTGGGGACTCATCTAGCAGCCACCCAAATTGCAGAGACTCAGCAGAGAGTGAGCTCGGATTTGCAGCTGCTGCTGCTGAAGTCCAGTCCTTCCACAGAGGCTGCCCTGGGGAAAGCGGCAGTCTGCATTTATTTATGAGGCAGTGCTAAATGATTCTCGCAGGCAAGGCTGGCAGAGGCCACCATTCAGTCAATGAAATGCAATCTTTTCAGACTGCCGGTGTTGCCTGGCAGGACTAATACATATCTTGAGACTAACGAGGTTCCGTCCAACTTTGACCAAGAGAAATGATATTCTAGATTAGATGATTTGAACCTAGAATGCTCTATCCTTGAAATAATGGCAGGAGTTACAATGGGTTTATCTTATAACTCTATCTCCCATTATAAAAAAAAATTACCTTTCTCAAAATACAGATATAATAGTATCGGATCAAACGTGGCAGAAAACAGACACAAATTTGTTGGTCCAGGAACATAGACAAATGTGTATGGTTGTTTAGAATTTAGAAATATTAAAAGCTTGCTTCCCTCAGAAATTTAGTGTGTCTGTTACTCTAGATGTTCACGGATCATAAAGGTAGAGATGACCCTTCAAATAAACAACACAAGGGCAAGAAGGTGACTTGAGCTTCATTTATTTTCTTATTCGAGCAAGACAACTTCTGCATGGGTGAATTAAATTAGGTGGTTGGGAGCCCAAATGTAATGATATATTTTGTACCTTCAGCCCTCCAGCAAATAATCAGGCAAACCAAAAATTTGGCTCAGCCTACAAAACTAATTACTGGGTGCCTTCTCTATAAACAACCACACTGTAGTTTTTGAGTGTGGAAAAATGGGCACCAGGTGGGACTTTAACTCTGTCAACAAACAAGTATATTCAGTTGTGACCTCTTACACCTTGCTAAGTTTTCAATGCATATTGCAAGAGTCCAACACATGAACACACAGGTACATACTCACACAATAATGCATCTATAATACAATACATGCTCCAGGTGTTTTTGCTTCTGTGCTCAAAACAGATGTTTGTCTTTAGAAATCATCTTTGCACAGCATTTCAATCAAAACAGCGATGAAGATACATCACTGCATGCTTGGGGAAAACACCATGTGACATTCATTTTTAGCTAAATCTGTGCCCCCTTGTCAGAAGGCAAAATGACAGGCTCATGGGTCGAGCACTTTGGAGCTGGCAAAGCTCTTTTGCAGTGTTTATGTGTAGAATTATTTTAAAACATATGCCTAATGCACCCCCTATTTGTCACTAATCAGCCATAACACAGCAGGCAAGTTTCTTAATCCTTGTGAAGCCCCATGTACTAATGGATAGAAATGGAAGATGATAAGGATGAAGATACGTGAACTATCTCATAATACCTCGTGCATAGCATCTATTAAGATGAAGAGGAGGAGGAAGAGGAGCAGAAGAAAGAAGAGGAGGAAGAGGAAGAGGAGGAGGAATATAAACATATCGAAATACTTTTTTATCTTGGGCTGAATTCTGGAGCAGCAGACCCAAGGGTAAGGTGCTCTTGTGCAGGTGACTTGTTGAGAGTAATATGTGTTCAAAAGAAAAATTTATGAGAGTAAGCAAGAAAAACAGACTAGGGCAGAGGAGAAATTCAGCAAAGGTGTACCTTTAGCTGGAGTCTAGCTTCATGCTGATCCTGCAGGGAGGTTTTGAGTGGGAAGAGCACCACAGAATTGTCCTTACTGGGGGATGGGAGGAGGAGGAGGAATATGAGGAGGAGGAGGAGGAGGAGGAGCAGGAGGAGGAGGACCAGGAGAAATATAAACACGCTAAAATATTTTGCTGTCTTGGTTGAATTTCCTAAAGCTCATCCTGCTCTATCCTTACTCTAGGGTAAGGAAGCAGATAGGGCAGAGGAAGAAGTTTAGTTAACTTGTAACTTCAGCTAGAGTCTAGTTCTGCCCATCCTACAGGGAGGTCTTCAATTAAAAAAAGCACCACAGAGCTGCCCTCATTGAGGTAGGCGAGGAGGAGGAGAAGGAAGAGTAGGAGGAGGAAGAGGAGGGGGAGAAGGAGGAAAAGGAGGAGGAGGAGCAGGAAGAGAAAGAAGAGGACTTGGAATGGGATCACCCAGGAGAGGGCTGTGTAACCTCTTTGACATTCCCAGGCAATTTGACTCTTATCAGCCTAGGGTGATATTTCTAAACAAGGGGTGATTTTGCCTATCAGTGGACATGTGGCAATATCTGGAGATGGTTTTGCTTTTCCCAACTGGGGATGCTATTGTAACCTCCCAGTGGGTTTACCTTGTCTGCTGCCTAGACAGAGTCGATTTAACAAGACAGGAGAATTGCAATAAAGAAATAGTAATTCACGCAGAGCCGGCTGTGCTAGAGACTAGAGTTTTATTATTACTCAAATCAGTCTACCCCGAGCATTCGGGGATCGGAGTTTTAAGGATAATTTGGGGGCCAGGGGCTTCGGAAGTGGGGAGTGCTGATTGGTCAGGTTGGAGATGGAATCATAGGGGGTTGAAGTGAGGTTTTCTTGCTGTTTTCTGTTCCTGGGTGGGATGGCAGAACTGGTTGAGCCAGATTACCTGTCTGGGTGCTGTCAGCTGATCGATCCAGTGCAGGGGCTGCAAAATATCTCAAGCACTATCTTAGGTTATACAATAGTGACGTTATCCTCAGAAGCAATTTGAGGAGGTTCAGACTCTTGGAGACAGACGTTATCCTCAGAAGCAATTTGAGGAGGTTCAGACTCTTGGAGACAGAGGCTGCATGACCCCTAAACGGCAATTTCTAATCTTGTAGCTAATTTGTTAGTCCTGCAAAGGCAGACTGGTCCCCATGCAAGAAGGGGGTCTTTTTGTGAAAGGGCTATTATCAATTTTGTTTCAGAGTCAAACCATGAACTGAATTCCTTCCCAAAGTTAGTTCGGCCTATGCCCAGGAACGAACAAGGGCAGCTTAAATGTTAGAAGCAAGATGGAGTCAGTTAGGTCTGATTACTTTCTCTGTCATAATTTCCTCCATTACAATTTTGCAAAGGTGGTTTCACTGTTGGCATTTAGTGGGTGGAGTCCAAGGAGGCTACTAAACATCCCCTAATGCAGAGCAGAGCCTCCATCACAAGAAATTACCAACTTCAAATGTCAACAGGAACAAGGCTGGAGAAACTTGAAGGATACAGTTCTGGAAAAGAACGAAGCTGTGTGTGATTAGCAGCCAATACTCACAGGTTCTAGTGACTAGATGTGGTATCCCCGTGAAGGGACTGAATCTGAAATGGATAACAACAGTATCCACTAGAGTTGGTATACTCTAGACACCATGTGTTTCATATGTTTCAGTTTTATACACACACACATATATTTTATTTATTTATTTTCTTTTTATTATTATACTTTAAGTTCTAGGGTACATGTGCACAACGTGCAAGTTTGTTACATATGTATACATGTGCCATGTTGGTTTGCTGCACACACTAACTCGTCATTTACATTAGGTATATCTCCTAATGCTATCCCTCTTGCCTCCTCCCACCCCACGACAGGCCCCGGTGTGTGATGTTCCCCTTCCTGTGTCCATGTGTTCTCATTGTTCAATTCCCAACTATGAGTGAGAACATGCAGTGTTTGGTTTTCTGTCCTTGTGATAGTTTGCTCAGAATGATGGTTTCCAGTTTCATCCATGTCCCTACAAAGGACATGAACTCATCCTTTTTTATGTCTGCATAGTATTCCATGGTGTCTATGTGCCACATTTTCTTAATCCAGTCTATCATTGATGGACATTTGGGTTGGTTCCAAGTCTTTGCTATTGTGAATCATGCCGCAATAAACATACATGTGCATATGTCTTTATAGCAGCATGATTTATAGTCCTTTGGGTATATGACCAGTAATGGGATGGCTGGGTCAAATGGTGTTTCTAGTTCTAGATCCCTCAGGAATCTCCACACTGTCTTCCACAATGGTTGAACTAGTTTACAGTCCCACCAACAGTGTAAAAATGTTCCTATTTCTCCACATCCTCTCCAGCACCTGCTGTTTCCTGACTTTTTAATGATCGCCATTCTAACTGGTGTGACACGGTATCTCATTGTGGTTTTGATTTGCATTTCTCTGATGGCCAGTGATGATGAGCATTTTTTCATGCACACACACATATATTTTAAAATGTTTTATATATGCCCGTGCAAGGTGTCAGAGGCCCCTGTAGCAGAGTGGTTGGCTCACAGGTGGTAAAAAGAATTTACAGACAACGGTATAGGTTTGAAAAAGAAAGTTGTATTAGAAAGAACACTGCAGCAGAGTGAAGAGGGGTGAGCTTCGGCAAGGGAGGACCCAGTGCACTGTGGTGGATTTTCTTTAGGGTTACTTACGGACCTTGGAGCAGGAGCTGAAGGATAATTCCAGCCATATTTGTTACGTAGACATTTTGGTGCCTTGATGTCAGCAAAGGTTGCACAATGGGTTTGGACATGCGTACATTCTAGAGATGTATAGAAATTCTAGTTACTTATAAATTTCTTCTTGAATGCCTCAGATAAGGGGTTTTGCCTCCAGATGGTCATCAAGTGATCTTTACTCTCCTCAGTATATATATGCAAAATGATTTGTTTCTTGCCATTTAAAAAGGAAACATTACTGCATTGATATATCTATTTTATGAAATAATCAAAATTTGAAAAATTACTCTTGACTCTTGTTCAAGGGTGAAACATAAATAGGTCAACATTAGGTAGTATGTCTAAGAAGAGAAATACTATTATAAAAGTATCAATGCAAACTAAGAAAAAATACTTCAAATTTGACCATTTTAAAAAATATATAAAAATCTAGTGGTAGGATCTATCTTTGAATGACCTGGCTCTTCTCAGAAATCTAGTGATAAAATGTGGAATTGTGGTGTGTCATTTGCCTACTCTAGAGAAATTTCAAAGTGGCAGGTATGCACAAAAAGTGGTGTCATGGGGTTGCAGAATAAATAATAATTCAGAGCTGAGATGAGGAGAATCAGACATGTACTGGGTATAGGTGTAATTATGTAAAAGGACAGAGTCAAAAAAACAGAAAAAGTTCAGGGAATTAATTGCTAAAGTATCAAAGAAGTTTTTCTGGGAATATTAACATTTCGATTTTAACAAGTAAATTTTAACTACTTAGTAGCAGGAAATAATCTGCCTTCTTGTTTCAAGTGGTGATATAATTGAGTTTCTTGAAGCATGTTGTAATTGAAGTGTTACTCAGCATGGCTGGCATCCAAGGACGCACATAAAAGGTGCTCATATCTTAGTGAGTCTTCCAGGGACCTGGTTCTGAGTCCCAGGTTGCAAGTCTGGAAAACCAACTTTGTTCATTCCCCTGCACTTCCTCAGATGCCAAAGTGAGTGGAAAGGAAGACGGAACTCATACAGAAATTGAACCCGGAGGAGAGGTGCACACCCAACAAAATATCCTTCCGTGAATTTTCCACGTCTTCAAAATAACTGGAATGTTGATGCTGTAATTGCAGGTGTGTTTAAAGAGAATAAAATGGAAACAAAAGGAACCAGATGGTCTTGGTGCTATGGAGATTCTAATTTTGTATGCCCCAATCTGCAATCATCTGTGCTTTGTTGGAGCAGGAGTATGCTGCATGAAACGTTAGCTTTCTGTGCCAACTTGGCTTGGCCATAACACTCAGCTCCTTAATCAAACACTAATATAGGTGTGGCTGTGAAGGACTTTTGTGGATGTCATTAACAACCACAATCGGTTGACTTTAGGAGGATAATGGGAGTGAGTCTCATCCAATAATAGTTGAAAGTCCTTAAGAGCAAAAACAGGTTTTGTGAATAATAAGAAATTCCGCCTCAAGACTGCAGCATCACTTCATGCCTGAATCCCCAGCCCGCAGCCTTGCCCTAGCTTTTGGATGTGCCAGCCGCTACAGTCACATGAACCCATGCCTTCCAAGAAACTTCTTTGGTTCTGTTTCTCTGCAGATCCCAATCTAATAGATTGGGTCTCTCTCCATTGTAGAGTTCCTAAGCTTTGCTTACACAGCACATAAATCCTCATAGATTTGAAGTAAGTTTTTTTTTCATGGAGGACTTGATCAGGTATAACCTTTAACAAAGTTAACTTTTAATTTCACAAGTAATACGTGGACCGATTCTGTTTGTGAAAGGTCCAAAATTATAGATAATCCTAAGGCACACTGAATCATCATGTCTAATTATAAATCCCTCTCCAAAAGTAAACACCATTATCAATTTGATATGTCTCATGCTGGAGCAGCATTTCTGTAGTTATGAATATCTACCTATCCATCTATCAAATGTATATATCCATACATACCTTTTATCTTTCTGTACATCTTTCCATCCATCTATCTTTAACATCTGTCTATACATCTATTTATCCATTTATACATGTACTCTACTTAATTCTATTATCTACATATCTATGTATCTAATATTTATCTCTATACCTATTATCTAGTGGTATATCTCTCTATGAATCTATCCTTAACACCTATCTATTCACCCATCCATCTATTCATGCAACCATCCACTCTCTATCTATCTATGCATTCTATCATCTATCTACCTATCTACTCTATCATCTATCTATCATCTATCTACCTATCTACTCTATCATCTATCTCTGTCTATCTATCATCTATCTACTTATCTAATATATTATCTATCTATCTCCTATCAAAAATTCACACCAAAGAAATATGGAAGTCTGTGAATCTATAAATTACATTGAGAAAAAAAGAAATACTAAAGTAATTCTGTGGTTACTGATTGTTTTTGTGTGTGTCATACGCAAAGCTGCGTTTATTCTGCAACAGCTTATTTCCCAACATAACCCTTAAAATTCCTTCTCCACCACAGTACATAAGCATGCGTTATCATTTTATCTGCTGTATAATGTTCCCTGCCATGTTGCATTTTGCCTTTGTCCTTCCTGTGGGTGTCTATGTCATTCCAAGGCATGCACTGTTAGAAGCAAAGCCATGAAGCATATCTTTACACATGCTTCTTGGAGCATGTTTTTCTAAAATGGGCCATGAGAAATAGAATTGCTGAATCAGAGAAACTGATTTTGTTTAACTATAATAGCTTCTACCAAATTAACCTCAAAAATATCAGCAAATTTGCATTTACACCAAGCACTTAATTCCCTACTCCAGGCCTGATTTTATCGTACTTTTGAAATGTTTGCTAATCTGATGAGAGAAAATTGTGCTTCCCTTATTAATAATAAGGTTAAGTAGCATTTAGTATTTAATTTGTATTTTTGTAATCCCGAATAAATTGATCATATTTTGATAATTTTTTTCATTAGTGGCTTCCTTTGTATTGTGAGGAGGTTTTTAAGCATAGATTCTGGACATACAGTCAGGTACTGCATAACAATATTTCAGTCATTGATGAGCCACAATTCCACACTGTTCCCATGAGATTATAAAACCACGTTTCTACTGTACCTTTTCTGTGTTTAGATACATACACAAATATTTGCCACTGTGTTATGGTTGCCTACAATATTCAGTACAGTAACATTTTGCATAGGTTTGTAGCCTCGGGGCAATAGGCTGTACCATGTAGGCGAGGTGTGTAGTAGGCTATACCACCTAGATTTGTGTAAGTACACTCTGTGATGTTCACACAAAGATGATTAAATTGCCTAATGACACATTTATCAGAACATAGCCCTGTTGTTAAGCAACACATAACTGTAGTTTGTTGTGAGTTTTTAATGTTGAGGTAACCAAATGATTCAATATTTTCATGAGTAGCTTTTGGTTATTGCAGCCTTTTTAAAGAGGAGTTTCTCTGCCTTCAAGATTATAACATCATCTCTTCTTTCATTATTGTTATGTATTCCATGTTTTTCATATTGAGGTTTTTAACAGATCTAAAATAGTAAAGTGTGTGTGTGTGTGTGTGTGTGTGTGTGTGTGTGTGTGAGAGAGAGAGAGAGTGAGACAGAGAGAGAGAGAAAATTCACTCTGATTTATTCCGTGGCAGGAAACTAAAATATTTAAATTATCAACCTATTTAATGCTAACAATAATTTGAAAAAATAAGGGCTATCATTGCCATATTTTATTTTCCCTTAATTGTTTAAAACATATTTAAGCTAGTGTCACAGAAAATAAATCTAATGATGATTCTGTGGTTTTATAGATAATTTTCCCATACGAAAACCTTTTGGTATTTTTTTGATGTTGTTGTTATTCTACTACTTCTGAAATTCCACAACAATATGTGTGACTTACTTATTTACTTAGGTATTTATCACACTGGGCACTAAGTCCATTCTTTATGCTTTTCTTTACTTCTACAGAAGTGTATATTATTTGATTCTCTAATTATTAACTCCCACTGTACTTTCTAGTATCTCTTTCTAGAACTATTAATGCAGATATTTTGCAAACTGTGGATTTAATGTATATCTCTTCATTTCTACTTCTACTTTTCAAATTCATGCCTTCTGGGCTGAATTCTGAGAATGTTCTTCAGCAAAAACTTACACTCCATTTTACCCCTCCTTCAACTATAAATTTTTTATTAGTTACCCAACCTCCTAAGATTTTTTTTTTGTTTGCTAAAGACAAATGTTTAAATCTTTAGATGATATTTAAAAATACTATTTAAGGAAGGCAACATCACATCACACACTTGAGGATCATTCATATATTTCCAATAAACTTTGTAACTTGCTCAATTATCTGTGCTTCGTAGGTTCAATGTTGTTTTGAGTTAGTTGAATTTGTTTCTCTCTTTTATCTATTCACTTTCCTTCAGCATGTGGTTATTTACCACTGTACACCAAGTGTGTGAATTCCATTAGATCACCTCTGCTCTCTTTGTCCCCCGCCCCTCCTCCTCCTCCTCCTCCTCCTCCTTCTTCTTCTTCCTCTTCCTCTTCTTCCTTTCTCTCTCTCTCCTTTTCCCTCTGTCTCTCTGTCAATCTCTCTTCCTTTTCTATTCAGCCTGGATGGAGACAGGATGTAGGTGGTGCTGTCTTTCTCCCTCCCTCTCTCCCCTCTGTCTTTCCTCTTTCTTTTCTCCTCCTCCTCTCTCTGTCTCTCTCCCCTTCTCTCCTCTCTCTTCCTCTCTCTCTTTTCTCCCTCTTTTCCTCTCTCTCCTCTGTCTCCCTGCCTCTCTCTCTCCTCTCTCTTTCATTTATCTCTCTCTTCTCTCTCATCTCTCTCTCTTTCTTTCCCCTACCTCTCTTCCCTTCTGCTTCTCCTCTTCGTCCCCCTCTTCCCTTTCATTTTCTTCCCTTTCCTTCCCCCTCTCCTTCTCTGTTTCCCTCTTCTATTCAGCCTGCAAGGATACAGGTTGGAGGTGTCAAGCCCAATGAAGCTGATTCATCTGAGCACGAGAGCTAACCACCTCTTCTGTGCGCTGCCATCCACCTTGGTCTCTGCTACCACTATCCTTCCCAAGCTTCCACAGCTATTGTTCCTACTTGGAGGCAAGTGCACCTGCTTCTCATTATTCTTTCCTTTCTGACTGCACCTTGACCTCCCTGCTAGATTTTTCTGGCTTACCTTCTGCTTCATGTATAGACAAAATACCTGTATTACCGTGGCCTCTTTCCACAGTGTCTGTTCTTATAGAACAAAGTTCAAAACAAAAGGCATCTGCTTGACATATGTCAGAGTCCTTTTTAATCCACCAAGGACAACTTTTATTATTTTCCAACATGGTATTTGAAACATTTTATGTCCTGACAAGTGTCTGACATATATGAGGATTTGATGTGGGAGAGGAAAAGAAAAATCTACAGTGTATGATTTTTCTGCTCTCTGGAAGTAAAAGTCCAATGTACAAAGTTAGACAAATAGTACATGTTATGAGTGGAGGGATTTTGTCCTCTGAGAAGGTGTTTCCTTTGATGAATAAATGTATGTTGTTCAAATATATTGTTACTTGCTCTATATAGGATAATTTCATCTCTCTTTTTGAATATGAATGAAATTGGCCTTTATTCTATTCTATTTAAATACTGGCACTTACATTTTAAAACAGTGGACAATATGAATTTATATATTCATGGTTACCTTCATTTTTTCTCTACCCACATTTTGAGGGGAATGGGATACAAGCATTTGAGATCATCACCCTGATGACGAAATACTGGGGAGAAATTCAGTCCCTGAATATCCAGTACGCTAGGCATGGACTTTCTCAGAAATATCAATGCCCTGAGCAGCAACAACAATAAAACTTTGCACGGATAGTGTCAATGTCTGGATTGCTTAGTCTTCACAGTACAGCAATCAAATCGGTTCTAGTAATAAAATAATTTGCTCTACTTTATACTTTTTAATAAAATTTGATTTCTCTGGGCCATATTATGCTTATTAGAAAGTAGAAGCTATTCTTGGACTCTGCTCAGATGCTATTATGGAGGGAGAGTCAATGCAGTGTACTGTGAATGGTCCAAACTCACTTCCTAATTTGATTTCACTTGCCAGTGTATCACTCAATTAAATAAATAGGAACCAGTGTGAGGCAAAATTGAAATGCTTTTACTACGTTGCTCTTTGCAGTGTGCTAAAAGTATTTCATCTACCTTCCCTTTCTCATTTTCCCAATACTGCCATGGGTGATATATTTAATTATTCCCTTTACAGATAAAAAACTGGAACCAGAGATTCATGACATGATATAACTTGCCAAAGAACCCTTATCTAGTAAATCCTTTGGTTTCAAGGAAGGACATAACTGGATGCAAAATAACTAGTGCCCAATTTAGTTATGGTGGGAAGTTTATCATTTCAGTTACTGCTATAGCTAATAAATCAAGAGTAGACCTAACCTTTGGGTCTCTAAAGACCACAGCATCTTGGAATGATGCTCAAGTATCCCCCAGGCAGGATGTAGCAATAAAAAGTAAAGGGATCCTGTGAAGAGTGATTCGGTTGGATGCAACAACACTTAAGAAAACATATGCTGATAAATTAGGCATAAAAAAATCAATCAAAACCAAACAATATTATGTCATGAAATAAATTCCTGGATTTTTATAAAAGTCTAAAGAGTTATAAAAAATTTAAGATCTGAACCCTAAACTATGCCACATATTCTTGCAATAAAATATAACTCACACTATTTTCAAATTAAACAGCTTCCAATCTCCAGCTCCCAAAACAAAACAATACTAAAAGCTAGCAATGGGCAATGGCTTTTTTTTTTTTAGATGTCTTAGATCGATCAGGAACCTGACATTAAGGAACTGGCCAATCCTGGAGTGATCACAGCCTTTGTGCAAAATAACATCTTTTGCACTCTAGTAAATGTGCCTGGATTTAGTGTCACATAAACTTGGGTTTTGAGATTATTTTTACAGTTAAAACATTTAATTAACTTCAGAGATTATCACCAGTAACTTGACATTATTGGCATTGAGTATGGCAATTCCCAACCATGGCTGCATATAGCATCATTTGCTTGCTGTTGTTGTTTTGAGACAGGATCTCACTCCCGTTGCCCAGGCTGGAGTGCAGTGCCATGATCACAGCTCACTGCAGCCTTGACCTCCTGGGCTCAGGTGATTTTCCCACCTCAGCCTCCCAAGTAGCTGGGACTACAGGCCTCTGTCACCACATCCTGCTATTTTTAGTTATCTATTTTATTTTTTTAATAGAGACGGGGTTTTACACTATGTTGCCCAGGCTGGTCTTGAACTCCTGGGCTCAAGCAATCCACCCACCTCGGCCTCCCAAAGTGCTGGAATTACAGGCTTGAGCCGCCACGCCTGGTCAGCATCATTTGTAAAGCTTTAAAAATACTGAGGCCAAGATTCCAATCCCTACGACTGTGGCTTAACAGGTCCTGGGTGAGCTTAGACATGAGGCTCTGCAAAATCTTTCTAGGTGATTCGATCGTGCAGCCAAAGTGGAGAAAAGAGGTGCCAATGTTCCCGGCCAATGTAGGAAGCAATGAACATGACTCCTCTTCAGCCACTTTTAAGTTTATGGAAAAGACCCAACAACATAGTTGGAGCCTTTTAAATTCACTTCCCTCCTTCATGTTTGGTCTTCCTTGTGACAAAAGGTCCAAATAAGCAACACACTGTAATTTATTCATGCAATGTCTTCTCAGCACACCTGGTTGGCTGCAATTCCTCTTGCTGTCATGAATCCAGGGGCTTAGGTGGGCCAGGAGATGCCACTGGAGAACAAGTGCATTCTATGACTTAAGAATCATGCTCTTCTTGACTGTTGAAGACCACAGCAAAACGAGCCACTGTTGGATGACCTCTCTAACCCAGATGTTTCATTAACACTCATTTAAATAATGCATTGCTCTTCTTAGCCATCTCTCACCCTGTTTTTTTAGTATCTTACGTGGATTGTCCACCTACATTAAAGAACATTAACAACTACAATTGATGACATGAGTAGGTGGATCTGATTTTTTTTAATTTTAGATGTATATATATGTGCATATAAATAACTAATACATAATATAATACATTACATTATATATTAATATGTAACACTATGTAAATATATAATATAGTAAATAATATAAAATAAATAAGTATATATATAAGTGGTTGAAATTGCTAATTGTATATATAGCAATTTCAACCACTTTTAAGAGTGCAATTTGGTGGCATTAATTACATTCATACTGTGGTGCAGCCAATACCACCTTCTATTTCCAAAAACAGTTTTATCACTCTATACCCAGAGTACAGTAACTCTTCATTTTTTCCCCTCCCCTCAGCACCTGGCACCCACCGTCCTACTTTCCGTCTCTATAAATTTGACTGCTCTAGGTACCTCATGTAAGTGAAACCAAGCAATATGTGTCCTATTGTGGTTGGCTTATTTCATTTAGCATGTCATCAAGGCTCATTTATGTTGTAGAAGATATCTGAGCTCCCTTCCTTTTCATGGCTGAATAATATTCCACTATATGTATACAACACAATTTGTTTATCCATTCATCTTTCTATAGATATGTGGGTTTTTTCTACCTTCTAGTCATTGTGAACACTGCTGCAATGGGCATTGGCTTACAAGTATCTGAGTTTCTGTCTTTAAATCTTTTGGATTTAAATACTAAATTTTTTGGAGTGGAATTGCTACGTCACGTGGTCATTCTATGTTTAGGAGCTGGGGGTTTTATATGTGCATTTGGAGAACTAAATGTCAGAGCAACATTCAGATGTAGGAAACTGAAGCTCCAGAAGTGTAAGTAACTAGCTAATGCTGTAGAAGTAATAAAATGAAAGTTCCAGGACACAGACCACAGACAGATACTCAAGGTTGAACTTTAAGCCAATCTGCCCTACTTTCTGCAAGATTGACTAGATACTCTGTTACTTTCTCAACAAAATTCTCTGTCTCCGATGTAAAGGACAAAAGGAGTTCTAGATTAACTTCTGAGAGGTACTAGGAGCGGACAAATTGATATAATTAGAAAGGGGGAGCAAAGGATATGAGAAACACATGCCACAGGATTTCAGTGGACTTGCCTCATTTGGAGGGGTGAAGGGAAAGTTTCAGAGAGTTCCTAGTATGTGTGACTTTGATTGTTTTTGTTTTCTTTTAAATTTTCTAAAGGGGAAATTCTTCAAAGTAAAACAGTATTTATTAATGCATTGTATTTACATTAAGGCAGCTAATAACATTTATATTTTGAGTTGTTGATTTACTGCTAAAATAGTTCAGCATCTTGCCTATTTCTGAGAGCTGCTATTGGTTAAGTCTACAGACATTGACTGCAACCCTCTTGGGGTTCAAATCATGTATTCAAGGCATGCTGCTAGGGTGAGTTCAAGCCACTGACTCAACCATTTTGTTTCTCATTGTTCTCATCTGCAAAATGTGAATAATATACTAACTCCCTTACAGGACTCTTGTGAGGATTAGATGAGTAAATATGTAAAGTGTTTAGAACAATGCCTGGCTGCTGACAAGTATTATATAAGTGTTATCATTATCATTTTCATTATTATTATTATCCCATAGACACCAGCACTTGCATCCTGCCTTAATTCCAGATTTACATTCGTTTTAGCCAACCAACACATATTTATTTTGCTGATCCTTTCGTGAGGCAACAGGCAACTTCTTGGAAACAAAATGAGGAGGTACAGGAGATCTCACTGGCTTGGGATGGCCTTAGTGACCTGCTTCTAAAAAATTGGATATGGGCAAAGTGATGGGATATCACTTCTGACATTAGGTTGCCCAAAACTCTCCATTTTTTTTGTTATTATGTTTTGAGTCGGGGTCTCATTGTGTTGTCCAGGCTGGAGTGCAATGGCGCAATCATAGCTCACTGCAGCCTCGGCCTCCTGGGCTCAAGAGATCCTTCCACCTCAGCCTTCCAAGTAGCTGGGATTACAGGCATGTGCTACCATGCCCAGTAAATTTTTGTTAAAATTTCGTGTGGAGACAGGGTGTTGCTATGTTGCCCAGGCTGGTCTCAAACTCCTGGCCTCAAGTGATCCTCCTGTTTTGGACTCCCATATCCCTGGGATTAATACCCATCTTTTACTGAGTATTTATCACCACACTGAACTTTGGCTGGGTTGTTAGTAGACGTTCACCCATTGACATGCATCATTTTGAATCCACACCTCCACTCCCATCTAGTCTCTAGCTCTCTTAATTCACTGTTAGACGTTTCATCTTTCTCTCCCAATAGAATGTGCTCTCCTAAAATACATGCATTTGTTAATGATCTCTAAGCTCAGATAGAGGACAGTGCTTAAACTTACTTTACAAATGTGTGAATAAATAAACGCATGGTTAAACTAATGCATGGCAGTGAAGGGCACCATAAAGCTATGTTTGGGGATGCATTTCGAAAACTTTGCTAGCCCCATGACTTAGTCTCAGAATAAGAGCTATTGTTTATTAAATACCCACCTTTGTGCCAAAAATGTTAGCTTCATTAGCTCTAATTCTCAGAATGGCCCAAAAAAATAAGTAGAATTTAGTAACTTGGCCAAGAACACACAGCTTGTAAGTGCCAAGATTGGTGGGCTTTTTTTTTTTTTTTTTTTTTGAGGTGGAGTCTCACTCTGTCACCCAGGCTGGAGTGCAGTGGCAGGATCTCGGCTCACTGCAACCTCTGCCTCCCGGGTTCAAGCAATTCTCCTGCCTCAGCCTCTCAAGTAGTTGGGACTACAGGCGCACGCCACTGTGCCTGGCTAATTTTTGTATTTTTAGTAGAGATGGGGTTTCACCACGTTGGCCAGGCTGGTCTCAAACTCCTGACCTCAGGTGATCCTCCCGCCTTGGCCTCCCAAAGTGCTGGGATTAAAGGTGTGAGACACCGTGCCCGGCAAAGATTGGGCTTTGAACCCAGGAGCATCCAACTGTTAACCCTGAGGGATTGTAATTCATATGTTGGTTCTTTAGAAGATAGAATTGATATATTTAAAAATATATTCCTGTTTATCCAAATTGCCATGTCTAAATATGATGAAGTAGTGAGCCTACTCTTCAGAATCAGTGGGCTTTTTCTTTTCTTTCGTCAGTAGCTCCTGCTTGGACCAACATTTTGGTGACCTTATTAATATGGATGATGCTTTGTATGATAAAACTAAATGGCTATTTAAGTGTATAGGAATTTCAAGGTTCAAATCTATTTTCCTACTAGCAAACAGCAATGCCTCACATCACAATAGTGACATGTAGATTAAATAGTCAGTGTTTGCATAATATTTTGTACTCATGCCACCTAATTTTTTCCCCTCTCACTGTGTTTTCAGTGGAGAGCAGAGAAACGATGAACCCTGGGAACACTGCCTGGAATCTTATTAAATTATCCATGTCCTGTTCAGTGATTTACAACCTGTGGGGCTGTGGACCTTCAGGGCACTTGTGTTCCAGTGATATTCCCAAACTTCCACCATTGTATTCTTTTCCTTTTGATGTAAAATATACGTTAGTGTTAAAGAAAGATTCCTTTAATTGATGTCCCAAGCAAAAATTACCATTGTGGCTCATTTTGTGTCTGAGACAAAATTTTGTGTCTAATTAAATTAGAAACTATTGCGCCACATAACAAATAAAGTTGTAAATTAAAATCATGAGAGCTGAAATCATTCTGTTTGTATTTTAAGATAGTTATTATAATTTCATATTCGCCTAACTTTATCACAATTCTTTGAATTCTTTCATTTCACCTCAATTTTGTTGAATTTATCTCATATATTAGAGGCATGAGAATCATTAGGAGATAACTCACACCACAGGTATTGAGAAGTTAATATCCTTTGATAAATTATCTTTTATTTCTTCTGAAGTTATACTCAAAGATGTGTACTATGCATCACCAGTCAATAAAGTAGGGAATATATCTTCCTCCAGGCACACAAAACACAACATTGACCAGCTGTTGTAGTTGCATGTCAAGAAACAGCCCAGTGGTTTATGTGCCAATGTCAAAATCCAGCATGGTCTCTTTCCTCATTTTTTGTTGTACGATGAACACATTATAGTAACATTATATATATCAGAGGCTTAAAGATTTATACAGAAAACTGAAGATCTGTTTTTATACAACATGTATCTCATAAGTGATTCCATAAAAACATATTTTTAAAAATGTTATTGATTAATCTGATCAAGCGTTTATTAAGGAAAAGTAGGACACATGATTTCTTTTTGGTTTTTTTTTTCAGTTCACAAAGTAATGAAATGATTCCCAACTATTTTCTAAAGACAATTAATGTGCATATCTTTAACATCATTGGGAACTCGTGTCTTTTATCAAACTTGATGTATTGAAATGCATTTAAATTATCATTCTTACTGACGGTCAAAGTGTGTCATCTTTAGCCAGTGGGAGTCCATTCAAGTCAGCTGTTGTGTCCTATAAACACCATCCTATAGTTCTGGATAGTCTTGAATTCTTAGGAACCACACAGCTGATGAAGGAAATTTTCACTTTAAAGAAGAATTCCAACCAAACAAAGAAATATGTATATAATTACGCTATCACCATTTTGCAACTCCTTATGAAGACAGATCTCATCAATGATCATTAACTTTTTAGCTTCCCCCAAAGAGAGACAAACAGGCATTATGTAGTTGCTGGTGGAAGAACTCAGCACCAATTATGAGACGGTTCTGCTGCTAAACATTAAGACTTGAATCTGATAAAAATTCTAGATGAAGTTCCAGCTTGGAGGAACTATAGGGATGAAGAAGTACAGTGAATGTCACCACAGGGCGCCAGGAGTTATAGCAGGTAGTTAGGCAGACAGGAGCAGGGCAGGAGAGGGCCCCCCCCACCAGGAACAACCCCCATCATCAGATAATGATCAGATGGTTGATAACTGTCTCTCTAGAATAATAATTGGTCACAGCCAGCACCAGGGAAAGGCAGTCTTCCAATAAACAGAAACACCTGAAATGAGTGATCAGCAGCTTTCTGATAAGATCTCAGGAGTTGCATGAGTAGGCTCAAGCATGCACATTAAGACACAAAATTGTGGAGTTTAACTGGTATATGATCTCCTAGGGACACTCAACTGGTAAGGGAATAACGCCTCAAGTGAGCATGCATACAACTCCAGGAAACACACCGCACATGCTCACGTCCCAACTGCTGGCAGGCCACTGTGCATGCGGACAGCCCACCCAAAGGAAAAAATCAAAAAAAGAAAGGACATAAGAGCATGGAAGCATGCCAACGTATACAACCCCATGTCAAAAGGTCAAACCGTGCACTTGATCTCTCAAGTCGCCTGCTTGGCCCTTTTCCAACTGTACTTTACTTTCTTTCGTTTCTGCTCTAAAGCTTTTTAATAAACTTTCACTCCTGCTCTAGAACTTGCCTTGATCTCTCTCTCGCTCTGCCTTATGCTTCTCAATCTAATTCTTTCTTCTGAGGAGTCAAGAATTAAGGTTGCTGCAGACCCATACGGATTTGCTGTCAGTAACACAGGGACTCAGTTTTTATTCAACACCAAAAAATAGGAAGACAAAAATGGGGGCATAGTAAACAAATGTGATGTGTAGACCTTGTAGGATACTGATTCAAACAAAACTTATAAGAACAAGATGAAAAAATAGGAAGTTAATGGAGAAAGAGGAGGCTGGGAGAGGAAGGGAGAGAAGAAGAAAAACTACAAATATAAAGCAGAAGCAGAAACAGGAGGGAAGGGGGAGGAGGAAGACAGAAGAAGAATGAGGAGGATGAGGCAGAGGAAGAAGAGAAGAAGAAATGGGAGTAAATAAAGAAGAATAAAAAGAAGGGTGAGAAGGAGGAGGAAAAGAAGGAAAAAGAGGGGAAGGAGGAAGAGGAGGGCGTGGAGGAGAAGAACATTTATAGTAAATTTGAAAAATTACCTCAACGGAAGAATCTTGACCTTTTAAATCTATGTCCATCCATACTGCAATATTTCATATTTTAATTTTTGAAATATGATTGTGAGATGTGCCTCAAAGTAAACTGGGGATAATGGGTATGGGAATTGGATGTGGGGGTGGTTAGGAGATTAAAGTCTGCATAGGATACTAACTTTCAGAGATATGTGACAGTGCCTTGGAAGTTCATTTTGTATTTGTCTTTTTTCACAATGAAAAGTTCCAAAATAATGGCATCATCCCATTGGAATAGAATGCAATATTTGATTTCAGTGATAGTTGAGACATCGCATGACTCAGCTGTCTATATATGCATTATATTTCATTTCCTAGGTGTCTTGTTAGAAATTCTAAAGTTAAGACAGACATGCATGAATTGTATCAGTCATGAAGAACACCTGGACAAAGGGAAGACCCATGGACCCTGGCATGAACTGTCAACAATGAAAGTATTACCTAACAATGAAATCACTGTCTACAGATTTGATTTTGCCAAGGAAGTGGATGAACTATAATAGTGTGCAAAACCACAAGCTCTGGGGCCAGAATGCCCGAGTTCTGATTTTGCCTCTAGGCAGCTACACAGTGTCCTCACTTCTATGAAAACTGTTTCCCCATATGCTAAAAAATAGTTGATGAAGCTTAAATGAAAAATGTATACAAATGTTCTTAGTACAGTGCTTGGCACATAACATAATCTCAATAAATCAGTAATATTAAGAGTAACATTACGTGAATAGCCAATTATACCTCCTAATGATGTTTTGTAATTATCCTAATTATCGGAAAAAATTCTATTGCATCTTCCTGAAACTGGAGTCTATGCAATTGAAGGGAAATTTCTTAATCTTTCTATACCACAGTTTTTGCATCTCTAAAAAAAGCAACTTATAATTGTACCTACCTCAGAGGTTTGTTTTGTTTGTTTGTTTGTTTTTTATGAAGACAAAAAGCTGGCAAAGTACCTAGAACAGTCTGGCACATCCTAAGCCCGGAATAAATTGTAACTGTGATTGGAGGAATAATAATAATTACTCTTATTACTGGCCAACATCACAAAATTATCCCATGACCCAAAAAGTCATGCCTTTGTGATATTATGAACACTTCTAACCTAAAGGCATTTTATCCTCTGCTGTGTCCTCTTCCTAACTAGCAATGTGCTAATTACTCAGGGTTAATGTGCTGATGCTTCAGGGAATGGTTGGAAAGGCACCCTAACGTGTTCCTACTTCTTAACTCCATCTCAATTTTTACATCGTTAATTCTTTGGGTAACCCACCCAACCCCCCACACCCACACACTTTCCCACGCCTTGCACCTGCTCTGAATCAATTTTATATTTAACAATTGTCTTAAAACTGGTTCCCTAGAAACAGACTCAGCGACAGAGGGTTGTGTGCAGAAAGCTTTCTGGAGAGTGTTTTTGGGAAATACAAGTGCAACTAAAAAAGAAAGAAAGTCAGATTGGACTGAAGGAGAAGCTGTCCTGCAATATGGTTGCAACAGAGACATCAGCCTACCTGTGAGGGAGCTCTGGAGTTAGGATGGTGCATCAGAATTTTCTTAAATTGAAGTTAAGTGGCCAATGGCTTCAAACCCCACACCAATCAATAACTGGCCAAGGTCCATCAAGTGAGGATTTTCTAAGCTTAGGGAAGGCTGCAGTTTAACGCATTTCCCAGAAAAGGAGGAATCTGGGAGCATTCAGTGGCAGAAATTTCCAGAAGATGGAGAATGAATGTGTCACTCTGAAGAGGCAATCAGTTAGCATCTCCCCAGTTCCCACCACAGCATCCATAAAACATAAATCCTACACTTCAGATTCTCCCAAGTCTTTGTGATTTTTTTTTAAGTAAACATCATGGGCCATATTCACTGGCTACCATTCAATGCCTACTTAAAGGGTATTCTGGAGGCCACACGGATCCTGTGTAAGATAGGAAGTCCAAAGGAATATTAATGAAAGCAAGAAATAAAAAGAGCTAAGGGAGTGATTTTTCAAGTTAATAAGCTTTGTCATCTAGATTAAGTTAATTGTTACCTCTTCTCCCTGATTTATCTAAGTCTGATATGACCCTGGTTTTTCTTTCCTTACCTTTCATCAGGAAAAATTTCAACCGTGTACTGTCTCTTCCTCTCCATCACACTCCAGTCGTTATTGACCTGGAAGGAAAAGACAAAGTTGATTATGAAAACACTAAAAAAAAAATGGATCTTACCATAATTATATATAAATTATAATATACTATCCTATGTTTCCAGACTCATAATTCCGTAGCTATCTTCTAGCATGAAGCTGTTCAAAATAGTGACAATGTACATTTTTAAATGCTTATTATTAATGTTATTTCATCTCATAAGCAAACAAACATTGTCAAAAAATCTACAAAGCTAGCCTGGACAACATAGCAAGACACTGTATCCACAATAATAACAATAACAGTGTATCTATAGTACCCATAGTACCAGCTACTCCAGAGACTAAGGCCAGAAAGGATCGCTTGAGCCCAGGAGGTCGAGCCTGCAGTGAACCGTGACTGCACCACTGCACTCCAGCCTGCGACATAGAGCAAGAGACCCTGTCTCTTAAAAAAAAAAAAAAAAATCTGCAAAGCACCAAAAATCCCAAAGAATAAAATAACCTTTCTTTACTGCCTAGAGATAACTGCTCTTAACATTTTGTTTTATATACCACCAGTTGTTCTCTGTGGGTTGAAATACGTATTATACTGATTTTAAAAATATTTATATATTCCACACATTTTTAAAATGTGTTCTTTCAATTGATGAATAATAGCAACAATCAGTATTGTCAAAGTAATAGATGAAATATATAGATAGATTATAAATAATTTATCCAGTCCTCTATTGCTAGATATTAAGGAGGTTGAAGTATTCTCTTTAGAAACCATATGGTAGTAAATGACCTTATTGAAAACCTGAAATATCCCCATCATTTACTGAAGAAAATTCCTTAAAATTGAATATATTGCCTATTGTTTTAAGGAGAAAATTTTGTTGCGCTCTCTTCCAGAAAAGACAAATAAATGAAAATGCAATGTAGCAAACCTCATCAAACCTGAATTGGGATAAATACCTTCAGTTTCCAAGTCTCAGGAAAATAGATGTACAATCTTAAAAAGTTCAGCATATTAACAAAGGCATCGTTTTAATTTATTTGAATGAAAGCAAATATATTATTTTAACTTCTTTTATTATTTCATGGAAGTTTAGAGAAAATTAATATGTAAAAATGGTTTTAAGACATTCACACTCTAATTTTCCTGAGAACATTTAAAAGGTTACTTACTTAAAAGACCACTTACTATGTATGAGTTTGTCTGTAATAGGAAATTAACTACTCATGCAATTAAGTCCTCTGCTTCGAGTTCTGAGTCTGACTTTGAAGTGCTAATAAGACAAAATTACTGAAATCCAGGAAAGAAATTAAGACATGTAAAATGTTAATTAAATTCAGAAACAGAACTAATAGGAAAACCAATGTGAAATGGAAATTTAAAAAAAGGCGTATGTTTACACACACACACACACACACACACACACACACACAGAGAGAGAGAAAAGAATTCAGATGAAGTACAGAATTTTAAAAAAGATTTTTAAAATTGCTTCAAGTGATTTTGTCCACGTTTAGTAAATTCCATGATGGTGTCTGAGAAAGTAAATAAGCATCCAATTACAATAATTTTGTGGATTCTTCCTTCACAAAACTAAAGTCCCATAATCACATCCAGTTAAACGGAACATGAACGTATTGTGAGATGTTATTTATTGAAGTGCGTTTTTTAGATGGAACTCGTTGGCTTGAATAATTGATCCTAAGCTTCCGTCCAAAGAACGAGTCATGACTCTAGTTAAACAAAAGCTACATAGATAGGTAAAGTCTACTGCGATATCTTCTCAGGGAAATCTGACCCATGATAATAGTTCCATACATTTTCCTGGCAATTTAGATTTTGACAAAAATTCAGTGGACTATGGGTCCTTTGAAAAGGGAAGTTGAATAAGTGGCATCTCACAACACGTTGATTTTCCATTTCAAGTGGGTGTGATTAGGGAACTTTAGTTTTGTGAAGAAAGCATCCAGGAATTTATCATAATTGGATGCGTATTTATGTTCTCAGACACCATTATGAAATGTATTAGAAGTGGGCAAAATCACTTAAGCGATTTTATAGAACTATTTTAAAATGTCTCCTTCTTTCAAATTAGCACTGTGCTTGCAATGAAGTGGTACTTACTCAGCGTTCTCTACGTAATCGTGGGTTATCATGCTTTCCCCTTCTAAACAAAATCAATTTTTGATTTAAGGCTGTTGTTTTGTTATTAGTGCTTTTAGTACATGGTGAACAGGAAGAAACTGGACATCAAGCCAATTTGGACATAACCAAAAGTGTAATTTTTGTTATTTGTTCTTTTCTTCAGGGACATCAATATTTGTATGACGTAACTTACTTGTCTCTTTTCAAATATTTGTGTTCTCAGTTTTTTATGCCATTTTAAAAATTTTTTCTCTCCTTTTTCTTTGGGACTCTAACAACATGTGTATTAAACAATGTGTTATTCCTCAACAGGTACTGGTATTGTAAAGGTACCTAGTACTAGGAATAGATTAATGAGATTGATGGATCTGGATCCAAGACAGTATTGAAGATAAAAAATGAGATTTGGAGACTAAATGCATAGAGACCAACTCCCTATTGATGTCGAGCTGATGAGGTGAGTATCTGAACCCAAACCCTTTTCCCTTATTTGTGAAATACTAGATATGTAGGTAGACAGATAGATAGATAATATGAATAGATAGATAATAGGATGATAGATTTATACACATGTATTATAGCACTGGGGTATCTATAGATATATATAGATATATAAATATAGCTATGGATATAAATAGCAAATAAATTTGTGTATATAAATCAATGAATATATGTGCATGTATGAGTATATATTAATATGTGTGTGTGTATATATATATATATATATATATATATAGAGAGAGAGAGAGAGAGAGAGAGAGAGAAAGAAGCCATGAAATTTAATATAGCCACCCACTACATCATGATGTATTTCCACAGGAAGGTATAAATATATAATTCCTTTTTCATTCTAAAGTTGTATATATTCCTCTTCCTATTGAATTTGTTCCATTTTTATATTAATTTTATAGAAACAACAGGGTTTTTTACCAAATTAAGAGTTAAGCACATCTGCAGAAATTATATTCTAGAACTGGTATATGATTTCCTAGTGAAATATTTGGAGTCCATGCAATTAGCCCTGACACAGAAAAATATTGTAGATTGCAGGCATTTTCTGTCTATCCGTAATAATGGACCCATCTGGAGACACATATTGAAGGGGAACAAATAATATCAGCTCATTGACAACTGTCTCTATTCAGAGGGGGCCGTGATAGAGTTAGGGGCATGTGGTACGTAATGCTTTCTACATTGCGTTGCCCAAAACACTCATTTCAGGAGCTGCTCTGAGGGAGAGAGGCAGGAGGAGGCATAGGGATCTCATAAGATTTATAGATTTGCGTTATACATGAGATTATTGAAATCCCTGAAATATACTTCAGGGAAGACTCTTTTTCTCCTTTGTTTTCTCTGTATTTACTAATTGATTTACTTTGATGTGGAATTTCCCACGCACTATGAAGCATAGACATATCTGTTTGAAAAATACACAGTTAGGAAATTAAAAACGTGAGAACTGTGAGTAAAAACATAACACAATTCTTGTTCTCAGCTTTCTCATGCGTATATTAACTGGGTTGAATAAAATACTTTCTAAGATTCCTTTTATAGTTGAAGATTTCTATCTTATGACAATAATTACCTGACTTGACTGTAATTATTTTTTATGCTACAATACAACATAGACTTTTCTCCCACATGTTTATTTTCCAATGGGAAGATACACTTTTAATAATAAGACATGGTAGCTGAAAATATACACATATTTTCTTTCTTTCACACAACCACTCTTTTCCCCAATTCAGTAAGAGCACAATGAAATGTGATTTTTAGAAAATATTCAGTTTCATGTATAAATCTATTTATTAATGCTGATTTTATCGGCTGAAATTTATATCATGAACACATGAAAATAGGGGTCTTGGACTATACATGACATTGAAATTTCACATCCTTTTGGAACTTGCCAAGAGAGTATTGTCTATCATCTCCAATTTGTTTCTATGCTGGGGAAAAAAAAGTGCTGAGAAAATGAGACAATGTAACTAGCTGTTGGATGTGTAGGAGGCACGTGAAATGGGAAAGGTGGCATTTTTCTGTCTTCATTTATAACATTTCTTGTCATCCTCATGCAAGGTTAGTTATTTCTAAATATCTGACCTCAAAAATGTAAGTCAGCTGTCACAAAATTATGCAATGGTGCTCAATTTCAAAGTCACTTTTAAGTGGAAGAAATGGTTGAAGTTAGACAAGCTTCTTACAAAAATGCATGAAACAGTTCATTATGCCAAGTTATTTATTCCACTGCATGCAACATTGATTTAGGTTGGTGACAACAGTGATTGAATAATCGCCAGCCAGACTCCAGAACATTATAACAAAAAAATTCCAGTGTTTCTGAATGGTTTGGGCAAATGTTTAAGGAACTGTGTTAGAGGCAGCTATCTGTTGCAGGACAACATTATTATCACCGGTCTGTAAGCAAGTACTGTATTGTCCAACGTAACAAGGTTGGTAACCAAATGACAAAGTGATATGGGATGGCTTGCACCAAATTATAGTAGGAGGGTCTGTGTAGCATAGGTTTATAGCCCAATGTAGCAGAAGATGTGTAATAAACCACTCATGTTCTGTCTTGAAGGTCATGTAAAGAAAATTTCCAGCAGGCAGAAGAAATGGAATTTTCTAGAATTATCAAGAGTTCCTAATTGGATCCTTTACCTGTTTAAAGGCATCAAGAGGAATCAGTTTCACATTTGGGATCTTCTGTTGACTCTAAGTAACTTTGACAAATTCATTAAGCTGTAGGGTTCTCATTATCATCACTATAATTTGCCAGTTCCTTCATCAAACTTAATTCTGCCTTATGTCAGGGGAATCTTAAAGAGCCACGTTACTTAGATTGTACTGTTTTCTGGGACATTCAGGTGGAAGACACTGAGTCTCAGAAGTGTTATTTGATGAAGGCAGACTTCATATTCCAAGGCTGGCCTTGTGACTTGAGTTCTACACTCTTCGCAAACCTCAATCTGCTTCCAGTTTTCCATACTTGGGTACAAATTGGTGCCCTTCTCTTATAGATATCCACTTTCTAGATACCTTACATCATGATATCATGTTCAAATGCACGGAACTGTACTCCTTTAAGCCAGTGCCACTGTCTTGGTCATTTCTGTCTCCCATATCTGACTCAGAACAGTTGACTCAACGGTTAAGCCCATGCCACTGTGATCACTCTTTATCCATCTGTCTCTCAGTACTTAAGTGTAATGTTTTATCCTTGTCTAACAGTAAACACTTTATCTTCCAACTCACACAAGAAGATGCATGTGGAAGATCCAATAATTTGTCCTAATTTTTCACTTTTCTGCAAATAATAATATATTCTCTCATTGCTAAGCATTTCTCTCCTCTTGACTTTGACCATACGATTGTGTTTGGTCAATAGAAGATGAGTCCATAAAATGTGAGTGGAGGATTAACATGTGCCTGCACTGGTAGGTTTACCTTCACCTCCAGTGACATGCCATGGCCCCTGTTGTCTGTGCTTCAGAAGAAATAGAGATGAAACATGCTTGACACAAACTGTAGCTTTGACCCCAACCACAGGCGGAAGTACAGTGGCCCAGACTAGCCCCTTTAGAAGACTACCCTATTTAAAACTCAGAACTGAAGTCCCATGGCAGGAAAGTTGCTAAAGTGGCAAACAGAGCAGTCACTAATGATACACATTTTCAAGGCATGACGTTTTCTCTTCTGAGTACCTTGTAGAGAGACTATCAAACTTCTCTTTGCCCAAATAGTTAGCCACTTCAAAGCAGGAAAACACAGTGGTGGAACCAGAATTCATCACTATGTTTCCAAGATACGTTAGGAAAATTAATGAATGTGTAATCCATATGACATCTCTTTAGCTCTTAAACATGTATTGACCATTATGACTTTGGTTTTTATCAATATCAGTCATAAGAAAGAAGAAAAGTCTTATGTATTCATTCTAATGCAGTTAAAGATACAAGAAGCTCATCTAAGTGGAATATTTTCATGACTTCATGACTGTTGTTGTCAGCTATCATCATACTGATGTTACTTCTTCCTCCATTGTTTGAAAGCTGTTGTTTTTAAGGTTCTAAAAAAGGACAACATTTATATAAGAGCTAGGCTTTAACATTATCTGAGAAAACAAGTTATAGATACCACAGTCTCTTTCCTCATTTCCCTGGTTGAATCCAAGTAACTGTTGTTAAGAAAAACACCAGCTTCTTCCTGAACTCTCTCCTCTATGCAAGTCTATTTTTAATTTTGCAGAGATTTCCAGTCAATGACTCAATTCTTTAACTTTACTTTGGAAGGCAAGATCTGTCAATATTAGATATCAAACCAAGATAATTTTAAATACTTAAGAGGAGTCTCTAAATCACTGCACACTTGAATCAACGAAAACATGCGTTTTAGAATGGCATGTACTATTGTGGTTTTAAGAGAAAATGAGAAGGTACATGGGAAAACCGACAAGAGAATGATTTAACTAACTGCATTTTAAGGAAGTTTAGATAACTATATCATGACTTCAATAACTATTCTCCTGAGATTGGAAGAAGTCATTTGTCCTGGGAAAAACAAGAGATCGGCGATGTATAATCTTGATTTGATGACCTGCATGGGTATAAAAAGCTTCAGCTAGTAGCTGATGTAAAAGACCAAAATTAGCACTCATATCTGGCTGGATTTTCCTTCTACCTGGGCACAGTCAGAGCCGATTGGAAACTGGTCTCCAGTGCTTACCTGTCACTTGGTAACAACTGAATAAATGATCAGGGCAGAAGGCAGCCAAGACCATGTGTGGGAGACAAAAGTTATTTTGAAGAACATCCCTCAGTCCTCAAATAGATTTAAACTAAGCCACAAAGAGGAGGCCGGTGAAGCTACACAAGCTATATAGCTTTATATGGTGTGGCTTCAGTGTATGTGTGTGTGCGTGTGTGTGTTTTAGGGACGGGATCTGGCACCATTGCCCAGTCTGGAGTCCAGTGCTGCAATCATAGCTCACTGCAGCCTTGACTTGCTGGGCTCAAACAATCCTCCTGCCTCAGCCTCCTGAGTAGCAAGGAACACAGGCACACACCACCTCACTTGGCTAATTAAAAAAATTTTTTTTTTGTAGAGATGGGGTCTTGCTGTGCTGCTCAGGCTAGTCTCAAACTCCTGACTTCAAGACTGCTAAGGGCATCCTCCTGCCTTAGCCTCCCAAAGTGCTGGGGTTATAGGCATAAGCCACTGCACCCAGCCCAGCTTTAGTTGTTTATGCAACAATTCTGCCTTAGTAAATACTCTTTGATATGCATGATCCACAAGAAATGGAATACTTTTCATAACAGAACATAGAACAAACCCATTATCCCCGGACAGAATGAAAAATTGAGACTCATAGTTTTGAATTGAGCGTCATGAAATGATCAACGGTTTGGGTTGTCCAACTGAGAAAGTGTCATTCTCTCTTTTCAGTTCTGTTCAAAGGCAGAGCATATCAGAACTGATTGGCAGAGCCTATTTTACCTATTGTCATTTTCCAGTGACGAGGCCAAGTCCTATTGACTTTCACCCAAAGCACAATACAGGCTGCACTTTTCAATTATTCAATGTAATTTCTTCTTTGGAAATTAGCCGCGACGGGAATATCCTTTTCTGTTACTATTTGCTTTTTTAAAGTAAGTTCAGCATAGGGCAGATTGATAAACATGGAGATATTGGCCATTTAAACCCCCAGGAAGAGATGTGATCCTCTTTTGAATAATTAAAGTGTCTGTGAATATAATGGCTATCAAAGAACAAGGGAAATTTTCTATAAAGAAACAAATATTCGACCACTATACAGCCTGGTATGGTAGGCATAAACTGTATGGCCACTATGCACTTGAGTGTGGCAAGTATAAATGAAGAAGCTGACTTTTAATTTGTATTTAATTTAAACAGATTTGACTTTCAAATAAATAGCCACCTATTGGAGGCATTGCAATACAGTTTTATACATATATGTGTGTGTATGTGTATAGACACAAAAAAACATACACACACATATATCCACATACAACTTATGCACCTGATTTTTTTAAGTAGAAATTTGACACTATTAGTGCTTTATGTTGTATTTTGAAGATTATCTATAATTTAGCTGGAACACAGAAGCTAGCTCGGCAGTCGCAAACTAGAAGGTTTGATTTAGTCAAGAGTACCAGCTTACCTGAAAGGGCATCCAGGTGTGGGAGGTTGGTGACAGTAGAAAACATGGTTTTTCATACTTCTCTGCATCCATGTCCATCCAATATAAATTCCTCCTATCCTATACCTATGTGAAGATTACTGCCCCATCCCTTCCATCTGTACCTGTCTGTCACCCAAGACAAATCACATCTGGGTTCATCTTTGATCAAGAAGCCCCCAGTCACCTGCCAGCTGCCTCCAAGGAGGGAGAGAGCCACTTAGTTGATTTACCCTGGCCAAAGCCTTGGGGCAGCCTGACCTTAACTAGCAGAACCAGACAGCTGAATCCAACCTAATTTGATAGCTCTGAGAAGGCCAAACTAAATAGGAACAGCTGCTTTTTTAAACTGCAACAGGTGTGGGAACTCCCAACACAGACTGAGGTTTGGCTAGGCAAGTTGGGTCAAACAAAAGGAATTACATTAGAAAATGTTTGTGTTATAATAGAAATGAAGAACATGCAAAGGTCAATTAGGAACGTTAGAAAAGAGGCTACAGCACGGCAGAGAAGTCAGTTCGACCACTGTGTCTGGGGAAAATGTCTTTTTCTCCTTCTTCATTTCTGAGCCTGGGAGGCATGGTTTCTAACTACTCCTAAACACAGAGAGACTTGGACACTATCATTCCCAAGAGATTCTTCTTCAGTAGGATATCCCTAATACCTTTTACCTTAATTCTGCATGCACATTCTCCAATTTATGGAGTGTAATGTACTACATGCCATCATTGTAAAAATATAATTATCTGAACTTTTTAATATTGGAGGTTACAAAGAACTGAGTATGTTCCTAAGATAGGAATGTTCAATAAAACCCACTCAAATAACTTTATGGAGGCCTGAATATGCAGCTATTACAAAATGGGCTGTGAAATTAGTGTCTATCGTGGGAAACCTTAAGTAGCTATGGTCTTTTTCTTCTCTGTTGCCAGGTCATATAATGCTGACTACAAATAAAAGGGTTTCCATTATTGTTCACAATGGTTGGACCTTACTTAATGTCATTAATACAAATGGTTTCAGAAGATTCACAAGTATGAAATTGTATGTGTGTGCATGCATATGTATATATAATTACATAAGTATAGAATTCACATGTAAATCTACATATAAAGCTAGATACTTATTGGCTTGTGTATATATATATACACACACACACACACACACACAGTTGGCCCTCTGTATCCAGGGATTAAACTAACCTAGGATCAAAACTATTTGGAAACAAAACATAAATAATTGCAACTGTACAGATCATGTACATACTTTTTGGTCATTATTCCCTAAACAATACAGTATAACAACTATTTACATAGCATCTACATTATATGGGTAATATAAGTAATCTGAAGATTATTTAAAGTATACAGGAGGATGTGCATAGGTTATATGAAAATACTATGCCTTTTTATTACAGCGACTTGAGCATCCTTGGATTTTGATATCTGCTGGGGTCCTGGAACTAGCATGCTGCAGAAATTGAGAGACAATTATACTTATATATGTATATATTATATATAGTACATATACTCATACATAGTAAATACTATATACATATTTATATACAATATATACTATATACATATTTATATATACAATATACACTATATTTAGTGTATATAAATATACAGTATGTATAAATATATAGTGTAAATATATAGTGGGTATAAATTTACATTATATATACTATATATAGTATATGCTATATGTATACTATATATGTTTACACGATGTGTATGCATATATAATATATATAGTGAATATAAACATGTGTATAGTATATACTATATAAATATTATATACTATATAAATGCTATATAGTATACACTATATAAATACAATAGGTATAGGCCAGATGCAGTGTCTCACACCTGTAATCCCAGCACTTAAGGAGGCTGAGGTGGGTCGTTCACTTGAGGCCAGGAGTTTAGACCAGCCTGGCCAACATGGTGAAACCCCGTTTCTACTAAAAAAAAAAAAAAAAAACAACTATATATATATATACAAAAATTACCTGGATGTGGTGGCACACACCTGTAATTCCAGCTACTTGGGAGGCTGAGGCACGAGAATTGCTCAAACCTGGAAGCTGGAGGTTGCAGTGAGCCAAGATCATGCCATTGCACTCCAACCTGGATGATGGAGTGAGACCCTGTCTCAAAAAAAAAAAAAAAATACTATATGTGTACTATACTGCATTTACTACATAAATAAATATGTGTATATAAGCATATAAAATATGCATACTTATATTTATAAAATGTACTATTTGAATTTGTATATACTTCTATATTTGTATATTTACATAATTATAAATGTACAAAATATATTTTCATATGTCAGAATTATTAGTTAAGTGAATAATTGCCTTCAGTTCTTTTTTAGTAGCCAATCAATTTAAATTTTATATCTGGGCTTCTTCTGCTTCCAATTAGAATATAGAAAGTAATGAGAGAATATCACGCTCATCCTATCAACCCAAACACACTGGATATGATACGAATTAAATTTATTATAAACACAGGAGGCAAAGAAATCTACTGCAATCCATAGAAAAGAGATGATCTCCTTGTGAGGGAGACGTGGGCCGTGGCTTTTCCTCTCCCTGATGGATTAGAGCAAGAAGTACAACAAAGAAAAGGGGTAGCAATTTATTTTAAAATCCAAAATTACAACAAACTTTCCATAACCAAATGGGCTGGTAAGACAGATTAGAGTTCCAGGAGGGTCTGCGCCAGAGGTACCGGGGATCCCCCGCTTTTAGGTCTTCCCAGAATGTATGAGCAGTGCATGCATGCCTGGGCACAGGACACAGGAGTTGAGATCTATCCCTATGAGGTCCTCAGGCCCTCTCTGAAGTTCTATAAAGCCCTAGTTCTAGTTCTATAAAGCCACTCTCGGAAGGCAGGAGCAGAAAAATGCTGAGAGAGATTCCTCAAAGCATCCTTGACCTTCACAGATTGCAAGGCAGTTGCCCTCTAAAGACTAGGGGAAGAGATCAGTGGAGAAAAAGGTCTCCCTAAAACAAAAATATAGAAGCAGAACTGGAAAGCTAAGAGAACTCCTAAAAGATGAATGCTGGGTAGTAAACAAGGGAAGCCACCCAGTAAATGAAATGATACAAGTGCTCAAGATTGCAAGGGATGCTGAAAAGAAAGCCCAGAACATGTCTTTGGAAAGTTTAAAGCCACTAGAAAATTAAACTAAAGCAGTAGAAAGCATAGATGCAGCTCAACTAGAGGTCAAATTGGCACAAGCCCACACTTTAGGAGCTTGAAAGAAAAAAAAAAATAACAGATTTTCTCCTGGAGAAAAAGATTACATATTTCACATTCTACTATGCTTTTATGCAAAATATCTGACATGCAAATCAAACATAATGAGACTTCCAAAGAATTATAAATGTGTAACCCATGAACAAGACAGGAAATAGTCAATAAAAGTAGTTCTAGAAATATTAGGATTATCAGACAAGGTATTTATGTTACAGGAATTCAGGCAGAAGAAGAAGGAAAACAAGAGTGGATATTTTAGTAAAGAGGTGAAAACTATAAAGCGGCACCAAAATTTTTTATTATGTATAATTATGAATTTATATATTATTTATTAAATAGTTATTTTTAAACCAGAAATAAAATTATGTTATTAAAATGACATATTTGTTAGAATTACTCAACAGGAAACTTAAAAAGCAAACTGTGGGTGTGTGCTTGTGTAACCTTTGGCATAGGTCCATAAAAAATATCCAAACTGACACCAAATTTGTAAGTAAAAAAGTAGACAAACAGAAAAGAGCAGATGTCAACTGATAGACAACATCAAACATTGTGTGTGTAAGTGGAGCGTCAGAAAGACATGAGACTGAGAAAACAGCCAAATAATATTGAAAAACAAAATGGCCAATACCTTCCTAAAACTGATAAAATACATTACCCAAATAATGTGAGAACCCCAGGCAGGATGAAACAAAGAAAGCGGCACCTGGGCACTCCGTAGTCAATCTGGTGAAAACTGAAATCATAAATAAACCTTCAAGCAGTCTGAGGGAATAAAAAGACACATTACAGTGAGCAAAACGTTGAGATAAATGAAATGTTACAGTTTCCCTTAAACATGGGTATGCAGAAAACAATGGAATGAAAACCGTAAATTGCTGAAGGAATTTCTCTCCTGCAGGCTTGCACTGCAAGAAATGTTAAGAACGGAGCTTAAAAATGTAGAAAATAAAAATAGATGTAATGGGAGAAATAGGAAAAAATCCACTCACTCTCAGTAACCCAACAGACAAAGATTCAGTAAAAATATGAAAGATTTCAATTGCGTTATCAACCAAATTTACTTAATTGACTATCGTGGAACAGTATATCCAGCCACTTCAGAAGGTTCACTGATTTGCAAGTGCACAGTCACTAAAATTGATTATGTGCTGTGCGTTAAAATAAGTCTCAAAACTTATCAAATGATTCCATACCAAATCATACCAAATATATTCCCTAGCTAAAAGAATGTTAAATTATAAATCAATGGCAATCAAACACATAGGAAGACCCCACGGCATAAAACAAAGCAAGAGATATGTGTGTGCGAGAGAGAGAAGGGGGAAGGGTTGGGAGAAAGACGCAGAGACAAAGAGGAAGTGAAAGACAGACACGGAGACAGAGAAAGCCCTATATATTTTTAAAATTAAGATAATTTTTAAAAACTCACTGGTCATAGGAAAAAAATCACAAGAGGAATTACAGAAGATTCGACCTGTCTGAAACATGTTCTACAAAGACAGATACACAAATGTTTATAGAACCTTTATTTGTTACAGTCAAAACATGGAAATAACCCAAATGCCCAACATCTGAAGAAAAGGAGAAACTGTGAAGGATTTGTTCAAGGGAATACCAACCGCAATAAAAATGAATAAGCTACTGACAAAAACAACGTCATAATGAATCTCAAGTCTTCTATTGAGTTAAAAACCGACAGAGTATTTTCTTATTATTAAGTAATATAAGAAGAGAAAAACATTTTTAGGGCCAATAGAAGTCAGATAAAGGTCTCCTCTGTGGAAGAGTTAATTGGTGGAGAATGGCTAGATGGGGTGATTTTCTAAGATAATGAAAAAAGTTCTGTATCCTAAATTGGTTCATTGTCATATGGATGTATACAATAGACAAAAAGCAGCAAAGACAGTACTTTACATCTATGCATTTTCTATGTGTAAGTTACATGTAACTCAATAAAAAATATATGTTTTAATCCAACATCTCATGTCTTTATAAAACCTGGAAAAAAATTTTCTCTCTCAAGCACCAAGCAATGAAAGGAAAAAAAAAAGAGTAAAACAGGGAAGCGAATGGTTTAATATCTGGTACAAATTCTATTTAAAAAGCAAATATAAACTACAATGCACTTGAGATTTTCAGATGAGGATTAACTTGCAAATACGAAAAAAAATCCATCTGAACCTTAGCATTATTTTGAGGGAAGTTTCCATTCTTCAGTGGATTATATTTTTCTCCAAATGATTTATAAAATATTTTATTGTATCTGTTGGCTTGCTCCGCTGTGAGTTTTAGTAGTGAGGAACAAAAACAGAAATAACAACTATGGTGTATGGTTTCGGCCTGTAGGCAAAGGATAGAGCAAATTAATTAATGGCAATTCAGGGAAACAAGTTTAATTGTAGATTCAAATTCCATTAAGTTATTAGCTGTTTTCATTCAAGTCATGTCAGCTTTCTATATTTTATTGTATCCTAATTTGATACTAAAACAAATCCCGAAATCTAAAGTTTATTTTTCAATGATAATGACAAATTTGATATCACTGGTCATTTCTGAGTTCACTGGGTGTTTGGACTCCAGGGAGAATAGACTCCTGCCTTCCTTCAAGGAGTAGGCTGTAGATTATATATTATATACTATATATAATTATAATATATATAATATATAATATATAATACTTATAATCTACTATATATAATATATAATCTGCTATATATACATATGTGTGTGGATATATATATATATATATATACACACACACACATAGTATCAGACCTGTTTAGCAGGGGCAGACAAAAATGGAGTTACAGCCCTAGTTACAATTGGCAGAGAAAAATCTATTGAGACAAGAGGCTTGCAGCGATGCAAAAAATCATTACGTTAAAGGGGTGTGCCACAATCTTGATCACACATTCCTTTGCTTAGAATATGTAGCAAAGCAGTTCGGTCTCATTTGGAAGCACCGAAGGTTGTAGATTTAGTATGTACCAAGAGTTTAAGGAGGAAAAATCCACCCTCATAAATTTTCATGAAATGAATATGGTTAAAAATGAACCACTACCGATTTAACCCATAATAAGCACAGAATTCTCATTTTTGAAATACACTCAGGAAATCCTCAAGGTTATCTTGTTTCTAACGAGTTGAAAGCTTTACATTCTGTTCCCCCAAATAATTGACATTGTTGAAGATGTGTACCAAACAGAAAAATGATTTTTTTCCTGGCCTATCGTGATTTCGTAGGTGAGATAATTAGATTAGCGTAGCAATATTCTTTTTTCTTTTTCACAGCAATTACATCATACTTTTCTATGTGTGTACTTACGAGGGCTCATCTGAAAAACTGGCAGGTTCCCTAGTGTCCTGGAGTGTGTGATGGCTTTAATATATTTTAAGAGAGAAAAATAAATTTAAAAAACAATTTTCTTAGCATCATTAAGAAAATAAGCAACTGGATCTTAAAAAAATTATCAGTTTATTATGTGTGCCTGTTAAGAATATAAATGAAGAAAATAAACAAATTTTATAATATCTTTTAATTAGTTCCACTCACTGACATTAACTTTTGAGAATCAGTTTTATGTTTCTAACAGTGAAATTCAAAATCTCCACTTCTTCAACTTTCTGTAGTAATGTGTCATTTTTTTGGAATCACTTATCAGCGAGCTATGCTACCCAAGGCAGTTTTTCAAAATCTGACCATTTTATAAGGAAACATTCATTTTAACAAATGGGCTATAATTTGATGTCTTCTTTAAATGCTGAACACCATTTAAATAAGAGTTTCCCAAATTGTGTTGTTAGGCACACTAACGATATAGGATATTATTTCATACATGAAATGTATTGCATAAGCTGTATTAAAATCCTGTAAAATTGTTCCTTTTAGAGATACATTTTTATCAGAGGCTAACTTAGTTTATTGTCTTTACAAATAGTATCTCACTAAGGTAAAATGTATACAGAAAAGAATGTATACTCCATAAGTATGCAGCTTAATGCACTTTGGTAAAAAACTGTTGTATCCAAATAAGCATCACTAAGAACAAGATATAAAACATCTCTATCCTCCCAGGGAAGTTCTTCATGCCTATTTCCAACAAATGCCATTCGTCAAGCCAACCACTTCTGCTGACTGATCTTGAACTTCCTATTAAGACATCAGTCTTGAATGACCTTGAACTTCATATTAGGGAAGCACACACTCTGTATTCTTTTGTGTCTGGCTTCTTGCAGTGATTAAATTTTTTTGAGGTTCATTTATGCTATTCTTGAATTAGTAGCATTTATTTTTGTTTGCTTAATTCCTGAGAAGTATTTCATTGGTGGGCATTCAGTTTTGCTTAATTTTACTTATTCTTGAAACTCAGGGTCAAAATCATGAACATCAACAATTGTACGGTGTGGTATTTAACCCCAAGATGACTTGGGAATGAGCTTCTTCTTCTTCTTCTTTTTTTTTTTTTTTTTTTTTTTTTTGTTTTTTTGAGAAGGAGTCTCACTCTGTCACCCAGGCTGCAGTGCAGTGGCACAATCTCAGCTCTGTAACCTCCGCCTCCCTGGTTCAAGTGATTCTCCTGCCTCAGCCTCCCGAGTAGCTGGGATTACAGGCTCCCCACCGCCCCACCACACCCGGCTAGTTTTTGTATTTTTTTAGTAGAGACGGGGTTTCACTATGTTAGCCAGGCTGGTCTCGAACTCCTGACCTCAAGTGATCTGCCCGCCTCAGCCTCCCAAAGCGCTGGGATTACAGTCGTGAGCCACCGCATCCGGCTGATCTTCATGTATAAGCATCATGCTGACCTATCCAATTAAAACTGTATCATCTAGCTGTATATACTTTTATTATTGTAAGAAATTGTTGTAAATAGTAACTCAAGGAACTGGACATTAAATTAAACTTGTCAAAAGTAACATTGAATCCTCCTGATATTACTTAAAATAGGTATTTTACCCATTGGTTGAACACTCTGAAATAGAACTTGGTGGAGAGTCTAAAATCTAACAACAGCAACAGAAGACAAATTGCCACTCTGTTACTCACAAGGGAAACTGATTGAACAATCCATTTTTGTTGGCGGTTACCCATTTCTACCTAAGAAATGATCACCTTTAAAAAATTAGGTTCAAGAATTTGAAGATGCTTACTATTCTTATAACATCTGCGTGAACACTAAGGCCATGATAAATTCTAATTCTTGGAAATCATTTTCTTTTATGCATGGAAGTTCAGGACATACTGGTAGCATATCATTTTCATTGTGAATATTTGCTGATAGTTATCTCTTTAAATTCTTGTTCCTCTCAAATTATAAAAGGCAGCTTAATTTTCCAAGGACAATTTACTTTTCGAAGGAGGCATTCTTAACCAGTGACCTATATATATGCATACAAAATCCCGTCAAATTCTGAAAAGATGCATGTGCTCATTGTTCTGGACGAGGCCAATAATTGTGATCAGTTACTCAAAAGTGTTTGTGACTCAAAGGATGTCAAAAATTGCTACTTAAATGATGATATTCTGCTTACTCTTGCTGATATTTTGAGAAATGTCAGAAAAAAATCTTATGATATAGGAAACCCATCTGTCAGCTCTCAAAATAAAGCTCAGTGATTTCTGTTTTCAGACAGCAGCAAACATTTCTGTAAAATCAAATTATCTTCTTCTGATAAATCCCCTCAAAGGTTCAGACTGCTCAAAAAGTAAGTGTAAATTTTAAATAAGACAAAAACTTTTGCCAAATTATAGAATGGATACAATTGAACACTTAACGGTTTTTATTTATTTATTTATTTATTTATTTATTTATTTATTTATTTATTGAGGCAGAGCCTCGCTCTGTTGCCCAGGCTGATCTCTGCTCACTGCAACCTCCACCCCCGGATTCAAGTGATTCTCCTGCTTCGGCCTCCCGAGTAGCTGGGATTACAGGCATGTGCCACCATGCCCAGCTAATTTTTGTATTTTTAGTAGAGATGGGGTTTCACCATTTTGGCCAGGCTGGTCTCGAACTCCTGGCCTCAAGTGATCCACAGGCCTCGGCCTCCCAAAGTTCTGGCATTACAGGCATGAGCCACCATGACCAGCCTGAACACTTAGGGTTTTAGATAGTGTGAAAAAGATGTACACAACAGAATGGTTACCTACTCACAACTATTCCTATATTGGGACAGAGTAAAAAAGTTATATTCAGAAACTGATTTTAAGAGGGCATAGAATAGTTTTATTAATGTTATAATTTCATACTTAAAAGGTAGCATTAAAATAATTTCTGGTTTACTTTTTTAAAAAGAGCAGTTTTTTCTGCCAGTCCACAAATTTAGGAAGAAGATGGTTAAATTTCAATCTGGTCTTCGCAAAAATAACAAGCATGAACATTTGGGATTACAAGTCTTATTTAAAGAATTGCATCATTTGAAGCTGAGATTAAATATGTAAATGCTAATGATTTATTTTACACACCTCAAACTAACATAAATAATTTCATACTACCATATGTACAAGTAATTTGCTCTTGACCCTGATGGATTTATCAACTCTTATAAATGTTGAGTCACTTATAGGACACACATGCACATACACACGCACATATATACACACATATGCACATTTTTTATCATGGAAATATAGTAAGTCTTTAAATAAATGCAATCTTAGGTAAAAAAATGACTATAATTTTAATATTTAATTTTTTTATTTCTTGGGAAGAATAAAAAGCATCTGAAAACAGGTATAAGACCTGATTCCTTGGTCACTTAAACCCAAATCAGAAAAAAAAAAAGAGAGATTGAATTAACTAGAACAAATCGCAATTATTTAAAGACTTCTAAAGCATCTCATATGCTTAGGAAACTGCATGTAACATTTACTTTTGAGGAGTGAGTTTCATTTCTAACCAAAGAATAGGGTAAAGAATAATGTATCTGAAATTACAAACTACTTCTGATATGGCCATTCTGGTGTCTACAGCCTTTTTTGTCTCTTCCTGAACAACCTGTGTCCCCACCCAAATCTCATGTCAAATTGTAATCCCCAGTGTTGAAGGAGGGGCCTGGTGGGAGGTGACTGGATCATGGGGGCGGATTTTCTCCTTGCTGTTCTCGTGATAGTGAGTGAGTTCTCACGAGATCTGGTTGTTTAAATGTGTGTAGCACTCCCCTTCTCTCTCTTCCTCCTCCTCTGGCCATGTGAGGAGTGCCTGCTTCCCCTTCACTTTCTGCCATGATTATAAGTTTCCCGAGGCCTCCCCAGCCATGCCTCCTATATAGCCTGTGGAATCATGAGCCAATTAAACCTCTTTTCTTTATAAATTACCCAGTCTCAGGTAGTTCTTTACAGCAGTGCGGGAATGGACTAATTTATTCCTGTCTATTTTTTAAAGTGGTTGGATAGCAAATACTGTGGCTTTCTGTGCAAACTACTCAACTCTATCTAACATTGTAGAGTAGGTAGCCACAGATAATGTTGTCATGTTCCAATAAAACTTCATTGACAAAAACGGATGGATGGCTTAGTTTGCAAACTTGATATAGTGGACAAGGAAAATGAGAAAGCCAATGTCATTTTGTTTTATAAGGACTAGAGTTGGAATGAGGGATTGCTGTATTGTTTAGAAGGGGTAGGCACTTAAGCCCAGTTGACCACAAAGATGAGTGCAAAGTACTTACTAAGGAGCATGAACAATCTTAGGCAGTGTCTGGGTATTCTATGTTCTTTCCCTAACATCTGAAAAAGTCTTTTCTATTCTGATTAAAGTGCTTTCTGAAATCATCATTCAAAAGTACATTTGAAAAGATCCAGTAATGAGGGCATTTCTCTGAATTTCCACAATACGTTATAAAAGCTGAACTGTATTCTCCATGTATTGGAAACCACTGAAGATGAGAAGGGAGCCAAAAGTAGTGTCTTCTCACAGATCAGGTCCCCCAGTCCTCTGGCTGCTGCATTTGGCTGACATTGACTTCCTATGACAGAACTGATAAACCACTAAATAATAGTGTCTTTAGAAGGATGGATCATCATTTGCAAAATTTTATTTCTTGCAAGGTGACAGTTTGTGAGCTTAGATGTAGATTAAAAAATAAAAGAATTTCCCCAATATCAAACTCTCTTTAATAAGCCCCAATAGGGGGCCCCTTAGGAAATTATTGAGAACACATTATTAAATTTTTTTTCTTTCTCAAATATCTACCATTCCAAAAGGTACTACTTTTACCAGAAAAGTCTATCAATATTTTGTTGTAGCTGATGGTATGGGTGAGGCACATCAACTCACTGGATTACATTTACTCTTAAACTGTTTCTATGTGCCATGATCCATCTTCTCTGTGTGTATGCATGTGCATGTGTGTGTGTTTGTTGGAATATTTGTTTGTGTGTTTGGTTCAACACCCCACTTCTGTAACTCTCTTGAGAAATCTGTCCTTATGCTATTGTGATCTCCACGTGAAAGTACAAAAAGACTCAGAACTCTCTGGGAGGTATTTCCCCCAGGGAGACCATTAGGCAGTGGCTGACATATGTGTACTTGTGAAAACCTGTCTTTCTGTATTCAAACTAAGAAGACCCAGGATGCACTCTTCAGTGTTGCTATGAAATGAGGCAGAGTCTTGGAATTTTCTCACCTTTTTATTCATTATGTGACTTCCCCCATCTTTCCCTTATCTGTTTCTTAATAATGAGGACTCCTCTTGTGGCTTGCTTCTTTGGTGTCCCACTTATTACAATAAAATCAATATTATAAGCTCCCAAATTAATGAAAAAATCCAAGTAGACCATGAAATGCAAATGATTGAACCAGGTGGTACAGACTGCCAGATACATTGGTGTGATTTTACTAAGCTAGATTTTAGTTTTCTTTGATTAAAAATATAAAAAATAAAAATGCTACAAATTACCAAACGATCAGCTTTTTTCTTCCATTTGATCTGTGGAATTTGGGAGATGAAATCATCAAGTGATCTTTCTGTAGTTGCGGTTTCATGGCATTTGAGAGGAAATGTTGGACTCCTTTCTTTTATGCAAGGGACATTTGTGCCTGGCTGGTTTGATAAAACCATTTAAAAATGGCTGTGTCAATTTAAAGTCACTGTCTGTTTATTGGTAAGATATAAGAAGAGTGGTCACTGTGGTGTGTAAAATAAAGCCTCCATACTTTGAATATACATAAACGAATGGCTGTATCCAAAAGGTATCCATATCCTAACCCTGAAAGCTAAGAATATATTAGATTGACCAGCAGAGAGGAATTAAAGTGGTTGGTGGGATTAATGTTGTTAGTCAGTTGACCTTAAACCGTGGTGATTATCCTGGATTATTTGGGTGTGCACGATGTAATTACAAGTTTCCTTCTGTGTGGAAGAGGGATTCAGAAGAAGGGTTAGCATAATAGAGATGGTTTTGTAAGAAACACTTTATTGGTCATTGCTAGTTTTGGAGTGGGATGACTACCATGAGTCCAGAAATACGGGAAACTCCTAGAAGCCAGGAAGATCAAGGAAACAGATACTTATCTAGAGCCTCCAGAAGGAAACATGATATTACCAATGCCTTTTTAGCCCAGGGAGACCTCTAGGACTTTAGAACAGTAAGATCTATACCTGCATTGTTTAGACATTAAGTTGCTGGGAATTCGTTACAGAAACAACAGAAAACCCATACCATCATCCCTGAGCCTCACCGAAACTTTCACCGCCCCAAGTACCTCCATGAAACAAAGGACAATGATCAAATACATGATAGTATTGATGATAACATGAGCTTCAGGAATAAGTAAGGGCATGAAAGTTGTTCTGGACTCTAGAGAACATTTTTTCTTTGTTCTTTCTGGAATCAACCATCTACCTGTTGGAATTCTACTGGCTTTTATCTGGTGGCAATATTTAATGAGGGCACTTTTCCCCACCTCTCACCAAGGATTGAGCTAATAATCTGGCCAGGCCAACATTTCTATGCCTCTCAGTTTACATCCGTTAAACAGAAGCAGAACAAAGACTGAATTAAGTCTACCAACCCAAGACAAGCAAACTCAGAGACACCTGAGACCTGCAGCTGGTGGTAGTTCAAGGTTCCACCAGAAAGCTGCCCAAAGGAGTTAAATCAACATAGCTTGTGGTTCAAAGGCTGTTCCTACAGTAAAAACCAAGGGAAAAGGATTCCAGCTTCCACTGATGTTCACGAGTTCCCTTTTACGTGAATTTGAAGTAAAGGTAACGCATTCAGGCAGAAATGTACTGCAGCTGCAAAACCCACACACCTGAAATCCTAGAGAATTCTGAGCATTTGGGACAGAATCTTAAGGACCTGCTGATTTGTAAAATGAGTAGAAGTATGTTAGATCAATGGTAAGACATTTCTGGTGGTGCTATTTCACCCGAGGCTGTGAATGCCTGTGATGTAAGGCAAAAGTGAGGCAAGAGCAAGAATCCTCCCAGCTAGTATCTATTGTTGCAATAATAAATTCTTTATTAGAATTATAGAAAACTACTATTTATCTTTTGCATAGAAAAATTATAGATGTGGCTGGGTGCAATGGCTCAGGCCTGTAATCCCAGCACTTTGGGAGGCCTAGGCAGGTGGATCGCTTGAGTCCAGGGGTTCAAGACTAGCCTGGGCAACATGATGAAACCCCATCTTGACAAAAAAATACAAAAAAAAAATAGTGGGTCATGGTGGCACGTGCCTGTGGTCCCAGCTACTTGGAAAGCTGAGGCAGGAGAATCACTTGAGCCCAGGAGGTGGAGGTTGCAGTGAGCTCTGATCATGATCACACCACTGCACTTCAGCCTAGGCAATAGAGTGAGACTCTGTCTCAAAAAAAAAAAAAAAAAAAGGAAAGAGAAAAAATAAGAAACGTTATATGGTCAATACTTGTCACTTAAGGTAAATATTTTAAAAATGCATCTATTTTTAAGGCTTTATTTTTTACAGCAGTTTTAGACTCACAGGAAAATCAAGAGGAAGGTACCCTTGCCCCCACACATGCATAGCTTTCCCCATTATCAACATCCCCCACCAGAGTGGTACTTTGATTACACAGTTGTTACAATTGATGACCCTACAAATTGAATTTATTTTTGAGATGGTCCTCATCTTCTTATACTTATTTTCTATAATCTTAATCAAGGGTTGTATGTTAGGTCAGATTCTCTGAAAAGCATTCAAGACATGCAACATGTTTATTAGGGGGATGCCTTAAGAGTTCAGTGTATGCAATTGCTAGCAAGGTAGCTCTCTCCTGGGTACTAAGCAATATTTTACAGTGTAGGATCCTCCCTCTTTCATTCTACTCTTGCTTTTTTTTTTCTAAATTTCTCTTTGCTCTTCCTTTCTATTCATTTTATCTCTTCGCCCATTTTGTCTATGTATTAGTTCTTTTTCACGCTGCTGATAAAGACATACCTGAGACTGGGTGATTTATAAAGAAAAAGAGGTTTAATGGACTCATAGCTCCACGTGGCTGTGGAGGCCTCACAATCATGGTGGAAGGCAAAAGCCATGTCTTATATGGCAGAAAACAAGAGAGAGTATGAGAACCAAGTGAAAGAGGTTTCCCCTGATAAAACCATCAGATCTCATGAGACTTATTCACTACCATGAGAACAGTATGGGGGAAACTGCCCCCATGATTCAATTATCTCTCACCAGGTTCCTCCCACAACATGTGGGAACTAGGGAAGCTTCAAATTAAGATGAGATTTGGGTGAGAACATGGCCAAACCATATCAGTATATACGGACATCCCCATGATAAATCACCATCGCCCCCACCATTATCAATATCATTATCACCATCATCATCATCATCACTATCACCATCATCATCATCATCATCACCATCATCATTATCACCATCATCACCATCACTATCATCATCATCATCATTATCATCACAATCACCATTATCATCATCATCATCATCATCATCATAGTCACCATCATCAACATAATGGCCATCAACACCATCACCATCATCATCACCATTATGATAATCATTTTCTTAAACAATCAATATTTTCTACAGTGTATGAGCTTCTTGGTTTTCCCAGTGTTGTATGGATTTGCCACATGGCAGCTTGTGAAACTTTATATGCAAACCTTAAAGTCTTTGTGCTGAACACATTTCCATGTGTTTTGAAGCAAACTGCTCATCTGAAGTACAGAATCCCACAGTATTCCTTGAGTGAACTACCAAGAATCTGGAGAATTTTTCTGTCTCCACTACTTCTGATATTTGCAGACTTTTGGGTAATTTTTTCCCTTTTAAGTTGACTTTGTTATTTTAAAGTCTGCCTGAGAACCTAAGAGAATAGTAGACTTGAGTTGCAGTAAAAGATCTACATGAGTACACATATTTGCGAGGTGAATAGGTTTCAGTGACTCCCAAAGAGTGGACTCATTCATACTGTTGTAACAATTTTATTATACAGTTGATTCTTGAACAACATGGGGGTTAGGAGCACAGCCCCTCTGTGCAGTCAAAAATCCGCATATAACTTTTGACTCCTCAAACATTTAATTACTAATAGCCAACTGTTGACCAGAGCCTTACTGAAAAGAAAAACAGTTGTTTAACACATATTTTTATGCTATACGTATTATATATTGTGTTCTGAAAAGAATGTAAGCTAGAGAAAAGTCTTTAGGTGGAAGTGGATCATCTTAAAAGTCTTCATACTCATCATCTTCAGGTTGAGCAAGCTGAGGAGGAGGAAGAGGAAGAGAAAGAGGAAGAGGAGGGTTCGGTTGTGCTGTCTCTGGGGTAGTAGAAGTGGAAGAAAACCTGTATATACATATACTTATGCAATTCAAACCTGTTTTGTTCAAGGGTCAATTGTATATTAAATGTGTACATAATATTTCCTTTGGCAGGAAGGAGTGACTCCTCACAGCATAAATTTTTAAAATGTCAAAATATATTGTTTCTTGCTCTGCCAATGATGATTTCCTCAAAGTTTGAGCTGTTCATTTGATGCCACTTACATTTTTCACATAAATATCCAGTAAGAAAATAGAATTCCCTGTCACTGGGCTTTCTCATGCTGGCTCAACAATGAATATTTCTTTGCCTAACTAAAGGGAGATTTTTTTTTAATTTGTGATTTAATCTGCAATGTATAAGCTTGCACTGAAATTGGCACAATTCATAGCTATTTTCTAACGTGGATTTTGTGATGTGTACAGTTTCGGTTTTTTCTGATAGATTATAAATATGTGTGGAATTTTCACAAATTAACTATGCTTTGAAATTAGTTTTTCATATACAGAAGAGGGCACCAAAGTCAATCAACAAATTTAGCTTTTAGGCGCCAACTTGGCCTCTGAGGATGCATGGAAACTCTTGGGGAAAATAGGAAGTTTAAATAGCTGTAAATTCTGGCATTTGAATTAATATTCATCGTAGACTTGAATGCAATATCTACCACGCAGCTCAAGATGTACTCATTAGGATCATCCATCTTCTTTACGCCTTGAAACTTGAAGCAAGATCTAAGTCACGAGGAAACAAATTGCCATCATAAACACAGTAAAAACTTTCAAATACCGCAGATGTAAATATTGAATACAAATCAGCCAGGGATGAGCTCTATACCTTCAGGACTTACATCATCTCTCTCAATATCTAGTACTTCAGAGATGTAAAAAAGCTAATAATGGCTGGGCACGGTGGCTCACGCTTGTAATCCCAGCACTTTGGGAGGCCAAGTCGGGTGGATCACTTGAGGTCAGGAGTACGAGACCAGCCTGGCCAATGTGGTGAAACTCCATCTCTACTAAAAGTACAAAAATTAGCTGGGCATGGTGGCACATGCCTGTAGTCCACGCTACGGAACTGTGAGTCAGTTAAACCTCTCCTCTTTTCTTCATACATTACTCAGTCTCGGGTAGTTCTTTATAGCAGTGTGAAACAAATTAATACAGAAAACTTCTCACAGCAAGCATGACTAGGAGGGCTCAGGAATCTTATAGTCATGGCAGAAGGCGAAAGGGAAGCAAGCACCTTCTTCTCATGGTGGCAAGAAAGAGAGAGAGTGGAGCGTGAAGTGCCACACACTTTTGAATCATCAGATGTCATAAGAACTCACTCACTGTCAGGAGAGCAGCAAGGGGGAAATCCACCCCCAATCCAGTCACCTCCCACCAGGCCCCTCCTCCAGTTGGACATGAGATTTTGGCAGGGACACAAATCCACAACTCATCGTTTTCTTTCCTTTGTATTAACGGCTTTACGGAAACAAAAAAGACAAAGATTAGCTGTGGCTAGCAGCTCCCACACCCAGGACATGAGTTATGAGTACTGCCAAGTTTTCTGTCCACTCCCCTGGTCACAAGAGAGTGGAAACACTAAACTACCCAAGCAGGCAACCAGTGTTCTGCAATAAAGAATGATCAGCATGCTGGAATTGCCCAATATTTGAGGGAAACACAGCATCCTGTAAAAGTGCATCTATCACTTGTAAAGCCTGAGTTACAATAAACAGAAGATTACAGAAAACAGACAGAGGATGTAGACTCTCATTCCCCAAGGGTAACTGATAGAAGAAAAATTCCCACTCAATAGAAATGCACAGAGAACAGAGGCAAAAAATTATTACAGATACAGAAAACAGTATTTGATTAGAACTCAATTTTTTAGGTCAAGGCATAGATACTTATGCAGAGAATAAATTTCTCATCCATTTTTTTTCTTTTCTCAGATGGAGTCTCGCTCTGCTGCCCAGGCTGGAGTGCAGTGGCGCAATCTCGGCTCACTGAAACCTCCACCTCTGGGGTTCGAGTGATTCTCCTGCCTCAGCCTCCTGAGTAGCTGGGATTACAGGTGCCTGCCACCACACCTGGCTAATTCTTTTGTATTTTTAGTAGAGAAAGGATTTCGCCGTGCTGGCCAGGCTGGTGTCAAACTCCTAACCTCAAGTGATCCACTCACCTCGGCCTCCCAAAGTGCTGGGATTACAGGCGTAAGCCACTACAACTGGCCAAATTTCTCATCAATTTTGGAAATATTTCTTTTGCCTGATTGCCCTGGCCAGAACTTCCAGTACTATGTTGAATAGGAGTGGTGAGAGAGGGCATCCTTGTCTTGTGCCGGCTTTCAAAGGGAATGCTTCCGGCTTTTGCCCATTCAGTATGATGCTGGCTGTGGGTTTGTCATAAATAGCTCTTACTATTTTGAGATACGTTCCGTCAATAGTCTGCACTTTGCTCATTTAGTCTTGAAAGGTATATGCATGAAAATAATAAAATCTCTTACAAACTGAACCACAAATATTGAATTTTCTGGGAATATTTTGTGCATGGTTAATCAATGTTGAAGAAACCATGTGTTCACGTAGCTGCAAATATCAGAAAAATCTCAAGAATAACTTGATAGGGATGTATGTTTTCTCATATACCAAGTAGCCCAAACTAAGGAGTTCAGTGCAGACACAGACGCTTAAACTTGCCCATTGCCAGGTTCGTGCTCTTTGTAGCCCTTTATCCTGCCATCCTTAGACTACTGGATTTTGTCTTTATACTGACTGCTTAATGCCTACAAAGTGGCTGCTCTGTCTTCAGGTGTCATGACCATATTCCAGGCAGAAAAGAAGGAGAAGGGGACAAAAATAAATATAGTTATGCTATTGCCTTTATGAACCACCGAGTTGCCAATAGGCCAAAGAAATGGGCTTTTTAGCTTTTCTAGCCTCTATGATGGGGGCAGCTAAGAAAGAATAGGGATTGAGAGGAATTCATCTGGTCAGCCTCAAAGGAATAATGTCAATTCAGCATCATCCTCTTTAACATTACAAGAATTAGCTGATTTTAAAAAATTCAGTTTCTTCTGGGGGATATTATAATTTTTGCCCGATGCAAAGTGACTCACTTTTAAGTGTTACTACTACTGAGAGTGAATTGAATCCATAAATAAGACTTTTATAAAAACAACAACCTTATTAAGACAATCCGCAAGAAATTAAAATTCGCCCTTATAAAATGTACAGTTTAGCATTTTTTGTATATCCCCTTTGCTGTGCAACCACCAACATTATTTAATCACCTAATATTTTCATTACTCCAAAGGATACCCCATACCTAATAGGTCCCTATTTCTCCTTCCTCTCAGTCTCTGGAAATCAGTAGTATACTTTCTGGCTTAATAGGTTTGCATAGTTTACAGATTTTGAATTAATAGAATCATACAATATGTGGCCTTTTGTGTCTGACTTTTTCATGGAACACAATTTTTCAAAGTCCATCCATATTTTAGCATGAATCAATTTGTCATCCCTTTTGCTTATTGAATAATGCTTTATTATGCAGTGTGGAATATGGATACATCATATTTTATTTATCTCTGCATCAGTTGGTTGACATATGCTTTGTTTTCTCTTTCTAGCTCTTATGAATACTGCTGCTTGAACATTTACATACGTGTTTTTATGTGGACATACATTTTCATTCTCTTGTGTCCGTATCTGGGAGAGGAATGGATGGGGTCATGGGTAACTCCATGTCTAACATTTGGAGGAAGGGACAAAGTGCTTTTTAAAGCGGCTGCCCCAGGTTAAGTTCTTACCAGCGGTGTATCAGGATTTCAATTTCTGCACATCCGTGTCAACACTTGTTAAGGACCATCTATTCAATTTTAGCCACGCTGTGTGTAAAGTGTGACCTCCTTATGGTTTGGATTTGCTTTTCCCTAATGACTAATGATGCTTCCATGTGTTGAGTGGCTATTTTTATATCTTCTTTGGAGAAATGTCTATTTAAACACTTTGCTTATTTTTTTAATAGAGCTATTTGTCTTTTTCTTGCTGATTGCATATTCTTTTAAAGTTTCTTTGGAGGAAGTACTTACTAGCTTGAGCAGATGCAGAAAAATAACTCGATGGGTATAAATTAAATATGAATACCTGAAAGATGCTTGTAAACTACACCTGCATCTCCCTTCCCAGCCAGGATGAATTCTTTTGTAACATCAATTAACTTTTCCTTCTGCTTTATTATGTTTATATTCTGCATTTCTATATTGTGTGTTAGAAATGTTAAATGTCATTCAAAAGTTATTTTAATTAACAAGAAGTGGCAATAATGTGTCTTTTGTCTTTTCTTCATAGGGATGAGAAAATGGAAGGGTTATCCTTGTTTCTGCCACATAAAAATTCCCAGAACTTTACACATGCCAAGTTTGTAAATGAAATCTAGCTTTACTCCTGTATGCTGAAATTTAAGACCAACTTTCCTCATTCCACCTTCTGTAGTAAGCTGAAAGAAACTGCCCTCCTCCACTTCCTTAACATCTTATTTTTGTGCTAAACGCTAGGATGACATTTGTGATAGCTGCAGAGAGAGCCCACTGAAATATAAATGAGAACAGGGTCTCTTTTGCTATTTAATGGATAAGACCAAGCTTAGCGTACTCACCATAATTCAGTTCTATATTATTCTCATGTAGTTGGTTGATTTGAGCTTGTTATTGCAGTAATGAACAAGAGACGTAGAACATCAAAGGAAGAAAGGAGAACATTTAATGTTTTATTTAGTGCTATCCCCGACCTGAGTAGGTTTTGATTAGGGAAGCAAAATTACTGTTTGCATAAGTTGGTTCCAGAATTTATTTATAGCCCTATCAATGGATGACACCTCTTGTTGATTGAAAAGACCTAATTAATGGTAATTTTTATTAGAGGAAGATTGTGAATTATTGATTTGTATTCCAGGGTAGCTTCTTCCTGACAATAATAGCAGCTATATCAACCAAGCCCCTTCTAATGCGTTCCCATATATGACTCAATTGCTCACCCACAAGATGCACATCCAGTGGTAGGGACCCTATTATTTTTTTCCAGCATCAAAACTATGCTGACGCATCCCTCAATTTGTCAAGAGCAACAGAAACAGGCACCCCAGGAAAGGGCAGGAAAGTCTCTCCTGCCTACCAGAATGCAACAAGGCTGCATTTGGAGACAAGGGGACCTTGAAGTTAGCGTTTGGCATATGCAGGTGGTCTGCACAGTGAGCCAAATAGGACAGAAACGAAAAAAGAAATGCAAGAGACTCAGATGTTGCAGCCAAATTATGGGACATAGTTTTGATCCTTGAAACCTATTCCCTAATTCTTATTTACTATCTTCAGTGATTAAGTGCTTGACTTTATTCATCCAAACCCATTTTTGTAGCCACCCTCCCAGCTGAACCCGAGATTCTATCTGTTCCCCTGCAACCTAGTTGTTCTCTAGGACCACATCAGGAATTTGTGACCTAAGGCAATACATTTATTATCTCATGGTTTCTGTGGATTGGGAGTCTAGGCATGGTTTAGCTGGGTCATCTGCCTCAGGGTCTCTCAGAAGGCTGCCCTCAAGATAAGACCCACAGCTGAAGTCTCACCTGAAGACAGGGAACAATCCCCTTGCAAACTCATTTGGGAGCTTCAGTTGATCTCCCCACAGACTGTCTTGTCCTCTCCCCTCACCTTCTTCTCTCTGCATAGCTTTGAGGATCTCTGTTGATATATTCCTCAGGTCACTATTCTGCTTAAATCAGTAGTTCCCCAGTGGACTTAAAATAATCCATCAATCTCTCACCAGGATGATAAGGTCATTGACCTGGCTCAGCTTTGCAACTTCACCTTTTAAGCTACCATTCCCTCCACATTCCAGTCCATGGAAACATCCTTTGATTCCCATAAAGGTCCTAGCCAACCCTAATAGGTCCTCTTCTATCTAAACATTTCCTTCCCTCCTGCAATGTGGGTTTCTTCTCAGCCTTTAGGATTCAGCTCCAAGGTCACTTTTTCCTGGACAATCTCTTTTCAAGTTTGCATTACCAAACCCTGTGCAATTAAAAGTCCTTACCAGTTTGAAGCTACCTCTTTATTTCCTTTTCTGATTTTTCACATCTTTTTTTGGGGGGGGGGGAGGTCTCACTCTTTCACCACACTGGAGTGCAGTGGCACAATCTCAGCTCACTGCAACCTCCCGGGTTCAAGTGACCCCTCCACCTCAGCCTCCCAAGTAGCTGGCACCACAGGCGCACACCATCATACCCATCTAATGTTTGTATTTTTAGTAGAAATGAGGTTTCACCATGTTGGCCAGACTGGCCTTGAACTCCTGACCTCAGGTGACCCGCCCACCTTGGCCTCACAAAGTGCTGGGATTACAGGCGTGAGCCACTGCGCCCAGCCTGTAAGCTCTTCTTCTATTTAACACTGTGTGTGTCCCACAAGCCTGGAAGGAGCTAGGTATGTAAACATCACTAAATAAACAACCCTTGGTGAGACCAAGTTTAAGAAAACAGACATCTGAACAATCATTTGACGCTTCACAATGTCAGTCTCTCAGCTTTAAAATGCGTACCTCTTTAAAGAACTACAAGTGTCAATATATTCCAACTTAGGATACAATTTTTTACTGACATCAAACAATAAATTTCAAGGTGAAATAGAATTTCAAATGAAATATTTCCAATGAGAAATGTAACAGAGACTACATCAGCATCAGAGCTTTTACTGGACGTGATCTTCTGTGTGACACAAAACAGACAAACCCATCAAAAAGTGGGCTAAGTACATGAATAGACAATTCTCAAAAGAAGATGTACAAATGGCCAAAAAGCATGAAAACATGCTCAACACCGCTAATGATCAGGGAAATGCAAATCAAAACCACAATGTGATACCACCTTACTCTTGCAGAAATGGCCGTAATAAAAAATTATAATAATAATAGATGTTGTCATGAATGTGTTGAAAAGGGCACAGTTTTACACTGTTGGTTGGAATGTAATCTAGAACAATCCCTATGGAAAACAGTGTGGAGATTCCTTTAAGAGCTAAAAGTAGATTTACCATTTGATCTAGCAACCCCATTCCTGGGTATCTACTCAGAGGAAAAGAAGTCATTATATGAAAAAGATACTTGCACATGCATGTTTATAGCAGCACAATTTGCAATTCCAAAAATATGGAACCAGCCCAAATGCCCATCAATCAACCAGTGGATAAAGAAAGTGTGATATATATATGTACCATGAAATACTACTCAGCCATAAAGAGGAACAAAATAATGAAATAATGGCATTTGCAGCAACTTGGATAAAACTGAAGACCATTACTGTAAGTGAAGTAACTCAAGAATGGAAAACCAAACATCCTATGTTCTCACTCATAAGTGATAGGAACAATACAGCGGGCTGCGCTGGTGGCTCATGTCTGTAATCCCAGCACTTTGGGAGGCTAAGGTGAGTGGATCACTTGAGGTCAGGAGTTTGAAAGCAGCCTGGCCCACCTTGGTGAAACCCCGACTCTATTAAAAACACAAACATTAGCCAGGCTTGGTGGCATGCATCTGTAGTCTCAGCTACTCGGGAGACGGAGGCAAGAGGATCACTTAAACCTGGGAGGTGGAGGTTGCAATGAGCCAAGATCTTGTCACCGTATTCCAGCCTGGGCGACAGAGTGAGAATCTTTCTCAAAAAAAAAAAAAAAAAAAAAAACAATGGACTTTTGAGACTCAAGGGAACGGGTGGGAGGTGGGTGGTGAGGGAAAAAAGACTACACATTAGGTAGAGTGTACACTGCTCGGGTGATGGGTGCCCCATAATCTCAGAAATCACCACTAAAGAACTTAATTGTGCAACCAAACACCACCTGTTCCCCAAAACCCTATTGAAATTTGAAAAACAAAATAAAATAAAATACATTCTCTGTAAAAAAACAAACAAGCAAAACCAGACATGTTCCAATTCAGGGTCTCCCATGCTATAAAGAGCTGAAGTTGAGAATAATATATTTGCGTATGCCTCTTCCCATCATTTTGAAATGACTATCATGTTTTCCTAGAACCGAGTTTACAAGCACTAAATATAATCATCCTCCGATCAGTGTACAACATAGTAGAAATTGCTCTAGTTTGAGATGCTGAAATTTTCCAGTGAAATATTTTGGAATTTCTCCTCCCCATTCCTCCCAGAGGACCTACTATGAATCCAAGGTTATTAATAAAATATATATTCATATAATGGTGTCAAAGTTCTATTTCCCTGCTGATTGACAGTAAAATCCAGGTTGCGTTGGCGCTTCTGTCTCCTCTGGGAAGTGGAATGGAAAGAACTGTTCATGGAGCTGGAAGGAATTCTACAAAACCATAGACTCTTCCTCTTGAAAGTAAGTTCACCTGTCAAGCAGCTCTACTCGCACACGCATGACGGTGAAAAGTGCCTTAATTGGGTTTTCAAGAAGATAGATGGGAAGTCATGCCACTTGGGTTGTCACTTCTTATTTCACACACTCCCTACTCACACCCTCCATTATCCATTCAGCCTTCCCCATTTCCACCTGAAATTCTTGCTGCCTCTCCTGACGCAGAGCGGATAGCACCACCTACTGGGACACTCGCGTTGCTTCATGGAACGTGGCGGCATTCATTTTATTTCTGTTATTTTATTTTCTGTTATTTTACTTCTGTTATTTTATTTCTCTGCTGCAATACTTCTTTCCGATTATAATATGAATGGACATGCGGTAGATAAATAGAGATAGTTAAATCTATTTATAGTATTCATATCATGTATATGATATTCTTTTTTAAATTTTAATTTTAAGTTCTGGGGTACGTGTATTAATGTTATGCTAATCCTAAAGCCCTATGAGGGCAAAGCGGAAGAAAGTAAGTCATTTATTCATGATTCAACAGCTGGTAAGGGTGGGACCTTGGAATTCACATCAGGCTGGCTTCAGATGTGAAGCTTTTTCACCTATCACAAAATGTTGTCTCCTAATGAGGGAATCATTGTGTACTTTGCTTATATTGACACACTTTTAAAAGGCTCCTAATAAACTTCATATAAAGCATCTTTAATGGCTTAGGAAAACATACTCCACGTGTGTATAATAGGTTAGACTATAGTGAATATATATTAAAGCTTCCTACTGATCAAGAAAATTGGGAAAAAATCCAGTAAGTGTGTTCCATAAAACTCTTGGAAAATTGTATGTTCTATTGTCTATTGTAGATATGTCAGGGACTACTCATTAACACATTGATTTTGGTTTACTTATGGCAGAAAAAATTTCTATTATAGAGTCAGATTTTAGTACAATTAATCTTAGCAGCATATTCAGTTTGTGTCACTGGCGAGATTATGTTACCTATACATACACGCATATATGCATGTGTATGTGTCTGTGTGTGTGACGCATATACTATATATTTACAGTATTTATTTTACACAAACACATCCCTAGCCATACATGATAGACTCCTGCAAGTGTGCATGTGTGCATAAAATCTTAGGCAATAAAAATAATATCTAAAGTAGAAAGTGGAAGTTGTTCATTGGGTTTTTTTGAAGAGACAATATAGATGTAAGTGTAACTGGATTGTGGCCAATTGACCATGATACTATATATATATATATATATATGTATATATATATATATATATAGTATATTTAGATACTGTATATATAGAGTATATGTAGTATATTTAGACACTATATATAAAGTGTATATAGTATATTTAGATACTGTATATAGTGTATATATTTATATAGGATATATATTTATATAGTATATATATTTATATAGTATATATATTGTATATAGTATATATGCTTTTACTATACATATAGTATATATATTTTTTACATTCGCAAGTAAGGGCTCTTATGAAGCTGGGAGAATAACATGAACATGAAGGGTTCGCTACATGGGTGTGAACTAATGTCTTTGATAGAGGTAGAATGCCATCATTCATGTCACTAGATAGGCCAAAAAGATGCTAATATTAAAAGACTCATCACACATCCCAAGTATCCTCATTTTCCTTATTAGCATAGGCTTACTTTACTTTGAAATGAACAACATCAACAGATGAATGGCTAAAGAAAATGTGGTATATCTACACAATGGAATACTATCCCGACTTTCAAAAGAAGGAAAACCTGTCATTTTCGAGAACATGCATGAACATGCAGGGTGTTATGCTGAGTGAAATAAGCCAGACACAGAAAGACGGACACTGCATGATCTCACTCATATGTGGAGTCTATGAAAAAGCCCAACTCATGGAAACATAGAGTAGAGTGGTGCTTACCAGGGGCATGGATAAGAGGAACGGGGTGGTATTAATCCAAGGATACAAAATTTCAGCTAGACAGGAGGGATAAATAATCAGTTTTTGGGGGAGAGATATGCTTATGAGCTTGGATCAATGAGTCCACACTGAACGCATATATCACAACATCACTTTGTACCCCATAAATAGATATGAATATTATTTGTCAATATACAATTAAAACATAGGAGAATCTGGGTGCAAGGTATATGGGAACAATCTGTACTACCTTTGCAACTATTCTGTCAATCTAAAAGTATTCTAAATAAGAAGTTTAATTTTTAAAAGTTAAAAAAGGAAAAAGATTGTGCTTCTAATTCCATGAGATTGTGTTTATCAAAGATCATCCAAGAAATCCCAAGGAAAGTTAAGGTTCATTTTGAAATATTGTTTGTAGCATTTGCAAGAGTCTGTCAGAACAAATATGCAATCGTTGTGTTTCAAAAGAAAAGTTCGTATGCTCTAGAGAGCTTCATGTATAATTATTTTTGAGTGTATGTGTGTGTACATACATAGGTACACTGGATATGTATGCATATAATACGTATCTATATATTATACGGAATATATGTTTTTTCACACACATATGCACGCAGACACACACACACATGCACATATGATAGGCAGTACAACACTAGAATACCATGTTATATGACCTTGTGTTTTACTCGCTATTACACATGAATATATATTAAGGCTTCTTACCGATAAAAACTTGAAGAAATTCCAGTAACTTTGTGTTCCATAAAACTCTTTGGAAATTGCCATAATGATATATTTCTCAGTGTCATCTCTTCATCTTCCCAGGGAGATTATAAAGACGTTTATCGGGAAGAGGAAGAAATAGTAGAGAAGTAAGTGCAGAAGGGAGAAAGAAAGAAGAAAGAGGGAAGGACATCTTTCTCTCCACACCAAGCTAGGAAAAAAATGTAATTCTCAAAATGGATAGAAATATTTTTGTCTATCCACATCACGATGTGGCCTTGATGGTAACTTGGAAATTGACCAAGAAAGTGAATTTTGATGATGAGTTACCTTGTCTCCAGGCAGAGCCTCCATTCCCTCATTAAAAAGAAAATGCATAAAATAAAATACCACAAAGTATAGGGTCAGACTGCCAAATGGAGCTGAGTTACAAACTTCTTGACTCAATGATGAGGGAAGAACAAAATCAGTCTCTTCATCAGGTATGTCAGCGGAGTGCCTGACTGGCTTTTAAATTTTTAATTTCTATTTTGGGGGAATAATTATGGGGATGAAACTTTAGTGGTTTTTCTTTCCTTCCCTCAAGACCACGCACGTCGTGTCTGAGATTCCCACCTCCCCACTACCCTGACCTGACCCTTGTTTGGTTTATCTCCTCCTCTTAATTTAGTCCAGTATAATCTTCTACACTGTCTCTGTTCCCTGTTTCCTTACGGTGCATCTGCACTCTAGATGTGCATCAGGCAGTTTCTCTCCTCCTACGGGACGGAAACAAGGCATACTCTGCTATTTCTGTTTTATTCCCACAGGCCCTAGTTGTGCGCTTGCTGTAAAGATGCCAAATGAACAAAGATAATTAATTTTTTTTTTTTAAATTCTGCCAACATGTTAAGCAGAGTTCCTAGAAGTCAGCAGCATAGAGTTATGGCACTTCCTTTCTTCAAATATGACTTAAAAGCAGACTTGAAAATGAATCAGATGACCCTGGATCCTTTGAGATTTTTTATGAGTTGATGACAAATTCTCAAATCTGCAATTTTGTTTTATGTTTAACTGGACCCCGTGGTGCAAGCTGGCCAAACACTCTCTCTGGTGAGCAGATAAGCATATAGAGATTGGGGGTCTCCTGTAGGGTAACTTGAGCTTCCGCTGCTAGTGGAGGAGAATAACCCAAGCCAGCTGATTCTGGTCCTTGGCCAGCAGATGTTTTGCTATTATTTAGATGCATGCTTTCCAGGAGAATGTAACAAAGCCCTTTAGCACAGTTGCAAGCCTTTCCCTTCCCAGGTTGAGCGTGGATTTATTCCCACTGCTGACAAAGGAAGACTTCACTTATTTATTTTTTATTATCAATGTATGCTCTGGTGGTAAAAATATATGACCTCAAATATGCTGCCTTTATTTACAATTCTTCCAGAAAATGCCTTATCACTTATTCCTCAGCAGACTCATCTTAGGAAAGACCAGCTGTTAATATCATCATCTGTTCCACCAAGAAACAATGCATTTATGCTTCATGTTTCAGGCCAGAAAGTAGTTTCCCCAATTAGCTCAATCCTAAGTAAAGGGTCATTGAGGAGTTGTTATGAGGTGCATTTTCTCCCCTTTCCCCGTTGGGCACAGTACAGATCTCATGGTGTTTGTATTCTCTACAAAATGCGGAGGCTAGCAGCTGGTTTTAGATTCAGATAGTGCATAATACAAACAGGCATTCTGCATAAACATTTCCAATTTAGAAACTATAATTTCCACTGATCTTTTTGTATTGTTGTCTTTGCAATGGGCTGGCGACAAATAGATAATATTTTTCATTTGCACCTAAGAGGTGTTTGTTCAGAACTCAAGCCGCATTAAGCTTTCTGTTGGGTGCTTGTCTTTTCAGAGTGCTGCTGACATGTGTTCATTCCAATAAATTAACTGTCCGCTCCAATCCGAATCAGCTGGTTGAAAGAAGCTACCTTGCTGTTTTTAAACTGGACTTGCTATTAGAAGAAAACAGGTGGGAACTTCCTTGCCTTCATGTCATTTTGACCCTCCATTGGTCTTAGGGAGCAATCACTAAAACCAACTGCAGAATTGGGTTAATAATGAAGTGTACCAGGTACACCCCCCATGCAACTAACTTCTCAGGTGATTTTGTTATTGCAGTTAGGAAATAAACATAAGGATGCTTATCCCAAATGGGATGTGTGATAGAATGAAGAAATTGATCTGAAGCCCAGTGGAGAAAGATGTAGGTGCGATGTTCATGGAATTAGAATATCCAGTGAGACTTGTTTAAAGGAAAACTTGTTTAAAGAAGATTTGTTTAAAGGAAAATGTGCTACGTGGACGGACGAGATGGAATAATCCTATTATCCACTTATTTCTAATTTCTCCTCTCATGTGCCTTTCACCAGAGCTAATGGTATTCTTGGTAAAGTGCTTCAACACCTTGCAGCAACAGGGATAAAATCTAGGGTGAAGAGAAGAGTTGTAAAATCTATGAACATCCAACCAGCTCTTGAGTAATGAATAACTTTTGCGTCGATATTGATGGCTTATCCTGGATTTTTGATTGCAAGGAAAAGAGACTCATCAGACAAAGGTTGCTATGCAGACAACGTGCTCCTGTCATGGGGAATTTTAGGACAACCAGGAATACTCCCTTCCCAGAGAGAACCCTCTTTCTGCATTTCCCTTCCTCTTCCTCTCTGGGGGATACAGTTTCTTCCAGATCATGTTGTCTTGCCTTTCACTTGATCCTGCTTCTACAGCGCTTCCCAATTTCACATTGTCAAATGTCTCTGCCTTCATCTATACTTGAAACACGCCCAGTCTGATTTCCCTTTTTATTTTTATTGTGGGAAGCTGCCATTGATCTATATTACTATCATCATAATAATAATCACCATCATTACTTCTACTGTCATTATTATTTTGTAAGAAAAACATTGAGTTTTTCTTGAATAGCCCACAGACTATATCAATGTAGAAGAGAATGAGAAAAAGGCCAGGCACCGTGGTTCATGCCTGTAATCCTGGCACTTTGTGAGTCCACGGTGGGCGGATCACTTGAGGTCAGGAGTTCAAGACCAGCCTAGCCAACATGGTGAAAACCCATCTCTACTAAAAAATACAAAAATTAGCCAGGCATGGTGGCGTGTCCCTGTAATCCCAGCTACTCGGGAGGCTGAAACGGGAGAATCACTTGAACGTGGGAGGCGGAGGTTGCGGTGAGCCAAGATTGCACCACTGCACTCCACCCTGGGCAACAGAATGAGAATTTGTCTAAAAAAAAGAAAAAAGAAAAGGGAAGAAAATGAGGGGAAAAAGCGTTTAATATTATACACTAAACCTAAGAAACTACTAAACCTAAGAAAGGAAAAAAAATAATAAAATGCAAAAAATGCGTGATCTGCCTCTATATTAAGATAGGAAATAAGTTAAAAAGGGTATGAAATTGAACTATTATCCCAAGTCCTATTAATTCAGGACAACTGCTACAGGGTACAATTGTGTGAACATTTGCCCATCTATGAAGAATAAAACTAGCATAGGCTCAAATTGTACACTATTTATTTGTTAAAGGGATTACTGTGGTATCTGTTCATAGTAATTATATGGTGGATTAATATAATAAAAGTCAAATTTATGCCACTATTTAATAGAAATATTGCATTATGTGGTGCTGATATTTTTGTCAATTTAAATAGGCCGTAAAACATGTCATGGTAAATGGGAGAATTAAATAAAAGGCTTTCTATGGCATCTTGGACTAGACAACAAGATGATAATCCATATGTTCTAGAAGTTTTGGCTGCAAGGTGAATGCTCATTCTATTAAATTACTTTTCATGGAAATCCAAGGTGTCAAAGCTCTGCAGAGGACAGAGGTAACTGTGAGATTTAGTTTACGTGGCTCACAAGTGAATGCCATGTTTCCTCTGAATTGTTTTTACAGTAAACACCTACATCAATAGCATAATTTTGAAGTTGAAGCCCATTGCTTCAAAATGAGAAAAGTCAAAACCATGCATTCCTCTTATTAGCTTAATATTGGAATAATATTTCCAGGGTCCATTTTAGACAATAACTGTCAGCTTGTTCTTGTATTTTAAGAAGGAAATATTAGTATTTTTTCTCCAGCATACATGGATCATAAAAGACTCACATAATTTGGAGTATTTTTGTGCAGACATGCTGTAAATTCTTCCTTGGTCACTCAAGTAATTAATTGAAAATACAAAATGTTAGCCCTCCATATTACAAACTATTTTATATATACGCCTAAATTAAGGGAGACACATCTTAAAACATTAGTTTGTACCTTGTTTCTGCTAGTGCGTAAGATACACTTAATTGAGTTTGTAAAACAATTCCCTGGGTTGGAAGAACAAAGTTAAAACTTGTTATATAATGGGTCCCACTTAGGTTTATGAGAAAATTGTGGCTAAAGGGTATAAACAGTGACCATGTATCCTGCTAAATTTCTTTTTCTCTCAGGAGCAAGCCAGCATATAGAAATTTGGATTTCAGAGGTGGGGAGGGACAGGATGAAAAATACTGCACATTTAAAACTTAAGTATATGAATATATTCACACTTAAATGTATTCCTACTTAAATATTTGATAGATCTCTAAGGTGGAATCACTCTTCCTAAATGACAACATTAAACCAAAGCTGTTGAGTTTGGAGATGGGGATCTGCCCTGTGTCTGCCGCTGAACGTTCTTTTAGTGGTATCCGAGGACAGAGGAAGGAGATTCTGAAGCAGTCAGGTAGGGAGATAACGGTTTCTTCCATTGCCCAAGTCTGGAGAAAAGGGGTTTTGTCTGTGGTCTGATGGGGACGACACAATGCATTGGGGATGGTGGGGTGATGATAATAGCCACATATTTCACAAAGTGTGTGCACTGGTCACACAGGTTAGGCAGTCCATGGACATCGCTGGTTAGGAGCAGATGTCCTGGGGTTGTTCATCTCATTCAAAGAGTGCTGCTTTTGAAAGCCAGTCCTATTTAATGCATTTTGGTGTACATTCTATAGCAATCCAAGCCTGCTTTCTCCTATGCTAAGCATTATTCACAATGTTTCCGTGGGCACCTGTATCTCCTTTGTGCTCTCTAACCTTAATCTTCTAAGTTCCATGCGCTCTCTATGTGCATTCAGGTGAGATGCAGGCACAACAAGGGTTTTAAGGCGCCATTTCAGCAAAAATGAGCACAGAGAAAAACAAATCACAAGTAAAGTAAAATCACAGGTAAAACTGAGAAACTGTTTTAAACGGGCACTCTACAAAATCTATAAGCACTCTGAATCTACTCTGTTTATGAGTGCATATATGTGTGTCTGTGTGTGTACATGATGAGTTTTAAGATTTAAAGCTATCGTTGTTCTCAAGACATGGAGAGATTAGTTTTTTTCTTCCCCAAAATGTCTACAGGGAGGCATATATTTCTCCAACAACTGTGTGTGTTAGAGAATAGTTGACAAGCACATGCTTTTAAAAGCAAAACGATATGATTGCGATCACTAGATATTTTATGTTCTAAGACTGCAACCTTGAGCAATTCATTTAATCTTCTGTACCCCACTTTCCTCGTATGTAAAATGAGACAGTCTACACCCTGGGACTGGTAAAAGGATTAAATGAGGTAATGCATATAACCTATGCAGAACAACACATTTTGATGATTATTTGAAAGTTTTAAAACAAGTCATTGCTCTGTAAATGGTTGACTCAATGCTTTTCGAAAATCTCTTAAGCATTTGTTTGAAAAGTTTGTCTGTATGTAATGCACATCCTTATGAACTGTTACATTCTTTTCTATTATTATAATTTGAAAACTGTAATTGCTCTACTAGAAATAACACCTGAAGCCCAATAACACAGGCAGCCCAAGCATGTTAGTTTGAAAGCTGTGTTCATAATGTATATCCTCATAGAAAGAGATGTTGCATAAAAACGAAGCTAATACCTGAGCCCACAAAAAATTGATTCGGCCAGTTGTACCACTGAAGCATAATAATGGTTCTAATATTCAAAATTAGGCATCGTTTGATTTCTCAGTTTTTATTGGAATTTTTAGGGTTATATTTTGGGGTGCCAGAAATACATCTCCCCATTTCCTTTCTTCTGAGTCCAAGGCCCTGTGTTTAGAGCCTGGGGCTGAGAAAGATTTTTCTTTTGGGTATCCTTCCAGCTGTGGCTGTTGGCAATTTGTCTTAGTCTCCAAAGACTCCCTATCCAGCCTGTTTAGGAACCAGTGACCTCAAGAACTAGTCTGAACCTTCACCTTTAATAAATGTCACCTGTTAATTCCAGGTAAGGTTTTCCCCTGGCTAATTTATCTCATTTTCCCTAATTCTCTTGCCTCTAGAGGAAACAGGATTATTTGTGGGTGTTCTAAGTATTTACACGGATGGTCATTTTAGAGAAGGGTAGAGTTTCCGTGGACTTTTTCCTGTATCCCCATTTCTTTCAATATAATAATGAGAATTTGCAGAGGAAGTGTCACTTTCACTTCCTTAGCATAACCTAGATTTTTTTTGAACCAGGTGGCCTGAGAGATGGGACATATGAGTACATATTCTGGAAGTTCTGAGAAAGAACAAAAGAAACAGCCCTCATATCTGGCTGCTGGAACTAGCCTGCTAATTAATGGCTAAGTCAAGGTGCATCCGGCTGCACATAAAAATAATTGAAAGAACTTCAACATCAGAAGAAGGCAGCCCACAGCCAGCACGGGATGAGACAGAAACATGAACAATTTGTAACCACTAATAACGACCCCAAATCCCCTTCTCTTCCACTGCTTATTTTTACTGAAGACAATGCTAGTCATGCTCTGGTCCTGTCACTTTCTGGCTAAAGGTTATTGACATCCCCATTATCCTGATAGCAACTAATCCAGGAACAAGTTCTTGCCCCTCTTAGCACTTCTAAAACAACCCAGTCTAAGCCCAAACCCTTGACCAGCCCGTCTGAACCCCTCTCCAAGGTAGCTCATCATTCTCCTTGTATGCCCTCCCTCTGTTGAAACAAGTTCCTAAACCCAAGCTTAACTTCAGATGCGGTTCCAGGTGGTATTTGATGACTGCGCCTAATCAGTTCTGGTACATGCAGCTATAAAATGATGCAATGTTTTTATTGTTTTTTTTTTTTTTTTTTGCTTTCTTATTATCACTATCGCCATCACCCTTGAAAAGAGGACAGTCATTAATTTCTCAAACAGATTGCTCTGCCTCCTTAATGCTTTCCTTGCATCCAGAGCCCTCTCACTCTGATACAAACTATGCTCACGGTTACTTCTAAAGTGGACAGTTCTCCATCCTTTGCAACCTAAAAGAGTTGGGGTTAGTTGAGGACCAGCAACATGTGCACCACTTTGAGAGCTCGTTGGAAATGCAGACACAGGTTCACCAAACCACAATTGAATAAGGATCTGCACTTTAAGCAGATGTCCTACATGTTCCTAAGAACGTGAATTTTTGAGAATTACTGCTAAATGTCCCAGCTACACTCATACACCAATTTGGTGCAATCATTTGGCGTCTCCCTGACTTTGGGACAAAGCCCAAACTCCCTGCCTTGCCTCTGG